>NC_000017.11:50685980-51310980 GCF_000001405.40 Homo sapiens
AGGGCAGGAGTTCAAGACCAGCCTGGCCAACATGGTGAAACCCTGTCTCTGCTAAACACAAAAATTAGCTAGGCGTGATGGCGGGCGCCTGTAATCCCAGCTATTCGAGAAGCCAAGGCAGGAGAATCGCTTGAACCCTGGAGGCGGAGGTTGCAGTGAGCCAAGATCTCACCACTGCACTCTAGCCTGGGTGACCGAGCGAGACTTCGTCTCAAGAAAAAAAACTTTACATTTGCCCAGCACTTAACAATATTCAAAGCACTCTGGCCTCCACTTTCTCCTTTAATCTTTACCATGGTCCTGTGGGCCAGAAACGAGCCTCCACGGTTTGAAATGATTTCCTCGCAGCAGTTCAGCTGGTAAGGGGCAGAGCGGGGACTCTGGCTCTGTCCCAAACCTTTCCTTGCTGTATCACAGCCACCTCCCTCACCTGGACAACATTCCCCAAGGCCCCTCATTATCCCAAGGGTGGGACTCCCTTGCCACCCACGCAGCCCTTAAGACTAAATATGCATCTTAAGTGGCTCTCACTTACATAACCACGTGGGGGTGGCTGGCGGACAAACATGGTCTCTCCAGACCCTGTGCCCCATGACTGTCTCTTGCTTGATCCATTCTTCTCACCTGCTTGCTCTCAACACTTCCCCCAGAGCATGCCCCACCCCGACACATGCCGTGATCAGAGACAGAAATCAGCTCCCCTCCTCCCTCACTGAGCTTGTAGCCACTTTAAGTATAACCTGTGTCCTGTGCCAGTTCCACCATAAATCAGCCCTGAGTTCTATCCGGCGGCTTATTCTGCTGCCAAAACCTTCATTAGTTGCGGGAATGGGCCAGGGAGAGAGCCCGGACTTTACTCCGGCTGTGGTGACTCACGCCTTTGGGAAGGGCTGAGGTATTTGTCCTTGGATGTGGGGATGCTGTGGCCTCTGGTTGGGAACACAGCCTCGTTTTGTCTGCTGGCTCTGGCTTCCAGAGCAGGAGGCTGAAGGCGTGTGTCCTGCTCCTCCTTTACCTCCTCAGTGACCAGACACAAAGAGTCCCCGGGTGTTCCTCTGCCCTGCCATTTTCTTGTCCCAGAAGCAGAGCCCTGGCCTGTATTCCCTATGGGGTGGGAGGTGACTGCCTGAATTGTGTGATATTAGGCTCAGCAAGATGGCATCGTGTGGCCTATTTGCAAATATCCAAGAAGAGCCATGCAAGTATGTTCTTACTAAGGTGTAAATGGCTGATAGAGTGAAGCAGAGAAACATCACGGCACTAGCTGAAAAGCAAGGATGGGGAAGAAAGCACCGAGAGAGGAGGCCAAGGGTGCCAAGAGCAGACCAGGGATTTCACAATGCCTTTTAGCACTGGCTCATTCCCCAAGGCCCCTCATTATCCCAATGGTGTCCAGACCTCTGCTCCGTTCTGGAGGGCTGGGCTGTGGCAGAAATGGGAGAAGTCAGACAGAAAACCAGTCCTGGGCCACTGAGGAGTGAAACAGGTCTGGGAATGAGGCCCAGAGGCAGGTGGGAGGCCCCCAGCTGGAAATGCCTGCCTTCTCCACTCCCAGCGTGGGCCAGAGGCAGCTCGTGTGCCTGGCCCGAGCCCTGCTCCGCAAGAGCCGCATCCTGGTTTTAGACGAGGCCACAGCTGCCATCGACCTGGAGACTGACAACCTCATCCAGGCTACCATCCGCACCCAGTTTGATACCTGCACTGTCCTGACCATCGCACACCGGCTTAACACTATCATGGACTACACCAGGTGGGACACGGAAACCTGAGCAATGGGGAACCTGGTGGGGCCACCTGGGGCATCAGGAATGGGCAGGGCAGATTAGGGTTATCTGAACAAGGCAATGTTCCTGGGATTGCTAGGGCATGGCAGGCAGAGCAGAGTTTCCCAAGATCTGGATAAGGGGCAGACCAGAGTGGGGTGGCCTGGGCTCAGGGGTGGGGTATACAATGACATTTTCATTTTTCTTCTTCTTCTTCTTTTTTTTTTTTGAGACAGAGTTTTGCTCTGTTGCCTAGGCTGGAGTGCAGTGGCTCACTGCAGCCTCAGCCTCTCGAAGTACTGGGATTACAGGCGTGCACCACCACATCCGGCTAATTTTTGTATTTTTAGTAGAGACGGTTTCACCATGTTGGCCAGGCTGGTCTCGAACTCCTGACCTCAAGTGATCCACCTGTCTCGGCCTCCCAAAGTGCTGGGATTACAGGCGTGAGCCACTGCGCCCAGCTTCAACAATGACATTTTCTAACACATGGGGAAGGGCACACTGGGCTCCACAGGCACTGTCTTTGTGCACAGGCCACTTGCATCCTGCCTCCTCCATGAGGCAATGTAAGGGGAACTGGAGGCTTCATGCTGAGTCCCATCACTTCCTAAGAAACCTGCTGGCAGAGTGCCTGCATGTCCCTCACCTTATTGGTGTCTCACAGCCACTCTGGTCACAGATGAAGAAGCAACTCAAGTGGCAGCTGGACCGTGACAGCACCATGAGGAGCTGAGCCTTGTGGGGAGAGCACTGTGTCTGGAGTCCCAGGCTGCTGTGTGACCCTGGGCAATTTGCAAAACCTTTCTGAGCCTGTTTCAAATGAAAATGATGCTTCGTGGGATTGTCGTAGTCAATGAGGGCTGGGCACAGTGGCTCACACCTGTAATCTCAGCACTTTGGGAGGCCAAGGAGGGCGGATGACTTGAGGTGAGGAGTTCAAGACCAGCCTGGCCAACATGGAGAAACCCTGTCTCTACTAAAAACAAAACAAAACAAAACAAAAACAAAAATTTGCCGGATGTGGTGGTGCATGCCTGTAATCTCAGCTACTCGGGAGGCTGACAGAGAATTGCTTGAACTCAGGAAGCAAAGATTGCAGTGAGCCAAGATTACGCCAGGACACTCCAGTCTGAGTGACAGAGTGAGACGTTGTCTCAAAAAAAAAAAAAAATGGTGGCCAACGCGGTGGCTCACACCTGTAATCCCAGGACTTTGGGAGGCCGAGGCAGGCAGATCATTTGAGGTCAGAAGTTAGAGACCAGCCTGGCCAACATGGTGAAACCCTGTCTCTACTAAAAATACAAAAATTAGCCTCTCATGTGGCAGGCACCTGTAGTCCCAGCTGCTCAGGAGGCTGAGGCAGGAGAATCACTTGAACCCAGGAGGCAGAGTTTGCGCCACTGCACTCTAGCCTGGGTGCAGAGCGAGACTCTGCCTCAAAAAAAAGAAAAAAGTCAATGAAAGATATTTAAACTGCAGGTGATCCTGGGAAATGACAGTGTCCTCCCCAGCCCCTTGCTCTAATTCTTGCGCTAGGCCCTCCAAGGATGAGGGGAGGGGCCATGCCCTCAGAAGCTTGTGGCTTCCTTGGAGAGGCAGACCACTCCCTCATTGTGCCAGATGTCAAAGTGTGGTGCTGGAGGTCGAGGAGAGAGGGCTGGGTGACTCAGAAGCCTCACGGGAGTGAACTGGCCCTGGCCTGGCAGGCTGTGCTCCCTAGAAACTAGAGGGGAGGAGGAGGCAGGAGGCTCAGACAAGTCTTCTTTGAAGGAGTATAGTGGGAATACCCCAACAGGCCTTCACTCACTCAAGAAACACTTGCAGGACGATGGAGTGGGAAGGGTGCCATGGACAGGGCAATGGGTCAGACCTTGCTCTCTTGGAAGTGCCCCCATGCAGCCAGCAGTGTCTTGGGAGCCAAGCTGAGAATGCCTGATGCTACCCTCTGTCTGTTCCATCCCTCTCCTACCCTCACCCCCCACTCCCATTTAGGACCCCACTGGGAGAAGGGAGGGTGGGCAGGAAGTGCTGAGCCCTGGGTTTGGAGGAGGGACAGGGCTGGGCTGAGAGGACCTGTTCCCAGGCCTAACCAAAACTGTTTCATTCACCAGCAGCCCTAGGGTGAGGGGCTTGGATGGACCTTGGAGGTTGGGAGTTCATTCATTCTAGTGGAACAGGCAGAAATTAATCAAATAATCATGTGTAAATAGGGCCCATAGGAAGGACGCAAAGGCCTGTGTGTGCAGGCCAGAAAAAGGCTATCCACACAGGGTGGCCAGGACACTTTCTCCTGTAAGGAAGGGATGCACCAGCCAGGCCTGAAAGAATGAGTAAGAGTTGGAGGATGGAGGTGGGGCAATAAGGTAGGGAGCGAGCTGAAAATTGCAGGCAAAGGATATAACACATGCCCCAAGGCAGGAGGGTACAGGAGGCTGGAGTGCGTGGGAGGGAGGCAGTAGAACCAAGATGGGGGTGGAGAACAGGCCGCACTCTGCTGCACTTTGAGGACCATGGGAGAGCATTCAGTCCTTACCCAAGAGCAATCAAAAGCCGCTGAAGACCTTGATTTTGGAGTCAGGGTTGGGATCGGCGGGAGGGGAGGGGGGGCGGTGGCCAGGCAGTGATGTCACAGACACAGTCCTTCCCAGGACACATCTGGGAGCCCAGTAGGCTGAGAACCAGAATGCAGTCAGCCCCCTCCCATGGAGGAGCACTTCTCCAGGCTGGGGAGAGCCCCTTCCCCTCCTGCCGTACCCTGGTGGAGCCAGCCCACTGGCCTTGTACCAGGTGCACTCGGTGAGTGGTTGGTGGGAGATTCTAACCCTGGGCTCAGGCCTAGCTGTTTGTGTGTGAGCTGGAGACCCACCGAGCAGCAGCAGCAGCAGCAGCAGCCGCAGCAGCCGCCACCAGATTTGCAGCCCAAGCCCCAGATTCCAGTGTCAGCCTCGCTGCAGCTGGTTTCCTGCCGTGTGCTTTTGTGAGCCGACACAAAGCAGATGGATGTGCACAGAGCCCAGCGCACAGGCCCATGGCTCCCTGCGCACAGCCTGCTGAAGTCCTGTGACCCCGGCAAGGGGAAGGGCTCATTAGGGAAGGTTTTCAGAGCCCTGACTAGCAGAGATGAATAGGACCTTGTGTTTGATCCCAGAAACTGCTTCACTTGCCAGAACTAACAGAATGGCTAAAATAACCAGCCTTGCAAGTGTGCACATGTGGTGCGGTGGCTGTGTTGGGTGGGTTGGCATGTCACTGTGGGCCTGAGCAAGTACCCAGAAGAGCAGGATTAGACGATGTGACCAGGTCAGGGCTGATGGAAACCTGACCACTTCTCTCTTTTTTGACTAGGGTCCTGGTCCTGGACAAAGGAGTAGTAGCTGAATTTGATTCTCCAGCCAACCTCATTGCAGCTAGAGGCATCTTCTACGGGATGGCCAGAGATGCTGGACTTGCCTAAAATATATTCCTGAGATTTCCTCCTGGCCTTTCCTGGTTTTCATCAGGAAGGAAATGACACCAAATATGTCCGCAGAATGGACTTGATAGCAAACACTGGGGGCACCTTAAGATTTTGCACCTGTAAAGTGCCTTACAGGGTAACTGTGCTGAATGCTTTAGATGAGGAAATGATCCCCAAGTGGTGAATGACACGCCTAAGGTCACAGCTAGTTTGAGCCAGTTAGACTAGTCCCCGGTCTCCCGATTCCCAACTGAGTGTTATTTGCACACTGCACTGTTTTCAAATAACGATTTTATGAAATGACCTCTGTCCTCCCTCTGATTTTTCATATTTTCTAAAGTTTCGTTTCTGTTTTTTAATAAAAAGCTTTTTCCTCCTGGAACAGAAGACAGCTGCTGGGTCAGGCCACCCCTAGGAACTCAGTCCTGTACTCTGGGGTGCTGCCTGAATCCATTAAAAATGGGAGTACTGATGAAATAAAACTACATGGTCAACAGTATATACACAGTAGTCTTTTTGCACTTGTTCACAAGGTTTGGGGATTAGGATCTTTGGAGGAGGCCAAGAGGAAGACTTTCTACACATGTACATGGTTGTAGTTACCTGAACTTCAGACCCAAGAGCTCTTGGCTGCAAATATTGCCTTCACAGCCAAAATTCCCTGGGTAATTGCCAGTAGCTCCTGCTCTGCTGTGCAGATATTGTAAAACGGTGAGAAAGGCCCTGAAATCTGACCTGGGGCCTCTTGGGAAAGCTGCTGTGAACACCTCCACGTTAATGTCATCCCTCAGCCCTCTATGCCTGTTTCTCTAGGGACTGAGAAGTGCATGATGCTTTTACTTCCTTGCTCATTTCGAAGTCTGTTCCAGACAGTTCCTATAACCAGTGAGGCCTCCAAGTCATTCATTTTCCTCAGTCTAGCCAAAGCTGAATGTGTGAGCACAAAGAAGCCGAGAGGCCACCTCCTGCCCAGAGAGAAGCCACCCACACTCCCAGGTTGGCAGACAAGATGTGAGGGGTGAATTAAATTTGTTTTCTTGAGCAAGCCAACAAAGAGTTTCTTTTCTGCAGGTCAGAGTCCACCTGGCTGGCACCGGCCTTCTATTTGGAATGGATCTCTTCTCCTTGTTCCTAAGTGTTCTGGTCTCCTCTGTCTCGCTCTCATTTCCTCTATCTTTGTCTTGGTATGATGTGAGTGGCTGTGGGTGATGGTGGTTTTCTCCCCAACCCTAAATGGCTTGCAGTAGATATGGATGGAGGTGGATCCTTTGACTGGTTTTTTCTATATGCTCTGGGTCAGCCTGTGCTGCAGGACCATTTGTTAAAGGTTAATCACATTTTTTTGGCAGGCTGTTTCTGCCCAGGATGTTTATGAGTATATGGAAGATGACTTCCATCCTTGTGATAAAGCAAGTATGAAAGCACAAATGCCCAAATTATCCTGCCTCTCCTTGGTGCTAAGAAAAGGTCTCTGCTATGCTCTCTGATTTATTAGGCCAATTTGGCTTGACGTCTGCTTTGTGAGGTGCTAGCTGGCCTGAACCAACAGAAAAGCAGACTCATTCAGCATCAGTATCAGCTAAAGATCTGGAAGTGTAAGGCTGTGTTTCCTCTCCTGTCTTGGGACTTTGCTTCTGAGCTCATTGAGGCCCTGACAGGTGCTGACAACTCAAAGGAGAGGCTCAGTTGGGTAAAGTAAATAGGATAATCAAAAAATGTGGTTAATAGGGGATGACCTCCATCTAACTGGCTCAGCTACTCCAGGGAAATGAAGCCGACTGCGTGAACTGGAAGGAAAGACGCCGCACAAAATATCCGTCCCCAGGTGCTACTGACAGGGTATGAACGGGATGTGGAGGAGGCTCAGGTGGAGAGAGGGCCCTTCTAATTTTCCTGCAGAGCTTCTGGTCTCTGGGACTGTCCAACAATTTGAACCCCCTATGATTAGAACTGTAGTGCTGTTTAGGAAGCCAAAATGAAGGCATATAGGATCGGTCAGTTAATATTTAATTTTAATAATACTTGTTATGTTTGAACAGTCAGCAATGCACAAAGAAAAAATCTTCAGTGAATGTTTACACACAGTGTGAACACATGCTTTAAATATGCAGTGGAGGAGGAGGGGTGAATTCACAGTTAACAAAGCTAAAAAAAAAATCCTTGTTATAAATTACACAAAGCATATAAAAATATTTCTCTGAATGCATAGATTAAGACTTTAAACTCACCTACCAGCAACTGTGCAGTCTTATTCCACTGCGATACGCAGTAGTCAGTTGACCACAGAGGATTTTATAAAGGAGAAGAGAGACCAGCATAGGACAGAGATACATCAAACCCACCTCTCACCAGAGACACCAGTCCCTTGCTTGCCTCTGTCGCTAAGCCCAGAACATGCCCTGCAGCTGCTCCTCTGGAGGCCATCTCCCAGCCAGGGGCTCCACTGCTCCACTTTAATTAATCTGGGTGGCTGAAAGTGTTTTAACCCAAGTAACTTAAGACATGAATTAATAGTGAATTTATTTCCTCTAGGACAGAACCAGACTTAACTTTATTAGTAAACTGTAACTGTTTTAGAAGTAAAGAAAAAAAAGGTTACTACATCTAGTTAAATTCACTTCCGATTGGTTGAAACACAAGGGAGGGGCTGGGCCGGGTGGCTCACACCTGTAATCGGAGCACTTTGGGAGGCCAAGGCAGGTGGATCACTTGAGGCCAGGAGTTCGAGACCAGCCTGGCCAACATGGTGAAACCTTGTCTCTACTAAAATACAGAAATTAGCTGGGCATGGTGGCACATGCTTGTAATCCCAGCTACTTGGGAGGCTGAGGCAGGAGAATCGTTTGAACCCGGGAGGCAGAGGTTTCAGTGAGCTGAGATTATGCCACTGCACTTCAGCCTGGGCAACAAAGCAAGACTCCGTCTCAAAAAAAAAAAGAAAAGAAACACCAGGGAGGTTTCTTCTTTAAAGCACTTGAGAGAAAGAGGGTAATAAGTAACCTTCACTCTGCTATGCAAACACTGTACAAGGGTGAGTAAGTCACCAGCAGTAATTGGTGGGATACAATTAAGTCACTAAACAGAGTGAGTCCATGAAGTTAGCCTTGAAAAACATCTCAACCTCATTTCAGCATTTAGGCAGCAGCAGGAGGCCATTATCTTAGCACAACATTCTCTTCTGTTGACATCTTCTGCACGTTCTCACTCAACTGTAGTGTTCTAATAAAATTAAGTTAACACAGTTAGGAAGTTGAGTTTCTTTGGAAACTATAGGCACTATGGGGAAAAAGCTTCTTAAGACAGCAGGGATGCTCTTCGACAGCTGGCTTCAAACCCCTGCTCTCCTGTTTGTCTAAGTGTGCTAGTTCTTATTTCTGAAGTTAAGCTGTTTGTTTCAACAAAACAGTGGCTGCTCTTTTAACATTAATGACACTGAAGGAAAGGAAAAGAATCCTTGAATGCATTCTTCTAAAAAATTCCTATGCCATACTCAAGAGCTTAATCAGGTGTTTTGTTTCTATTTTTCAGAACAAAGTCTGGTAGACTCATAACTGACTTTGTGAAGTGAATTGGTGGTAGTAGTAGGGGGATCACTAAGATCAAACAATTTGTTTACAAAAGCAACAGATTTCAGAATTGTGTAAAAATCCTAATAATTTCAAAATAACCTTTATTTTTGATACAAAAATAAAGATGCTAACTCCTTTAGCTCAGTTTCCCACAATAACCTTTAAAATAGCAACAGATTCAGTCTCAAAAATTGCTTTTCATTTGTAGTGGAAAATGAAAGTGGAGAACATGGAACAGCAATATTTGTGCTCTTCTCATAGGATGCAGTTACACACACATATGACTGGAATCACTTCAGAGTAAAAAAAAAGTGGGCTGGGTGCAGTGGCTCACACCTGTAATCCCAGCACTTTGGGAGGCCAAGGACAGGAGCATCACTTAAGGCCAGAAGTTTGAGACCAGCCTGGGCCACATAGTGAGACCCTGTCTCTATGGGCGGGGTGGGGGTGGGGGGCATTGTAAAAAAGCAGTTGTTCTTTTAGAAGGCATCAGAGAGCCCTCTAGTGACCACGAAGGGGAGTTAATGCAGAGATGACTCGAGACAGAGAAGCAGTCATGAGTGTTTACAAAGGAAAAAGTGAGGGAGGGAAAGCTCTTTTGGTTAACAGCATATTTACAATTAGTTAACTGTATTCTTAAATACTTTTAACCTGAGTAACATTTATAAATATGTTATAGGAAACCTCACAGTCACAAGTCACACTAGAATCCATCTGTCCAGTATCTGTGCTTTCCCCACACCAGAATCCATCTGTCCAGTATCTGTGCTTTCCCGAGTCTTCCTCTCTCATAAGTTCCCAATGTCAGCAGAGTTGTGAGCATGCAACACCAAGAAAAACGCATCCCAGCCCTTCAGGTGCACTGTCAACAGGAGTGGCTAGAAATAGGCTCCGCTCTCTCTCAGCTGCTGCTTAGACAACTCTCTTACATTCTGGACATAAAACACACTGGATATAGAACCTTCAGCTTCTGCCTCTCCAGACCACTTCTCAGCTGTTCAAAGCTTCAAGCAATAGGTTTACTGTGCACCAAGAGGCTTGGAAGAGTGGCACCACTGCTTGGGGGTCAGGGGCTTCCTACCTTGGCAGAATGATGTTAGTATATACTATGCAGTGGCACCAGAGGCCCTCCCGGGCATCTGAGGCATTTAGATCAATGGCTTGTCCTTGGCCCAGAGGTGATGCACACTGTCATAATACTCAGTGATAAAAGTCCCTGCTGCATTAGTAAGTCAGTTTTGAAGCTCTCCTGTTATAGCAAGGCCTTTCAGTCAGTGTGGATGCAGCATTTCTGAACAGAAAATTATTTTCACTTATCATCAGAACCAGTTCCAGCTCCTGGAAATCTTGGAGTCGAGCAACATCCTTGTCCTAAAACAAAAATATGTTAAACAGATTAACAGGAGCCACTTGTCTCCATATGTTTGGTGCACTCTATTGATACCAGTATCTTGTCTTATTTCAAAACCTAGAAGAAAAAAAAAAATCCCTGTGGCAGGCTAAGTCAGTGATAGTGCAACTAAGGCCCCAGGATGATTGGGTTGCAAAGTGGAAGTCCTTAAAAACAGCTCAGCAGCTGCGACAGCATGAGCACACACTGCGAAGGGAGAGGCAATGCACAGATCAGTTTCCCAGGTGCCCTGAGAAGCCAGAAGCCTGATGTCAAAAACCCAGAGATGTATGAAGGACCACACATGCATCTATGTGATTTGCTCTGTAACTGAACTTGGTCCTTCACTTGTAAAACAGAAGGCACATCTAGTAGTGCACTAAGTTAATCCTCACAGCTCACTACAGAAACCGAAAATAGGAACACGTGAATGATAATTCAGAAACTTCTCTCTGGTATCAACTTCCAAAAATGCCAGTGTGGCTGGTCTGAATGCAATGGTGTTTACAACTAGTTTGTAAGACTGTAACTGGCCAAACACCAGTTACAGATGTCTTTGTTCCTTCTCCACTCCACTGCTTCACTTGACTTGCCAAAAAAAAAAAAAAAGCCAGTGTCCCTATAGACTCAGTAGAAGGAAATGATTACATTTGGAAAATCACTCTTTGCTCCTTTTCTATTCTTTGTTTATTCCCTCAACTACCTCATATAACCAAGGAGGGGGCTAGGTATTTTTCAAATGCAAAAAGCAGCCATTCATGCTTAGACTTTTCTTACCTTCCTTAACAGAGTATTGGGTAACTTTCTGATCTTCTCCACTTGATCTGGATTAACACCCAGCTCACAGCAACACACTCTGAGCAACTCTTGGTAGGTGAGCTCCTGTCGGTCCAGTTCAATTTCAATGAAATCATTTTCTCGAAGAGATGGGTTCTGAATTCTCACCTTGAGTACCAGCTCTAGAAAAAAAAGGAGAAATGTTAATGAATAGTTCTGGCACAGCACAGCCCATGTTGTTTAAGATCTTTTCCAGAAGATGGTTATACTTAATCATGCCAAAGGTCTGTGCATGATTAACAGACCTGTTTGGTGGGAAAACCAAGTGCAGCCAGCAGGGTTTGCTCAGGCCCAGCTCTGCCTCTGCTGGGGCAGTTTCCTGCACTGTCGTCCGTACTTCTAAGGCTATGGTTCACAAAGTAAGAGCAAGGCAGGGGAAACCATTCCAGCTATGTAGAAGGATAATTTACTTCTGCCATTGGAGCTAAGGAGGCAAAGTCTTAAGAACAGGTTTGGGTATCAAACTATACATGAACAGGGGAAGAGGGAAGAAGGTTGGAAAGAAGGCATGGGCAGGATGTGAGTTACCCTAAAAAGATTTAACAATTATGGACCTAAAGGTATCTGTAAAATATGAAACTCCTTGCAAAAAAGACAGTAAAAGAGCCAAATGACAAGCTACTAATAAAAGCTAAAGTATAACTTGATTTGAATGTAGCACACCTTCATGAGGAAGGGGTCTTGGCTTATTATTCATAGGTCTGGGATCTAAGCAATCTGCTCCTTTATTCTGAACCTGGCTGCCAAGACAGCCTGAGTCAAGCACCCTGTACATTTGGCAGTTCTGCTTTGTTCCCTGTATATGAATCCCTTGTAGCACCCCAGGTCACTGTTAGCACCTACAGTAGTAACTCCTCAAAAACAGGAAGTGAGAGAGTTACTTCCAGGAAAAAAGGAAAAGTAAGACTAGCTACACCCTATGGCATTTGACTGGATTTGGAAGAATCAGGATGAACTTGTGGTTTTTAATATTTTTAAAAAGTTATACATAGAGAAATATTGATATCTTTCCTGGCTATGTCCTCTCAACGGGCCTAGAAGAAATGATATACCTGTAGCAATGAGGACACCTAGTGACCACATCCTGGTGTCTGAATACCATTCTCGGTGGGCCCAAGTGGGAGGCAAGTTTGCTGTGTGCCCTAAATACCATTCTCCACCAAAAAGAACCAGGGCTTCTTGGAGAAATGACTGATTCCAGGGTTGGGGCAGGAAAAGTTATGCTATAAGCCCGGAACATCTTGCTGCCCCAGAAAGTAAGGCAGTGCTCCAAGAACAATGAAGACACATGCAAGGGACATAAGAACTAGCTTCAAGGGGCTCCCACTGGCCAAATCTGGGATAATTTGAATAATTAAAAAATGATAGTAACAGATTATAACCCACTGAATAAAATAAGAATATATGAGTCAATACTGATATGAATGAAGGAGAAGGGAAAGCCCTTCTTTACAGTAAAATACCAACTAATAAGTAGAGAAAGAATGATAGAAAATCATATCCCACAAAAATAATTGGCCTGGACTCTTCAAAAAGATCAAGATCAAAAATGATAAAGGGTAAAGATTCCAGATTAAAGGAAACTAAAACAACGTGATAACTACATGCAACATATGATCCTGGGCAGGATGCAGGGGGCAGAGGAGTACAGATAGTCCAGATAGATATCAATAGTACAGATAGTACTATTTCTGTAATAGTACAGACAGTACGTATAGTAGATGAGGGAATACAAAAGGCAATGTTTGAGACAACTGACAAAATTTAAACATGGTCTATGGATTACAGAACAGCATTAGCTCAAGATTACATTTCTCAAATTTGGTCATTTGTACTGTAGTTATATAAGAGAATATCCAGCTGGGTGCGGTGATTCACACCTATAATCTCAGCACTTTGGGAGGCTGAGGCAGGCAGATCACTTAAGGTCAGGAGTTTGAGACCAGCCTGGCCAACATGGTGAAACCCCATCTCTACTAAAAATACAAAAAAAAAAAAAAAAAAAAAAAATTAGCCAGGCGTGGTGGCATGCTCCTGTAATCTCAGCTACTTGGGAGGCTGAGGCAGAAGAATCACTTGAACCTGGGAGGCGGAGGTTGCAGTGAGCCAAGATCACACCACTGTACTCCAGCCTGGGTGACAGGGCGAAGCTACGTCTCAATAAAAAAAAGAGAGAATATCCTTGTTCTTAGGAAAGATATAATGGAAAGAATACTGAAGGGTATCAGGGTAAAAGGGCAAAAGGTAAACAATTTGTGAATTTGAGTAAAGGGAGTTCCTTATGTTAGTCATGTAACGTTTCTGTAAGTTTGCAATTATACCCAGAATACCTCATTAAATCCCACCCCTCTGGACACCAACTCCCCTGTTGCAGAGGCTGTTTGCTGATGAGGGGTTACCTTGCATATTAAATGGAAATGCTCCAGTGAAGAAAAATGGCTGGAATGCTGGCGCTGGTCCTGCATACGTCCCATTTTGAGGCTCCAGAGACATTGGTGGCTTGGACGGGACAGAAGAAAACAGGGAGCGGCTCTGACTCACTGGTGGCTGACAAACAGGACCCGGTTTTGTGCTTTCTGGTGTTCTGAGTATGGCAGAGGGGGCCGACACATCACCATTCTGAACTAGTGCCAAAGAGGTGTGGTCCCGGGGAAAGGTCCCTAACAGGGGAGGTTCCCCAGGGGGAAGCAATGGAGGTGAGCCATCTGCAGGGGGTGATGCAGGGGGTGTGGAGGGGCCCCCATTCTGCATCTGGGCTGAATCCTCTGCTGTGGGTGTATAGATAAAAGGGAAGGCTGGGTTGGCCAAATAGTTGGGAACAAAGGGCAGTTCTGACTCCTTCTTCAGCTGGGGGAGGTTGTCATCATCATCATCATCATCATCTTCTTCTTCCACTTAAAAAGAAGAAAACAGAACATTTACACAGTCCTTTCAAAATTATCAAAACAAGGTGTCTTTTGAAAGTGGTGTCTTTTGGTATGTGACATTGGTCAGTGTCAGGTCAGAAGAAAAAAGAATACTTCATTAGGTTTATGATTACCATTTTTATCATTATCTTAAATTTTACAAATAAAAAAATAAAACCTTACAATGCTGACCTCCCCAGAAACAATCTGGAATTACTATCTTGGCACAGTAATTTGCTTTTAGAAATAGAACAGTTGCCGGGAGCGGTGCCTCATGCCTGTAATCCCAGCACTTTGGGAGGCTGAGGCTGGCGGATCACCTGAGGTCGGGAGTTTGAGACCAGCCTGACCAACATGGTGAAACCCCGTCTCTACTAAAAATACAAAATTAGCGAGACGTGGTGGCACATGCCTGTAATCCTAGCTACTTGGGAGGCTGAGGCAGGAGAATCACTTGAACCTGGGAGGCAGAGGTTGTGGTGAGCCGAGATCACGCCACTGCACTCCAGCCTGGGCAACAAGAGCTAAACTCCGTCTCGGAAAAAAAAAAAAAAAGAAAGAAATAGAGCAGTTGTTTGACCAGCATTAAGAACGTAGCCAATAATACCACAAGTCTTCAATGAGTCTGAGGAAATCAAAAGTTCCCCCAAACACAGACTCACCTCCCATAATCTTCCTGATTTCTCTCCTTGATGTTAACTGGACTGGCATTTCTCCTTTTGTGGTAAGAATTTCTTTGTCAGCTCCTGATTTTAACAGGTAAGAGACCACCTGACCATGGTTTCGTTTACATGCCCAGTGTAAACAAGTCCTGTACCAAAGAAAATAATGATTGAAAAAGAGGAGAAGTGATTTTGGATTTCAGATTCTAAACATTAGTAAATAATGTATAAACAAGCCTGTTAGAGTTCAGCTAGAACCAGGTAACCGGGCTGGTAATCTCAACTTTTCACAAAGCCGATGAGCAAAATATTTAATATGCTTAAATTTTGTTTTTAAATTTCATTTCTGGCTCCTGAGAAAAACTAACTTAACCTAGGAGTTTTAATTTCAATAGCCTCCAGAAGGTAAGCTCACTGGCTGGCTAACTCCAATGATACCGTGGAATATACTCTATCAGTATCGCTCATTAGATCATCTCAGTCTCTGAAACATATTTTTCTATTGCTATATTCCTTTTCAGGGACTATGGAAACTCACTTCATATGCCACCTGAAGATTCAATATTATCAGGATAATAACCATCTCCTATCAGCAGCTTGCTCTGTCACTTAAATTATTATTATGACAGCAGATATTCTTGCCTGAATCCCAGTTGCTCACTTTCTTTTTCCTTCTTACTTTTCTTTCCTTAACACACACACAAAGGATTTCCAAATTTCCATTTTTAAAAAGTTGGCTTCTCTAGTTCTCTCCAGAAGGCTACAAACATATCCTCATCTGCGTAAATGTAAGGCACTGCACACATACTTTAATTCCTGAGGTACTTAAAAAATATACATCAACAACCAAAATTCTTCACGAACAGGTTCTTCTAACATATCAGACTCATTTAAGTAAAACTAATCACTCAATATTGTACACAGAGGAAGCAATTCTGCACACTCTGAAGGGCTACTATTTTAATACTGTACAGAAACATAATTAGCATGCCAGCAAAAACTCCATCTTAACAGAAATGAAAGATTCAGAGCAACTAAATCCATCCCTAGGTGCCAGAGCTGACTGTATATTATGGAAGGAAAATACTTTTCGCCTGTGTTTTGAAAGGTCTTCTTTCACCAACTCTCTAACTGAACTGAGATACATATCTTCAGAGCTCTTATAGCCAAATACAGAAATGAAGATTAGAACAAATGTTCAATATTGAAGGTTAGTTCACTAACCTGGGAAGTATAATTATTTGGAAAGTTTATATGATTCCAGGAAAAAGCTGATTTGCCCTGGGCTTAACATTAGTAACTTACAGAAAGTTAGCATGTCTGGCTGGCTGGGAGCAATTCCATTGATGTCTCAGAGTGACATTCTACATTATGGTTCATTAGAATTAGATTATCCAGGTTCCTTTAAGGTGTATTCCATGATGCAATGACAAAATTATTGCTAATTTGGGAAAAATAAGAGTCTCGTTAAGTTTGGGAGAGAAGAGTCTTGATCAAGCTCCCTGAAGGCAAGGAAGTGTTTGCTTGGCATGTATTAATTAATATTTACTGAATGGGCCAGGCACGGTGGCTCACACCTGTAATCCCAGCACTTAGGGAGGCCAAGGCAGGTGGATCACTTTAGGTCGGGAGTTTGAGACCAGCCTGCCCAATAGGGTGAAACCCCATCTCTACTAAAAATACAAAAATTAGTGTGATGGTGCATGTCTGTAATCCCAGCTACTGGGGAGGCTGAGGCAGGAGAATTGCTTGAACCCAGGAGGTGGAGGTTGCAGCGAGCCAAGATTGTGCCACTGCACTTCAGCCTGGGCAACACAGCAAGACTCCATCTCAAAAAAAAAAAAAGTACCAAATGAGTAAACTAAGGATAAAGTGGACCTTGCTTGAAGTAGAAGGATCCAATCTACCCTTGATTCTGGGCAAACTGGAACCTTGAGTGTGTTTGTGTGTGGATGTCTGTGGCACAGGCTTAAAAAGTGAACAATTATAATGATAAGTGAGCCCTCAAAAATGAATGAAGCATGATGAGAAAAATATGCTCCCTTTTGGAAATAAAATGCTCACTTGCTAGTAGTAGATCACTTGTTCGTGGCAAGCTTGAGAGTAAAGGAGGTAATTTACTACCAGTGGGTCTGAGAGACTCTGGGACAAACCAACTTGCTAAACTACCACCCATGTAAAGCAGGGTTAAGTCAACATAGCGTGGCCCCCACAGCCCTGTGCCTTAGTGATCATCATTTACCGTCCAGAGCTGTGCGGCTCTGGGCAGCCATAACTCAGAGCCCCTGCAGCCAGGTAATATTTTCAAGTTCTTCATGAACCAAGGGTTATGCATGACACTTGAATTACAACTGATGTGGGGGAATGATTAGTGATCAATCTAATTGATAGATTACTCTATCTTTGAACTTCAACTCCTTAAGCTTTACATTTGCAGTCAAAATATCTTATTAGTGTCAGAAACTATTTCAGACCTGAGGCACTGGGTGTCATTCATCAACAGGGCATCACTCATTGGTGCTGAAATTGTGATTACTGAGCAACTAAGACTTGAAAGCAGTCACCATTCTGCTTTGCAAATGCAAGAGAGTACGTTTTTTTGAGGGTAACCTTATATTCCATTATCTAGCATATTGCTTCATAATAAGAAAACAACAACAATGGCTAATACAGGTATAATGCTTTACGTGTTGGACATTGTTCTAAAGGCATTACATGTATTAACTTATTTAATCCTCTAAACCCATGAGGTAATACTACTGTCAACATTCCCCCCATTTTACAGAAGAGGAAACAGACATCAGCAAATAAATAAGCAAAGCACGCAGTACGCTAGGTGGTGATGAAGTATGACAGCAATAGTAAAGCAGGGAAAGGCATTAGGGAATGACAGAGGTTGGAAAGGGGCATTGTGCAACTTTAAATTGAGGGCCCAGGAAAAGCCTTGCCAAGAAGGTGACATCTAAACTAAAATCTGAAGGTGGTGAGGAAGCAAACCATGTGATATCTGGAGGGAAAGCATTTAAGAGAGTGGGAAGACAAAACGCAAAGATCTTGAATCAGGACTGTCTGGTATTCCAGAGAAAGCAAGGAGGCCAGGGGAAAAAGGTAAGCAGAAGGGCAAATCCCATGAGATTAGCACAGAGGTAAGGAGGGAAGATGTGGGGACAGGAAGTAGAAATTGTAGGACCCTGTAGGCTTTTACTGAGTGAGATAGGAGCCATTTTTGAGCAGAGTGAAATGATCTGACTTATGTTTTAAGTCAGGATCCCTCTGACCACTGTGTTAATTAAGAAGACTGTATGATATAAGCTTAGGAGCAAGGACACTAGTAGGAGGCTATTGTAATAATCCAAGCAAGAGAAACAATGGTGGCTTTGTATCAGAGGTGTAGTGGTAGGGTTAGTGAGAAGTAGTCAGATTCTGACTGTATCTGAAGGTGGAGCTCATAGAATTGGCTGACTGGATGTCGGCTATGAAAGACAGGAGGCAAGCAGGAGGCAAGCAGGGTGCCAAGGGTTCTGGCCTGAGCACTCCTGAGAGGCTGAGGACTCAGAGGAGCAGGCTTGAGGTGGTAGAGGGATGAGGGGAGACTTGGAATTCAATCTTGGACATGTTGAGTTTGAGGGGCCTATTAGACAGTTCCTCCAATTAAATCTACAAGAGGCCGGGCGCGGTGGCTCACGCCTATAATCCCAGCACTTTGGGAGGCCGAGGCGGGCAGATCACCTGAGGTCAGGAGTTCGAGACCAGCTTGGCTAACATGGTGAAACCCCATTTCTACTAAAAATACAAAAAACTAGCCAGGCGTGGTGGCACACACCTGTAATCCTAGTTACTTGGGAGGATGAGGCAGGAGAATCGCTTGAACCCAGGAGGTGGAGGATGCAGTGAGCTGAGATCACGCATTGCACTCCAGCCTGGGTGACAAGAGTGAAACTCCATCTCAAAAAAAAAAAAAAAAAAAAAAACCTATAAGAAGCCTCTTCAGGCTACCTCAGAATCACTTCACTAAACACCTCCTATGGGGCAGACATTGTGTTTAGGAGGGTAGGTCTGGCATCAGATACCAGGTTTGTTTTCTGGCTCCACTAGTTACTGTCAATCCTATGACCTTGGGAAGGGGCACTGTGAAAAGTGAGGAAACAACTTACGGTTTCTGGGCCTCAGTTTCTTCATCTGTAAATGGAGAGAACAGTAACTATGTCCCCAGGTAGTTGTGAACAAGCTAACACATGTAAAACACTTAGAACCCTATCTGAGCTGGCCGGGCACGGTGGCTCACGCCTGTAATCCCAGAACTTTGGGAGGCAGAGTCAGGCGGATCACAAGGTCAGGAGATCGAGACCATCCTGGCTAACACGGTGAAACCCCATCTCTACTAAAAATACAAAAAATTAGCCGGGCGTGGTGGCGGGCACCTGTAGTCCCAGCTACTCGGGAGGCTGAGGCAGGAGAATGGCGTGAACCCAGGAGGCAGAGCTTGAAGTGAGCCAAGATGGCACCTGGCACCACTGCACTCCAGCCTGGGCGAGAGTGCGAGACTCTGTCTCAAAAAAAAAAAAAAAAAAAAGAACCCTATCCTATCTGTGCTGCAAAGCAAGTTCAATAAATGTTAGCTATTTATGCTTCATCTCATTAAGGGCTCACAATACTCTTCTGGAACAAGTAGAAAATGAAGCATCTCAGGCAAAGTCCCATAGCTAGGCAGGAATGGAGGAGAACCTGCAGGAAAGACCAGGCTCCTTCTACACAACACCGCCTCCCAGTGCCAAAATGGTAATTCACAGCTTTGAACCAGAGGAATGCTGAGAAAAGGTTACATACACAACAGCAAGTTTGCAAAGACCTGTAAAAAAAAAAAAAAACAGAACAAAAAGGTAGTATCCACTGTTTCCTGGCCTTCTGGACAGCTGTCCAGGCTGTTTTCTTTAGGGAAATTAGGTAGAAAAAAATTTTTTTTTGAGACTGGGATCTCACTATGTTGCCCAGGCTGGTCTCAAACTTCTGGACTCCAGTGATCCTCCTGCCTTGGCCTCCCAAAGTGCTGGGATTACAGGCGTGAGCCACCAGGTCCTACCAGGAAGATAGACTTTTTTTTTTTTTTTTTTTGAGACAGAGTCTCGCTCTGCCACCAGCCTGGAGTGCAGTGGTGTGATCTTGGCTCATTTCAACCTCCAACTCCCTGGTTCAAGTGATTCTCCTGCTGCAGCATCCCAAGTAGCTGGGATGACAGGCACACACCGCTACCCCTGGCTAATTTTTGTATCTTTAGTAGAGACAGGGTTTCACCATGTTGGCCAGAATGGTCTCGAACTCCTGACATCGTGATCTGCCCACCTTGGCCTCCCAAAGTGCTGAGATTACAGGCGTCAGCCACCGCGCCAGGTCCAGGTAGGTAGACTTTTGAGGCAGTCTGGAAACCATGGTTCTGGTGCTATCATATTAATAGTTATGTGGCCTAGGGCAAGTTATTCTCTGTGGTTGAGCCTCTCTCCATTGTCCCTTTCAGTTCCAAAATGGATGATTCCACTTAAAAAAACAAAATGTAAACTCACTTTTTTTTTTTTTTGAGGTAGAGTCTTGCTCTGTCGCCCAGGCTGGAGTGCAGTGGTGCAATCTTGGCTTACTGCAACCTCCGCCTCCCAGGTTCAAGTGATTCTCCTGCCTCAGCCTCCCAAGTAGCTGAGACTACAGGCATGCACCACCACGCCCAGCTAATTTTTGTATTTTTAGTAGAGACGGGGTTTCATCATGTTGGCCAGGATGGTCTTGATCTCCTGACCTCGTGATCCGCCCACCTCAGCCTCCCAAAGTGCTACTCACTTTAACTCTAAGCTAGCAAAATAGTCTGGCTAAGCATTACCTGAATCAAAATTTTAAATTTTAAATGCAGAGAGCGGAATAATGCCACATTCAGTAACTTTCTGTTTTGACCACCAGCAACATCTTAAGATGAGACTCCTTATTTAATTGGGAAGAATTCAATCTGCAGGCAGACATCTAAAGTCTTGGGTGACATTCTGTATTTGAAATTGTAATAAGAAAACTGGCCAGGAACGGTAGGCTCACATCTGTAATCCCAGCACTTTTGGAGGCTGAGGCGGGTGGATCACTTGAGGCCAGGAGTTTGAGACCAACCTGGCCCCATCTCTACCAAAAATACCAAAAAAAAAAAAAAAAAAAATTAGCCGGGTGTGGGGGCGCGTGCCTGTATTCCCAGCTATTTGGGAGGCTGTGGCAGGAGGATCACCTGAGCCGGGGAGGTAGAAGTTGCAGTGAGCCGAGACTATGCCACTGCACTCCACCCTGGGCGACAGGGCAAGACCCTGTCTCAAAAAAAAAAAAAAAAAAAAAAAAAAAAAGAAAGAAAATAATCGATAGGATAAACAAATGAGTTTTCCCTCAAACAGGCAACTACAGGCAGCAGCAGCAAATCGGTTGCAGTGAAACAACAGAGAAGCAGAATGGTGATGCAAATGTGTTTTTTTTTCCTGGTCTTGGCTAAGGAAATCGTGCTAGTTTATAAAATTCATATTTGCTCAGTTGCTTATGCTTTTAGCTCTGCAAGATGCGTTCTCCAGAAGCACCTACGGCAAATTAACTCAACACTCGAATTGGGGTGAGCTCCAACGCATAGTCGCTGAGAATCACTGCCTCCAGCACCGCTCTGACCAAGTGAGCCGGGAGCGCGGGGGAAGGGGGTAGGGCACCAGAGTCCCAGTGGGCGCTGCCCCGAGTGGACCACGTGGGCCGGGATTTGGGCAGGACGCGCTCCCGACCGCACGAGGCATGGGGGCCAGGGCTGGCCTCAAGAGAGCACAATCTCGGAGGCCCGAGGTGGCAGGCCTCGCCGTAGCCAGGCGTCCCGCGCTGGGCCCAGGTCGCGACTGACTGCCCCACGCCTTCCGACCGGCTGCCCTGACCCTAGGCCTCCCCCGCTCCCCACTTACCAGCCGTTGACCTCATTTTGGGAGTTCACATCCACCCCGCTCTCCACCAGTTTCTGCACCTCCCGAATGTCCCCTAAGGCCGCGGCCTCCCGCAGCCTCTCCTGCTGCTCCTTCTGCTCTAGGAGGGCGTTCATCTTCCCACAGCCCCAGGCCCCCGCCCAGGCCCGCCTGCCCCGCCCCGCCCGGGGCCTGTCAGCGCCGCCGCCGTCGCCGCGGCCCGCTCCCGGCCATGGGGAGGGAGCGCGGAACTCGCCCGCCCTGCTCGCGCCGCTGCCCGCGCCCGCCCCGGGACTTCCGCTCCCTCCCGCGGGCCGCCCCTGCTGCTCCCGGCCCGCAGGCCCAGGCCTCCTCCCGGGCCGCGCCTCCCGAAGGCCGGCTCCGGGGGACCCTGTTCAGTGTGACAACGCTGACCCAGATATTTTCCGTTCCGACCCGGGGCTCCGGCGCCCGGGCTGGCTGTTTATGTAACTACTGCACAATATTATATGCCATGATTCATTGACTATTTTTAGACTTCCCCACCCCGCAGTTTCAAGGGAGGAGGACAAGACACATGAAAAGAGAAAAAAGCATAGCTGAGGGCCAGAAAAGCCTTATCCTCTGGTGCAGGCTGTTTACCAGGCATCCAAAATAATTGGTGGGTTCTTTTTATTGGGATTTGGGGTTTTTTTGTTATTTTCCCCCAGTTTGGTTGGCTCCTTTTCCTTATCTGAGCCAATTCGT
Organism: Homo sapiens; assembly: GCF_000001405.40. NCBI lineage: Eukaryota > Metazoa > Chordata > Mammalia > Primates > Hominidae > Homo > Homo sapiens. The sequence goes on from NC_000017.11 coordinate 50,708,244, forward strand.
GCCCAGCAGGATGGGGAAATGGGCTGAAAACGATCCTACTATAATACGCCCATTATTACAGAGATAGATTAGACTCTTCTTCTTTTTGACAGTGCTTGGGGACAATTCAGTTAGAATATTTATTTCAATTGTTGTTGTTTTACATCTCATTTTAGACAGGATTTCTTCTAACCTGGCTTTCAGGAAAAATATTTATATTGTGCTCACAGTTTATGAACTGTAATTACTGCTTACAGATTGTAATTAGTTACTCTTCATGAAGGCCATATAAGGAGAAAAGAAAGGAAAAACACCAAAGAGGCTTTGGAGGTGTCCTGGTCCTGATTCCAAGTGCTCTGGGAAGAGCTGTGGTGTACATGTAAACAGCATTTTGCTTCACTTCTTGCCCGATCTATCTAATGAGGCTCAGAGCCTCAGTTGGCACTGTTTTATACCCAGTGGGAGAAAAAGGAAATATTGTTTTGTTGAGCCCAGGTGCCCTGAAGAGATCCTCCGATGTGGCACAGGATGGAACTTTACAGATGGGGTCAAGATTAAGGAAATAGCCCTGGGGAGGAAGGGAGGAAGGCCTGAACAAGGAGAGATGAAATAGGAAGGGATAAATTTAGGCATGGAGTTTTCATTTCCGTCTCTTGGGGCTGCTGGGATCTGCACAGCAAGCATTTTTCTTGCTACAGTTTAAGAAAAACCAATGTCTGTTTGTTTAGTATGATACAGTAATTCACACAGTACACAGTGCACACCAGGTGGTGCTGAATATAAACTGACTACACACTTAAATTGACCCCCATGGCAAATTGTAACCCTGCTTGAGCTTACATTTTCATTTGTTCCCCCAATTTAAATTTTAATTCTCACATCCAGCATGATACTCTATCTGAAACTGATGTGTATGGCACTGGATTTGAGTCCTTCAACACAATTTCAGTGACATGGGAGTAGGTAGTGGCTTGTTGTTTTTGTTTGCTTGTTTTTGAGACAGAGTCTCACTCTGTTGCCCAGGCTGGTGTTCGGTGGGGCGATCTCTGAGCTCCTTGCAACCTCTAAGTCCAGGTTCAGGCAATTCTCCTGCCTCAGCCTCCCGAGCAGCTGGGATTACAGGCCTGTGCCACCATGCTCGGCTAATTTTTGTATTTTTAGTAGACATGGGGTTTCACCATGTTGGCCAGTCTGGTCTCCAGCTCCTGACCTCATGTGATCTGCCAGCCTCAGCCTCCCAAAGTGCTGGAATTACAAGCATGAGCCACCGCGCCTGGCCTGTTTTTGTTTTTTTGTTGTTGTTGTTTTTTGTTTTTAATGCAGTTAAAAAAAATTGTTCGTGACTGCACCCCAAAGTCTATGAGTTCTTTTTTTTTTTTTTTTTTTTTTGAGATGGAGGAGTTTCGCTCTCATTGCCCAGGCTGGAGTGCAACAGCGCGATCTCGGCTCACCACAATCTCCACCTCCCAGGTTCAAGCGATTCTCCTGCCTCAGCCTCCTGAGTAGCTGGGATTACAGGCATGTTCCACCATGCCTGGCTAATTTTTTGTATTTTTAGTAGAGACGGAGTTTCTCCATGTTGCTCAGGCTGGTCTCAAACTCCCGACCTCAGGTGATCCGCCCGCCTCAGCTTCCCAAAGTGCTGGAATTACAGGCATGAGCCACCGCGCCCGGCCCCCAAAGTCTATGAGTTCTCTTTATGAGAGTTTGTCAAATGTCCCTTCCTTAAAAGGATTATAGCATGTACCCTACATAACTGCTGTATCCGTGAATATTAGTAGATCTTCTTAAACTCAACCTCTACTTACTCTGATTTCAGTCTTCTGTTTATTATCTTCAGATTAAAAAAAACAAAATTTTATCCACAAACAAAACTTCTGATCTTGGATATAACTGAATGTAACCTGCTGGCTGTTCTATTACTACTTCCATTTATCTCTACTCTGTCTTGTCTCTAGGGAACTACCTAACTCACTGAACTGTATTAAGCATGTGCTGTTTGCCAGGCACTGTTCTAGTCACTGAGGATGCTGCTGCAAATGAATCAGAGTCCTTGACTTTGAAGAACAGTTTATCAGGGGAGACAAGGCGAACAATAGAATGTGCTATGCATTACAATAGAAACAATGTGGCATAGTGGTAGTGAGTGTGGAGACAGACGCCAGACTGCCTGGGTTTGTATGCCAGCTTTGCCACTCATATAATCTTGAATGAGTTACTCAACTTTCCTGTGCCTCAAATTCTGCACCTGCGAAACAGGAATAATAGTAGCACCCACCTTGCAGGATTGTTCTATGGATTGAATGAATGGATATGTGCAAAGCCTAGACATCTTAAACATTCATTGGATCATAGGTGGGTTACAACAAGGTTTACGTTAGGAAAACTTAACCTGGCAGAATGGGAGGGCAGTGGTGGTCAAGAAACAAGGATAATGTTCGGGTTTCTGGATGATTAGATGGTGGTGTGATTTATTGAGATTTGGGACAAAGGATGAAGAGAAGGTTTGAGGTTTGGTCATGAATTCACTTTTGAATCTGTTGACTTGAACTTTCTGAGACCTTTTAATTACTACTACTCTTTACTATCTGCTACTATCAACTCATTGCCAGGTGCTGCAGGAAGTGCTGTACATGGATTATCTCATTTAATCCTCACAACAACTCCTCTGTAAAACAGGACCATCATTATTATCTGAGGCTCAGGGAGGTAATTAACTTGCCCCAGTGCTGGCCAGGCACGGTGGCTCATGCCTGTAATCACAGCACTTTGGGAGGCTGAGGCGGGCAGATCACCTGAGGTCAGGAGTTTGAGACCAGCGTAGCCAACATGGCGAAACCCCGTCTCTACTAAAAATACAAAAATTAGATGGGCGTGGCGGCAGGTGCTGGAGGCAGAGGTTGCAGTGAGTCAAGATCTCGCCATTGCACTCCAGCCTGGGCAACAGAGTGAGACTCTGTCTCAAAAATAAATAAATAAATAAATAAACAAACTTGCCCAATGCTATACATCGTAGTTTGTGATGGAGCAAGGCTTTGAACTCAAGTTCAACTTCTGAGCCTGTGCTTTCTTTTCTGATTTTCATTTAAATGGATATGTTCAGTAAACAGTTATGTGAATGGGTATTGCATTTAGGAAGGAGATCTGGGCTGGTGATTTGTATTTTGGCAGTCAGCAAAGGGTGCTAGCTGAAGTCATGGGAATAGAAGAGATAGCCCCAAGGGAGTCTGTGAGTGCTGAGAGAAGACTCCTGCCAGGCGCGGTGGCTCATGCCTGTAATGCCAGCATTTTGGGAGGCGGAGGAGGGTGGATCACCTGAGGTCAGAGTTCCAGACCAGCCTGGCCAACAGAGCGAAACCCTGTCTCTACTAAAAATACAAAAAGTAGCCGGGTGTGGTGGAGCGCACCTGTATTCCCAGCTACTCAGGAGGCTGAGGCAGGGGAATCACTTGAACCTGGGAGGTGGAGGTTGCAGTGAGGCGAAATCATGCCACTGCACTCCAGCCTAGGCAACAGAGTAAGACTCTGTCTCAAAAAAAAAAAAAAAAAAAAAGACTGCTGAAGACAGCCAGGAATGGTGGTTTGTTCCTGTTAATCCCAGCTACTCAGGATGCTGAGACAGGAGGATTCCCTTGAGCCCAGGAGTTCCAGACTAGCCTGGACAACACAGTGAAACCCTGACAGTAAGACCCTGTCTTAAAATAAGTAAGTAAATAAATAATTTTTAAAAAGAAGACAGCCAAAGACTGAAGAATACAGATGGTTCCCAACTTATGATGGTTGCAGTTAGGATTCTTTTACTTTACAACAGTGCAAAAGTGATACACAAAAGTGCAAAAATAAGTAGAAACCTTACTTTGTGTAACCAAACAACTATTCTGTTTCTCATTTTCAGTACAGTATTTAATAAATTACGTGAGATATTCAACACTTTATTATAAAATAGGCTTTGTGTTAGATGATTTTACCCAACTGTAGGCTAATTAAAGTATTCTCAGCACATTTAAGGCTAGGCTAAGTTATGATGTTTGGTAGGTATATTAGTCTATTTTCACACTGCTATCAGGAACTACCTAAGGCTGGGCACAGTGGCTCATGCCTATAATCCCAGCACTTTGGGAGGCCAAAGACAGGTGGATGATCACTTGAGGCCAGGAGTTGGAGACCAGCCTGGCCAACATGGAGAAACCCTGTCTCTACTAAAAAATACAAAAATTAGGTGGGTGTGATGGCGCAAGCCCATAATCCCAGCTACTCGGGAGGCTGAGGCACAAGAATCACTTGAACCTGGGAGGAAGGGGCTGTAGTGAGCCTAGATTGTGCCACTGCACTCCAGCCTGGGCGACAGAGCAAGACTTTGTTTAAAAAAAAAAAAAAGAAAAAAGAACTACCGGAGACTGGGTAATTTATAAAGTAAAGAGGTTTAATTGGCTCACAGTTCCACATGGCTGGGGAGGCCTCAGGAAACTTACAATTATGGGAAGGCGAAGCAAGCGCCTCCTTCACAGGGTGGCAGGAGAGAGAGCGAGAGAGCGAAGGGGAAGAGCCACACTTTTAAACCATCAGATGTCCTGAGAACTCACTCCCTATCACGAGAACAGCATGGGGGAACCGCCGCCATTATCCAATCACCTCCCACCAGCTTCCTCCCTGGACACATAGGGATTACAATTTTAGATGAGATTTGGGTGGAGACACAGAGCCAAACTATCCATAGGCTAGGTGCATTAAATGCATTTTCAACCTAATGGACGTATTGGGATCTAACCCCTTTGTAAGTTGAGGAGCATCTGTAGTCAACATTTTAATGACGGACAGAAGAGAAGAAATTCTCAAATGAGAGCAGAGGAGCAGCTATTAATAGACTAGCAGGAGGAAAAGCAAAGGAGTGGGAGGGTTTGGAGACAAGGGAGTGATCCACAGGGTCAAATGCTGCAGAAAGGGCAAGAAAGAAAGGGCTGAAACACATGAAATGGGTTTAACCATCACAAGCTTGCTGGTGCCATTGAAGAGGAAAGGTGCAGTGAGGTGGTACAGGTAGCCACCAGACTTTCTTAGTCCATTTGGGATGCTATAACAAAATACCACAACCTGGGTGGCTTATAAGCAACTGAAATTTTTTTCTCACAATTCTGGAAGCTGAAATTCCAAGATCATGGTACCAGCATGGTCAGGTTCTGTCGAGGGCCCTCTTCTGGGTTGCAGACTGCCAGCTTCTCATTTTTTCCTCACATGGCATGGCAGAAGGGGCAAAGGAGCTCTCTCGGGCCTCATTTATGAATGGCACTAATACCATTCCTGAGGTCTCTGCCTTCATGACCTAATCACACCTGAAAGGTCCTGCCTTTTTTTTTTTTTTTTTTTTTTGAGACAGGGTCTTGTTCTGTCACCCAGGCTGGCACCTGACCTAAAAAACAAACAAAAACAAACAAACAACAACAACAACAACAAAAAACCTTTCATTCTAAGGGAAGAAATTGCTATTTGCAATATCGTGTGACAAACCCAAAAATATGCAAGGATGCTTCAGGTAAAATGATGGCACAAAGAAGGTGATCAGTGTGTAGCAGGTGGAGGGCCAGGGTCCAGGGTGGCGTTGTGGAGCTGCTGAAACTGGGGCTGTAAGCTGAAAGATGAGTAGGGGCTCGTATCTGTAACCCCGGCTGCTCAGGAGGCTGAGGCAGGAGTGAGACCGTCTCTGAAAAAAGGATGAGTAGGTGTTGCTTGCTGCTGGAGTGGAAGAGCTTTCCATGCCTGGAGCAACGTAGATGGTGAAATGCAGGAATCAAGGGTCTTCCAAGTACTGGAAGCAGTAGCAGATGAAGTTGGAGAAGGGGGTCAGAGCACAGACCACCTTGTGGTGTTTGAACCTTAGAGTGGAGATGATGGGGAGCCATCGCCTCTAAGGTTGGAGGCGTTTTGTTTGTTGGTTTGTTTGTTTGTTTTTTGAGACCCAGGCTGGAATGCATGGTGCCATCTTGGCTCACTGCAGCCTCTGCCTCCTGGGCCTCCAGCAATCCTCCCACCTCAGCCTCCTGAGTAGCTGGGAATAGAGGCGCGTGCCACCATGCCCAGCTACTTTTTGTATTTGCAGTAGAGACAGGGTTTCGCCACATCACCAAGGCTGGTCTCAAGCTCTGGAGCTCAAGCAATCTACCAGCCTCGACCTCCCAAAGTGCTGAGGTGTGAGCCACTGCACCTGGCCAGTTGGAGCCTTTCGAGCAGGGATGAGACACATCTAGATTTACATTTAGAAAGGTGACTGATGGCTGGGCGTGGTGGCTCATGGCTGTAATACCTGCACTTTGGGAGGCTGAGGCGGGCGGATTGCCTGAGCTCAGGAGTTTGAGACCAGCCTGGGCAACATGGTGAAACCCTGTCTCCACTAAAGTACAAAAAAAAAAAAAACAAAAAAAACAGCTGGGCATGGCGGCGTGCATCTGTAGTCCCAGCTACTCAGGAGGCTGAGGCAGGACAATTGTTTGAACCTGGAAGGTAGAGGTTACAGTGAGCCGAGATCGTGCCACTGCACTCCAGCCTATGCAACAGAGTGAGACTCCGTCTCAAAAAAAAAGAAAGGTGACTGAGGCAGCAAGATAGATGGAGGATGGGGTCAAGGGGCCCGCACTGGAGGCTGGGAGGCTGGGAAGCAGTGAGAAGACCTGTAGTAACTGCAGCTTCCTTTCTATATTAGCTTGCTAGGGCTATCATAACAAAAATACCACAGACTAGATGCTTAAACAAATGAGATTTTTATTTTCTGGAGGCTATGAGTTTACGATCTGGGTGTTGGCAGGTTTGGTTTCTCTGGAGGCCTCTGTCTTTGGCTTGTAAATGGCCACCTTCTTACCATGTCCTCACGTGGCTTTTTCTCTGTGCAAGTGCATCCTTGGTGCCTCTTTGTGTATCCAAATTTCCTCGTATAAGGACGCCAGTATGATAGGATTATGGCCCAACCTAACAGCATTGTTTTAACTTCATCATCATCTTCAAATGCACGATCTCCCAATACAGTCACATTCTGTGGTTCCAGGAATTAGGCCTCAACATATGAGTTTGGAGGTGACAGGAACACAGTTCAGCCCATAACATTTTCTTCTTTTTTGAGATGGAGTCTCACTCTGTCACCCAGGACGGAGTGCAATGGCATGGTCTTAGCTCACTGCACTCTCTGCCTCCTGGGTTCAAGCAATTCTCCTGCCTCAGCCTCCCAAGTAGCTGGGAGAACAGGCACCTGCCACCACACCCGGCTAATTTTTTGTATTTTTAGTAGAGATGGGTTTCACTATGTTGGCCAGGCTGGTCTTGAACTCCTGATCCACCTGCCTTGGCCTCCCAAAGTGGTGGGATTACAGGCATGAGCCACTGTGCCCGAAGCCCGTAACATTTTCTATTAGTAACAGGTATGGAATGGGGTCTGGACACCACTAGCCGATAAGATTAAGTCATTTCCCATTCCATCATTGGGAAATAGCCAACTCCTGTAATCCATCAAAATTATCTGTAAAATGGGCTTTGTGACCTGTTAAGAAAGACTACTTTTACCTCTGGATCCCAAGACATAGCAGAGAATCTGATACAGATCACACTGGGGCTCACTGCATTAATGAAGGATGAATGAAGCAATTCATTATCTGTAGTGGTAATGCACACTGAACTGTGGCTTGTCCTCAGACTTTAGAAAAAAGAGAGTTGTAGAGTAAGACTTGCCTGGTGTATGACAGGGCCAGGCGCTCTCACCTCTGTGATTCAAAGGCATTTAATACTTTCTTTTTGAGACAGGGTGTCACTCCATTGCCCAGGCTGGAGTGCAGTGGTGCAACCATGTCTCACTGCAGCCTCGACTTCCTGGGCTCAAGTGATCCTCTTACCTCAGCCTCGTGAGTAGCTGGGACTACAGGGATGTACCACCACATCCAGCTAATTTTTTGTATTTTTTGCAGAGGCAGGATTTTGCTATGTTGCCCAGCTGGTCTCAAACTCCTGGGCTCAAGCAATCCGCCTGCCTCGGCCTCCCAAAGAGCTGGGATTACAGGTGTGAGCCACCATGGCTGGGCCAAGTATTTTCATTTCAAGACCAAATTGTAGTTGTGACATATTTGTCTCCCATAGGTCAGGAGCTCCTGGAGAACCAGGTTTTATACGTCTGTCTTTGTATTCCCAGCCAGTAACCCAGGTCCTGGCAAAGAGCACATGCACCATTATAGTTTGTGGAATGAATGAGATAATTAGATTAAGAACCTGTGATGGGCAGGAACTGTAATTTTGCAATCTGGTTGTGTGTTTGCGGTTCATGATGTGTGCAGTCCTGTTTGTTTGTGGTTCAGTTTTTTTTTTTTTAGACGGAGTCTCAGTCTGTCATCCAGGCTGGAGTACAGTGGTGCAATCTCGACGCACTGCAAGCTCCGCCTCCCGGGTTCATGCCATTCTCCTGCCTCAGCTTCTGGAGTAGCTGGAACTACAGGCGCCCGCCACCATGCCCGGCTAATTTTTTGTATTTTTAGTAGAGACGGGGTTTCACCGTGTTAGCCAGGATGGTCTTGATCTCCTGACCTCATGATCTGTCTGCCTCGGCCTCCCAAAGTGCTGGGATTGCAGGTGTGAGCCACTGTGGCCGGCCTTTTTTTTTTTGGTGGTAGTAACAGTGGAGAGCCCTCAATAAATGCTTCATTGGGAAAACTGTAACCAACAGCTGAGAACTGCCTCATCTCACTGCTAAATCTGTAAATTGATTTTCTTCTTTCTTGTTTCAGTGGAGAAGATCCTTTCTCCTATCAAAGGCCAGAGGTTTCAAATATGCCCTGGAGCCTAACCCATTACTTTTTTTTTTTTTTTAAGACACAGTCTCACTCACTCTGTTGCCCAGGCTGGAGTGCAGTGGCGCGACCTTGGCTCACTACAGCCTAAGTCTCTTGACAGTCCACTGTTTAAAGCGATGCTCCTGCCTCAGCTTCCCGAGTAGCTGAGATCACAGGCGCCACCACCACGCCTGGCTATCCTTTGTGTTTTTAGTAGAGACAGGGTTTCCCCATGTTGGCCAGGCTGGTCTCGAACCCATGACCTCAAATGACCCACCTCTGCCTCCCAAAGTGCTAGGATTCCAGGCGTGAGTCACCACGCCAGGACCCAACCCGTTACCTTTTTAAGATTTTAAGTCATTAACTATCCCCTTCTTTTATTTTCCACCTCTCTACTGGAATATCCCCAACATTAAACATTCTCTCATTTCCTACGTTTGGGGTTTTTTTTTTTTTGGTCTTTTCTTTTTTTTTCCTTTTTGTGGAGAATGGCGTCTTGTTATGTTGCCCAGGCAGGTCTTAAACTCCTGGCCTCAAGCTATCTCCCTGCCTCTGCCTCCCTAAAGTAGTGGGATTATGGCGTGAGCCACCATGTCTAGCCTCTAATTTCCTATCTTCAAAAAGGCTCCAGCCCCACTTGGTGGCTCACGCCTGTAATCCCAGCACTTTGGGAACTTTGGGAGGTCGAGGCAGGTGGATCACCTGAGGTCAGGAGTTTGAGATCAGCCTGGCCAACATGGCGAAACTCCGTCTCTACTAAAAGTACAAAAATTAGCTGGGCGTGGTGGCGGGTGCTTGTAATCCCAGCTACTCAGGAGGCTGCGGCAGGATAAACTTGAACCCGGGAGGCAGAGGTTGCAGTGAGCCAAGATGGTACCACTGCACTCCAGCCTGAGCGATAGCTCAAAAAAAAAAAAAAAAAAAAAAAAAGGCTTCATGTCCCATACCTCCTTTGAGTTCTCACCCTATTTTGCTGCTTTCCTTCTTAAAAAGAGGTGTCCACGACCGGGCGCGGTGGTTCACGCCTGTAATCCCAACACTTTGGGAGGCTGAGGTGGGTGGATTATTTGAGCTCAGGAGTTCAAGACCAGCCTGGGCAACTTGGCGAAACCCCGTCTCTACCAAAAATACAAAAACTTAGCCGGGCGTGGTGGCATGCGCCTGTAGTCCCAGCTACTGGGGAGGTTGAGGCGAGGGGGTCGCCTGAGCCCGGGAGGTTGAAGCTGCAGTGAGCTGAGATCGTGCCATTGCACTCCAGCCTGGGTGACAGGGCCAGACCCAGTCCCCCCAAAAATAAAAGTGTTGGGCTTGTTATCAATGTGTAGTGCCTTACATTGTATAAACTCATTTAATCTTCACAATAGCATCGTGGCTGGGGGCCGGGGGAGGACTATTGTAAACCCCATTTTACAGAAAAGGAAACAAAGGCACAGAGCGGCAGAGCTGGGATTACGAACCCAGGCAATCTGGCTTTAGAGACCATACCCTTAACTGTGCTAAAGCATTATCCCAACATACGTTGATATATTTGTGACTTTATTTCTTCAGCGATTATCTCCCCTCGCCAATGCACAGGTCTGCGGGAGCATGGACTGTCTGAAAGGTTCTGAGTTTAGCTTTAAGCACAGTGCCTGGCACATACCATTTGTTGAATAAATGGATCTACCTATCTATATATATGTGTGTGTGTGTGTGTGTATGTGTGTGTGTGTGTGTGTGTGTATATATATATATATATATATATATATTTTTTTTTTTTTTTTTTTTTTTTTTGAGATGGAGTTTTGCTCTTGTTGTCCAGACTGGAGTGCAATGGCGCGATCTCGGCTCACCGCGACCTCCGCCTCCCGGGTTCAAGCGATTCTCCAGCCTCAGCCCCCTGAGTAGTTGGGATTACAGGCATGCGCCACCACGCCAACCTAATTTTGTATTTTTAGTGGAGACGGGGTTTCTCCATGTTGGTCAGGCTGATCTCGAACTCCCGACCTCAGGTGATCCGCCCGCTTCGGCCTCCCAAAGTGCTGTGATTACAGGCGTGAGCCACCTCACCTGGCCTACTGGATCAATATCTTTTTAAAAAATTCCACACTGGGAGACATTTGGTGTAGGACTGAATCCCCGTATTTTAGAAGCCGCCTTGTCTCTTCTTGCCTCGATTTCCCATCCTGTTAATCAGGAGACTCAGGGCGGGAGGACAAAGCCAGGTGCAAGAGGCGTGAGCACAGCGACTAGGAAAATGGAGTCGGAAGCCGTAATCTTCAGTTTCCTCCGCTGCATGAGGCACCATGTGCACCACGTGGACTAAAGGAGACACTTTCTCCATTTTGAAGCGGTGTCCAGGCTTCAAGACCTAGGCTCCAATTTCTCACCGTGAAGAAGCTCGGGAAAACCGGGCGCTTGGGGAGGCGCGCGGGCAGAGGCTACCCGTCCCCGCGGCCTCTAGACAGGGGCGGAGTCCCTACCCGGCCTCCGCGGGCCCCGCCCCCGGACGGCGGAAGCCGAGCTCGCCCTCTCCGCCCGGGCCTGGGCGTGTCCCACGGGCGCACGGCATGCTGGGAAGGCGTCCGCGCGGCGGCCATTTTGTCTTGTCGGCTCCTGTGTGTAGGAGGGATTTCGGCCTGAGAGCGGGCCGAGGAGATTGGCGACGGTGTCGCCCGTGTTTTCGTTGGCGGGTGCCTGGGCTGGTGGGAACAGCCGCCCGAAGGAAGCACCATGATTTCGGCCGCGCAGTTGTTGGATGAGTTAATGGGCCGGGACCGAAACCTAGCCCCGGACGAGAAGCGCAGCAACGTGCGGTGGGACCACGAGAGCGTAAGTCCCGCGGGCCTTGGCCTGAGCCCGGGCTCCGTGGGGGAGGGGAGCGGGCGCGGGCTGTGGCCCTCCTGGCCGCGGCGCGATGTGGCCAGGGCCGCACCCGGGGTCGAGCGTCTGACCCGGTGCCCATGGAGCCAGGAGGGAGGATGCTGTCCGGACCCGGGGATGGGGGTGATTTGGTTTTGTTGTTCTAGTATCAAGGGGGTCCGGGAGAGCCCTTGGCATAATTGAAAAGCACCTTGATGAGGCGGGGAAACGCGGGAAAGAAGGATAGCAGCGTCTTATTAAATCTAGCGGCTCCGAGGTTTCACCTCATTATGAAATAGGGAGAAGGGCACATTTTTCTATAGTTTGGGTTGAACGTCGTATTTAGACTAAAATTTCTGACCAGGATTCATGGTAAAAATCGTGGCGGTATTTTATTTAAGTAATTACAGCATGACGCTTATACGGGGAAATAGAAATGTAAAAGAAGTCGTTTACTTGTTAGGGTTTACCGTGATGATTTACAAGTATTGTTCGTTAACAGTATTCTAAGAAGTCCCTTATAGAGGCAGCTGTCAAGGTTTTTTCTTCCACATAAAACTCATTTGATGCTCTTAGCCCGGGGAGTAAAGGTAAATATTATAACCCCAGTTTCACTGGTGAGACTTAAAAAGGCTCACCCAAAGTCTTGGCAACTGAGGAAACTAATCTTTGTAGTTCTGTTAGCTTTCCACAATCCTATGAAACTGGTTCTCTGCACCTACTGTAGCATTTCAAGTGTTTTGATCTAGTTTTGAACATGCAGTGTAATGTTTACTTTAGGTCTTATCTGGAGAATAGATACAGAATTTAATTTTACTTTGAGGTTATAATCTAACATGCTAATTTTAAAACAATTGCTAATCAAAATAGGAAGGAATAGTTCAGGTAATGCATGCTTCTTTAGAAAACTGTTTTCTTACTCTTTTTAAACGTAGGCTTTGGTTAAGGTAAAATTTCTTTTTTGCAGTGTAGGAAAGCAAGTTGGTGCTAGATGACTCCTTTTAGGACTTTAAGAAAGAGTAAGTTTGGCTCAAGTTGTGTTGGGGTGCTAACTGATTCCAAAGTAGTATGAAACATTCTTAGAGTAGAATTTATTGTTTTTAAGAGGTGGGTTTTTTGTTTTTAACATTTAGGCTCCCCATCCCCCCGACCATTTGTCACAATAGGAGACTAAGGAACTGCTTACCTTGACCATCTTTCTTTTGTAGGCATCTTTGTTATAGCGAAGTAACTTTTTTTTTTTTTAACTACCTGACTCTGTAACCTTTCAGTCTAAACTTTGCAAATGTGTTAGGAATAACGCTCAAAATCCTAAGTAAGGTAAAAAACCAAAACATTATGGCGATTTGGCTTATGTTCAATAGGTTATTTGTATATTTTGAATTCAAGAGAAAAATGCTTTCCATTGCACTCCTTATCAGTTGGAACAGCCTTGTATCTCTGCACCCTTGACTTTGAACACGTTTTAGAGAAACTGTTTTCTTTCCCGGGGTAATTTGTTGCCACATTGCATTGTATGTGATGGGTTTATGACTCTTCAATGATGAGGCCCTCAGAATAGCAATTTAGGTTTTATGTCATCTCAGCCGTAATCTGCTTTGCTTTCAGTTTTAGTACTTTTCACTAATTTTAACTTTCAGTGTTTATTACTAAAGTATTTAATGCCTTAATGACAGATTGCACTTCACTCTAGATTGAAGGATTTCAAGTCAGTTACTGGCATTTCAGATTGATATCTGCAGGGAAAATGTTGGTAGTGTTGAGCAAAAACAAAGCACATGGTCTCATCTAAATAGGTGGAATTATTGTATAATGAAGCTGGGGAAGCTGTTGATATCGTTTCCGGGTCATCTGCATATTCTTGTACTGTTGGCTGTTAGTGCTAAACCTGCAGGGATGGGCAAACCCATTATATGCTGAAAAGGAGTCACCTTTTCTATAGCCTAATATTTTAACATATTTTTGCATTCCTGTTCTATCTGGAAATTTTTCTTGGCCATACTTGCATTAAATGGAAGAAGCCATTTCAGCTGGATGGGGCCCTTGTTTTTTTTTTTGGAATAGAGATAAATACCAAAATAAGGAAAGGAAGCAACCATTAATTAAAAGACAGTTGCCGTGGCATCTGTAAGTATTTAACAGTCAAAATGCTAACTTTACCTAGTATTAAAGGTAGTCCCTAGATAGCTGTATTTGACCTGTGGAATTTGTTTTAAATGCATATTTCTGTACTTCAACCCCTTCAACTCCCCTTCCCAGAGAGTCAGATTCTGTCTGTCTTGGGGAAGGGTCCCAGTATCTGCATTTTTTATGGCTCCTCTTATGCATTCTTTTTTTTTTTTTTTTTTTTTTTTGAGACGGCGTCTTGCTCTGTCTCCCAGGCTGGAGTGCAATGGCGTGATTTTGGCTCATTGCACCCTCCGCCTCCCGGGTTCAAGCGATTCTCCTGCTTCAGCCTCCCCAGTAGCTGGAACTACAGGCGCCCTCCACCACGCCCAGCTAATTTTTATATTTTTAATAGAGATGGGGTTTCACCATGTTGGCCAGGATGGTCTCGATCTATTGACCTCGTGATCTGCCCGCCTCGGCCTCCCAAAGTGCTGGGATTACAGGCGCGAGCCACCGCGCCCGGCCGGCTCCTCTTATGCATTCTAAAGTTTGTGACCTACTGTTTCCTGACCCATCCTGATTAGTCCTGGGCTTTTAATTGTGCATATCTGCACAATTAAATCTTAATTGGTATTAATTTGGTAGTAGATTCTAATACTGTACTTTTTTCTCCTTTTCATGATGGGTAATAAGTGAGCAAGCAGCACTTGCGAAGCGCAGTTTCAAGTGAAGGATGCATCTGTGATGCAAAATCATCGACCATTTATTTGTAATGGTGTGTATGTAACCTTCACCAAGGTATTTTACTGGGGCTAGTGCTTTTACAGGCATTTCCAACTTTGTAGATTGCTACCTCTGGATCTGAGAAACTGCAGCTAAAGTGAAGTCGGCTTTAATACTGTTTCATGGATTCATTGGTACACCCTCCCACCGTGTTTATTTGTATTTTGCAATTGTTTGAGATTATTGTTTTGGTTTTTTGCACTAAGCAATTGCTTGGTTAATCCTAAACAACCACAGTGATGAGGAAAGCATGTGATTGTAACTAACTGCCTAGGGTGAGTACCTTTCAGTGAGGGTTTGATTTCAGTGTTAGCCAGAGAAGGCACTAGTAGCCATATTATTAGAAGATTGTAGTAAATTGTAAAGTCTGATCGGGAGTTTTGTTATTTTTTATGTAGCAAGACAGAAATTTTGTAGTTCAAATTGAGGTTTTTATATTCTAGATCTCAACCTGAAAATGAAATTACTTAATCATTAACACTGATTCTAATATCTGAAATGAGTTTTCTTCCATTTATCAAACTCAAGCCTACCCTTCCTTCCATGAAGGTTTAACATGAAGGTTTAATAATTTATGAAGGAAATTGAACTATGTTCTTTTCTAAAATCTTTGGAATGTTAGCAGATACTGTCATTGACACTGAAAAGTTGTTTAGAAAAGGAAAAATAGCTAAAGCTTCTGTCCACATTTTTTACTTGTATACTTTTTCTTTTTGCTTTAAAAATGTTCAGAATTTGGGAGCAAAAATTGAAAGCAAAAAACTAGTAATTATAATGCATGATGGCATCTATTAATATGTATTTTACTAGTTTTCATTCAGAGTCACCAAAATGTTCATAGTAACTTACTATGTTACTATGGAGTAAGATAGAAAAGCATTTTCTACCCTGCTCCCTGCCCCCCCCCCTTTTTTTTTTTGAGACAGAGTCTAGCTCTGTCACCCAGGCTGGAGTGTAGTGGCATGATCTTGGCTCACTGCAACCTCCACCTCCTGGCCTCAGCGTCCCGAGTAATTGGGATTGCAGGTGTGGGCCACCACGCCCGGCTAATTTTTGTATTTTTAGTCGACAGGGTTTTGCCATATTGGCCAGGCTGGTCTTGAACTCCTGACCTCAAGTGATCGGTCCGCCTCAGTCTCCCAAAGTGCTGAGGTTACAGGCGTGAGCCACTGCGCCCGGCTGGCATTTCCTACCTTACTCCATAGTAAAATAGTAAGTGTTGGCTTCTCAGAATTGCCAGCAGTCCATGTGTTATATGTGTATGTAATTGCTATTTGCTTTTCTTCCCAAAACATACAGAATTAGAGTGAATAGTATAATAAATTGAACTCCCCATGTACCCATGCCCAATTTAGCAATATTAGCACATAGTCAATATTATTTCCTCTGTATCCCTTCCATTATTTTGAAGCAATTCTGTTATTGTCAACCTTAAAGCGGTCATTGTATATCTGTAAAATACAAGGACTTTAAAAAAAAAACATAGCCGACCGGGCATGGTGGGTCACCTGTAATCTCAACATTGGGAGGCCAAGGCAGGCAGATCACTTGAGGCCAGGAGTTCGAGACCAGCCTGGCCAACATGGTGAAACCCTGTCTCTAATAAAAAATAAAAAAATTAGCTGGGCGTAGTGGTGCATTCCTGTAATCCCAGCTACTCTGGAGGTTGAGGCAGGAGGATCCTTTCAACCCAGGAGGCAGAGGTTGCAGTGAGCCGAGATGGTGCCACCACAGTCCAGCCTGGGCAACAGAGTGACACTCTGTCTCAAAAAAAAAATAGAATAAAATAACCACAATACCATAATCACTGAAAATTATAGTAAGGTATTTCGTAAATCTTTGGTTGCTTTAGGAAAATTGTGTGTGTGTGTGTGTGTGTGTGTGTGTGTGTGTCATTATATATGTTATTAGCCTTGATTTCCTCACAAAAGGAGAAGGTAGCTTAAGTTTGTAAATTTGACTTTTTTGCTAATACAGTTCTTCGTTTTATGAAATATTTTCTCTTTTTTTTTTTTTTTTTACCCCCGAGATGGAGTCTTGCTCTGTTGCCCAGGTTGGAGTGCAGTGGTGTGATCTCAGCTCACTGCAACCTCCACCTCCCGGGTTCAAGCGATTCTCCTGCCTCAGCCTCCAGAGTAGGTGGAATTACAGGTGCATGCCACCATGCCTGACTAATTTTTGTGTTGTTGTAGAGATGGGGTTTCACCATGTTTGCCGGGCTGGTCTTGAACTTTTGACAACAAGTGATCCTCCCTCGGCCTCCCAAAGTGCTGGGATTACAGGGGTGAGCCACCATGCCCAGCCTTTCTCTTCATTTCTTATAGTAAGTTAGGAAAATTGTTGTATTCATTTATCCAACAAAAATGTATTGCTCGGCTGGGAGCGGTGGCTCACGCCTGTAATCCTAGCACTTTGCGAGGCTGAGGCGGGTGGATCACCTGAGCTCAGGAGTTTGAGACCAGCCTGGCCAACATGGCGAAACCCTGTCTCTACTAAAAATACAAAAATTAGCCAGGTGTGGTGGCGCACGCCTGTAATCCCAGCTACTCGGGAGGCTGAGGAAGGAGAATCGCTTGAACCCGGGAGGTGGAGGTTGCAGTGAGCCGAGATCACGCCACTGCATTCCAGCCTGCGTGACAGGAGCAAGACTCCATTTCAAAAAAAAAATTAAAAGTATTGCTCTTAGGTAGATAACAGCAGGATAGTACAGATACAGCACTTGGTCCTAAAGAGCCATCATGTATTGGTGACAGTAAATGCACTTTTTTTTTCCAATGGGGATTATTCCAATTGAATGTAAACGCATTTCCATAACAGAATATGATAAATCCTACCATTGGGAAAAGTAAAATTGACCCTTGAACAACACGGGTTTGAGTTGAGTGTGTCCATTTATACGTGGAGTTTTTTCAATAAATATATTGGAACATTTTTTGGAGATTTGCAACAATTTGAAAAAACTTGAAGACGAATCACATAGCTTAGAAATATTTTTAAAATTTAAGAAAAGATAAGTACATCACAAATACATAAAATAGATGTATATACTAGTTTATCATTTTCCTACCACAAAATACATACGAATCATAAAAAGTTAAACTTTATAAAAACTTATGCACACAGTACATGGTGCCACTAGCAGTCCAGAGAAAGTAAAGCTTGAGTAATAACTGCATAAAATTAACTATAGTACATACTGTAATACTGTAATAATTTTGTAGCCACCTGTTGCTATTACAGTGAGCTCAAGTGTTGCCAGGCTCCACTTAAAATGCCCTATGACCTGTGACTCTTGATAATCTCTGCATGAGCAGTTGGTGTCTAAAGTAAATTGCATATCACAGTAAAAAATTATCCCTTGGTTCTTGTGTATTTTCATCATTGTTTATTGCAATACCGTATAAACTTGTTGTTTTGCTTTTTGTTGTTGTTGTTTTTGAGACAGTCTTGCTCTGTCGCCCAGGCTGGAGTGCAGTGGTGCCATCTCGGCTCACTGCAACCTCTGCTTCCCAGGTTCAAGCAGTTCTCATACCTCAGCCTCCCAGGTAGCTGGGATTACAGCCGTGTACCACCATGTCTGGCTAAGTTTTGTATTTTTAGTAGAGATGGGGTTTTGTCATGTTGGCCAGGCTGGGCTCGAACTCCTGGCCTTAAGTGATCCGCCCACCTTGGCCTCCCAAAGTGCTGGGATTAGAGGTGTAAGCCACAGCGCCTGGCCTATGTACAATACCATGACCTTTGAATAACGCCCTGAGACCCATACGAAGTGCAGCTAGTGACATTGGAAGTGCTCCGAAGAAGCAGAAAAGTCATGACAGTACAAGAAGTTAAATTGCTTGATATGTACGATAGACTGAGATCTGCACCTGGGGTTGCTGGCATTTGAGACAATTCATCTTTTGTATACAGATGACCTAAACTTAGGGTATTGATAAATACAGCACTGTAAATGTGTTTTCACATTTTTTTCTCTAGCTTACTTATAGTTATTTTTTTCCCTAAACATTCTACAGTGCACATCTCTAGCTTACTTTATTGTAAGAATACAGTATATAGCCAGGCACGGTGGCTTACGTCTTTAATCCCAGCACTTTGGGAGGCCGAGGTGGGCGGTCACTTGAGGTCAGGAGTTGGAGACCAGCCTGGCTAACATGGTGAAACCCTGTCTCTACTAAAAATACAAAAATTAGCCAGGCGTTGTGGCCGGTGCTTGTAATCCCAGCTACTCAGGAGGCTGAGGCAGGAGAATTTCTTGAACCCGGGAGGCGGAGGTTGCAGTGAGCCGAGATCATGCCACCGCACTCCAGCCTGGCTGACAGAGCGAGACTTTGTCTCAAAAAAAAAAGAATACAGTATATAATACAAATAATATACAAAATACGTGTTAACCAACTGTTAGTGTTATTGTAAGGCTTCCAGTCAGTGGTAGGCTTTTGATAGTTAGGTTTTAGGGGAGTTAGGGTCAGTAACTCTCTTAGTTGTTATAAAGGAATACCTGAGGTTGGATAATTATAAAGAAAAGAGGTTTATTTAGTTCAGTTCCCCAGACTGTACAAGAAGCATTGTAGCTGGTACCTATCTGGTGAGGGTCCCAGACTGCTTCCACTCATGGCAGAAGGGGAGCTAGCATGCGCAAAGATCACATGGCTAGAGTGCCAGGCTCTGTTCAACAACCAATTTTCCAGTCAACTAAGAATGGGAATTCACTCCCACAAGAATGTTTTTTTTGGGACCAAAGAAACCACATCCAAACCATAGCAGTGCCCCAGCCCCCCGAGTTCAAAGGTCAGCTGTATAGTGTACACAGGAAAGGAGTGCATAACCCAGATTGGGATGGATACTCAGGAAAGGCCTGTCAGACAAAGTGGTCTTTAAATACATTTACCTAAAGGATTGGCAGGAATTAGCCTGAGGGAGAGGAGAGAGAAGACACCTTACCAGCCTGAAGGAAGAGCTGGAGAAAAATCGGTGAATTTGGCAAATTTTAAATAGTATTGTAGTGTGTATGTTTTTGTTGGGTGGGGTAGTGTAGATAGGTAGGCAAGAACTTGGTTTTAAATAGTTTTTATAGGCCGGGCGTGGTGGCTCACGCCAGTAATCCCAATACTTTGGAAGGCAGAGATGGTGGATCACGAGGTCAGGAGATCGAGACCATCCTGGCTAACATGGTGAAACCCCATCTCTACTAAAAATACAAAAAAAAAAAAAAATTAGCTGGGCGTGGTGTGGTGGCAGGCGCCTGTAGCCCCAGCTACTCGAGAGGCTGAGACGGGAGAATGGCGTGAACCCGGGAGGCGGAGCTTGCAGTGAGCCGAGATCGCGCCACTGCACTCCAGCATGGGCGACAGAGCGAGATCTGTCTCAAAAAAAAAAAAAAAAAAGTTTTTATAAGCCTTGTTGAAAGTTTAGATTTTATTACATTGGGAAATAACTGAAGGCTTCTAAGCAGAAGAGAGATGTTTACTAACTGGCTGCTGTGGAAGATTGATTGAAATTTTACTAGAAGTTTGTGTAGGCAATAAATAGTGAATCATACCTGCAAAGGTATACGTAATAAAATTAAAGGCATGGAAATGAATGTGTGGTCGTGGTATAACTGAAACATAAAGCTATATGTTATCAGGGACATAATTTTTGTTATAAATTCTTTTATTAAAAATTATTTCTTTGGGGGTTTATCTTTAACACAGTGAATTGAACTCTTAGGTAAAAAAAAATATTTATAGACTGTCATAATCAGAATTAAACTATTAATATTGAGGCAGAAGTGACAAAAGACTACAGCGTGTAGGGTTGGTTTTTGTTTTTGTTTTTTTGGAGACAGAGTCTTGATCTGTTGTCTAGGCCGGAGTGCAGTGGCGCGATCTCAGCTCACTGCAAACCTCCGCTTCCCAGGTTCAAGCGATGCTCGTGCCTCAGTCTCCCGAGTAGCTGGAACTACAGGCGTGTGCCTCCATGCTTGGCTAATTTTTGTATTTTTAGTAGAGACGGCGTTTCGCCATTTTGGCCAGGCAGGTCTCAAACTCCTGGCTTCAAGTGATCTGCCTGCCTCGGCCTCCCAAAGTGCTAGGATTGCAGGTGTGAGCCACTGCAGCTGGCTTGTGTTCCTTTTTTTTAACCAATAAAATTTCCAGGTATTCCTGGATTTTAAATTAATATTTGTATGTGTATGGCATTTGAGGTATTCCAGTAATATGTCCTGTTTCAGAATACAGTAAGTCTGCATTTAACGTCGTTAATGGGTTCTTGGAAACTATGACTTCAGTTGAAATGACATATAACAAAAGTTTTACCATAGACTAGTTAATATAAAGAAGAGTTAGGTTTCTGTGGCACATTCTGGTTACAGAAACATAACTAAAAAGACCCAAAACATTTCTGATATCAAACATTGAGATAAATTTGAGGTATACATACATTTAAGAAAGATGAATAAAAGCGAGGTAATTACCCAGTTTTTGGTGAATCAGTGAGTGATGGCAATTTTAGTGGTGGTGAGTTAAGTCAAGGAATAAATGTTTACAACTTGAACATTGTCAGAAGCACCTCCTACCTCCATTCAGTTCCAACACAATAATAAAGATGGTAAACTCACCACTTTTGGACTATGCTGTTTATTTTCATGCATTTGTATGATTATCATATGCTTTACAGACTTTTATTTTACAATAATTTCATTGTAATATACAATATATTCATTCCTTTCCAGCCTCCTTATTCCAGTTCAGGGTGGTGGGTGGCCAGAGCTGATCCCGGCTGCCCAGGATGCAAGGCAGGAACTAACCCTGGACAAGATCCCCTCCCATCACAGGGCATACTCACACACCCACACTCACCCAGACTGGGACTTAGGCATGCCAGTTCACCTACCGTGCACAGCTTTGGGATGTGGAAGGAAACCAGAGTACTGGGAGAAAACCCATACAGACATGGGGAGAACTTGCAGACTCCTACACAGTTAGCCCCAGCTGGGAATAATTTTTTTTCCCCTCATCACATTATTCAAGGACTTACTGTATATAGTAATTAGGATTGGCTATTTAGATTTTTAAAATTTAAGTCCCTGTCAGTTTTACTGTTTCCAACATGAGTTGTGTTGCCAGTGTTTAGATAATCAGAAGTATATATTGAATATAAATACATTATATATATATATATATATATATATATATATATATATATATATATATATGTATGTATTTTGGGGGTGGGGAGGTGGGGACAGTGTCTGGCTCTGTTACCCAGGCTGGAGTGCAGTGGCACAATCTCAGCTCACTGCAGCTTCCACCTCCTGGGCTCTAGCAGTCCTCCCACTGCTTGAGCAGGCTCCTCCCATTCCAGCCTCCTGAGTAGCTGGGACTATAGGCCCGCACCACCCCTGGCTAATTTTTTTGTATTGGTGGAGATGGGGTCTTGCCACGTTGCCCGGGCTGGTCTCGAACTCCTGAGCTTAAGCCATCTGCCTGCCTCAGCCTCCCAAAGTGCTGAGATTACAGGCGTGAGCCACCACTTCCAGTCTATTATCTTTATGATAAGCAGTTTAACGAAAATAGTGCAGACAGGCCAGGAGTTCGAGATCAACCATGGTAAAACCCCATCTCTACTAAAAATACAAAAATTAGCCAGGCATGGTGGCAGTTGCCCATAATCCCAGCTTGGGAGGCTGAGGCACGAGAATTGCTTGAGCCTGGGAGGTAGAGGTAGTGAGCCAAGATCGAACCACTGCACTCCAGCCTGGGCGACAGTAAGACTCTGTCTCCAAAAAAAAAAAAAAAAAAAAAAAAAGACCTAAAAATAGTGCAGACAGCATTGAAAATATTTGATTAGCTCAAAGGAGAATTGTATTGCTTAGTGTTGGATCTAAGTAGATATAGAAAGACAAAAATCATTAAGATGTCCTTAATGGGCCTGGTGCTGTGGCTCATGCCTGTAATCCCAGCACTTTGGGAGGCTGAGGTGGGCGGATCATTTGAGGTCAGAAGTTTGAGACCAGCCTGGCCAACATGGCTTAACCCCCATCTACTAAAAATAGAAAAATTAGCCAGGCATTGTGGTATGCTCCTGTAATCCCAGCTCCTTGGGAGGCTGAGGCAGGAGAATCACTTGAACCTGGGAGGTAGAGGTTGCATTGAGCCAAGATCGTGACACTGCACTCCAGCCTGGGCAACAGAGTGAGGCTCTGTCTCAAAAAAATAAAAATAAAAACTGTTGATGAGATTGAACACTTGTCACTAGTGTTGCCTTAAATTTATTAAGAGGATAAGTTATGATTATGTAGGTATTTAGAGAGTTTGCATGGGTATTAATCTGTAATAAGCATTTATATCTTTTGGGGATTACTATTAAATGAAGACTGCTGGTATTCCAAAACTTGAGCAGTTCTCATGATTATATCCAAAAGTAAGAAACGAATTCTCTGGGTTTATTCTTTTTTTGAGACAGTCTCTCTCTGTCATCCAGGCTGGAGTATAGTGGTGCGATCTCAGCTAACTGCAACCTCTCCCTCCCGGGTTCAAGCGATTCTCCCACCTCAGCCTCCCAAGTAGCTGGGATTACAGGCACTTGCCATTATGCCTGGCCAGTTTTTGTATTTTTGTAGAGACAGGGTTTCACCATGTTGGCCAGGCTGGTCTTGAACTCCTGACCTCAGGTGATCCGCCTGCCTCCGCCTCCCAAAGTGCTGGGATTACAGGTGTGAGCCACCACACCTGGCCTCTCTGGGTTTGTTCTTATTATCATTATTGATGACTTTATTTGAAGAACCCAAATATGTTCTTCCCATTTTTTCGGATCACTTGTTAATATTTTTAGTTAAAATCATTCTCTGGGGAGAGTTAAAAGAAGCAGTCCAGGTAGCTGGTTTATTGTGTAGAGTAACAGATAATTCTGATGTACCATTAAATGGTAAAGCAGGAGAGTTGGAGTGGAAGGAACACTCAGAACTGGATTGGGGAAATGGAATCTAGTCTGGATTCTGTAGATATAGCTGGATGCTGTCAGGGCAGGTCATGTGGTCTCTGATGGGGTGATTGGACTAGATTAGGTAGCTTCTGGTTAGCCCACAGACAGGCATGTGTTATTTGGTTTACACAGTGCCTAAAAACATTTAAAATAATAATGTGCAGCGGACAGGTCTACGGAAACCTACCCCCAGAGTCTGAAGAAGCTGAGAGGCCAAAGAAAGAGGCTGACAAATCCAGTGTCTTGGAAACATGTAATAGGGACCTACGAACAGAAGCCAGGTCTGTGTCTTGGGCAGCTGCTGGCGTCAAGACAAGATGTCATATCCCCAGACCCAGGGCTTATATGCCATAGGGAAAGGGTATCTGTGCTTCAGAAGGCATGTGTAGGATAATTACTTATGGGCAGGATTTATGTTAAGTACAAAATCATCGAAATTGTTTTGACCTAAGGGCAGGATTTACAGTAAGTACATGTTCTTAACACAAGGAACAGTAGATAAAGTAGAAATCTTAGGGGCATTCCTGGAATTGGAGTTAATCGGAAGTCAGCCTGGCACTTTAACACCCAAGATGGAGTTGCTTTCGCTTTTACATACAGGCTAACACCTTTTTCTTCCAATTTAGCAAATGTACACAGTTTAATCTTTACAATCCCACTATAAGAAATTTATTACCTCCTTATTTATTTGAGTCTTGCCCTTTTCACCCAGGCTGAAGTGCAGTGGCATGATCACCACTCACTGCAGCCTCAACCTCCTGGGCTCCAACGACCCTTCCACCCTAGCCACCCAAGTAGCTGGGACTACAGGTGTGTGACACCATACCTGGCTAATTTTTTTCATTCTTTTTTTTTTTTTTTTTTAGAGACAAGGTCTTACTATGTTGCCCAGGCTAGGCTCAAATGATCCTCCTGCTTTGGCCTCCCAAAATGCTGGGATTACAGGCATAAGCCACTGGGCCCAGCCTATCTCCTTTTTTAATACTATGAAGAAACCAAGGCAGAATTACGACCTCTGGTTCTTTTTCTTTTTTTCTTTTTTAGACAGGTTGCGTTCTGTCACCCTAGCTGGAGTGCAGCGGTGTGATCACAGCACACTGCCACCTCCACCTTTGAGGCTCAAGCAGTCCTCCCATCTCAACCTCCCAAAGTGCTGGGATTACAGGCATGAGCCCCGCCAGGTACCCCTGGTTCTTTAGCAGATAAGCAACGGCGAAGATTCATTGTGCTGTGTTGCAGTGTACCAATTTCACATGCTTGAGAGTCAGGAGGGACTGTAGAGATGTGTTTATTCGTTTTTTTGTTTTTTAATGGTGAACCTTTCTGAGGATCATAGACGTTGTGTCTTACCTACCTTAAACTTACGAAACACTTAAATTGGTCATGAGGCTGTTAGAAGTCCTATTGAAAACAATAAAATTAATCTTTAGATAGAATAATCTCCAAAACCCTAGAATATATTACTGTAAAAATGGGAAATAGAAATGAAATGTTTATAAGTAAAGATAAAATTCACAGTAATAGTAAAACTTTGTTTTTTTTTTTTTGAGACAGAGTCTCGCTCTATCACCCGGTGGTGCGATCTCTGCTCACTGCAAGCTCCGCCTCCTGGGTTCACATCATTCTCCTGCCTCAGCCTCCTGAGTGGCTGGGACTACAGGCACCTGCCACCACGCCTGGCTAGTTTTTTTTTTTTTTTTTTTTTGAGACAGAGTCTCCCTCTGTCGCCCAGGCTGGAGTGCAGTGGCGCCATCTTGGCTCACTGCAAGCTCCGCCTCCTGTGTTCACGCCATTCTCCTGCCTCAGCCTCCCGAGTAGCTGGGACTACAGGCGGCCGCTACCACGCCTGGCTAATTTTTTGTATTTTTAGTAGAGACGGGGTTTCACCGTGTTAGCCAGGATGATCTCAATCTCCTGACCTCGTGATCCGCACGCCTCAGCCTCCCAAAGTGCTGGGATTACAGGCGTGCAGCCAGTTCACAGTAATAGTAAGACTTTTCATGTGTGTGAGGATGGCACACAAAATTTAGTTTTTAAATTATTTTATAACCATACAGTTTATGGCTATAAATAATAGATTCTGGCAATAACTTTTACTAAATATAGTTGTGTGAAATTTTTGAGTCTTCAAAACAGGGTTAATATAATTGAAAGGTTAGGTCACAGTAAAAGTGGCATAATTGTTGCCACATCCTCCCTCCCCCAAATAAACTCTCAAAGAAATGTTTATAAAAATCGAGTATTGGCATTGGTATTTTACTGTGTTGCATTTAAAGTGAACACAAAGTTGAACAAAATGGATGTTTTAAGAATTAGAAAATCATATGGCATCACAAGCAGTGGAACTTCAGAAATAATTTTTAAAAACATTAGCTTTAGATAGCATATAGTCTTTTTAAAATAAACTATTTGTGACAACAATGTTTAAGTTACAAAGAATAATCTTTTTTAAAACTTTTTTTTTTTTTTTGAGATGGAGTTTCTTTCTTGCTGCCCAGGCTAGAGTGCAATGGCCTAATCTCAGCTCACCGCAACCTCCGCCTCCCAGGTTCAAGCAATTCTCCTGCCTCAGCCTCCCGAGTAGTTGGGATTATAGGCATGCGCCACCATGCCTGGCTAATTTTGTATTTTTAGTAGAGACGGGGTTTCTCCATGTTGGTCATGCTGGTCTCAAACTCCCGACCTCAGGTGATCCTCCCGCCTTGGCCTCCCAAAGTGCTGGGATTACAGGTGTGAGCCACTGTGCCCAGCCTTTAAAACTTTTATTATGTTCTTAGAGACGAGTTGTCACTTAATGTTGCCAGGGCCTGGAGTACAGTGGCTGTTCACAGGTGTGGTCCTAGCACACTACAGCCTCAAACTCCTGGGCTCAACTAATCTTCCTGCCTTAGCCTCCCAAGTAGCTGGCACTACAGGCCTGCACCACTGTGCCCAGCTGCAAAGAATAATCTTAAAAATCAAGTATAATAACTTGGAAAGAAAACAGTAGAAAGATACTAAGACATAAAGCTGTATCAGAGTAATATTGGCATAAAACTAGTGGCTTGCCTAGCTTAAACTTATGGAACAATAGTTTTAAATTGGTCATGAGGCCATTAG
The DNA here is from genome assembly GCF_000001405.40 of Homo sapiens. Lineage (NCBI taxonomy): Eukaryota > Metazoa > Chordata > Mammalia > Primates > Hominidae > Homo > Homo sapiens. Next base: position 50,734,814 of record NC_000017.11, read on the forward strand.
AAGTCCTATTGAAAACAATAAAATGAGTCTTTAGAAAGAATCTCTCCAAAACCCTAGAATGTATTATTGTAAAAATGGGAAATATAAATGAAATTTTTATAAGTAAAGATAAAATTCACAGTAATAGTAAAACTTTCACGTCTGAGCGCGGTGAGGCCTGTAATCCTAGCACTTTCGGAGGCCGAGGCAGGCAGATCACCTAAGGTTGGGAGTTCGAGACCAGCCTAACCAACATGGAGAAACCCCATCTCTACTAAAAATTCAAAATTGGCCGGGTGTGGTGGCGCATGCCTGTAATCCCAGCTACTTGGGAGGCTGAGGCAGGAGAATGGCCTGAGCCCAGGAGGGAGAGGTTGCGGTGAGCCAAGATCATACCATTGCACTCCAGCCAGGGCAACAAGAGCGAAACTCTGTCTCAAAAAAAAAAAAAAAGAAAAAAAAAACTTTCGTGTCTGTGAGGTTGTTTAAACATGAATATTTAGATATGTTTTATGACTTTAATCCTGGATGCAGCTTATGGAACCACATTGCTTCAAATGAGTGTAAAGCCGTTGAGGAAAAAAAAGGCCTATTTCAGATTTAGCACCCAGTCCTGTCTAGAAAGAACTTTCAGGTTTAAATTTAACACTGCCTTTTTTTCATTTCCTTTCCCTTTTCCTTTTCGTTTTCCTTTTGCCTTTCCTTTCTTTTTCTTTTTCTTTTTTTCAAGACAGGGTGTGATAGTGTTGCCCAGGCTGGAGTGCAGTAAATAGCACAATCATGGCTCATTGCAGCCTCGACCTCCCAGGCTCAAGCAATCCTTCTGCCTCAGCCTCCTGGGTAGCTGGGACTGTGCCACCATGCCTGGCTACTTTCTGTATTTTTTATAGACATGGGGTTTTGCCATGTTGCCCAAGCCGGTCTCAAATTCCTGGGCTAAAGTTATCCTCCTGCCTTGGCCTCCTAATGTGTTGGGATTACAGGTGTGAGCCACCATGCCTGACCAACGCTGCCTTTTCTTTTCATGTGTTATAGTTGTGCATTAATAATCTCCCCAGAGCTGGGCACAGTGGTTCACACCTGTAATCCCAGCACGTTGGGAGGCCAAGACGGGCAAATCACTTGAGGTCAGGAGTTCGAGACCAGCCTGACCAACATGGTGAAACCCTGTCTGTACTAAAAATACAAAAACTAGCTGGGCATGGTGGCACATACCTGTAATTCCAGCTACTTTGGAGACTGAGGCAGAACAATTGCTTGAACCTGGGAGGCGGAGCTTGCAGTGGGCTGAGATGGTGCCACTGTGCTCTAGCCTGGGCAACAGAGTGAGTGAGACTCTGTTTCAAAAAAATATATAGTAATAATCCACCTAGTAACAGTGAAGTTTTGTGTGAAGGAAAGGTGATATTTTGGAATTTTGATTTACATGGTTTGATTTGTAGTGTTATAAAATTAAATTTGGGATAGAGCAGTTTTGGAATATATCTGAAGGAGTTACAAAAGTACCAGTGGGAGAGAATTAAACATTGGTTTTATGTTAATAGTTTTTCCCCATACTGTGGGAACCCACCAAGAGAATTGCTTGGAGCCAGGAGTTTGAGACCAACCTGGGCAATGTAGCAAGTCCCCATCTTTCCAAAATATTTTAAAACATTTGCCAGGCATGGTGCTTGCACCTGTAGTTGTAGTTACTTGGGAGGCTGATGTGTTAAGGATCTTCTAAGCAAAAAGATGGTGCCAAATTGCTTTAAATGAGTGTTAACTGTGATTTAGATGGTTATTTCCAAATCCTAATTTGTAAATAGGCCCTAATCTATGAAAGAGATGAAATGATAAGAATAGCGTAAGAGTTTTTAAAAATATAAAAATTGCCCTTTATTTTGGGATGTCTTTCCCATATTTGTTTTTGCTACTGGGGGGTCAGCAGGTGATGATTAAAAATAGATAAAGAAAATACTAGTAATACGAGTACTGCAGATTTATTCTTTTATCGAAATTCAGGAGTCTGAAAATCACTAATTTACCTAATATGATTCAACAAATGAAATTCTTACATTGGTTGAAACATACATACCTCAAGAAATGAGAAAATAGTTATTTGGCACCTTTCTCCAATAAAGTTTTAAAACCAAGCAATTTTTTAAGTACCTTTGTTTTTCTTTACTAGGTTTGTAAATATTATCTCTGTGGTTTTTGTCCTGCGGAATTGTTCACAAATACACGTTCTGATCTTGGTAAGTGAATTTTCTGTGTAACTTTTATCAAATTTATGATATTTAAAATGTTGAATAGGAGTGGTGAAAGGAAAAAAACTGATTATAATTCTGTGAAGTTTTTTCTTAAAGATTTGCTAATAAGTAATTTCTTACTTGGTTTAGATATTTGAATGTATTAATAAATGTCAGTCTGATTAAACATGGTGGCTTAATTAAACATACATGTCTATTTCCACTCCCTCCCAAAACTCCACTTAAATGAAAAAAATTTTAAAAAGATGTATTTGGAAGAGGAGATAACATTAGAGATGTCAGCAAATTTTTGGAAGATGACAAGTGGATGGAGGAGTAGCAGCAAACGCAACAGAGCAGAGCAACCTGTACCCTAAAAGCCTGCAGAAGGGGATACTAAACAGAAGCGAGTGTTTGATCAGCAGAACCCTGGACAGGCTCAGGATTTGGAGGCACCAGGTACCACAGAAGGCAGGGTTGAGTCATGGGGCTGAAAATGAGAGAGATTAGTCTGTAGTCTAGTTCAGGGTTTCTCAACCTTGACATTGTTGACATTTTGAGCCAGTTTTGGAGGGGGCTTTTCATGCATTGTGGGATGTTTAGCAACATCTCTGGCCTTTACCCACTAGATAACCAGTAGCACCCCCTGTTGTGACACCCCAAAATGTCTTCAGACATTGCCAGATGTCCCCCAGGATGCAAAATTGCCACTAGTGTAGGTGGTCCTGTGCATCTGTTGATCTTACTCTCCTCCCCATAGACCCCAGGAGAAGAGAGGGTTATTTTCTGGAGAAATTGGACTAGAGAGACTAGTTTATCTGAACCACAAAATAGAAAAAAATAATTGACTATTTCCTCAATTCTCTCAAGGATGGTACATAACCAGGATCATTCTGGATACATAAAAGAAGTCAATTCATTATGTACAATCTTTGCCTTAGAGCATTAGGAGCATATTAAGGCAGGACCAGTCTAGATCTTGAGATTTCAGACACAGCAGGGGCAGTAGTAAGTTAAAAAAAGAATGTAAAACAGAGTAAATGAATCTATATTTTTATTGGTGGGGCTCTCCTCTGCCCTGTTCCTAGAAGGATACAGCCAGATGTTTTTCCCCAGGCAGAAGAAAAGAGGATTCTTCTCTAGAGAAAGTGAACAGTTCCTGAGAAGTGATCTCTGCAGGTACTGACCCTTGGGGAATCTCTTAAAAGAAAGTCTTACTGCCTGATTTTCCTATGATAAAGCCCATTCATGAGCTGACAAACCCTGCCTAATCCCTACTAACTTCCAGTCAGATTTTGGAAGTGTCTTTTTAAAAAATTAGTTGCTTGCCAAGGACCACCAGCCAGACGTTCGAAGAAAGCCTTCAACACAAGAGATTAACAAAACCAACAGAGAAAGAAGAATTTAGTGGAATTGGAGATAATGGGGAAAGCAGAAGAGAGATTCTTCAAAATCTTAAGAAATTTAGTATCTTCAGAGACATATGAGAAGACACTATATTCTTCAGCAATAATACGATGCCATAAAGAGGGAACTTGTGGAAAAAGTGAAAAACATTTTCTGAAAAACAGCTCTTAGAAATTAAAACTGAAGAAATAGAACTAAAATCACCAGAAAGATTTGAAAATAAAATTAAGGAAATTTACTGGAATATTGGGCAGTACGACAGAAGGATTTTTAAAAAACTTAGTCCAGGAACTGTACTACCAGCTTAATAGTTGTGGACAGAATAAAAGCAGAGGGAATTGCTTAAGAAAAAAAATTTGCAGTACTAAAGGACATTCATCTTTAGGTTGAGCAGGTCCTACAAGTGATCAGGACAGTGAATGAAAAAGATCCATACCTAGGCATACCCCTGTGAAATTTTAGAACACGGGGGTGGTGGGGGTGGGTGTAGGTCACAGAATTATGAATCAGAATGGCCTAAGACTGGTCAGTAACAACGGGGGAAGTTGAAGACATTGGAGAAACATCCTCAGGGTGCTGAGTGAAAATGTGTCTGCCGGAGGGGGAAAAAGACATTTTCAGATATACAGGGTCTCAACTGATTTATCTCCCACGGGCCTTTTCTCAGGAAACTCCACCAAAACATGTCCATAAACCGAGAAAGAGGAAAGAAAAAACAAGAGATCCAGTAATTCTCATCTACTACAGAGCAGAAAAGGAATTCATCAGGACAATAATTCTATAGTGAGCTTAGAAAATAAGTATCCCAGATTGAAGTAAGGCAGAAGGCCCATGGAAGAAAATGAAACTGATGATGTGATATATTTTGAGTCATATGTGAAATTAGTATTGAGATAGTTTCTATAGCTGAGTTTGAAGTGTTTGAGAAGAATTTGAAAATATAGAGAAAAAACTAGGCTCACACCTGTAATCCCAGCACTTTTGGAGGCAAAGGAGGGCAGATCACTCGAGGTGAGGAGTTCAAGAACAGCTTGCCCAACAGGGTGAAATCCTGTCTCTACTAAAAATACAAAAAAATTACGCAGGCATGGTGGTGGGTGCCTGTAATCCTAGCTCCTTGGAAGGTTGAGGCAGGAGAATCCCTTGAACCTGGTGGGCAGAAGTTGCGGTGAGCCAAAATTGCGCCGCTGCACTCCGGCCTGGGCGACAGAGCAAGACTCTATCTCAAAAAAAACAAAACAACAACAACAACAACAGAAAACATCAGAAGTGTCTCATAATGAGCCTTTGTTTGGCCTGACAGTGAATAGTACTTGCATAATATAAGCACCAAGTGTTTATTTATCCAAAAATTTTGATGTCTAGGATTGATAAATAGCAAAATAAGCATAGAATTTTAAAAGGTGGAGGTAAATTCGGGAAGAAATAGAGAAGAGTTAAGATAATTGCTTTTTAGAGGTGGGAAGAAGTAGGGGTTAGGTACTAGTCTAGTGCTATTTGACTTTATATACAGATTTGAAAATAATAAAGTCGGCAATGGTTCAGTTCAGTGGTCTGTCCCCATCAGTTTTCTTTAGTGGCAATAAGGAACAGTTTCCTTTCACCTTCCCTCCTTTTCTCCCTCCCTCCTTTACTTCTCTTTTAACCATATATGGTTGCTGTCCATTATATTGACTTTGAAGACTGAGCAGATCAATTTTATATCCTATTTGGTTATGATGCTTCATGATTTAGTAGGATCAGTTTAGATGTCTACAAACTACTCAGTGATAAAGTGAATCCTTTTTCTTTTTAAAAAGAAAAATAACTCTTTTTTTTTGGCAAGAAAAGGTTGCTAATAATCACAGATAATTTATACAATTATATTTTTTCCCCCAGGTCCGTGTGAAAAAATTCATGATGAAAATCTACGAAAACAGTAAGTTATTTTGCTTGTCATTTCCACCCCCCCAGTTATTAGTTGGTTTAAGTGGGACAAGGGTTGAGGAATAATTGCAATTAAATGTAAAATGAGTGTCTGAGAGAAGTCCAGTCAGTGGCTGGGGATAGTAAGAAAGTTCTATAGCTTCAGTAATGATACTGATAGCTACCACATGAGTGCACCCTGTATGTCAGACTTTTTTTTTCTGTAGCCCATTTGCTGTTTTTTTTAAATGAGCCTCACTGTGTCGCTCAGGCTGGAGTGCAGTGGCATGATCTCAGCTTACTGCAACCTCCGCCTCCCAGGTTCAAGGGATTCTCCTGCCTCAAACTCCCGAGTAGTTGGGATTACAGGTGCCCACCACCATGCCTGACTAATATTTTGTATTTTTAGTAGAGACAGGGTTTCACCATGTTGGCCAGGCTGGTCTCAAACTGCTGACCTCAAGTGATCCACCCACCTCGGCCTCCCAAAGTGCTGGGATTACAGGCGTGAGCCACCATGCCCAGCCCCGATTTTATCCATGAGACTTGTCCTAGGTCCAGGGTCATAGATCCAGTACAGTGGTAAAGCTAGTGGTTAAACCCCTGTGTAAAGCTCTATGATGAGGGGCAATCAGAAAGTCACTTCAAATACACCTGGTTTACCCTGCAGCCTAAATGGAATAGTCGTTGAGGCTAGTTAAGATAGAATATTTGAGTTGTAATGGCTGAAGATTTGGAAATGAGTACTTGTTTATTTTCATGTTACCAGGTATGAGAAGAGCTCTCGTTTCATGAAAGTTGGCTATGAGAGAGATTTTTTGCGATACTTACAGAGCTTACTTGCAGAAGTAGAACGTAGGATCAGACGAGGCCATGCTCGTTTGGCATTATCTCAAAACCAGCAGTCTTCTGGGGTAAGTGAAGTCAATTCAGTCTTTGTAAACGGTCCTTGTTTTCTGGAGATTCAGAGACCTCCCTAATATTTTTGAAACTTGTCTTCTGTTCATTACTTTGTTCTTTAAAATGATATGAAACTTATAGGGCATTCATTTTTTTTCCAGTCTTTATTAGCAAACATAACACTGATTTTGCTAACCATAAGATTTTTCTTTGTTTTTATTTTTCTTGAGGCCAAGATTTTTCCCTTAAATAGTAGTAACTGACAATATGTGATTGACCAACAGAAGTTGAAGATAATTGAATTACTATCCTTTCAATTAAGCATTTTAATTATTAAATAGAAATATTATGTATGGTATGTGCAAGTTTGCATGTTTATCTTTGTTTTCAACTTGTTGGTAATACGTTTTATTGTCTTCAATAGGCCGCTGGCCCAACAGGCAAAAATGAAGAAAAAATTCAGGTTCTAACAGACAAAATTGATGTACTTCTGCAACAGGTGAGAATTGTGTGCATTAATGTCAGGAAGTAATGTGAAACAGACATGTAACCAGCAAAAATACAAGGATGGGCCAGGCATGGTAACTCATGTGTATAATCCCAGCACTTTGGGAGGCCGAGGCGGGAGGATTGCTTGAGCCGGAGAATTTGAGACCAGTCTGGGCAACAAAGTGAGACCCAGTCTTTACAAAAATTAGCCAGGTGCAATGGCGTGTACCTGTGGTCCCAGCTACACACGAGGCTGAGTTAGGAGAATTGCTTAAGCCTACAAGGGCGAGGCTGTAGTTAGACGTGTCTGTGCCACTGCACTCCAGCTTGGGCAACAGAGTGAGACCTCGTCTTGTGTGTGTGTGTGTGTGTACATGTACATATATATGTATCTGAAAGGACAGCAAATATGAAAAGACGCTCAACACTATTAGTCGTTAGGGAAATACAGATTAAAACTGCAATCAAATACCTATTTGACACCTATGAGAATAGCTAAAATTAAACTGATCATACCAGCTATTGGCAAGGATGTGAGCCAGCTGGAACTGGGGTATAATATTGCACAACCACTTTGGAAAAAATAGTCTCATTTTTTTCTTTCATATTCCTGTAGATGATATTGGAGTCTGTTTTGTTGTCGTTGTTACTGTTTTTTTGACAGTCTTGCTTTGTCACCCATGCTGGAGTGCAGTGGTGCGATCTCAGCTCACTGCAACCTCTGCCTCCCAGGTTCAAATGATTCTCCTGCCTCAGCCTCCCGAGTAGCTGGGATTACAGGTGTGCGCCACCATCCCCGGCTGATTGTTGTATTTTTAATAGAGATGGGGTTTCACCGTGCTGGCCAAGCTGGTCTCAAATTCCTGACCTCAAGTAATCCGCCCACCTTGGCTTCCCAAAGTGTTGAGATTACAGGTGTAAGCCACTGTGCCTGGCCCTGGAGTCTCTTAAAAAGTTAAAAATGTACCATATGCCATTCTACTCCCAAATATTTATCCAAGAGAAATGAAAACATATGTCTACACAAAGATTTACACTCCAGTGTTCATGAGTGCTATATTCATAATGGCACAAAAAAAATAAAACCCAGACTGGAATCAATTAAAATACCCATCAGCAGGTGAGTGGATAATTAAATCATGATGTATCTATATGGTGGAATGCCTGTCAGTAATAAAAGGGAATTAGCTACATGAGACAATATGGGTGGATCTTAAAATAATTAGGCTGAGTGAAAGAAGCCGGACAAAAAAGGAATATAGACTCTATGACTCTATATAAAATTTTAGAAAATGCATATTAACCTACAGTGACAGAAAGCAGATCTGTGGTTGCCTGGGGATTGTGTTTAGGATTCAGGCTGGAGGAGGTACTGAAAAGAGTAGGTGGCTCACACCTGTAATCCCAGCACTTTGGGAGGATTGCTTGAGCCCAGCAGTTCAAAACCAGCCTGGGCAACATAGTGAGACGCTGTCTTTCCTTTTTTTTAAAAAAAAAAACAGAGTCTCACGTCATCATCCAGGCTGGAGTGCAGTGGCACGATCTTGGCTCACTGCAGCCTCCTCCTCCTGGGTTCAAGCAATTCTTCTGCCTCAGTCTCCCCAGTAGCTGGGATTACAGGTGCCCACCACCATGCCTGGCTAATTTTTTTTTTTTATATTTTTAGTAGAGATGGGGTTTCACCATGTTGGCCAGGCTGGTCTTGAATTCCTGACCTCAGGTGATCTGCCCACCTTGGCCTCCCAAAGTGCTTGGATTACAGGCATGAGCCATCGCGTCTGGCCGAAAGTGCATTTTTCTTAACACATCAGTTATACTTTATTGAAGTATAAAAAAAATCCAGGATAAATTAAACCCAAAGAGGCTTTTGTAAATGAAACCAAACAAAAAAGATGGAAAACAACCACTAATGAACCATGGGGAAAAAAGACAATAGTTGGGTTTGAAAGAAATCTTAACTGTTTTTTTCCCCTACTCTTCTAAGATTGAAGAATTAGGGTCTGAAGGAAAAGTAGAAGAAGCCCAGGGGATGATGAAATTAGTTGAGCAATTAAAAGAAGAGAGAGAACTGCTAAGGTCCACAACGTCGGTGAGTAAACCTTATTTCACATTATCTCATCTGTCTGTTAACAGTTAGTAGGAACTCATTTTTATTTGAGAACCTTTGAAAACTGATGTTCCAAACTTAGAGTCAGCACAATTTGTAGCCCACAAGGTCTGTGGCATCTACTAAGCTCTGCCTTTGTGCAGTATGCAAGCAACTTTATATAGTACAAGAAACAAATGGGTGTGGTTGTATCCCAATAAAATGTTAGCAAAAGGCCTCTCTGGCTTGCCAATCACTGCCTTAAACCATAAATTTTCATATGAGCCTGGTTTTATTTTCATTTTTGTTGTAATAAATTACTCAGTACATACTTACATCTTTGTTAAAAATTAATACACCCTTAAATATCTAATTCTTTTAATTGGAGAATAGAATATACTTGTTTCAGATACTATTGATTGCAGAATGTAATTGGTCATTGGTTCCTCCATATTGAATAGGATATGTTCAGATTATAGTCAATGTGCTTAGTTCCTTAATTAGTTTTGTATATGGACATTATTCCTTGAACCTAAGCAAGGAATGTATTCATACTAAAATAGGTGGCTTTCTGAAAGGTGATTTAAATTTTGTAAGGTAATGTGGGTGTTGAACATTGAACAGTGGGTCTCAACATTTCTTCTGGATGATTCAGTAAGTTAGTTGCTGTTACCTTAAACATCCCTCTCTAAAAGTTGACCACTTGTAGTCCAATATTACTGATTTGGGGAAATGGAAAAGAGCAATTCACACACATTAGAAATCTTTTCTAAATGTTGAGTACTTTCCTGGGATTTGTTTCTCTTCCTCAGATGTTCTTAAAATAACTGATTTATCATTTTAGACAATTGAAAGCTTTGCTGCACAAGAAAAACAAATGGAAGTTTGTGAAGTATGTGGAGCCTTTTTAATAGTAGGAGATGCCCAGTCCCGGGTAGATGACCATTTGATGGGAAAACAACACATGGGCTATGCCAAAATTAAAGCTACTGTAGAAGAATTAAAAGTAAGTTTTTTTGTTTGTTTTGAGGCAGATTCTTGCTCTGTCACCTAGAGTGCAGTGACGCGATCTCAGCTCACTGCCACCTCCACCTCCCAGGTTTAAGCAATTCTCATGCCTCAGCCTCCTGAGTAGCTGGGAGTACAGGCATGTGCCACCAGGCCTGGCTAATTTTTGTTTGTTTGTTTGTTTGTTTATTTTTGAGACAGTCTCGCTTTGTTACCCAGGCTGAAGTACAGTGGCGTGATCTCGGCTCACCGCAACCTCCACCTCTGGGGTTCAAGCAATTCTCATGCCTCAGCTTCCTGAGTAGCTGGGATTACAGGCACACACTACCACGCCCGGCTGATTTTTGTATTTTTTTTAATAGAGACGGGGTTTTTTCCTGTTGGCCAGGCTGGTCTTGAACTCCTGCCTCAGGTGATCCGTCCTCCTCAGCCTCCCAAAGTGCTGAGCCACTGCGCTCGGCCAGCGTAAATTTCTTCTAAAGATACATTTTAGCTATTAAAAAAATCTATTTTAGCTATAGCTACAGCTTTTAGCTATCAGTAGCTATAGATAAAAATAACTATATTCTAATATGGCTTAAATGGAGATATGACCCTCTCATTGATATTTTCCTATGTGTAATTATTTTTGAAGCATTGTGAGTTCTGTGAAATTTTGCTATTTATTGAACTATGAAAGCACTTGATTTTCTTAACTCTTGAGTGCCAGAAATTTGGGAAGAATATTCCTGAGGATTAGACAAATAATGATACCTTGTGTATATACATGGTGTTGGAATGTCTACATTTCCCTTAAGGGCATCAATTCCATAAGTTGGTCTACAGATAACTTCACATTAGTTGACCATTGTTTAACAATGCTTTAAAGTTACATTTGCATAAGAATCCAACTTGATTTTTCTAGGAAAAGTTAAGGAAAAGAACCGAAGAACCTGATCGTGATGAGCGTCTAAAAAAGGAGAAGCAAGAAAGAGAAGAAAGAGAAAAAGAACGGGAGAGAGAAAGGGAAGAAAGAGAAAGGAAAAGACGAAGGGAAGAGGAAGAAAGAGAAAAAGAAAGGGCTCGTGACAGAGAAAGAAGAAAGAGAAGTCGTTCACGAAGTAGACACTCAAGCCGAACATCAGACAGAAGATGCAGCAGGTCTCGGGACCACAAAAGGTCACGAAGTAGAGAAAGAAGGCGGAGCAGGTATATATAAAACACCCTAAGACTGTCCAGCTCATAATGGGTGTGCAATAACAATAATAACTACTAGTATTATTCCTTGGAATGGTACTTGGGAAGCTCTTAAGCATCTTTAAGTGATAGGATGGGTTGCGAGAGCGGAATCAGTGAATAAAATAGTTCCATCTTCGGGGCAACTTCTGTGCCATTTCCCACCTGTCTAGGAAATTTCACCCAACCTTTTTACAAAGTTAGAGTACCTGATGGTCTCTTAAGTGCTTGTCTCACTGATTCCGAGAAATAAAATATGAAATCAGCCATACTGTTTTAATTATAATTACAAATTGAAGAAGAGTCTTAAAGAGCACAACGATAACCATCTTAGCACTATTGGAGATGAATTTAGAAAGATTTTCAATAATTTTTAGTTCTTAAGATTTCTAATGTAAATATGTTTTAGAGGGTAAGTTTTGCCTAGTCTTGTTAATTAATAGCATCTACTCCAAGGCCTTTACTTATTGTAATACTGGCTGAAGTTGCCTTTTGGTTTTAAATTATTAAGAAGTAGAGATCGACGAAGAAGCAGAAGCCATGATCGATCAGAAAGAAAACACAGATCTCGAAGTCGGGATCGAAGAAGATCAAAAAGCCGGGATCGAAAGTCATATAAGCACAGGAGCAAAAGTCGGGACAGAGAACAAGATAGAAAATCCAAGGAGAAAGGTTAGTTTATATGAGAATTCAGTTCATTAAGAAACTTTTCACACCCTAATCGCCCCACTCACTTTTCTCCAGACACAGGCAAAGATCCATTTCATACATACTCCTTTTCACTTTGAGGAATGCCATTCAGTAGGAGACAGGCATTCTTTCCCCCTCTCCTACTTAGATTTGTGAAAATGACAGTTTATCTGGTGTTTTCTTAGATGTTAAAAACATCTTTCAGTTGATAAACCTGAAGGTTTTTAATGTAGCTTCTTTTAAGTGTTATATTACCTTTCGGGGTTATTAGGTGTAGGATTTATTATATTACCTTGGTTATTGGCTCCTTTTTTTTTTACACACTGCAGTGTTTCATAATACGTCTTATAAAGTGAGTGTACATTGTTGCATTAATCTTCATTTGTAGCATTCATTTAAGTTAGTAATTAACATCTAAGTACCTAGAAGTTGAATTGCTTACATGTGTCTTACCCACGTTTTCAATGGGATCAACATGCTCTTTCCCCTTTACTTTTTCTTTTTTCTTTTTCTTTTTTTTTTTTTTTGGTGTGGCATCCCAGTAGCTGATTTACTGTGCTGTTGGCACTATTAATGGACTTTTTAATTTGTGTGGCATGTTTTCACAAGAATATTCTCATCTAACTTAGCCTTTATTGGAAGATAATTCTGTTAACCACCAGGGTCTCCTTTCTGAGTTTCATGTTCTTCTATTTTGTATTTTTTATATAAAAGATATAAAATATCTTTTATTTTGTATTGAATGAGCTGTTGTGCTTTGCATGGTTTTAGGAATGAGAGAAGGGGCCTATTTCTGATTTTCTCAGCTCTCCTTGTTTCATTTCATTCTACCTGTCTCCATGTTTAATCACCAGCATAATATATGTGCTACTATTAAGGTTTATTATACTAGTCTTTTGTGTGTTGTTTGTTTATTATATCCTTTAATAGAACTGTCCTGGTTTTTTGTTTTCGTTTTTCCTCTAGACTCAGCTAGAACTAGCAGCACAAACCATGGACATATTTTTTGGTCTCTGCTTTTATTTTCTTAAAATAAGCACACACTCTTTTTCTGAAATATTTAACATCTATTGGCTTTTACTGTAATGTGAGAAAGTGTTGAAAACTTTTGTCTTCCTGCCAGATGTGCTAGTGTTTGCCATTCAAGTTGAGAACTTGCTTCTGATTCAAAAGGCAGTTGCTACAAAGGGTTAACTGATTTAACATTAGATTTAAGAATGTTTTACCTAATCTTTTTGCAAGACTTTCTGTGTAATGTCTTTTTGGGTTGAGAGGTCAACTCTTAAGAGCCAGGTATGACTGTCAGGTCAAATTAATAATATTTGTTTTGAGAAAGTTTTTAGTTTTACATTTCCTATTGTTAGCTTTAGTTGCTCTATTCTGTGTTATCATTTGTGCCACTTAAAATTGTTGGGTTGGTTCTTAGGGATAAAAGCTAGCTAGCCTTCATAACTACTTGAAGTCAAAGTTGAGTAGTAAATGACACTGGCCTGACTAAAAACAGGCATATTTGTGTAATTTCTGGATAGAGCAAAAAGATGTCCAGAGTTGCTTACCTTTAATCCTAAAATTGTAATGATGATGACATGAAATTTAGTGAAACTTTTTTTTTTTTCCAGACAGGGTCTCAGTGTCACCCAGGCTGAGTGCAGTGGCACGATCACAGCTCACTGCAGCCTCTACCTCCCCGGCCCAGGTGATCCTCCCACCTCAGCCTCCTGGGTGGCTGGGACTGTAGGTGCATACTACCATGCTTGGCTAATTTTTTTTTTTTTTTTGGGGGGGTAGAGATGGGGTTTTGCCATGTTGTCCAGTGTGATCTCGATCTCCTGGGTTCAAGCAATCCTCCTGCCTCAGTCTCCTAAAGTGCTGGGGTTATAGGTGTAAGCCACCATGCCTGGCCCCTAGTAAAACTTTTCGTTAAGCGGAATAAGCTGAGTTACGTTTAGATTAGCAACAGACAGGGATTTTCCATGTGAGACTTGGTGCAAAGAGAGAAGTTACTAAGAAAACTGTATCAGGCTTGTCTCCCATGATTGGGTATGCTATGATAGAGTTAAACATTGGAATCTCTTTTAGAAGTGATATAATTTATTGGCATTTTGAAAATGCTATGTAAAAATAAATTAATTAAAATCAGTGTGCAGATGAGTGAATTTAAAAAATGTAAAAAAAAAAATACAGAAAAGAAACTACCATGTAGCCATCTAGGCACTCTTATAAATGACTGAAGATCTGGACTTTGGGACCAGGTGTGAGCCACAGTGGGCATTTATTAATGGCAAATGAGAAAAAGCAAGTTTATTACTCCAGGTGCTATGATAGAAGCAGTTTATCTTACTCCACAAATGAAAAGTGGTTTCTCACACAAAGCTGTCAGCAACCAGTGTAAGGTGCTCTCTTTGTCAAGAGAGTTTCCTTTTTTCATCCATAGCCCTAAAATCCACCACAAATTGTGGATGTCCTTAGGACTATTAAGATCTACCATATTTACATAGGGCAGAAGATAAGATTATTGGACTGACTACTAGTCCTCTACGGGACAACAAGACGACTCTTCCTCATTGAAGCTACCTGTGCACCGGAGAAGCCCATAAGGCACAAAGGGAGGACTTTCCCACAAGGTCAGTTAGAGCCCACTGTCCTGGCACAGTTCTCACAAGTGGACAGACAGACATGAAGCAAGTCTTGCGCTTAACTACTTGGACATTGCTTTGTGTATTATGCAAGTGTTACGGACTAAATATGCTCTTTTACATAAGATCTTCAGTTCTCTGAGTGGGTGCCCCTCCCATACCATGTTTTGTTTTTCATTACCATCTCTTTCCTAGATATTTGGTGTTACGTCTTCATAACTGTGCAGAAACTATGTAGAGGGTTCTGTTTCTCTTAAAATGTCTTTTTGTCTAATTAACTACTCTGCCAGACCAGCTATTCTTAGTAAGGGGAAAAGTAATTTTTCCAGAAAGTTTCTAGTTGGCTTTAACATTTTCTGTAGAAATTTTTTGTTGGGGGAATACTTGGAACTGAAAAGGCTAGACTATGCTTGCTCTGGTGTACTACTTTTACCTCTAGTCTGAGGTCTTACCCATCCAAAGAATAGTAGAGGAAAAAGTTGTTTACCTTTTTCATTCTTCATTTGCAGCTGAGTTGAATTTTAATTTCTCTTTTTGGAAAAACAACTCTCAGATGGCATATATATTACTTTTCTTAGCAAAGCACAAAAGTTCAGTTGCTTAGATTGGGATTTAAGATCCATTTTCTTTGATTAGGCTTATCCTTCTTGGATATTCAAATATATATAAAAATAATGTTTTGCATTGAAAAATATGTAGTTGTAGTTTTTAAAACATGCCTGTTATAAACATTCAACTTTTTTTCACCTTTTGGGGTCTCCATTTTTACCCTTCTAACTTAATAATTGAACCTCATGTGAACATAGTTTTGTATGCTGTCTTTTATACCTTTCCCAGTGCTTTTTGATGTTTTTTACCCACAATGAAATTTACTTAAATATTATATTCTGCAATGTGCTTAATAGCTTCTCACCAATTGAGAGAATTTACCCACTATTTTACCTTTTGCTTCCTTGAATTCCCCTTCCTGCCTTCTCTCTCATATATTACAAATTTTATCCCTTTGGTAAATTCACCAAACCGTTGCTTGCAGTCTGTGGGAAATGATTGTCTCTCATCTCTCAGTTGTTTCACTTTTTTTCAAAATCATGTCTTTATTGTATTTTACTTTAAAATCCATGGTCAATGTCTTCTTTTATGGCAGAAAAGAGGGGATCTGATGATAAAAAAAGTAGTGTGAAGTCCGGTAGTCGAGAAAAGCAGAGTGAAGACACAAACACTGAATCGAAGGAAAGTGATACTAAGAATGAGGTCAATGGGACCAGTGAAGACATTAAATCTGAAGGTGACACTCAGTCCAATTAAAACTGATCTGATAAGACCTCAGATCAGACAGAGGTAAGTGTATTGTTTCTCACTTTGATTAGGGCTTTTTGTTACTGTTTGACAGTGCAGCGTAAGTATGCACAGATGAAGATGGAACTAAGCCGAGTAAGAAGACATACAAAAGCCTCTTCTGAAGGAAAAGACAGTGTAGTCCTGCAAAACATTTTGAGGTACATTGTTTTGTCTCAGCTATTTTGTAGCAGACTCGTGCCCCCATTAGTGTGCCTCTTTGGAAATTATCGCCCACATTTGTAATATAGTCGCCATTGAAAAGTTAATTATCCTTTTTTTAGGGATTTTGATGTCATTTCTTTTTTTTTTTTAATAAAAAGGTTGAACTGTTTTTTTTTTTCTTTTTGGTATTAAGTCCATCTTGTGTTGGTACATTGGCAGAGACATATGCTTTAAAAACTTAAATATTTCGGAGGCACATGTTGGACTACTTTGTTTTAATTAAACTGCTAGTATTTCTTTGTCAAGGATGTTTCTAGTTTTTTGCTTTATTGCCTTGCATTCTAATGCAGTTTGTTCTGTAACTCGAGAGCCAGTAGCATTGGATTGATGGAAGTGTAGGGTTTATGAATTATTGCAGCTGACTACCATACCTCACACAGCGTTGGTGTTGTGAGCGGCCCATGAAAAGCCAAATTAAAAATCAAGGATTCAGTCAAACTAAGCAGGTACTCATGCCAGGTACTCCTTTCTCTACCCACATCCATGTTTGAATGCTATTGCCTGTGATCTTTACGCTTAACTGTTGTGTATCTTTTTTGTTCTTTACAAGAAGTGCAGAGGGGTTTTTTGTGTATTGCGTGAAAACTTATAAAACAAATGTTAACAGAATGGAATTTTTTTTCAACTGTATGTAGGGCTGCAGTGGTGGCCAGAATTAGATATCTTTAAAGAATTTTAAATACAATAAACACTTCATATTATTCGCCTTGTTACACTCAATGCAATTCTCAAGTCTATAAGAGGTATGTGCTTAATATTTCCTACTGTGTAGGAGAATTTGCAGTCAGCCATAGGTATGTAGGAATAGTCACTCACTGGCTGATACATTTAAAGCAGCAGTGTGAATAGCAAGGACAGACACCTTCAATTTGTGAAATCAAAGAACTGATGCACTATATAGAACGAATTTGGGTTTTTAAAGAAATATTAAAAGTTAGGTACTGTAAGTGTTCTTAAAACCTGTAAACTTCATTCTGTGGGCTAGTGGTGTGGGACAAAATATTCCTAATGAAAGGAAGTACCAATTAGTTGATTTGTTGGTGGCATTCCCCTTTTGGGAAAGCAATGTAAGGTTATGTCTGTGTATGTCATTCACACTTAGGCAAGCATACACAGGCACATGGCTTTAAGAACCACACTGATGCCTTGATAATTAAAAAGAATACAAGCATTCCATGTACACATGTTAATTAGCAGTTAGTGACTGGGCCAACACTTTCTCATAAAAATTGGCCTTTTACATGTTGTCTAATTATCATTTTTCCCCAAATTTTGCGTTGTAGGACTACTGTTCGAAGATTTTTGGAAGAATACTGAGAACGGCATAAAGTGAAGATCGACATTTAAAAAATGAGGTGAAAGAAAGCTATAGTGGCATAGAAAAAGTATAAAGCTCAGTTAGTTTTTTTATTATTATTATTATTAAAAGTTAATTCAGGACTGATGTGACCTACCAGATTTCAGAACATGTGTTAATAGTATATATGCCACTGAAAACTTAGGTCCTGTATCATACTTTTTTCTTTAAGACTTTTTAAGAAATATTACTTAAACATGTGGCTTGCTCAGTGTTTAATTGCAAGTTTTCAATCTTGGACTTTGAAAACAGGATTAAACGTTAGTATTCGTGTGAATCAGACTAAGTGGGATTTCATTTTTACAACTCTGCTCTACTTAGCCTTTGGATTTAGAAGTAAAAATAAAGTATCTCTGACTTTCTGTTACAAAGTTGATTGTCTCTGTCATTGAAAAGTTTTAGTATTAATCTTTTTCTAATAAAGTTATTGACTCTGAACTAGTCCCCTGTTTTAAATACAAGAGTTACACTATTACTAGAGGTGTTGGTGTACAGTTTTATCTGATTTGTTCTGTTTAAGACTAATTTTTATAGACTTTCTAATGTTTTAAATAATGGTGCTTCAATTTTAGGTGGTTATGAATAAATTTGAATTTTGCTTTTAATAGCAAAGATGTGCAGTGAACTAGAATATATTTTTACATCCCTGAGAGATTCATTTAGTAGAAAATTCCAAGTATCCTGACAAGCACTCTTTAGCTGGCTAGCTATGGGATGATGTAGAAAAGCATTCAAGAGCTAGTTTTTGTTAAGTCCTGTATCAAGATTAACCCAGCTGTGTCAGTTTATAAATGTATTTGTGTATAGGGTGTGTAGTATATATGGCAAGGGTTTTTTCCCCCCACTTAAGTGATTATTTTTGTGTCACATCTAGGAAAACCGGCAGCATGTTTCTATCTATAGCCAGCTTCTTCGACTGTATAAAAGTATTCTCTCCAGCTACGTATATACACACATACATATATATCATAGCAATTCCTTGTGGTTTATAACTTGCAAATACTGCTATCAGTTTATAGGTAAAGAAACAGTGTGTTAAATGACTTATCCAGGGAGGGTCCTGTGGCTTCATGTTTATGGAGTTGCTAGGTCTCTGCCTCATGGTCCAGTGCCTGTTAAGCCACTGTGTTCATTCTAATAGGCATAATGAATTGTTAAAGAATTTACTAAAATCTCTTCCACCAAACTTTGAAAAATAATGAAGCCGCCCCCACTTTAGAGGCTCTGTATGAAAAAATGCTGTGGAGACAGAGCCCTCCTGGCTCCCTAGCTGATCCTGGAGATGCAGCAATAGATGAATGGGTTATCTCTGAATTTGTAAGAGATAATTCACATGAGGATTAAGATAAAATGGGAAGTAAAATCTAACAAACACAAAGATAGCTCCCAGGCACTGCTTTGTGTAGTTTGACAGCATTGTGGTTGTAGCAGCAAAGGACTTAAAGTGATAGTTTTTAAACCATATTCTGTCCCTAAGTAATAAAAAATCTAGGAAGTTACTAAAATACCAGATTTGTTCTGCTCTGCCTCATCTAGAATCAACGTCTAACTAACTTAAATGAAGTATAATAAATGAGTTCATATGAAAAGGCTTCCTCTATGGACACTTAGATATATTGTAACTATTGAAGTTACCTGGGATGTGGGGGTGGTGGGAGGAGGACCTGCCTCCCCAGGACATCTATGACTAAGGCCTGGCTTTAGTTATGGAGAGAGACGTAGAAGTTGAATTTTACACCCAAAATTGATGTGACTGAAGAGGAACTGATTGTTGCTAACCAGCTCACAAGAATCCAGTATTGAGACCAGTTCACTAGAAGAAACAAACATTTCTGCCATGCAGACCAAAAAGTTATTAGTTGGTGAATATGTATTTTCTCTTTGGAAGGTCTTTAAGGGGAGCAAACCAGTTTTAATCAATCAGATTGCTTGGTAAGTTTGGAATCTGCAATCAGTTGGTCTTAAAAAAAAAAAAACTTTATTTTGGAAATTTAAAGACATACACAAAAGAGGAACAATATAATTAACCTCTGTTAACTCATCACCAACAAGACTCATGACCACTTTTATACTTCATGAGTGATTGTATTTGTATCCACTGTTTTCTATTATTTTCGAGCAAGTCTCAGACACACCATTTAATCTGTAAATAATTCAGCATGTATCTCTAAAAGACAAAGACCTCTTAAATAACAGTTCATTAGTATAAAACAAATTGGGTAAACTTTTGTTGGTCATCAAACTATATTAGCACTGGTCCAATAGTTTAATTTTCATTGAGCCTTTCAAGAGGACCGACCAGTCTGCTGCTCAAGACATCCTCTCCTCTGGAATGTAGAGATAATACATATCATGCTCCTTTTTGTTAAAACGTTTTTTTTTCCCCTTCAAACACAGTCCATTCATTTTTCAGTTTGGGTTGAAACATCCTTTTCTTGATCTTGAGCTTATAATAACCTAGTCATATTGCTCAGCTCAGATATTTTTACTCCCTCTCCTTAGGCATTCTGGTTCCTTAAATATAGTTAGTGTCACAGAGGATAAATAACCAACCTTATTTCTAAGGTCTGAGAACACTTGGACCACATATTGGTTGAGCTCAGCCACCTTCTGATTAAAGTTTTCAGACTTGTAAGAACTGAAAATTTTTATGGTGGAAGTTCTCTGAGCCCTCATCCATTCTGTTTTTAAAAATGCATTGCAGATGGGCTATGTGAATATGTTTTTAAACATCTGATATGTGCATGAAACAAAAAACACTTGAAGTTATTATGTATACAATTCTGTGGGATGGGACTTCATGCAGGATTGGTTTTCAAGTTTGATTTCCTGAGGGATTTTTTAGTTGTTTGTGAAAGAACCCCAGGTCTACTTTTGAAATTTTGTATTATAATTGTAATGTTGCCCATGGTTAAAAAAAAAAAGTGTTCAGTGATCTATGTCTCCTACTACTCCTATTTCTCTGTTTTTCCTCTGCAGGAGCTTGCTGCTGTTAACAGTTATTCTTCCAAGTTGTTTTCTTTGTGGGGAGATGGGAGGTGGGAGGAAATATAAACATATATGTATAGATCTTTCAAAATATATGACGGTATACCCGTATGTTCTGAGTCTTGCTGTTTTTACCTGGTAATATTTAGAAACATTTATTTTGAGATAAAGGAGAGCACTTTTAAGTTGAACCTGTAGTTTTAAAAAGTACATTTCAAGTAAGCCAAAGCAGAGAAGTAAATGTATTTTTCATTGTTGTATCAGAATTTTGAATTTACTATTTTAAAAATTCAAGAGTTTTGTAGCTGATCTATTTCTTCCCCTCAGCCATCCCAAATAGGTCATTTGTCAACAGATTTAAGAATGTTTAGAAACAACAACTTTGGGAAACGGGAAACAATTTGGTATAAGTGGGTGTGCCATAACCTCTCTCGTAGCCATTCATTCCCGGATACATACCCTAGAGAAACTCTTACACATGCGTACCAGGGGATGGATTTAAGCATTTGTGTGTAATAGGAAGAAAAGAAGAAAAAACCCGGGAAGATCCCAAGTGTCCACCAACAGTGTGTTGGATAAATACTGTGGTATATTCCAACAGTGGAATTCCACAGAAGTGAAACTGAACTGCAGCTGTGTATGTGAACATGGACAAAACTCAACAATAGAAGGATCAAAAAAAGCAAGTCACAGAAGAATACATCACTATGGTTCCATTTCAATGAAAGTCAAAAACAGGCTGTCAAATACATGATAAAAGGAAACGATTAAGACAAAATTTAATGTTAGCCGTTTTGATGGAGGGAGAGGTGATCATGAGGGCACAGGGGTCTTCAGAAGAACTGGTGAGGGTCTGTTTCTGAAGCCTGTGGGCATTTCCTTTTTTAATCTGTATGTTTATGTGCTTTTGTATGTATGATATTTCTTAATAAAATTTAAAAAGAAGAATGGGAAAAAAGTCTTGGTGTAGGTAGTTACTAATATATAAGCTGTAGTGTATTTCGTAAAATTAACCATCAGTCAGTGACAAATTTAAAGATGCTGTTTCTTGAGTGCCCAATTTAAGGTTTTATTTTGTTTGAGACAGGGTCTCTGTCTTGTCACCCAGGCTGGAGTGCAGTGGCACGAGCTCAGCTCACTGCATCTTTCGCCTCCTGGGTTCAAGCCATTCTCGTGCCTCAGCCTCCCAAGTAGCTGGGATTACAGCTTCGCACCACCACACCTGGCTCATTTTTTTGTATTTTTAGTAGAGTGTTTCACCATGTTGTCCAGGCTGGTCTCAAAACTCCTGACCTCAAATGATCAGGCCCACCCTGGCCTCCCAAAGTGCTGGGATTACAGGTATGAGCCACCGCGCCCAGTCTTCAAATTGAGGTCTTAATTGTAACTCTTAAAAAGCTAGAAACGGCGACAAGAGCAAGACTCCGTCTCAAAAAAAAAAAAAAAAAAAAAAAAAAAGAAACCTAAATGTATGTTTTCTGTGTGATACCTTATTTTCATCTTAACATAGTTTCTACTTGTCTGCCAGCCAGGGAGCTGATGGTTTTGTTTTCCTGTCTAAACAGCTTCCAAAGAAGCTTTTCTCAGGCTTATGCCATTCTGGGAAAGAAAACTGCTTTACTGTGCTGTACTCCTTCCCCTGGCCCAAGTTAGGTTGTTACCTCAGAGAGGCTGCTGCTTTGGCCTTGTTCTAATTTTAGTAGGGGTACTGTGAACACAAAAATGTTTACTCTTTAAAAAGAGGAAAGTGACTGAAATTTGAATTGGCAGATTCATAAGGTTCATATAACTAAGGCCCTACGTCAGTTTACAGCAGCCCTGTTACCCCTCAACTATGCTCCAGGTGAGACTTGGATCCCCTCAGTATGAGCATAGGGCTTGGCTGTGAGTTCATCCAACACATCCCCGAGTGCTCCTATGTGCTGTGGAGTGACTGATACCTTTGGATACACCAAGAACAAAATAGGTGCAGCTCCAGGTCCCTCCGCTATGGAATCTGTCCTCACTGCAGCAGTGGCACCCTCAGGGCTGTGCCTTGTACACAGGACTTCTGAAAGGGGAGTGGAAAGGGGTGGTGCTGTTGAGTTACTAATCACCCTATTAGTTGAAAGTGCAGAGTTAATGAACAACTAAGAATTCTAGGTCATTTCATATTTTATTTTAACCTAAATAGTTCTGGGACTTCTTAGGATGGCATTTTGGTACGTGATTAATTTCACTTAAGGCCATTTTAGAATCAGTGGAATTGGCCGGGCGCGGTGGCTCACACTTGTAATCCCAGCACTTTGGGAGGCCAAGGCAGTCGGATCATGAGGTCAGGAGTTCAAGACCTGCCTGGCCAACATAGTGAAACCCTGTCTCTACTAAAAAAAAAAAAAAAATTAGCTGGGTGTGGTGGTGGGCACTGTAGTCCCAGCTACTTGGGAGGCTGAGGCAGGAGAATTACTTGAACCTGGGAGGCGGAGGTTGCAGTGAGCTGAGATCACACCACTGCACTCCAGCCTGGGTGACACAGCGAGACTGTCTCAAAAAAAATAAAAAATAGGCTGGGCCTGGTGGCTCACCCCTGTAATCCCCAGCACTTTGGGAGGCTGAGGTGGGTGGATCACGAGGTCAGGAGTTCAAGACCAGCCTGGCCAACATAGTGAAAACCCATCTCTACTAAAAATACAAAAAAAATTAGCGGGCATGGTGGTGGGCACTGTAGTCCCAGCTACTTAGGAGACAGGCAGGAGAATTGCTTGAACCCGGGAGGCAGAGGTTGCAGTGAGCCAAGATCGTGCCACTGCACTCCAGCCTGGGCAACACAGTAAGACTCTGTCTCAAAATAAATAAATAAAATGAGTTGGAATTGCACCTTACTCAGGGATTAGTTTTTTATAATCGATGTGTGAGGTGAAAACTAATCAAATTACTCTTGAAGCTCTTCAAATTTTGTTTTACTGATAATCTGCAGCCTTAAGACTTATTTGTGTTATAGAAAATGAGTTTTGGCTGGGCGCAGTGGCTCACACCTGTAATTTCAACACTTCGGGAGACCAAAGCGGGCACATCACATGAAGCCAGGAGTTCGACACCAGCCTGGCCAACATGGCAAAACTTTGTCAAAACTATTTTTAAAAATTAGCTGGGCATGGTGATGCATGCCTGTAATCCCAGCCACTTGGGTGGCTGAGGCATGAGAATCACTTGAACCTACGAGACAGGTTGCACAGTGAGCCGAGATCATGCACTCAAGCCTGGGTAACAGTGATATGCACCCCCCCAAAGTTTTTCTTTTTTTCTTTTTTTTTTTTTTTTTTTTTAGAGATAAGGTCTTGCTATGTTGCTCAAGCTAAACTTGAACTCCTGGGATTACAGGCGTGAGCCACTATGCCTGGCCTCAAAATTAAAAAAAAATAAGCAATTTAGATGCTGACCTGAAGTGCTTCTGTCACCTTGTTACAGGAGGCCGCAAATGCTAACTAAGCAAGTTGCAGATGGTCCCACATGACGTTTCTGAATGAAACAGGACACTTCTTACTATTGGAACCATTTTTCTCTGTTTTGAACAGTTGGATAAGGGAAGTCTTGACGTGCTGCCTATGTGTCCGCTGCCCTTCATCAAAGTTGAGCTACTGAGAAATTGGAGTTGAAGGAACAGTGGCTAATGGCATGTGCTGGGATGCAAGTAAGACATTATGCTTGGCCATAAGGAGTTCTGGTATTTTATGTATACCTCTCCCACAAGCTTTAGAGATGACTTCGTGGTCTAGGAGGAACAGGTGTGTAAAGAAGTGACAGTGTGGTGTGTGTGAATAAAAGTGGGTAGATAGGGTCAAGCCATTGCATGAGCCCGTACAAGGTGCAAGCAGAGTTATTAACTAGAATTTGGCAAGGGAGCTGACCCGGAAGGATCCTAGGGAGTGTGTTAGGGAGGAATGTAGCATGGGATGTGATGACAGCTCACTTTAGATGTTAGTGAGGGCACCAGCTGGTTTTTCAGCTTATTTCACAGACCAGTGGCATGGGCTGTGCCTCGCCTGTTCTGTAAGTGGTATGTTAAAAATAGCCTCAAAGGTATTAATCGTTATTGGCTGGGCATGGTGGCCACCTCTGTAATCCTAGCACTTTGGGAGGCCGAGGTGGGAGGATCACTTGAGCCCAGGAGTTCCAGACCAGCCTGGCCAACATAGTGAGACCTCGTCTTTTTTTTTTTTTTTTTAAACGGAGACTTGCTCTGTCTCCCAGGCTGGAGTGCAGTGGCGCAATCTGGGCTCATTGCAACCTCTACCTCCCAGGTTCAAGCGATTCTCCTGCCTCAGCCTCCTGAGTAGCTGGGATTACAGGTGTGAGCCACTGCGCCCGGCCAAGACCTCGTCTTAAAAAATAAAATTTAAAAAATACTTGGACAGATGCGGTGCCTCACACCTGTAATCCCAGCACTTTGGGAGGCCGAGGCGGGCGGATCACTTGAGGTCAGGAGTTTGAGACCAACCTGTCCAACATGGCGAAACCCCATCTCTACTAAAATTACCAAAATTAGCCAGGCATTTTGGAGCATGCCTGTAATCCCAGCCACTTGAGAGGCTGAGGCAGGAGAATCGCTTGAACCCGGGTGGCGGAGGTTGCAGTAAGCCGAGATCGCGCCACTGCACTCCAGCCTGGGTCACAGAGTAAGACTCCCTCTCAAAAAAGAAAAAAAAAAAAAGGAGTTATTTACTCAACTCAGATATCATGCCATTTTGTAGATGAGTTTAAAAAGGTGTAAACAGGAAGTGATAGTATGGGACACGTTTAAAAATGAGGACAATTGGCCGGGCACAGTGGCTTACGCCTGTAATCCCAGCACTTTGGGAGGCCAAGAGATCACTTGGGGTCAGTTCGAGGCCATCCTGGCCAACATGGTGAAACCCCATCTCCACTAAAAATACAAAAATTAGCCAGGTGTGGTGGCACATGCCTATAGTCCCAGCGACTCAGGAGGCTGAGGCAGGAGAATCCCTTGAACCCAGGAGGCAGAGGTTGCAGTGAACCGAGATCGCGCCACTGCACTCCAGCCTGGACGACAGAGCAAGAATCCCGTCTCAGAAAAAGAAAAAAGGGTTGGGGGACCTGAGCACAGTGGCTCACACCTGTAATCCCAGTACTTTGGGAGGCTGAGGCGGGTGGATCACCTTAGGTCAGGAGTTCAAGACCAGCCTGGGCAACATGGTGAAACCCCATCTCTACTAAAAATACAAAAATTAGCTGGGCGTGGTGGTGTGTGCCTGTAATTCCAGCTACTTGGGAGGCTGAGGCATGAGAATCGCTTGAACTTGGCAGTGAGCTGAGATCGTGCCATTGCACTCCAGCATAGGCAACAGAGTGAAACTCTGTCTCAAAAAAAAAAAAAAAAAAAAAAAAGGCGGAGTGGGGGCGGACACTGATAGAACTTGTGTTGCCAAGTGGGTCCTGGCTTTCCTAGCACCATCAGCTCACCCTGCCCATGTGGGTTGACCTGAAGAGACTCTGGCCATTTGTCCTGACTGAATCTTATAAAGCATACATCAGGATTAGGGCACAACTCTACAAAATAAACTGCCCTTGGTGTAAGTATCATACCTTGTGATGTTTTTTATAGCTATTTGTCAAAACCCTAAACTTAACTCTTCTCCCAGCCCAGAGAAATTGGAGATGACGAAACATAATAATTTCTCACAGTTCAAACATGAAGTTAGCCAAACTGGTATATGCATCCAGACTTCATTATTTGTGAAATAATGATTTCAGTTTTTTAATTCCTGGGATTGATTATTTATTTATTTATTTATTTTGAGAGACAGAGTCTTGCTCTGTCGCCAGGCTGGAGTGCAGTGGCGCAATCTCAGCTCACTGCAACCTCTGCCTCCTGGGTTCAGGTGATTCTCCTGCCTCAGCTTCCCATGTAGCTGGGACTACTACAGGTGTGCGCCACCACACCTAGCTAATTTTTGTATTTTTTTTAGTAGAGACTGGGTTTCACTATATGTTGGCCAGGCTGGTCTAGAACTCCTGACCTCAGGTGATCTGCCCACCTTGGCTTCCTAAAGTGCTGGGATTACAGGGGGTGAGCCACCATGCGCGGCCATTCCTGGGAGTATTTAATAAGTCATTTTTGCAGCTTTGCTATCATAGCAGGGCCTTTCTGTCAGAGATGGCACATATTCTGTCAATCTGGAGCTTCCATTTTTCATTAAAATGAGTTCCACTTCCTGAAAGTCCCGCAGTCTTCGAATGTCTTTGTCCTTAATGTAGAAAAGAAATTATATTATGCTTAATAAATTTGAATGTAATAGAAAACCTTAATATTAATATTGTTCAGCATCTTGGGTTCTGAACCCATAAGGTATTGTTTTTTTTGAGACAGAGTCTTGCTTTTGTCGCCCAGGCTGGAGGGCAATGATGCGATCTTGGCTCACTGCAACCTCCGCCTCCCAGGTTCAAGTGATTCTCCTGCCTCACTTGGCTCACTGCAACCTCAGCCTCCTGAGTAGCTGGGATTCAGACATGCGCCATCATGCCCGGCTAATTTTTGTATTTTTTATAGAGACAGTTTTCACCATGTTGGCCAGGCTGGTCTTGAACTCCTGACTTCAGGTGATCTGCCCACCTGGGCCTCCCAAAATGCTGGGATTACAGGTGTGAGCCACTGCGCCCGGTCCCCATAAGATAGTTCTGTATTTTTTTTTTTGAGACAGGGTCTCGCTCTGTCACCTAACCTGGAGTGCAGTGGCACAGTCACAGCTCACTGCAGCTTCAACCTCCTAGGCTCAAGCAATCCTTCCACTTCCACTGCAGCCTCCCAAGTCTACTACACCCAGCTAATTTTTGTATTTTCCTGTAGAGACAGGGTTTCACCATGTTGCCCAGGCTGGTCTCAAATTCCTGAGCTCAAGCAATCCGCCCACCTCGGCCTCCCAAAGTGCTGGGATTACAAGCATGAGACACCACACCCAGCAGATTTTTGTTGTTAAGGTATCTGGAAAGCATGATCATCCCTTGACATGTTAGTTTACAAAGAATATACACTATAAGCCAAGACACCAGTAAGGATTGCCAAAGGAACAGCAGCTCACCACCTGTTATCCCAGCACTTAGGAGGATGAGGCCAGGGGGTTGAGAACAGCCTGGGCAATATAGCCAGACCCATTTCAAAAAAAAGAAATTAATGGAGTGTGGTGGTGTGTCCCTGTAGTCCCAACTACTCTGGAGGCTAAGATGGGAGGATCACTTGAGCTGAGGATTTCGAGGCTGCAGTGAGCTATGATCACGCCATTGCATTCTATTGTGGGTGACAGAGACCCTGTCTCAAAAAAACAAAAAACAAAAAAATTGCCAAAGGAATTTTGAAAGCTTTAAAGAAAAATTTCCAAAGAAATAAGATTTCCTTTCCAAAATTAAAAATTAAGATCTGTATTTTAAATCTGGGAAATATATAAAAATGCAAAACAATTTTTGTTTGCTAATATTTCAAATACTTAGCAAACCCACCCTTTGCTAAGCAAACAAGGATGGGTTTGTGTTTTTTTTTTTCCTGAGGACTATGCCATTTTATGTTAACCAGTCAATTTTGCAGAGATTGGTGGGGCCAAAAGCACTGAACTAAAGCCTTAAATTGGGGAGTCACTTGTCATTCAGAGGTTTGTTTTTTTTTGAGACAGGGTCTAGCTCTGTCGCCAGGCTGGAGTGCAGTGGTGCTATCTCAGCTCACTGCAACCTCCTCCTCCTGGGTTCAAGCAATTCTCCTGCCTCAGCCTCCTGAGTAGCTGGGATTACAGGCACGCGCTGCCATGCCCAGCTAATTTTTGTATTTTTAGTAGAGACGGGTTTTCACCGTGTTGGCCAGGATAGTCTCGATCTCTTGACCTTGTGATCTGCCCACCTCGGCCTCCCAAAGTGCTGGGATTGTACTGGTGTGAGCCACCGTGATCGGACCATTTAGAGGTTTTTAAAAGGTTTATGGATTAGATGTGCAAATCTTAAAAGCGCCAGATTGAAAATGACCTAGCTACCATGTTTGGCCGTTTTGCAGCCAGGATTTCTGGTGTCATGAAATGCAGAAGTGTAAACGATTGGCTCCAGAGAACATGATGTCACCCACTGTGATTCTGCATTTAGAAACTCTTAACCCTTACCTTTCTGAGCAGTGTGTTTGGTAGCTTTCTGATCTTCTCCACTCGTTCTGGTTTAATCCCCAGTTCACAGCAACTCACGTTTAGTAGGTTTTGGTAACTCAGTTCTTGTCTCTTCAGTTCAATTTCAATGAAGTCATTTTCTTTGGGGTTCTGAATTCTGACTTTAAACACAAGCTCTAAATCACCCATAAATTCAAATACAGTTTGTAAAGGAAACAAAATACCTGTCAGAGATTTTCATATCTATTATTACAGCATAAATAATCCTAAAAACTGAATGTTAAGTAGACATGGAGCTTTCATGGGCACATACACACTTTGCATTAGCTGAGGGTTCTTTTCTTGGAGTGTTGGGCAAGCTCTGGGATGTATGCCCCCATTATATCCACTGAAGACAGAAAGCTTGCAGCTTTAAGCCAGCCAAGGATTTAAAATATGCAATGGATATTTAAACACATCACCCTTGGGCAATACATAGCAGGTGCTCATACCTTGTTGCTTATCTGGAAAGCTTCAGGGAAATGTATAGCCCTGGGGGCCCTGGTGTCCTTAAAGAAGCTATTGTGCAGAGGAGCAAATCGCTCTTGAGATTCCTACCCACCACCCCCACTCCTCCAGAAATAGGATAATTCTACCATCTTTCAGGACAGTGGCATTGTATTCCAACTTAACTGTCCTGAGAAGATACAGTATGAACTAAAAGTCCAAATGGAAAGCAGATGGTCAGTTTGGCTTTGCAACCTGGTCACATAGGGGCTGAGTCTTCACCTAGACAGGTGTCACTGGGTTTCTTGTTATCACTTGGGTCCGTTGTTGGCAAGTGTGGATTTGTGCCTTCTTGTTTATATTCACCTGGGAATCAGGAAAGAGTTGAGAAGGAGCAGTACCTGACCAGTTGGCTGTCTGCCAGACAAAGGACAAGGATGCCCCACTTCCACTTCCTGCCCTGCAGCTTATCCTCCCCTTCTCAAGGGAAAAGGCAAGTCAGGAAAAGGGCAGTAATGACTTTCAGTCTTGAAGAGTAATTTTCTTTAATCACCACCCAAATCATGAAAAGGAGCTGAGACAGTATTTTTAAATGGTGCGTAATCTGGGGAAGAAATATTTATAATCTCTGTGCTTAGCTCAAGTTTTTACTTAAATATTTTTGGCACAGAGTGCTTTATGTCTTCAGTTCTCTAGCAGAGATACAGTTAGGAGGGTGTCTTTATAAGGAGAAATTTTCTCACCCAGAGGGAAGGGAAAGGAGTGAATATTTAGAGTGCTTTGCATATGCCAGGCCTTTTGTGTATTTCTTTCTTTCTTACAATATCCACTGAACATGTTGAAAGCCTGCTTTGCACCAGGCACTGGGCTAAGCCCTGGGGAAATCATGTTCAAAAATCCCAAAGATGTCTCTGTGCTCCTGGAGTTTGCAGGCCAGCAGAAGAGACAGATATTAATAAATGGGAAATCACAGTTGTCGGGGCATGATGAATGTGAAATACACAGTACTTTGAAAGCATGTTAGGGGTCAAGGGAGGCCTCCATGAAGGTTGATTATTTGAGCTGACATCTGAAGGATGAATAGGCTTCACTAGATCCAGAGGGCAGAGGAGGTGAAGAGCTTTTCACAGGGCCCTGTGGAGAGTTCAGCATGGCTGCAGGGCAGAGAGCATGGGGGGACTGAGTGTCAGACAGGCTGGCAGGGGCCAGTTAGTCCAATTATGTAGCTTCTTGTCACATGAGATAAGATACACGATAAGGTAAAATATACCCTGGATTTTGGAGGCAATAAAAAATTTTCATACTTATATGTTGACATAATGATTTGCATATAGCGGGCAAAGTATATTATTAAAATTAGTTTCACCTGTTTTTACTTTTTAAAACATGGCTACTAGCAATTTTAAATTACATATGTGGCTTGCATTACATTTCTATTGGGCAGCATTAGTCTAGATGAAAGGTTTTGGTCTTTGTCCTAAAACACCACCAAGCCATTCTGGTTTTTAGCAGAGAGCTGTCATAATCAGACTTGCATTCTGGAAAAGAGAAAAGCCTCACTGTCCCCAAAAGAATCCTGTGGGGTATGCACATTATTATTTTCATTTTCAGACAGGAAAATTGAGGCTGAAAGGGGAAGTAGTTTGTTCAGGTTGGTAAATGGCCAGATATGGATGTGACCAGGGCCAACTACATAATTTGCAAAGCCGAGTGCAAAAGGAAAATGAAGAGGAAGCCAATTTCCCCTTCTCACAGCCGCTGCTCTAACCCAGGGCAAATGGGTGACGCCCAGGGTATTGCGACCTCCCCACTTGAACGCACCAACTAGCTGGATGGGGGTGGGTGAGAGTGTCCAGGGCTGCCTGCCACTCCTCAACTTCTGATCCTTGTTTTGCCTGGGCAAAGGTGACAGCGGAATGAGGGACTCTGGCAGAGGGTTACAGCAGTGGTGGGGCTGGTCTGGGTGTGGAGACCATATGTATGAGCTGAGGCTCCAACTCCCAACCCTGGCACATGCTCCATTGTCCCATCGGACACCACTTACAAAACAAGTTCAGGGCTAAAATTATGACACATTTCAAGTCAACAATCACAGAATGTTGAACCCCAAGCCCAGGGCCTTTCTGAATGCAAGGCCCTGGGCAGCTGCACTGATCACAGACTTATGAAGTCAGCCCTGTTTGTGCCACCCTGCCAGATGCCTCCAAGGAGATGAGACGCTCCTGCCCAACTCAGCCCCTTCCCAGGACAGGAATAATGTCCCCTCCCCTAGTGAGCGGGGATCTGCAGTCTTCTCTTTGCCTTTCAATTCTGGGCCCTGGAGGTGGCTCAGGGCTGTGGCTCCTTCTCAGGCAGCCCCTGTAGCAGCTGGGCCCCAGCCCACCTGCCAGTACCTGACCTGATATCGATACCTGATAGAGATACCAGAACCTGACCTGAAACGAGGCCTTCCTGCCTCACTGCTAACTCACCCAACACACAGCCCGAGAACTTTCCCTGCCCTGTCCACTACGTTTGAAAGCATTTTATTCTGTGGTCAATGTGTCAGCTCTGTGAACGGCCAGAGTCTCATAGAGGTCACAAAGCATGCCCTTTGCACTCAGGCAGATTTGGGTCTGAATTCCTCTGCCACTTAGTAGCTTTGACACCTTGGGCAAGTTACATAACCTCTCTGATCTGAAAATGAGGTTAACAATCCTACCTCACCAGATTGTAAGAAGTCAATGAGAAAGTACACAGAAGGTACAACTTCCTAGCAGTTGTGAGCACCAGTAATTGCTGGCTGCTATTATTATTTATTATAGCTATAGACACTTGCTTCCTTCTGAAAGGACCTTTGGTCTAGTTGCTCTGCTCTTCACTACCCCACTGGCAGAGTGGCGGAGGCCACAGGGCACTGCTGGCCACAGCATCACCTGTGTCCCAGCCTTCCCCAGCCCCCTGTCCCATCCTCCTTGAGGACCATGTTGGGAACAGGACTCCCAGACTCACCTGCTGGCTTCTCCCCGATGTCCTGTTCCGGTTCAGCCATGAGTCACCTCTAGTCCGTCAGATGTGCAGCCCCTCTCGCATTTATGCACAAGCTCCCAACCAAATAAAAAGCACTTTCTACAGCCTCAGCACATCTGTCTGCAAGGTAACAACAGTGTGTTCTTGCCAGCCCAGTGAGATAGAGCAGGGTCATTTTTATTTTATAGATAGGGAAAAGGAGGCTGCAGCGTGTGGCATGATTTGCACAGGGTGAGGCCAGTGAAGGAAGGTACTGAAGTAAGGCTCCAGACTCTCTTCTCAGGCTGTCCCCACTGGAAGACGGTGCAGGCCGGTAGTACTCACCCGAGGGAATGGTGCCCTTCGGAGGGGAGGCCAGAGAGGCACAGCAGGCACCCAGCCAGACCCGAGAAGGGGGCCAGGCCCTCTTTCTTGGAAAAGGTTGGTAGCTTCTACACCAGGGGTAAGAAAAACCAAACACTTTGTTTCTCGGTTTGAATGGACTCCTCCTCCCCATTTCACTGTCTTTACTCCCAGCCCCTTCCTCAGCAGCTGTGCATGACAAGAAAGAAGCAGAAAGACCCCTCCATACCTGGGAAAATGACCTTGGTGATGATCCTGGATCCCCTGATTCTAGACATCAAAATGGAGGAGGCAGAGGCTGGAGCAGGAGGTTCAGTGAAGAATGGGTGGGGAGGGTCAAAGTCCCCAGTGAGGCTGCTGCCTCAAAGGCAGGCTGAAGACAGGAGGAGGTGCACAGATAGGAACCCAGATGTTCGGGTAACGCTCACATTTCATTTAACCCTCCAATGACAAAAGACGGGCAAACAGACGGGGCATCAGGGTGGGCCTCAGCATCAAAAAACTGGAGGGAGCTGGCTGGGTGCGGTGGCTCACGCCTGTAATCCTAGCACTTTGGGAGGCTGAGGCGGGTGGATTGCCGGAGCTCAGGAGTTCGAGACCAGCCTGGGCAACTCGATGAAACCCCCATCTCTACTAAAATACAAAAAATTAGCTGGGTGTGGTGTCGTGCGCCTATAATCCCAGCTACTCAGGAGGCTGAGACAGGAGAATCGCTTGAACCTGGCAGGCAGATGTTGCAGTGAGCCGAGATCACACCATTGCACTCCAGTCTTGGTGACAGAGCAAGACTCCATCTCAAAAAATAAATAAATAAATAAATAAATAAACACTAAAAAAAAACCATAAACCAAACAACAACAACAAAAAACCAAAAAAAAAAAAAAAAAGCTGGAGGGAGCTATGGAGATCGCAGCCCCCCGGCTCTCAAACATGGTGTGCATTGAAGTCACCTGGGAAGCTTTAAAAACCGTGGATGCCCAGGTCCCACCCTATAAAGTCTGATTTAGTTGGTCTGGATGCAATCAGAGCCCCAGAACTTTTGAAAGGTTCCCAGCTGATTTCAATGTGCAGCCAAGACTGTGAACCACTGATTTGGCCAAACTGCTTAAAGGAGCAAACAGGGAAAACGAGGCCTTAGTAAGTGAAATGTTTACCACTAGTCACGTGGCCAGCCAGGCACAGGCCTGGCACTGGACCTGGGTCACCTGGCTGCCAGGCCGATGCTGTCTTCCCAGCATGCTGGTGTGTCTTTCTGCAAGAACAGGGGAAGGGCAGGGTGGGGCAATGGAGAGGCGGAAGTAGCAGGGATCCCCTGGCCTGGACTCCTGAGAAAATGCACTTTGGCCAGCCTGGCTGCCAGGGTGTGGTCCGCCATAAAAAAGGCATCCTGAACCTCCTCCCCTGAGTGGGTGTGGCTACAGGTGCAGGGGAACTGTAGATGAAAAGGCTTGGCACTTGAGGGAAAGCCTCAGTTCATTCTCATTTTGCTCACCTGTTCGGTCCATTCATTCACTCACTCCCCGTTCACTGATTCACTCATTCACTCACACGTTCACTCAACAACACTCATTTTTTTCTTATTTAGGGGAACACACGTTCTTCTTTTAATTCATTTTATTTTTTGAGAAGGAGTTTCGCTCTTGCCCAGGCTGGAGTGCAATGGTGGGATCTCAGCTCACTGCAACCTCCATCTCCCAGGTTCAAGCGATTCTCCTGCCTCAGCCTCCCTATAAATAGCTGGGATTACAGCTGTGTGCCACCATGCCCAGCTAATTTTTTTTTTTTTTTTTTTTTTTTAGTAGAGACGGGGTTTTGCTATGTTGGCCAGGCTGGTCTTGAACTCCTGACCACAGGTGATCCACCTGCCTCGGCCTCCCAAAGTGCTGGGATTACAGGCGTGAGCCACCGCGTCCGGCCTTTTAGTTAATTTTAATGTTTAAAATTAAAGTATTACATGTTCTAGTTAAAAAAAATCTACTGGTACTAAAAATCAGAGCCGATTAGGAAGGAAGAAGGCAAAGTGTGTTGGGGGGACAATCAACTGCCACACAGGCCTTGGCATATGACTTGTTCCATTCATTATGCTGGGCACTTAGTGGGCCCTTTTATCCATGTATTAGTTTTGCTTGTGTGTGAGCCTGTGAGAGGTAGCTTTTAATTCTGATATAGTTTCAAACTTACAGAAAGTTGTGCCTGGAGTAGTGGCTTATGCTAAGGTGGGAGGATGGCTTGAGCCCAGGAGTGCGAGACCAGCCTGGCCAACATGGTGAAACTCCATCTCTACAAAGAATAAAAAAAAGAAAGAGCTTTACTTCTCATCCATTCATTCATTTATTATCATTGTGAACTCATGGATTCTTATTTTATTCAGTGGGTCACAATCCATCACTATCATGATCTATTTTGATGCTTTAATCATCCCAACTTTGTCCAGCATTTTATCCTGGCAGCTGTTTCCCATATCCTTTGACATATCCCCATTATTTTGTGAGCACTTTCTTTTTTTTTATTTTATTTTTTAGACGGAGTCTTGCTCTGTTGCCGAGGCTGGAGTGCAGTGGTGTGATCTCAGCTCACTGCAACCTCCGCCTCCCAGGTTCAAGCAATTCTCCTGGCTCAGCCTCCCGAGTAGCTGGGAATACAGGCACACGCCACCAGGACTGGGTAATATTTTTTGGTATTTTTAGTAGAGAGGGAGTTTCACCACATTCGTCAGGCTGGTCTCAAAATCCTGACCTCAAGTGATCCGCCCTCCTTGGCCTCCTAAAGTGTTGGGATTACAGGCGTGAGCCACCGCACCCGGACTGTGAGCACTTTCTTATTTCATGGCACATCAAGATGTTCTGGGTTCCATTGTACTTTCCCTGCCCCAGCCCTGCGATCAGGCATTTCTCCAAGGAGCCAGGTTATTTTCCATGAGGCACAGGTGTGATCATTCCCATGGAGATGTCATTGCTTCTAGGCTCTTCCCGTGTGCAGAGCTAGGAGCACACATGCATATACGCACATAAACACATAAACACATGCATCTATTTCTGTATATAGATATATGTTTTAAAATCAATCTAATTTATTTAGTTTCCTCTTTTGTGTGTGTATATATTTAAGAGAACAACTTCATATTTCTAGTCCCATTCCAACACCAAAGGGTTCTCCCTTGCTGGCTTGCTTGCCTTCCTTTCTTCCTCCGCCTTTCTCTCTTTCTTTCTATTTTAAACAACAGAAATTTATTCTCTCACAGTTGTAGAGGCCAGAAACCCAAGATCAAGATGTTGGCAGCATTGATTCCTTCTGGAGGCTCTGAGGAAGAATCTGTTTCATGCCGCTCTCCTGTTCTGGTGGTTGCCAAAATCCTTGGTGTTTCTGGCCTAGCTGTCTTCAGTTCCATATTGTAACTCTCTTCTCCAAAGGGTAAAATCTGGCTCCTAACATCTTTGATACATTTACTCCTTTGCTCAGTCCAATTCACAGAAAGTTTCAGAATTGTTCATTTGAAATATATTTAGGTTCATTGTTTCTGTTTGTATAAGAGGATTCTTCCCAGTCCTTGTTGCTTTTATTTATTTATTTATTTATTTATTTAAGACAGAGTCTTACTCTGTTGCTCAGGCTGGAGTGCAGTGACGTGATCTCAGCTCACTACAACCTCCACGTCTCGGGCTCAAGCAACTCTCATGCTTCAGCCTCCTGAGTAGGCTGCACCACCATGCCTGGCTAATTTTTGTATTTTTTGTAGAGACAGGGTTTCGCCATGTTGGTCAGGCTGGTCTCAAACTCCTGGCCTCAAGCAATCTGCCTGCCTCGGTCTCCCAAAGTGCTGGGATTGCAGACATGAGCCACTGTGCCTGTCAATTTATTATTTCTTGAATATATTAATCATTAAATGGTTCTGTAGGTAGAGTCAAAACATTGATATTTTAAAAAGTGTCGTTTTACTTTTTTATCCCTTCCATTTCATTCCCATCTATCTATCCCCTGTAGGAAACTAATCTCATTCGTTTCTGACTTACCCTTCTTATGTTTCTTTTTGCAAAATTAAATAGATACGTTTTTGGCCGGGGCACGGTGGCTCACGCCTGTAATCCCAGCACTTTGGGAGGCCAAGGTGTGTAGATCATGAGGTCAGGAGTTCGAGACCAGCCTGGCCAAGATATTGAAACCCCATATGTACTAAAAATACAAAATTAGCCAGGCGAGGGGATGGGCACCTGTAATCCCAGCTACTTGGGAGGCTGAGGCAGGAGAATCACTTGAACCCAGGAAGCGGAGGTTGTGGTGAGCTGAGATCACGCCACTGCACTCTAGCCTGGGTGACAGAGCGAGACTCCATATCAAAAAAACCAAAAACCAAAAACTTTTTTTTTTTTGAGACGCAGTCTCGCGCTGTCGCCCAGGCTGGAGTGCAGTGGCACGATCTTGGCTCACTGCAAGCTCCGCCTCCCGGGTTCACACCATTCTCCTGCCTCAGCCTCCCGAGTAGCTGGGACTACAGGCACGTGCCACTATGCCCAGTTAATTTTTGTATTTTTAGTAGAGATGGGGTTTCACCATGTTGGCAGGCTGGTCTCGATCTCCTACCTTGTGATCCACCCACCTTGGCCTCCCAAAGTGCTGGGATTACAGGGGTGAGCCACCGTGCCCGGCCATAGCAGCCTGATTTTAACCCACCACCTAATACTGCTCCTCCCTGCACTGTTTTGTGATTTTGACAAAACAACCCATTA
This sequence comes from Homo sapiens, assembly GCF_000001405.40. Taxonomy (NCBI): domain Eukaryota; kingdom Metazoa; phylum Chordata; class Mammalia; order Primates; family Hominidae; genus Homo; species Homo sapiens. The sequence continues at coordinate 50,771,958 of NC_000017.11, forward strand.
GCATCTCCTTCTGACAGGAGACCACCAACTGTGGAGTGGTTCTGGCCATTCTGCAGAGGATGTGCAGTGAAGGTCTTCCTGTCTTCTGCGTCACCTTTTGATATCAGAGGGCTAAAAACTCCATGCTCCAATCGTGCTAATGCCACCATTTTTTGAACATGGGTCCCGTGGAGAAGCAGGAAGCACAATTACACACGGGCCTATTTCTCCATTCATAAATATTCATGACTCCTCCAATAGCTTATTGAATATGTATATCTGGCCACCTCGTTCAGCGTAAATCCCTGTGTTATTCTTCCCATCCTTGAGGTGTTGGCTTCTGGCTATGCTTCTCAGCCTGTCCCACTTGCCACCCTGTAGGCTGCAACCCCGTGTGAGAAAGAAGGCTCTCCTTTCCAAATGTATGAACGCTGTCATTCTTCAGTCGACACAGTTGAGAAGGCAGCCTCACAGAGCCCGGCACACCTGTGCTGTGGAGAAGACAGCTGAGGGCTCTCAGCACCCCCAGAAGGCCTCGAGGCTCTGTGAAACCACTGGGCCTGAGGTTGCAGTGAAGGGTGAGACTGAAATCAACACACTTTTCCTGTTTCTGTGATAAACAATACAGGGACCAGAGAAAAATAGCTTGGCTGCTTGCTCCTAGGAGATAAGACTGCAAAGCAACTATTAGGTTGGTGCAAAAATAATTGTGGTTTTTGCCATTTAAAAGTAATGGCAGGCCAGGCGCGGTGGCTCACGCCCTGTAATCCTAGCACTTTGGGAGGCCAAGGTGGGCGGATCACTTGAGGTCAGGAGTTCAAAACCAGCCTGGCCAACATGGTGAAACCCTGTCTCTACTAAAAATACAAAAATTAGCGGGGCGTGGTGGTGTGCGCCTGTAGTCCCAGCTGCTTGGGAGGCTGACGCATGAGAATCGCTTGAACTCAGGAGGTGGAGGTTGCAGTGAGCTGAGATCATGCCACTGCACTCCAGCCTGGGCGACAGAGCGAGACTCTGTCTCTAAATAAATAAAAGTAATGGCAAAACCCACAATTACTTTTGCACCAACCTAATAAATAGTACTTGGCTCCTAGCTGACCCTTGTGTTTATTGAATCAATGAAGAAAATCTAGTTAGGCATGGTGGCTCATGCCTGAAATCCTGACAATTTGGGAGGCCTAGGAGGTAGGATCACTTGAGCCTATGAATTTAAGTCTAGCTTGGGCAATATAGTGAGACCCTGTCTCTACAAAAAAATTATTTTTTTTGAGACAGAGTCTTGCTCTATCTCACAGGCTGGAGTGCAGGGCGCAATCTCAGCTCACTGCAACCTCCGCCTCCCAGGTTCACGCCATTCTCCTGCCTCAGCCTCCCGAGTAGCTGGGACTACAGGCACCTGCCACCACGCCTGGCTAATTTTTTGTATGTTTAGTAGAGATGGGGTTTCACCATGTTAGCCAAGATGGTCTCGATCTCCCGACCTCATGATCCGCCCGCCTCAGCCTCCCAAAGTGCTGGGTTTGCAGGCGTGAGCCACTGCGCCCAGCCTACAAAAAATTTAAAAAATAGCCGGGTGTGGTGGCATGTGCCTATAGTCCCAGCTACTCAGGAGTCTGAGGTAGGAGGATCACTTGAGCCTGGGAGGTTGAGGCTGCACTGTGCCATGATTATGCCACTGCACTCCAGCCTGGTGAGGGTGGAGAGAGAGAGACAGATAAAATAAAATCTGTACCAGATTCTAAGATTGGAGACCCGAGAGAGAGAGAGCGAAAGAAAAAATAAAAATCTATACCAGCTTCTAAGATTGGAGACTCAACAAATAATCCAGTTTCGTTGTATAAAAAATATGGCAGCTCTGGGAGGGCGAGACTGTCATGGGGGTAGAAGTCCTATTCTTACTTCTGAGTATGGAGTCATAGGCAATTTGTTTATCTTCTCTCTGAGCCTCAGTTTCTTCATCTGTACAATGGGAGATAATAATACCATCTATTCTACTTGTGAGGATGATTCAAGGATAGAATATACAAAAATACATACTGTGAATTTTTTTTTTTTTTAGACACAGTTTCGCTCTTGTCGCCCAGGCAGGAGTGCAACGGTACAAACTCGGCTCACTGCAACCTCAGCCTCCTGTGTTCAAGCGATTCTCCTGCCTCAGCCTTCCTAGTAGTTGGGATTACAGGCATGCACCAGCATGCCTGGCTAATTTTGTATATTTAGTAGAGACGGGTTTTCATCATGTTGGCCAGGCTGGTCTCGAACTCCTGACCTCCGGTGATCCGCCCGCCTCAGCCTCTCAAAGTGCTGGGATTACAGGCGTGAGCCATCGCGCCCGCTCATTCTGTAAATTTTAAAGTCCTGTATGAGTTGTTGGCTATTGCCATTCCTTGAGGGAATCCTGGAGGCCTTAGAGAAGCCAATTCAGATAAAGGCCTTGGGCAACCACTAGGGATCAGGAGAGGACTGGATGTTTCTTCAGGGACAGCTCTCTTTACCAAAGACCCTTCACCTGCTAGCACCACCTTCCCTCCACCGTTTCGTTTTGTTTTCCTCTTGGGAGTGGGGCACTATTGTAGCCATACCATTCTTTTCTTTGATCTTGGAATCAGCAAAAAGGCTTGATTGAGTAGGATGATGACTTCACCTTGAACACACATGTGGGCTGTTGACTACCTTATAGTGCTGGGGCCACAAGAGTAGGTGGAAGAGGAGAGCCCCAGGGCAGTTGCTGGGTTTTGACTTCATGAGATGGCAATTTGAACAAGGGATGGAAGGGAACCAGGGCAAGTCAAAAAGCCTAACTTTGCCAGGCACAGTGGTTCATGCTTGTAATCCCAGAGCTTTGGGAGGCCGAGGCCAGGAGTTCAAGACCATCTCAGGTGACATAGTGAGACTCCGTCTCAAAAAAAAAAAAAAAATTTTTTTTTTTGTGGACAGAGTCTGGCACTGTCATCTAGGCTGGAGTGCAGTGGCACAATCTCGGCTCACTGCAAGCTCTGCCTCCCAGGTTCACACCATTCTCCTGCCTCAGCCTCTCAATTAGCTGGGACTACAGGCGCCTGCCACCATGCCTGGCTAATTTTTTTTATTTTTAGTAGAGAGGGGTTTCACTGTGTTAGCCAGGATGGTCTCGATCTCCTGACCTTGTGATCCGCCCGCCTCAGCCTCCCAAAGTGCTGGGATTACAGGCTCACGCCTGTAATCCCAGCACTTTGGGAGGCCAAGACATGTGTATCACCTGAGATCGGGAGTTCAAGACCAGCCTGACCAATATGGTGAAACCCCATCTCTACTAAAAATACAAAAATTAGCCGGGCGTGGTGGCACACGCCTGTAATCCCAGCTACTTGGGAGGCTGAGGCAGGAGAATCGCTTGAACCCGGGAGGCAGAGGTTGCAGTGAGCCAAGATCATGCCATTGCACTCCAGTCTGGGTGACAAGAGCAAACCTCTGTCTCAAAAAAAAAAAAAAATATATATATATATATATACACACACACACACATACATACATACATATTACAGGCACGAGCCGCCGTGCCTGGTCAGAAAATATATATATATATTTCCTGACCAGGCACGATATATATTTCCTGACCAGGCACGGCGGCTCGTGCCTGTAATTCTCACACTCTGGGAGGCTGAGGCAGAAGGATGCTTGGGCCTGTGAGTTCTAAAGCAACCTAGGAAACATGGCGAGACCGTGTCTCCAGAAAAAAAATTAAAACATAAAGTAGCCAAGCATATTGTCATGGGCCTGTAGTCCTAGCTACTTGGGAGGCTGAGGTGAGAGTATCACTTGAGCCCAGGTGATCAAGCCTGCAGTGGGCCATCATCATATCACTGCACTCCAGCCTGGGCGACAGAGCGAGATCCTGTCTCAACAACAACAACAACAAAATTTCCCAGGGCCTTTGTATTACCTTGTAAATAAAAAACAATGAATATGGTAAAAAAAAAAAAACCAGCAAAAAATCAACAAGCATTTAGATACAAATGGGAAGAAACAGAGCAGGGCAGGGAGAGTCCCGCAGTCAGAGAACATCACGGCTGGGTGGACAGGTGATAGGACTCTCACCCCATAGCTCTTCTCAGCTGGCCTGTCTGCTCAAATCTTCTGGAATGGGAAAGATACCCACAACCCAGGAGAAACTAAACAGCAGCAGCACCATAAGGAGACAGACACAGATGGCATGGAGAATTCTTACACATTGAAGCCTTGTGATATAGGCGGCACTGCAACAGACAGGCCATCCTGCCACCCAACAAGTTATGCTGTTTCTTTTCTGAGAGACAAAGTCTTACTCTGTCTCCCAGGCTAGAGTGCAGTGGTGCAGTCATAGCTTACTGCATCCTCAAACTCCTGGGCTCAAGCAATCCTCCTATCTCAGCCTCTTGAGTAGCTGGGTCTACAGGTGTGCACCATCATGCCTGGCTAATTTTTTTTTTTGAGGTGGAGTCTCGCTCTGTTGCCCAGGCTGGAGTGCAGTGGTGCCACTTCGGCTCACTGCAACCTCTGTCTCCCAGGTTCCAGCAATTCTCCTGTCTCAGCATCCTGAGTATCTGGGACTACAGGTGCACGCCACTACGTCCAGCTAATTTTTGTATTTTTAGTAGAGACGGGGTTTCTCCATGTTGGTCAGGCTGTTCTGGAACTTCCGACCTCAGATGATCTGCCCACTTCGGCCTTCCAGAGTGCTGGGATTACAGGTGTGAGCTACCGTGCCCAGCAGCTATGAGTTTCCTTCTAAGAAGAGAGAGACAGCCTGGGCAACATGGTGAAACCCCCGTCTTTAAGAAAAACATAAAAATTAGCCAGGTGTGATGGTGCTCACCTGTAGTCCCAGCTACTTGGGAGGCTGAGTCAGGAGGATCGCTTGAGCTAAGGAGGTGGAGGTGGCAGTGAGCTGCCACTGCACTCTAGCCTGTGCAACAGACTGTGATCATGTCTCAAAATAATTTAAAAAAAAAAGAAGAAGAAGAAGAAGAGACAGGAGAGAGCTTGCTTCCCCTGTGTCTCTGCACCATGTGAGGGCACAGCAAGAAAATGGCCATCTGCAAGCCAGAAAGAGAACACTCAGTAGACATGGGATCTGCCAGAGCCTTGATCTTGTACTTCTTAGCGTTCAGAACCTTGAGAAATAAATGTTTGTTGGCCGGGTGCAGTGGCTCAGGCCTGTAATCCCAGCACTTTGGGAGGCCGAGGCAGGTGGATCGTGAGATCAAGAGATCGAGACCATCCTGGCCAACATGGTGAAACCCCGTCTCTACTAAGAATACAAAAATTAGCCAGGTATGGTGACACATGCCTGTAATCCCAGCTACTCGGGAGGCTGAGGCAAGAGAATCACTTGAACCCGGCAGGCCGAGGCTGCAGTGAGCCAAGATCGTGCCACTGCACTCCAGCCTGGCGACAGAGTGAGACTCCTTCTCAAAAAAAAAAAAAAAAAAAAAAAATTAGCCAGGTGTGCTGGTGTGTGCCTGTGATCCAGCTACTCAGGAGGCTGAGGTGGGAGGATTGCCTGAACCAGGAGGTCGAGGCTGCAGTGTGCCATGTTTGCCATGTTGGCAACACTGCACTCCAGCCTGGGTGACAGAGCAAGACCCTATCTAAAAAAAATTTATTAAAAAAAAATGCCTGTTGTTTAAGGCACCAGTTGATGGTATCTTGTTATAGCCCCCTAAAATAAGACACCCCTCCCAGGCGTCTCCCACTAAGACACAATGGTTCCCAGAAAAGCATGAGCCTTGTCTGTTTTGTTTAATGATGTGTGCCCAGCACATAGGTCAGAACAGTTCCTGAGACACAATGGTGCCCATATTTGTTGAATGAATGAAAGAATGATGAATGTATGAGCAGTTTGATATGAACTTTCTAATATTTTTTCTAGGTATATACCAGTACAGGTATATTAAGAAAAAATATGGGGTCATGGTATAAGTTGGGTTCCGAACTTACTTTTTTATTAACAATTCATTGTGTATATATCTCCATGTTACATTATACCAGGGTTTCTCAACTTGGATACTACTGATATTTGTGTGTTTTTTTTTGTTTGTTTTTTTTATTTTTGTGTTTTTTTGAGATGGAGTCTCACTCTGTCGCCTAGGTTGGAGTGCAGTGGCACAATCTCAGCTCACTGCAACCTCCACCTCCCGGGTTCAAGTGATTCTCCCACCTCAGCCTTCAGAGTAGCTGGGACTACAGGTGTGCACCACTACACCCAACTAATTTTTGCATTTTTAGTGGCGACGGGGTTTCACCATATTGGCCAGGCTGGTGTGGAACTCCTGGCCTTTGGTGATCTGCCCATCTCAGCCTCCCAAAGTGCTGGGATTACAGGTGTGAGCCACTGCATTGGGCCCACTACTGATATTTGATGCCGGATCATTCTTTGTTGGAGGGGAGCTGTGCTGTGTATGGCAAGATGTTGAGGAGCATCCCTGGCTTCTACCCACAAGATGCAACTAACACCTTCCCACCCCACTGCAAATAATAAAGAATGTCTCCAGATGTTGTCAAATGTCCTCTGGAGGGCAAAATCGCCTCCAGTGGAGAACCGTGGGTTTATATCAATCTACCTCTTTTATTGGCGGCATAAGAGTATTCCAGAGTGTGGCTGTGGAATTTCTTTTAGCTAATTTCTCTTTGATGCACAATTGTTTCCAGGCCCTTGACTCCCTGAGCACTTGTGTGTTTCTACAAGAAGCTTCAGGACTGAGGCAAGAGCACGCTGGGACCAAGCTGAGCCTCTATGGACGGCGCATGACGGAGCCGTTTCACTCCATGTTTGTTGATGGTAGGAACTGCCACCCTAATCTTTGCCAATCTGATGTGGTTTGTAAGCAATAGCACTTCTTGTCTTGTTCTCTTGTATAATTGTATAGACTGTTCCTTCTACAAAAAATGTCAAATAACAGTAATGACCACAAGGAACCCCTTCTGGCCCTAACTTTGGCAGTGCACTTGGAATAACTAGTATCACATAGTTACGACGTATGTGTATGTTTCACATGAATATAAACTCACTTCCCAAACAGTCTGCAATGGGAGTTTGAACGTTCTCTTTGAAGATAAAGTTGTTTATGACAATATGTGAAGCTTTGAAGTTTCTCAGTGATTGGGGATTTTTGTTTTCTTATTTCCTATTTCTAATTTTTTCAATTGTGGTCAAAGAATAGGGCCTGTATTATTTCTTTGAGATGGGATCTCGCTCTATTGCCCAGGCTGGAGTGCAGTGATGTGATGATGGCCTGCTGCAGGCTTGATCTCCTGGGCTCAAGTGACACTCTCATCTCAGCCTTCCAAGTAGCTAGGACTACAGGCCCATGCCAGCATGCTTGGCTAGTTTATGTTTTATTTTTTTTTGTAGAGACAGGGTCTCACCATGTTGCCTAGGCTGCTCTAAACTTATAGAGATTTCCTTCTTACTCCGGGTCGATTTTTGTAAATATCTGTAAACCTTACATTATCATCATTTGTTTAATGATGTGTGCCCAGCACATAGGTCAGAACAGTGCCTGGAACAGAAGGATGCCCCATACTTGTTGAGTGAATATTTGTTGTAGAATGTGAGCTACACAGGAACAGAGATTTTCCCCCCAGTTGTGTCCCCAGGGCTTTGAACAATACCTGGCATGTGGCTGGTTTGCAATATAAGTTTGTGGCCCTTGTAAAGCTGGAGCCATTGATTATGACATGAACTTCTGAGGAACCTTATTGTTTTGTTTTAAAAGTATCTGATACGGGCTGAGAGGTGTTTCTATTTGTCTATTTTTCTATGCATTTTAGAGTTTTTCTGGCTGGGCACGGTGGTTCATGCTTGTAATCCTAGCACTTTGGGAGGCTGAGTTGGGAGGATTGCTTGAGCCCAGGAGTTCAAGACCAGCCTGGGCAAGGCAGTGAGACTCTGTCTATTTAAAAAAAAAAAAAAAAAGAAAGAAAAAAAAAGAAAAATTACCCAGGTATGTTGGTTGCGCCTTTAGTCTTAGCTACTCAAGAGGCTGAGATGGGACGATCGCTTGAGCCTAGGAGGAGGTTGAGGCTTCAGTGAGCCGTGATGGTGCCACTACCCTCCCAGCTGGGTGACAAAATGAGACCTTGCCTCAAATAAACAACAACAACAACAAAAACAGGCCTATAGTCCCAGCTGCTTGGGAGACTAAGGTGGAAAGATCGCTTGGGCCCAGGAGGTGTAGGCTGCGGTGAACCGAGATCTCACCACTGCACTCCAGCCTAGGCAACAGAGCAAGATCTTATCTCAAAAAAAAAAAAAAAAATTCTGTGTATATGTTTTGTGGGTTTTTTTTTTTTTGAGACACAGTTTCACTCTGTGCCCCTAGCTGGAATGCAGTGGCGTGATCTCAGCTCACTGCAACCTCTGCCTCCTGGGTTCAAGCGATTCTCCTGCCTCTCTCCCAAGTAGCTGGGACTACAGGCGCCCGCCACCATGCCCGGTAATTTTTTTTTGTATTTTTAGTAGAGATGGGGGTTCACTATGTGTTTGTTTGTTTTTTTTGAGACAGTCTCACTGTCACCCCGGCTGGAGTGCAGTGGCACAATCTCGGTTCACCGCAATCTCTGCCTCCCGGGTTCAAGTGATTCTTGTGCCTCAGGCTTCCAAGTAGCTAGGATTACAGGCGTGTGCCACCATGCCTGGCTAATTTTTTTTGTATTTTTAGTAGAGACAGAGTTTCGCCATGTTGGCCAGGCTGGTCTTGGACTCCTGATCTCAAGTGATCCACCTGCCTCAGCCTCCCAAAGTGCTGGGATTACAGGTGTGATCCACCATGCCTGGCCTTTATTAATTATTATTATTATTATTTGAGACGGAGTCTTGCTCTGTTGCCCAGGCTGGAGTGCAATGGTGCAATCTTTGCTCTCTGCAAGCTCTGCCTCCTGGGTTCAAAGCGATTCTCCTGCCTCAGCCTCCCGAGTAGCTGGGATTACAGGGGCGTGCCACCATGCCCGGCTAATTTTTTGTATTTTTAGTAGAGACCGGGTTTCACTATGTTGGCCAGGCTGGTCTGGAACTCTTAACCTCGTGATCCGCCCGCCTCAGCCTCCCAAAGTGCTGGGATTACAGGCGTAAGCCACCGTGCCTGGCCCTATGTTTATTATTATTATTATTATTTTGCACTGGCGTTGGATTTTATTGCGAGAACAGACTAAAGAGAGCAATGTGTCAGAAGCGCTGCTCAGCCACAGCCTCTTGGGTGGCATGGGAACAGAGCGGACGCATTACGGAAACCCAGTTCTTGGGCAAAAGATAAGGAAGCGAAGGGCCTCACTGGAAATCTCCTGGCTTCTGGGTGTCCAGGGTGGCTGTCCCAGGCAGGCGACGGTCTTCTTGGCGGCCAGGCTGCGTATGCGTCACGAGGAAGCCTCCAGATGGAGCGCGGCCGCCAAGGCGCAGTAGCAGGGCGACGACGCTCCGAGAGGTCCCCATCGTCAGACCCCTCTGGCTTCCATGGCGCGTCTTCAAACCCGGCCGATCCCGGCGAGTGTGGCGGCCGCGCAGCGCAGTGGCGAATTCGATCTTCTGGGTCTCCGGGTGGTTCCCACTGGGGCTCTCGCGCCGTCTCTCTGGAGCCAAAGGCCCCCCTCACACGGCTTTCGCCAGTGCATCGCTTTTCCCAGCGGAAGTTCACAGAGACAGGGGGATTGAGAAGGTCTATTTTTTATTTGTCTTTTAAACTGTAGCTATACCAGTGAGTGTGAAGTGGTATCTTATTTTGGTTTTGATTTGCATTTCCCTAATGACTAGTGATGTTGAACATCTCTTCTTGTGTTTATTGGCCATTTGCATGTCTTCTTTAGAGAAACATCTATTCAAATCATTTGCCTATTTTATTTTATTTTATTTTATTTTATTTTATTTTATTTTATTTTATTTTATTTGAGACGGAGTCTCACTCTGTCGCCCAGGCTGAAGCGCAGTGATGTGATCTTGGCTCACTGCAACCTCCGCCTTCCGGGCTGAAGTGATCCTCCCGCTTCAGCCTCTCGAATAGCTGGGATTACAGGCTCGTGCCACTGTGTCAGGCTAATTTTTGTATTTTTAGTAGAGATGGGGTTTCACCATGTTGGCCAGGCTGTCTAGGACTCCTGACGTCAAGTGTTCTGCCTGCCTTGACCTCCCAAAGTGCTGGGATTACAGGCATGAGCCACCGAGCCTGGCCTTTGCCTATTTTAAAATTGGGTTGTCTTCTTATTGAGTTGTAAGAGCCTTTTTACATATTCTGGTTACAAGTCCCTGATCAGGTATATGATTTATGAATATTTTCTCCCATTCTGTGGATTGTCTCTTCACTTTCTTGATGTGCACTTTTTTTTTTTTTTTTTTTTTTTTTTTTGAGACAGAGTCTCGCTCTGTTGCCCAGGCTGGAGTGCAGTGGCTCCATCTCGGCTCACTGCAAGCTCCGCCTCCCGGGTTCACGCCATTCTCCTGCCTCAGCCTCCCAGGTAGCTGGGACTACAGGCACCTGCCACCACTCCCGGCTAATTTTTTGTATTTTTAGTAGAGACCGGGTTTCACCGTGTTAGCCAGGATGGTCTTGATCTCCTGACCTCGTGACGCCCGCCTTGGCCTCCCAAAGTGCTGGGATTACAGGCGTGAGCCACCGCGCCCGGCCTATGTGTTTTACATTATGTTACTTGGTGCACGTTTTATTTTCTGGGGTCTTTCCCTTTTAGCAGTACAAAGAGATCCGTCGTGTTTCATATAATTTTTTGAGCTTCATGTCATGACCTTGGTTTTCTTTTGGTTCGCATGTGCCTGGATATCTTTGCCCTTTTTTTTTTTTTTTTTTTTTTTTTTTTTTTTTTTGCGATGGAGTCTTGGTCTGTCGCCCAGGCTGGAGCGCAGTGGTGGGAACTTGGCTCACTGCAACCTCTGCCTTCCGGGTTCAAGCGATTCTCCTGCCTCAGCCTCCCAGGTAGCTGGGATTACAGGCATGTGCCATGATGCCCCACTAATTTGTTTGCATTTTTAGTAGAGATGGGGTTTCACCATGCTGGCCAGGCTGGTCTCGAACTCCTGACCTCAAGTGATCTGCCCACCTCGGCCTCCCAAAGTGCTGGGATTACAGACATGAGCCACCGCGCCCAGCGGGCCCGTTTTAAAAGTCGATATCATTTCCCACCTGTATCTTGTGAGCATAGTCAACGCTCAGTGAAGGTCAGCTTCCTTCCTCTTGCCTGTCCTCATGAAATGCCCCTTCCCATACCGCCCCCGCGCCCCAGGAGTAGCCTTTGCTGTCCCAGGACTGAGCTCCAACATGGGAGCCCCTCTCAATACCTCCTCTTGAGCCTGCCCCTTTCCTTCCCTGCCATTCCCATGCAAGGCCACTGGGCAGGGCAGGTCCGCACCACCGAGTTGCCATTCTCCGTGTGTCCACCAGGGGCCGCCCCACTCCTGCCTGAGCTTCCTCCAAGAACCTGCATTTTTAATTCAGTCCCTCCCTGGTCTCCCATCTCTCCCAGCACCACCTTTGGGTGTAAAGCCGCAGAGCAGTATTCCTGGTTATCCAAGGAGTCCATAAACTGTCCTGTGGGAAATCAGCCCAATGCACCCTGGCTCCCTCATTCAGCAACTGTGTTGTAGTTTTCTTGTCTGCAAAAAGAAAATAATAATTTCCACCTCACTTAGAAAGAATATGTAGGCTGGGCATGGTGGCTCATGCCTGTAATCCCAGCAATTTGGGAGACCAAGGCGGGCGGATCACTTGAGGCCAGCAGTTTGAGACCAGCCTGGGCAACATGGCGAAACACCGTCTCTAGTGAAAATACAAAAATTAGCCAGGCGTTGTGACACATACCTATGATCCCAGTTACTCCAGAGGCTGAGCTTGCAGTGAGCTGAGACCGCACCACTGCACTCCAACCTGGGCAACCAAGTGAGACCCTGTCTCAAAAACAAAACAAAACAAACAAAAACAGAAAGAAATAATATATAGTTCGGGAGCCTGAGGCACGAGAATCACCTGAACCTGGGAGATGGAGGTTGCAGTGAGCTGAGATGGCACCACTGCACTCCAGCCTGGGCAACAGAGTGAGACTGTCCAAAAAGAAAAAGAAAAAGAAAAGAAAAGAAAAAAGAAAAATAAATAATATATAGTGTTCAGCAATGTGCCTGGTATACAGTAGGTGCCTAATAAAAGCAAGTCACTTTACAAGAGTTCAAAGTCCGTCCCTCCACAACTCTCCCTAAAGCTCTCCAGGCCTGTCTGTTTTCTTAGGTAATGGGTTGGCACCCAGGTTACATGGGGGTGAGATCTCCTTGTAGGGGCACAAGCTTCATGGGTTACAAAGTCAGAAGTGTGAATGTTTCTATTTTCTATAATTGACTTGGATTTCCACCTCCATTTCCCATGTTGCACGATGTGGAAACATTTTTATTACAGAATTCAGGGTTTCCTCAGTCAATTCTTTTTTTTCTGCGACGGAGTCTTGCTCTGTCACCCAGGCTGGAATGCAGTGGTGCGATCTCTGCTCACTGCAACCTCTGCCTCCTGGGATCAAGTGATTCTCCTGCCTCAGCCTCCCGAGTAGCTGGGATTACAGGCATGTGTCACCATACCTGGCTAATTTTTGTATTCTTAGTAGAGACATGGTTTCACCATGTTGGCCAGGCTCGATTCCAACTCTTGACCTTGTGATCCACCCGCCTTGGCCTCCCAAAGTGCTGGGACTACAGGTGTGAGCTACCACGCCTGGCCTCTTCAGTCAATTCTAAGTTTTTGCCTCCCCCTTTGCCCTGGGGTCCCAGCTAATGGTGTCAGCAGGGAGAGGGCTCTGATCTTGGTCGTTCTCGTTTTCTCTGCTGGTATCTGTAAAGATGGTCTCTGGCCCTATCGGGCATCATTTGCTGATTTCCGTTCTCACTGGATTCATTACTGCCCGTGTCCATCCCATCAGCATTCACCATGAGGGCCCGCGGCCCACCTGGCCTCCTTGTTATACCATCCTGATCCTGAGCTTCATGTGGTCCCAGAACCCTCTCTCAGCCACTTCAATGGGAAACTGTGGGGAGGGGTTTGTCTCAGGCCCTCTCTGCCCAGACAAGCCACAGCAGCATGTCTCCTTACGTGTAGAGACATGAGGGTGTTCTGGGAGATGGTACCTCAGTGCCTTCACCAGGAAGTGCCTTCACCACTGCGCCCCTCTACTCCCTGAGCTCTGCAGTGCCCCTACTGCAGCCCAGACAACAGGGCTGGAGTGGGGAGGAGAGAGCCATCGTGTGATCAGTGTTTTTACTGAGGCAAGGACCTCAACTTTGAAGCTAGTATCCAAGACCTAGCTCCACTGGCTTCTCTTCATTTCTTCTGAAACATTCCTGCCCCAAGGACATCCTTGCTGCCACCTGCATTGGGGCGGGGCGGTATGACATGCTAGAGAAAGAAGCCTGGTTAACATTTCCTAATCTAGCTTGGCACATCTTTTGCCCTGTTTTCAGGGTACTCCTAGTACAGACTGACACATGCCCGCCCCATAGCACCCTAGGGAAGTTTATGCTCCCAGTAATGAGTAGGGCAGAGCCAAGGTGGTGGATGAGGTTTTCTGAGGGTTGGTACTCAGCCCCTTCTGGGAGGGGAGACGATCCTGGTTGTAAACAATAGAAAACAACCCTGGTTAACTATAGCCCAAAAATAATTTTCTGGAATGATGATGGATGGTTCATAGAGTCACAGGGTAAACTGGAACCAGCCTGACAAATTGGGCAGGAACCCAGAAGGCTGGGAGGCAGAATCACAGGGAGGGTCTTATGAGGACAATCATGCCAACCTCACAACCATCACTGCCCTTTGATGGTGGCAGCTGGGACCCCAACATTAGAGGAGTGACACCTCAATGGTCCCAGCTTCTCAATAACCCTCAGTCAGTGTCAAAGTCCTAGGCAGGATGAACCAAGGCTGAGTTCCCAAGCACCCCCTGCAGGAATTGGATCTTTGGCCCCCTTAGGCTTCCATAGGGGGAACACTGCCTCCAGCCCATCTTGAGATTTGTATCCTCCCCTCTCGATTGGTATTTGGATGACAAGCAACTAAAATCAGCAAATGCACACATCTCTCTAATTTCCCTGAATGTGCATTTGCCAAGAGGCAGTTTCAAACCTGCCTCATTTGAGCAGTCTACTCAGAGTGCTGTTTGTTTATGCCACTCGGAGAGCTTGCCAAATACAGTGAAGTCATCTGAACAGCCTGAGCGCTTCCAGATAAATACATTGGCCTCCTTTCCATGGCCCCCATAGTAGCTAACATGTACTGAACAGTGGGCCAGGCACTGAGCTCAGCGCTCTACCTGGAGGATTGCCTTGGGCCTTACTGCCATTTTTCCAAGGAAGAGACTGAGGCCCAGTGGTTTACTAGCTTTCCCCAGTTCACACAGGTCTAGATGGGAATAACAGGGACTTGACCCCACACAGCCTGTCGGGCCCTGCTCCCTGGTGATCTAATGGAGCAGACGTTAAACCAATAACCACAGGATTACGTACGTGATTAAAAGGAGCACTGGAAAGGGAAAGAACAGGGTAGGAGGAGGGAGGATGGCAGAGAAGACAATTCATAGGGGTGGGGTGGGTGGGGGTCCCGGGAAGGCCTCTGGAAGAACATTTAAGCTGTGACCCAAATGATGGATTTAGCCAGGCCAAGAGCGAGGGGAAAGAGGCAGTGGCAAGTACCGAGACCTCTGAGGCAGGAGAGAGGGGAATGTGTTCGGGGGATGAAAACAAGGGCCAATGCAGCGGGAGCAGAGGGAGCTGGGGATTTCTGGGTGGGGCCATCAGGCAGGGCCAGGCTGAGCCTTGGTGTTCTTCAGCTCAGAACCCCTCACCTCCTCTCACTGACCCCCACCCCATCCTCTGAGATCCGACCTCACAGCATAGTCAGATCCAACCTCTTCTCCCCACCTCCGCTGCGGCCACCCTAGTCTGATTATTGCAATATCCCCTCCCATTCCCACTGGTCTCCCTGCTTCTGCACCGCCCCCATATCTCTTCTTTCTCAGCAATAAAGTGATCCTTTTAGCATGGAAGTCAGAGCTTGCCAGGCCTCTGCTTCTCATTTTGCTTAGAGTAAGTGCCTAAGTCTTGCAATGGTCTACAAAGCCCTCCACAGTCTGGATCCCAGGAGCTCCTGCAACGTGGTCCCCTCTCTCACTTGGCTGTAGCCCCACTGGCCCTGTGCTCCTTCTCAAGTACACCAGGCAAGCCCCTATCTGGAAGGAGGGCCTTTGCACTGCCCGTTCCCTTGGCCCGGAATGTTCTTTCCTCACATATCCATGGGTCTCTCATCCTTCAGCAGGCCTGCCCGGGCATGTTCTCATAGTGGAGCTCAGGGCAAGAACAGATGGAGATGCTAAGCCCTCTTCTGCCTGCCTCCGGTCTGCTAACATCCTGCTGGCCACAGCAAGCACGTGGCTGAGCCCAGAGTCTGAGTGGGAGGGCACCAGGATGGTAGATGCACACGGTAAAGACACAGGGAGTAAAGCACTGGGGCCCTTGCACACATGATTACAGCCCCTTGATCTGAGCTCCAAATCCCAGGCCTCCTCCTGCACAGCGACCTGCCACCATCAGTAACTCTCTCCACCAGCCACCATCCCATTTTCATTCAGCAAACATTTGTGGAGCACCTGCAGTGTGCAGGCCCTGTTCTAGACACTGTGAGGCAGCTGCACATAAAGTAGACGAAGGCCCTGCCCTTTTAAAGTTTTGTTTTGTTTTTTTTTCTTTTTTTTTTTTTTCGAGACAGAGTCTCTCTCTGTCGTCCAGGCTGGAGTGCAGTGGTGCGACCTCGGCTCACTGCAATCTCTGCCTGTTGGGTTCAAGTGATTCTCCCATCTACTCGGGAGGCTGAGGTAGGAGAATCACATGAACCCCGGAGGCAGAGGTTGCAGTGAGCCGAGATCGCGCCACTGCACTCCAGCCTGGGCAACAAGAGTGAAACTGCATCTCAAAGAAAAAAAAAAAAGAAAAAGAAATCCTATGTGTAGGGACAATGGGGAGGCAAGTGGTCAATATCTAGTGCTATGTGAATCTCAGCAACAAGGAAGTGGGTCAGAAAGCAGCCAAATTAAAGCTTAATTATAACTCTATTTCTGTCCAGAACCTGACATGTGATTCTTGTTAACCCTGTGGGGATAGTTTCAGTGGCTGGAACAGAGTGAGCAAAGAAGAGAGAGGACTGTTAGTGGGTCGCAGGCAGGGAGGTGAGGCAATCTGAATGATATTTCCAATAGGCCACTCCATGTGCAGACAGAACCTGGGTTGGAGAAGAGGAAGAAGGGAAGTGGGGAGTCCCCTTAGGAGGGTATTGCCATCGTCAAGGTGAGAGTTCGTGGTCGCCATGGTGGTCAGATTCAGGATGTACATTGAAGGGGGCCCAAATAGGATTCGCCAGTGCATTGGAGGAAAGGGAGGTAGGAGTCAAGAATGACTGACACTATTTTTTTTTTTGAAATGGAGTCTCACTCTGTCACGCAGGCTGGAGTGCAGTGGTGCAATCTTGGCTCACTACGTCCTCCTCCTCCTCCTGGGTTCAAGTGGTTCTCCTGCTTCAGCCTCACAAGTAACTGGGATTACAGGTGCGCGCCACCACGCCTGGCTAATTTTTGTGTGTTTTAGTAGAGAGGGGGTTTCACCATGTTGGCCAGGCTGGTCTTAAACTCCTGACCTCAGGTGATCCGCCCGCCTTGGCCTCCCAAGGTGCTGAGATTATAGGCATGAGCCACCGCGCCCGGCCAAGGATGACTGACATTTTGAATTTGAACAAGTGGGTAAATGGAGTTACTGTCTACTGAGATGGGGAGTGCTGGGGTAGGGCCTCTGCTTTAGACATAAAAGGTATCTGAGAGCACAGGGTCTTTGGAACCTGGTGTCTAAAGTAGACAAAGAGACTGGCATCTCAGGTAGGAGTGCAGGCTTGGGGAGCCCCACCTTCCACAGTGTGGGGGAAGCAGGAGGCCGTCAGAGTCTCACTAGCCATCCTGTTCATTCATGAATTCATTTATTCATTCATTCAGTAAAAATTTATGGAGCACCAAGGATAAGCCAGACACTTTTCTGGATGCTGGAAATAGAGGAGAACAAGAGGCGGTGTTGCCAGTCTAATTTGGTTCCTTACCTCCAGGTAGAAGAGACAGGTAATGAATAAGCAAACGTGTAAAAGAGAAGATGATCTTACAGAAGGACGGTGTCACAAGGAGCAGTAGAGGGTGGTAGGGAGTGCCAGGGAAACAGAATTGGGTAGGGGGTCACCCAGGCAGCCCCAAGGACCAGTCCCAGACTCCCAGGAGGACCTACCTCAGT
The DNA here is from genome assembly GCF_000001405.40 of Homo sapiens. Lineage (NCBI taxonomy): Eukaryota > Metazoa > Chordata > Mammalia > Primates > Hominidae > Homo > Homo sapiens. The sequence goes on from NC_000017.11 coordinate 50,789,245, forward strand.
TTGTCTTCTTTTTGTCCCACAGAATGGCTGCTATACCATTAGGAAGGGGAGGGAAGAGGAGTGGCCCTGCAGTGACCCTCAGGGGTCTTTGGAGGGGGGGGCTTTGTCCTAGAGGAAGAATCTCTTCGCAGGGTGCTGTGGCTCATGCCTATAATCCCAGCACTTTGAGAGGCCAAGGCAGGTGGAGCACCTGAGGTCAGAAACTCCAGACCAGCCTGGCCAACGTGGTGAAACCCCATCTCTACCAAAAATACAAAAATTAGCCAGGCGTGTTGGTGCGTGCCTGTAATCCCAGCTACTTGGGAGGCCGAGGCAGGAGAATCACTTGAACCCAGGAGGCAGAGGTTGCAGTGAGCTGAGATCATGCCATTGCACTCCACCCTGGACAACAGAAAAAGACCCTATTAAAAAAAAAAAAATTCGCCAGGCGTGGTGGCGCATATGCCTGCAGTCCCAACTACTCGGGAGGGTGAGGCAGGAGATCACTTGAGCCTGGGAGTTTGAGGCTGCAGTGAACTATGATTGTACCACTGCACTTTAGCCTGCGAGACAGAGTGGAGCCCTGTCTCAAAAAAAGGAAACAGCGGGTGTGGTGGCTCACACCTATAATCCCAGCACTTTGGGAGGCCAAGGCAGGCGGATCACCTGAGGTCAGGAGTTCAAGACCAGCCTGGCCAGCACTGTGAAACCCCATCTCTACTGAAAATACAAAAATGAGCCGGGAGTAGTGGTGAACGCCTGTAGTCCCAGCTACTCAGGAGGCTGAGGCAGGAGAATCGCTCGAACCCAGGAGGCAGAGGTTGCAGTGAGCTGAGACTATGCAACTGTACTCCAGCCTGGGTGACAGAGTAAGACTCTGTCTCAAAAAAAAAAAAAAAGGAAACAGAGAACCCATGAGAGGTATATGCTGTGTTCCCACAGAGCAAAACTGCTCAGCCCACTGCAAAATTCTTCTCTGAGTGTGTGGAAATGGGGTTGCTCACTTTCTACCATTTGAGAGTTTCTGCTATGCAAAGAATTTTCTTTGTGCTTCCTGGTGCTTTATCCTGCAAAGAATGGGAGAGTGAGGCCTGTGAAGGCTCATAAGCCAAAGTTCCCATCTGAGCTCTGCCACTGCATGATGGGTGACCTCAGGTGATGTGTTCGTGTCCTTTGGGACAGCAAGAGTTAATATGGGGGAGCAATTTAGTTAAAAGAGATTTTGAAGAAGCTGAACTCAGACAATTGTGAGCAAGCTTCAGGGATGGTTCTGGTTATTGAGACAAGGAACAAGACGAATACTAGAACCTGCGCTGAGGCTGTGGCAGGCTACGGAGAAGAGGAGGCAATGATATCTGCTAGGAGAGTGTTGCATTATGGGGCTGAGGGACTGGGAGGGCCATGGGCATTCCTGGGGCTTCCAGTTTGGGCACTGGAGTGAATGATGGACTATTAACTGGGAGTGAGCACAGAAGGAGAAGCCAGCTCAGAGGGAAAAGGATCAGGTTCTGTTGAGGACACGAAGCGTGAGATGACTGGCAGATTTCTAGAAACACGGATGTGAAGTTGAGGAAGGAAGTTGGACCCATAAGTGCCCAGTCAGAAATCCTCAGGGCCTGGATGGTGCTTGTGCAGAGAACGACCAGATGATAACTCCAGCTGTTTCCCTTTCCTTCTAGGGACACATCCAGAATACACTTTGGGCCAGGCACAGTGGCTCACGCCTGTAATCCTAATACTTTAGGAGGTCAAGGCAGGCAGATCATTGGAGCCCAGGAGTTCGAGACCAGCCTGGCCAACGGGGCGAAAACCCGTCTCTACAAAACAACAACAATAACAACAACAACAAAAATTAGCTGGGCATGGTGGCGTGTGCCTGTAGTCCCAGCTACTTGGGAGGCTGAGGTGGGAGGGTTGCTGGAGCCTGGGAGTTCAAGGTTGCAGTGAGCCAAGATCACATCGCTGCACTCCAGCCTGGGCAACAGAGGCAGACTTGGTCTCAAAAAACAAAACAAAACAAAAGAACACACTTTGCAGCCTCCCTCCATTGAGGGGGCTGCTTTCTGTCCAGTGGAATGTGAGTAAAGTGGCAAAGCCACTTCCAGGTCTGGCCTATGAAAATCTACCCTTAGCTCTCCAATCTTCTCCTCTAGGCATTGGCCGACTTTTTCTGTAAAGGACCAGTTGGTAACGGTTTTAGACTTCATGAGCCATGCCATCTCTATTGCACCTAATCAACTCTGCCGTTGTTGTGTGAAGACAGCCATAAGCAATATGTAAATGTGTCTGTGTTTCAATGAAACTTTATCTACTAAAGCAGGGCCACAGCTACTCTTCTCTCTCTCTTATTTGCTACCTGAATTCTGATATTCAGATCGCCTTTAGAAGCCACATGTTGAAAGTGGCACAGCCTCCCGTTGTCTGAGACACTGTAAGAAACCCAGACAAGAAAACCAGATGGGGTGCAAGGAATCGGCGATTTCCGTTTCTTACAGCAGAAATGGAGGTCCCCCAATTCCTTGCCCCCATCCTCCTTTTATGGAGTAAGAAATAAACCTGTATTGTGTTTAGCAACTGAAATTTGGGGGTGGGGTATCTCTTCCATAAGTTAGTGTTACTTTAACTAAGATAGAATTAGTACTAGGAGCGGGATATTGCCATAATGAAAATCGAAAATGTGTGGCATTGGTTTTGTAGTTGGGCAAGATAGTGAGAAAACCTTTGTCAGGGTTTGGAAAGATGGAGACCCATGCTAGGCAACGGCAAAACATTTGGTAAAATAGTTGCCTGAGATAAACAGGTCAGCTGTCCTCTGACCCTGTAGCTCTAAGGGAAGAAGTCATAAAGTACAGGCAGCACTTAACAAGGTCTCAGAAGAATAAGATGGGACCAGTGAGCACTGGCTGATTTGCAAGCAAAACTAAGATGAAATAGGGACTCCCGGAATTTGGGGTATTGGTTAGGAACATTGACGGCTTCTAGATGCCAAACAGAAGGAAATCATAGCTTAAAGGCCTTTGAGCAGCAAAGGCCCATGAAGCCTCAACCTCAGGCAAGGTCAGAGTCAGGGAGTGTCCTTCCCCAGGCCTGAGAACCTCAAGATTGCCATCAGCACATCGAGAGAGAATGGCCGGAGGGCGGACAGCAGAAGAATCAGGCTGGAGAACTGTGTCTAACTGTGAATTTCGCACGTGGTTGCTGGCATCCAGAAATGACTGGAAGCAAGTAGAGGAGCCTTTTCAGATTTTCAGGGAACTGTATGTCAAATAAGCCATAAGCCTGAACTTCAAAAAATAAACAAATAAAAAAGAGAGAAAGTGTTTGAACTTTTGGGCCTTAAAACCACCTTGAGGCTGGATGTGGTGGCTGACGCCTATAATCCCAGCACTTTGAGAGGCTGAGGCATGTGGATCACCTGAGGTCAGGAGTTCGAGACCAGCCTTACCAACATGGTAAAACCCCATCTCTACTAAATACACACACACACACACACACACACACACAGTTAACTGAGCATGGTGGCGCATGCCTGTAATCCCAGCTAGTTGGGAGGCTGAGGCAGGAGAATCGCTTGAACCCGGGAGGTGGAAGTTGTGGTGAGCTGAGATTGCGCCATTGCACTCCAGGCTGGGCGACAGAGCGAAACTTCGTCTCAAAACAAAACAAAACAAAACAAAACCACTTTGAGATCTTAAAACTTTTACCCGAAGGAGCTGCAGGCTACAAAAGATGAGCAGCAACCCGGGAGGGTCTACCCCTCAACGGTCGCTGCGAATGCGGCCTTGGAGCAACATGGCAAGACGACAGTGTGGAGGGCAGGGCTGGGAGCCATAGAGAAGAGGACAGGGCAATTCCTTCAAGGGTGGGGGCGCTCCCAGCACCCACCTGGCCAAATGGCATCATCGCTGTCATCAGAGCCTGCTTTGCATCTTCTGTTCTTCCCTTCTCTGAAGAGGATGTTGTCCTGTGCTTGCCCTATCTGCACCCCACCACTGGATCCGGAAGTGTGTTGTGTGTCTATACTGGGGTGGAGAAAGGAAGGACACGATAACTTGTTCTTTTAGGCATCGGTTTCCAGATCACAGGGAGTCACAGAGGACCTGGAGGAGAGAATCCTGTGTGTGCTGGAGATCCCGAACTGTGGCGGAGGCCCCAGGAGGCAGTGATGGTGTGGACTCAGCTGCCTCTCCGGGAAGCAGTGAGTGTGTTCCATGTGTAAGAGGAAGAGTGAAATGGCTACTTAGTGGCTATTGGGCAACCCATGGCAGAGACTGGCTAGAGGCTTACGAACGCTGTCTTAGTCCATTTTGCATTGCTGTAAAGGAAACTGAGGCTGGTAATTTATAAAGAAAGAGGGGTGTTTGGCTCATGGTTCTTCAGGCAGTACAGGAAGCATGATACCAGCACCTGCATCTGGGGAAGGCCCCAGGAAGCTTCTACTCAGGGCCACAGGACAAGGGGGAGCAGGCACGCCACATGGCCAGAACGATGCCAGGCTCCTTTAAATAACCAGGCCGGGTGCAGTGGCTCACACCTGTAATCCCAGCACTGTGGCCAAGGTAGGAGGATTGCTTCAGGCCAGAAGTTTGAGACCAGTCTGGGCAACATAGCAAGACGCCATCTCTAAAAAAAAAATCAGGCTGGGCGCCGTGGCTCACACCTGTAATCCCAGCACTTTGGAGGGCCGAGGTGGGCAGATCACTTGAGGCCAGGAGTTCAAGGCCAGCCTGGCCAACATGGTAAAACCTTGTCTCTACTAAAAATACAAAAATTAGCTGGGCATGGTGGCAGGCACCTGTAGTGCCAGATACTCAGGAGGGTGAGGCATGAAAATCACTTGAACCCAGGAGGCAGAAGTTGTAGTGAGCCAAAACTGTGCCACTGCACTCCAGCCTAGGTGACAGAGTGAGACTCTGTCTCAAAAAAAAAAAAAAAAAAAAAAAAAAAATTAGCCAGGTGTGGCGGTGTGGGCCTGCTCAGGAGGCTGAGGTGAGAGAATCACTTGAGCCTGGGAGGTGGAAGTTTCAGTGAGCCGTGATTGCACCACTGCACTCCAGCGTGGATGACAGAGTGAGACCCTGTCTCAAAAAAAAAAAACAGACAAAAACAAAGCACCCACATGAACTAATAGATTGAGAGCTCACTCATTACCATGGGGAGGGCACCAAGCCATTCCTGAGGGATCCACCCCTATGATGCAAACACCTCCCACCAGGCCCACTCCTAACACTGGGGCTCATATTTCAACATGAGATTTGGAGGGGCCAAACATCTAAGCTATATCGAACGCCAGCCCCTCTACTGCCAGATGAACTGCTAGATCACATTCCCGACTTTCATTGCGTTAGATGTGGCCATGGGCGGAGTTCGGGCCAGTGGAAGGTGGGTGGAAGTGAGGTACTTGTCTATCATAAAAACCCACACAACCTTCCAAACCATTCTCCTTGTTCTCTCCAGGCTGCTGACTGGATACAGATGTCCAAGGCCAATGAGGAAGCCATGTGTCAAAGATGGCAGGGGGCAGGGCATGGTGGCTTACACCAGTAATCCCAGCACTGTGGAAGGCTGAAGCAGCTGGATCACTTGAACCCAGGAGTTTGAGACCAGCCTGGGCAACATAGTGAGACACCATCTCTACAAAGAATTTAAAAACTGGGCCAGTCGTGATGGCTCACGCCTGTAATCCCAGCACTTTGGGAGGCTGAGGCAGGCAGATCACAAGGTCAGGAGTTCGAGACCAGCCTGGCCAACACAGTGAAACCCTGTCTCCACTAAAAAATACAAAAAATTAGCTGGGCGTGGTGGCAGGCGCCCATAATCCCAGCTACTCGGGAGGCTGAGGCAGGAGAATCGCTTGAACCCAGGAGGCGGAAGTTGCAGTGAGCCGAGATCGCACCATTGCCCTCCAGCCCGGGCAACAGTGTGATGAGACTCCATCTAAAAAATAAATAAATAAATAAATAAATAAATAAATAAATAAATAAATAAAATAAAAAACTAGCTGGGCACAGTGGCTCACATCTGTAGTTCCAGCTACTTGGGAGGCTGAGGTGGGAGGATTGCTTGAGTCCAGGGGGTTGAGGCTGCAGTGAGCAGTGATTGCACCACTGCACTCCAGTCTGGGTGGGTGACAGAGCAAGACTCTGTCTCAAAAAACAAACAAAAAAAAACTTTTGTGACTTTGTGGAACTCAGGCCAACTGGATTTCCTATGAAGAAATACACTTCTATTACATTAAGCCACTGAAACCTTGGTGTTTGCCTGTAATAGCAGCTGGTGTCACCTTAACTAGAGTTGAAGCCATGGGAGCAGAGCAACCAGAGCAGGGAGAGGCAGGAAGAGAACTGAGGCAGGACCCTGGGGACACCTCATTAAAGAGCGGCTGACACGGAGGTGGCACAAAGGAGACTGAGAAGGAAGCAAGAGGAGGATGAGGGCAGAGTGGCCTTCTGGAAGAAAAGGAATGTGGTGGCCAGGCATGATGGCTCACGTCTGTAATCTCAGCACTTTAGGAGGCCAAGGCAGGTGGATCACTTGAGGTCAGGAGTTTGAGACCAGCCTGGCCAACATGGTGAAACCCCATCTCTACTGAAAATACAAAAACTAGCCAGGTGTCATGGTGTGTGCCTGTAATTCCAGCTACTCAGGAGGCTGAGGCAGGAGAATTGCTTGAACCTGGGAGGCGGAGGTTGCAATGAGCTGAGATCACACCACTGCATTCCAGCCTGGGTGACAGAGCGACACTCCGTCTCAAAAAAAAAAGAATAGGCCGGGCGCAGTGGCTCACGCCTGTAATCCCAGCACTTCAGGAGGCTGAGGCGGGTGGATCACAAGGTCAGCAGTTCAAGACCAGCCTGGCCAACATGGTGAAACCCCGTCTCTACTAAAAATACAAAAATTAGCCAGGCATGGTAGCAGGTGCCTGTAATCCCAGCTACTCCGGAGGCTGAGGCAGGAGAATCGCTTGAACCTGGGAGGCGGAGGTTGCAGTGAGCCGAGACCGTGCCATTGCACCCCAGCCTGGGCGACAGAGCAAGACTCCGTCTCAAAAAAAAAAAAAAAAAAAAAGGAATGTGGTTGACGGAGAGAGAAGTGTCTTAGTCTGTCTTATGCTGCAATAACAGAGTACCTGAGACTGGATAATTATGAGGAACAGGGATTTATTTCTTATAGTTCTGGAAGCTGGGAAGTCTAATATTGAGGGGCCGGCATCTGGTGAGGGCCTTCTTGCCACATCATCTGACAGTGGAAGGGCAAGAGAGGTAGAGACAGAGAGAGAAAGGGGCCAACTTCATCCTGTTATAAGGAACTCACTCCCACTGAGATAACAGCATTAGCTCTTTCTTGAGGGCAGAACTTCCTGGCATAATCACGTCTCATTAGGCCCTACCTCAACACTGTTGCATTGGGGATTAAGTTTCCAACACATGTTTTTGGGAGTACACATTCAAACCACAGTGAGAAGAAACTCTAGATACGTATGTATACATACATACATAAATATATGTACTTTTTTTTGAGACAGGGTCTCACTCTGTCACCCAGGCTGGAGTGCAGTGGGGGTGATCATAGCTCGCTGCAGCCTCAGCTTCCTGGGTTCAGGCAATTCTCCCACCTCAGCCTCCTGAGTAGCTGATACTACTGGCATGCACGCCACCACACCTGGCTGGTTTTTTTTGTTTTGTTTTGTTTTGTAGAGATGAAGTCTCACTATGTTGACCAGGCTGGTCTCAAACCCCTGGGCCCAAGGTCCACCCACCTCAGCCTCCCCAGGTGCTAGGGTTACATGCATGAGCCACTGAGCTCAGCCAAACACTATATATATATAATATAAAAATATATATGTACAGAGGCAAAGGCTTAAAAAATAATTTAAAAAGTATATCTATATTTTTCCCAAACTAAAAAGGATGTGTCAATTGAGGCCAAGAGGATGCAAACAATCCAAAGACCAAAAGCCTATTATTTAATTAACTTCCTTTCTTTGCTTGTTAGATGAGATTTGGATTTGATGTGTCTGTTTTCTTGGCCCTGGTCTGCTCATGAAAGCCTTCTACAGGGGGAAGCTGTGGGCAGGTTCCTATAGCGACTCTTTGGGAGAACTCTCACAGGGCTGAGTAATTGCTTAGTTCTGCCTGCTTCGTTCCCTTCTGCTTCATAGGTACTACAAAATAGTTGTTGTCCACAGTGGTGAGCCCCGCAGTGAGTGAAAACAAGTTCTGGAAGTTCAGTGTGCTGTCTTGGCACTGGTCCATGTCCTTCATTGTTATGTCTGCAGCCAGAGGGTCTTTTTGATTCTCCAAAAATCCAAGGAACTCCTTTCCCATGAGTACTTTCAGGCCCTCCTTCATTAAGTAGCCTTTATCCCCGGCAAATCTGTGAAACGTAAACAACACGGTTTCCATGGTGTGTTCCATTGGACTGGGGTTGTTCGTGAGATCTGTTGAAACCTTGGCTGGAGGTGCGTTGTGGGCGCTTGGCAAGCTGGGCCTCAGGGCCCCTCGGGAAGGAGCAGTATTAAGAACTTGTTTTGCTATCTCAAGGACAAAAAAACAAACACCGCATGTTCTCACTCATAGGTGGGAATTGAACAATGAGAACACTTGGACACAGGAAGGGGAACATCACACACCGGAGCCTGTTGTGGGGTGGGGGGAGGGGGGAGGGATAGCATTAGGAGATATACCTAATGTAAATGACGAGTTAATGGGTGCAGCACACCAGCATGGCACATGTATACATATGTAACAAACCTGCACGTTGTGCACATGTACCCTAGAACTTAAAGTATTAAAAAAAAAAAAAAGAACTTGTTTTGCAAAGGAGCCCTGGGTCAGGCACAGGGTCTGAGGCTGGCCTTGTGAGGGCCCCTTTCCTTGTGGGGACAGGCCACCACACCACACGGCAGATGCAGCTCAGGGCAAGATGCAAGGTGGCAGGACCCAGGAGAGATGCTCAGTCCAAAGTGGAGCGGTGTTCAGGGGCTCTGGGCTGGGAGATTTACGTGGGGGTCTTAACTTCTTGAAGTCATGAACCCCTCTGAGAACAAGGCAAGAGCTAAGGCTTGAGAGCAATGTAGGCAGCCGTACGCGCTATTTCACTCCAGCCTCGGGGCTCTCATGGACCTCCTGAGGCTGGCCCGTGGGACCCAGGGAAAGAGCCTCGGCCTTGCAGAGTCTCTTACAACCTTGACTAGCTGCCTCCCACAACCCTGCTGGGATCACTACCTTACAAAGGAGGAAATAGATGCCATGTAGAACTTGCTTGGAGTCACACAGCTACAAGTGTGACGCCTGAATTTGAAGGCAGGTGTGTCTGACTGTCCTGTTCCCTTAGCGGTTCAGCACGGGGCCTCTTCAGCCGTCCCAAGGCATCCCCAACACAGAAGGCGTCTAGGGAAGGGGTCAGGGGAGGGTTCAGGGAGGAGGGGATGTCTGGGCTCAGCAGGTGGCATGGCCATGGGAGCCTCAGGGCTAGGGAGAACCCAAGGCTGGGAGAGAGGCAGGGCCTTGCTCAGGACGTGGCAGAGACAGGGGTGAGCTCAGGCGGAAGCCCGAGCTGTCAGGCAGCCCTGAGTGGCCGGAGCGGAGTGGTGGACCCAGGAGTGGGGAGACGCCTCATCCAGCAGCCCACGGTCTGTTTCCTTCTACCCCTGGATCAGGAGAGAGCAGGAGGCCTGACGTTAGCTAGACTTCCCTCTGCCTAGCATTGTCATTACTCAGCCTTTGCTTTTCTTGGCCTCACAAGCAAGGCTGGGGACAGGAACGAATATGACAGTGTCTCAATCACCATAGGGAGTCAGAGGCATTTCCCTCTAATCTGAGGCCTCCCCGTCTGAGGCCCTGTGTATTTGCTTCTAGAGCTGCCTTAACTAAGTACCACACACTAGGCAGCTGCAAACAACAGAAGGGTATTGCTTCACGGTTCTGGAGGCCAGGAGTCTGGAATTCAGGTGTGGACGGGCCTGCTCCCTCCAAGCCTGGAGGGGGAAGACTTCTTGCCTCTTTTCTGGCTTCCGGTGGTTGCCAGTCCTCCTGGCAGGCCCAGACTTGCGGCTGCCTCCCCGAAGTCTCCGCGTCTTCTTTCTTTCACACAGAGCAGGAGCATATGTCTGTCTCTCTGTCTCTTCTCTTCTTTCATAAGGACACTAGTCCTATTGGATTAAGAACCCACCCTACACTCCAGTATGACCTCACCTTTGCTAATTTCATCTGCAACAATCCTATTTTCAAATACGTCACATTCTGAGATACTAGGGGTTAGGTCTTGAGCATATCTTGTGATAGGAACATGGTCCTACCCATAACACCCTGTGGGGTAATTTACCTTTCCCTAAGAAGCTCTGACCCTGAACACCCTTGGACTGTGGCATCCCCACCCTCACACCGGCCTGCAGCAACCGCCGACCTGGCAGAGCCAGGAGCTGTGGGGGCTTTCACAGCCCATGCCTGGGTGACCAAATCCAGCTCCTACCACCAGAACCTTCCTTCCAGGGCGGCTTGTGAGTGGTGCCATGCTGGGAACACGCAGCACGCAGCTTAGGGCACCGGCTGCTGCCACCAGCCTCCGGTTAATCTCCTCCAGCCTCAGCAAGAATGCAGCGGTGACAGGGGCTCTCAGGAAGGCAGGGAAGGAGGGGAGACCTGGTGCTTTTCTTTCAAGTGGAGAATTCTCCCCACAGATCTGCTCCAAGGTGTTAGCAGGGAGGGAGGGAGCCAGGTTTCCAGCCTGGGCTTCCTGACCAACAGTCCCTGGCCAGCCACTGGGCCCTGGTGGAGGCGGCTGTGAGGCTGGGGTCAGGGAGGGGTGCAAAGCCCGCTCAGCTCTGGGCCAGGTTTCCAGCAGGAGGACCTAAGACAGCACTGAGTCAGCTCAAGCCCACCTCAGAGTCAGGCTGGCTTGGTCATTAATTCCCTCCTTTGCTCCACCAACATTCACCCAGTACTTATTACATAGCAGGGGCATGCGGACCGGGAGACCAAAGCAAAACAACAGGAGAGATGCTGAGGTCAGCCACACTCAGAGGAGGGGGCTTGGGGAAGGGCCCTGGATCTGGTTTGGAGAGGCAGGGAGCATTCTCCAGTGGGGACATGTTCCAGGTAGAGTGCATGCAAGTCAAAGGAACCGAGACCTGGAGACCCTGGGGCTCTCCGAGGGTGCCAGTCATCCCTCAGGAATGGGATGAGCCCCGATGCCAGGAAGGGCAAGCGCTGAGGCCAAGGACACAGGCAGGAGTCAGACGACACGGCGTCTGTACCAGGGAGCTTGGGTTTAATCTTCTGAGCCACGGGACGGCACTGATGGGTTTTAAGCCGTGTAAAGACTTGATCCAATTTGTGAATTGGATCATCCTGGCTGCAGTGGGCAAGCTGCTGGGGTGCCAGGAATTGTTTGGAAGTCATTGGTCCAACACATGGCAGTGGTGTGACCACCTGGGAGAATGACCCCGCAGAGCAGACAAGTGGCCCAGGACGCACCTTTCGGAATGTCAGCATGGGGAGGGAAGGCCGGGAAGAGGAGCTGGTCAGAGAGAGTGTATAAGTGGCTGGAAGAGATAGAAAGTGGCCTTCAGAAGGCAGGCGGAGGATGGTTAGGGAAGATGGGATTGTCAGTAGCATCAGATGCAGCCAAGAAGTCAAGTGATGCAAGAACTGAATGTATCATTGGCTTTGGTGATTGGGAGGTGGCCTCCGTGAGTGCAGCGTGAAGGAGGTCGAAGCCAGCGGGCTTGCCACAGGCTGACAGGCAGCTGGAAACTTGTTCCTTGTGCACAGCAGTTATGAAGGCTGGGGAGCAGCCTTCTTAGAGGAGGAGGAGGAAGAGGAGGAAGAGGAGAAGGAGGAAGAGGAGGAGGAGGAGGAGGGGGAAGAGCTGCTCCTGATCAAGTTCCCTTGGGCATTGCTGGCTGAGCAGGAGCTTCAGCTTGCAGCTGCTTTGGGACCATTCACCCTGGATGGAAGCCTGAGTGAATCATTACCCCCAGGGTCTAAGGTGCTGCATTGTAGCAGCAAAGAGCCCCCATTATAACAGCACTCGGCTGATGGCCTACTGCACGCCAGGCACTGAGCCAGGGCTTTGTGCACACTATTTCATCGAGTCCTGCACAGGGGCATTATAGCCTGGGTGCTGAGGTTCAGAGAGAGGTAAGTGACTTAAGCAAGAAGCTCTGCTAGTCAGTAGCAGAGAAGAGATGTGAAGCCAGGACGACCTGAACCCGAGGCTGTTTCAGCTTCATCCTGCTGTTGTCCTAACTCCTGGGAGATATGGCTGAGAAGTTCTCTTTGGTCCTTGGCTGTTGGGTGGTAAGTGGTGGACAGGTGGCCATGCTTATCCAACCTGGGCCAGGAACTGGACTTCAGGTGGCTGGATCATTCATGGAGAGAGCGGCAGTGGCTAGGGTTGGCATGAGTCAAGGTAACAAATGGCCGATGCTGTCTTCTTGAGGGGTTCTCTGCTCTCAGGGTGGTGGTAGAACCGTGGAGGCAGTGGGATGCAGGTACCAGGGGGTTCACCTGGAATGAAATCCTTAGCCCTGGGACCCTAGATGGGCTCTCGGTCTGAGGTCAGGGTCAAGGGTCACAAGTGCTAGACAGGGTCCTCCATGATGGAAGGAGCCTCCAGAATCCTGGAGGGTAATTCACAGTAGACTGTAGTAGCCCTCTGAGGAGTGAAGCTTTGAGTGGTGGCCATCTCTGGAGAGAAGGAGGGTACAGCTAGTGGAGTTGATGGTCTAGGACAGCCCAGTGTTCCCTAGCAGTCATCCTCTGAGGCTGCCACAATGGCTCCGTGATTTGGGAGCAGAGATGCTGCACACAGTTGACCCTCACATCTATAGCAGCCACAGCTGGATGGTGTGACAAGCATTGCTGGGTGCTCTCTTTTCATCTGGGCACACAGCAAGACTGTATGCCCAGCTTCTCTTGCAGTTAGATGTGGCCGTGAGATTGAGTTCCATCTCAGTGGAGGGAACAGTCTGATGAAATGTGACTGCTTTTCTAGGCCTGCCTGTAACTATAAAAGCCTTCCCCACTTCACCAGTTCTTCATGCCCTTTCCCCTTTCATTGCTGGATGTCAACATCCCAAGTGATCTTGGGAGCCATGTGTTGAAGGTGACAGATCCCGGGTAATTGAAGACCTCTGTGGCAGAGAGCTCCTCCCCCAGCTCCAGGGACTGGGCCCACCTGTGACTGTTTATGTGAATGAGAATTCCACCTCACTACGCTTGTGCCATTATCATTCTCAGGCTTGTTTCTTGCAGCATTAACTGATCCTGTCTAATACAGACAGCCACAAAGCCGTTAGGTCCTGAGATCTCTTAGCTTTCATCTCCGGCTATTCTGTATCTGTTCAGCAGTTTTGACTCCCCCTAGCCTGGAGCTGATGTGGAATTTGAACTCTCACGAGGCACAAGCCAAGTCATTTTCTTTGGATGATTATGTTCTGATGTGCTGATGTACCATCTTGGGGAGCCAGACCCTGTAAAGTGGTTCATCCCCCCGCTTTACTGTGGGTGTAATTGTGCCTGGGGTGTTGACCTCAGCTAGGACCAACTTTCTCCAAATAGACAGGGGCAGAGGTCACCTGTGCTGGCTTCCTGTTGCAATTTTATGTCCCCACCAGAGCACAAATAGCACTCCCCTAGGTGAAGTGGCTCAGGAACAAGGAGGACAGACAGAAATGGGTTTCTCAGCTCCTGGCAGCTCATGCTGCTACCAGGCCTTTCTCCTTCTCTAGGAGGCTGGCTGTGAGGCAGGAGGGGAAGAAAAAAGGTGACAGTGTTTCACTTTTGTTTTGTTTTGTTTTTTTGAGACAGGGTCTTGCTCTGTGGCCCAGGCTGGAGTGCAGTGGCACAATCATGGCTCACTGAAGCTTCAACCTCCCATCCTCAAGCAATCCTCCTGCCTCAGCCTCCCAAGTAGCTGGGACCACAGGCGTGCGCCACAACACTCGGCTAATTTTTTATTTTTAGTAGAGACAAGATCTCACTATGTTGCCCAGGCTGGTCTCCAACTCCAGGGCTCAAGTGATCCGCCCACCTTGGCATCCCAAATGCTGGGATTAGAGGCGGGAGCCACCGTGCCTGGCTGTAGGTGTTTCTTGTGTCTCTGGTGAACCCTAGGAAGTATACTCAAACGAGTCAAAACCAAACCAAACAACAGGCCCCGATTGGAAGGACACCAGGAAGCTGAGAATGGCAGCAACTGGGGTGTCTCTGAAGACCTCACAGGCCACCGTTAGAGACCCAGCCCCTGTGGGCTTCAGCAGCTCCAGGCCACCTCCTTCCAGTCCTGCCCCCTGCACCTGTGAGGCAAGCTTGGCAGAAAAGTCCGGAGAAAGAGATCCAAAGGGTCTGGCTTGTAACCTCTTTAGGTGGGAGAAACGAGTTCAGTTTGAATCACAGGCCTCACCCTGCAGCCTGCGGCAGAGTCTTGGGGAAAGAAAGAAGCTTTGCTTTCATTAAAACTCAGAAACAGCCAGAGGCACCTTTTTCTTAAAGCCAGTATCTGCAGAGAAAAACAGCAGACTGGTCTCGCTTAGTAAGTGAAACAGAGGGACCTAGTTTAGATGGGGAAAAAGAAACACAAAACAAAGGACAAGAACCCAGTGAGTTTGCTGAGCGTATTTGCAGCTGAAGTGATTGACAGTGGGTGCAGGTCCTGAACCATGACTGTGTCCTGTGCTATCGAGCTTCATTTCACTCAGTTACCTAAAGTGTGTTCTACATCCTCGAGATTTATAATGATGATAATGGGGATGATAATGACTCATGTATTTTATTGTTCCTACTTTTCAGGCACAGTTTTTTGTTTGTTTGTTTGTTTTTGAGATGGAGTCTCGCTCTGTCGCCCAAGCTAGAGTGCAGTGGCAGATCTCAGCTCATTGCAAGCTCCGCCTCCCAGGTTTAAGCGATTTGCAGCTAATTTTTTGCATTTTTAGTAGAGACAGGGTTTCACCATGTTGGCCAGGCTGGTCATGAACTCCTGACCTCAAGTGATTCGCCTTCCCTGGCCTCCTAAAGTGCTGGGGTTACAGGCGTGAGCCACCACGCCCGGCATCAGGCACAGTTTTTAAGTGAGTTATATGTCGTAAATCCTCAAAATATTCCTATGGAGTAAGTACTATTATCCCATTGTACAGATGAGGAACCCGAGGCACAAAGTTATATGAAAAAGGCTCTGTAGAAAAAAATTAGAACAACAAAAATTATCTTTTTCTCTCTCTTTTTTTTTTGTTGTTTTTGCTTTTTTGGTTTTTTTTTTATGGAGATGAGGGTCCCACTATGTTGCCCAGGCTGGTCTCGAACTCCTAGGCTTCACGATCCTCCTGCTTCGGCCTTCCAAAGTGCTGGGATTACAAGCATGAGCCTCTGCACCTGGCCACTCATCCTTGTGTATGGAGTGGCTGGACAAAACACAAAGTCACTTAAGATAGACACTGAAGAGTCTACTTTAATTGCACATAGGGCCTTTGCCTAATGAGTCACATAATCGGGGCTCCGTGGAGTCATTAATATTTCACATCTTTTCCCATCAGCACAAAGTAAACACTATTTTAATAACCGCAATACTGCTTCTTTTTTTGGGCCCAGGAAATTGCTTGGTTCATTGTTCCATTTTAGAAAAGATTAAACAAAATTGATTTTCATAATTGTCATTCTGTACTTTTTTTTTGAGACAGAGTTTCACTCTTGTTGCCTATGCTGGAGTGTGATGGCGCAATCTCAGCTCACCGCAACCTCCACCTCCACCTCCCGGATTCAAGCGATTCTCCTGCCTCGGCCTCCCAAGTAGCTGGGATTACGGGCATGCACCACCACACCTGGCTACTTTTGTATTTTTAGTAGAGATGGGGTTTCTCCATGTTGGCCAGGCTGGTCTTGAACTCTCGACCTCAGGTGATCTGCCCGCCTTGGCCTTCCAAAGTGGTGGGATTACAGGCGTGAGCCACCGTGCCCTACAGTTTTTTTTTTTATTTTTTAGACAGAGTCTGGACAGAGTTTTGCCCTGTCATCCAGGCTAGAGTGCAGTGGTGTGATTTCGGCTCACTGCAATCTCCACCCCCCAGATTCAAGCAATTCTGCCTCAGCCTCCTGAGTAGCTGGGACTACAGGCGCACACCACCATGACCAGCTAACTTTTGTATTTTTAGTAGAGACAGGGTTTCACCATGTTGGCCAGGCTGGTCTTGAACTCCTGACCTCCAGTGATCCCCTGCCTCAGCCTCCCAAAGTGCTGGGATTACAGGTGTGAGCCACCACACCTGGACTCATTCTGTACTACTCGTCCCCAAGGGGAAATCTTATACTTTCTGATTCCACAATAAGTTCTGAGGAGGAGGTGAGGAGGGTTGCTGGTCAGACAGACACTGGGGAATCTACCTAGGAAGTGTCAATAGCCAGTTCAGCACACGCAGAAGTCCTGGCTGGACAGAGGAGGGCCCAGGTGTTCTGCATGTGGGAACACAGTCCTTAGGAACAGCTGGCTTGGAGGCGATGCTGCCTAAGCCAGCAACTTTTTCCAGGCCCCACTGGACGGCACCCAAGGACGTTATCCAGGCGAATGGTGACTCCCTGCAGGATCCATTCATTAGCCACATGGGGTGGGGGGAATGACATGGGGTGGGGGGAATCCCACAAGCCAAGGGTCAGTTACCAGGTGCAAACTGTCCAAGGAACACCTGGAGAACTTTCTTGCACTTTCTGACCTCCAGGGTCTCGACAAGCCTGGGCGTGCCCCAGAGGTCCAGTTTTTATGAATATTGGAGCTCCATGCTGTTCATCCAGGAAGCTCAAAGTTAAATGAAACACCTGGGGACCCCACAGAGTTATTATATTGTGGGGGGGTGCTAGTCTGGGCCCAGGCAGGATGCCCCATTTTCTCCACTTCAGGGAGCACCTGGGATTTGTGGTGGGAGATGGAGCTGCCCCCGTGAGGACTCTGGCTTGAAAGTGACAAAATCCAACATGAGCCAGCTTGGGCAGAAAGGGGGAATTTGCTAGAATCAACCAAAAACTTCAGCTGCACACTTGGCCGCTCCGCATGTGGGAAAGGCTGAGCTGCAGAGACCCTGCATCAGGTAGGGTTCCGGGATGGCATGGCAGCCCCACTAGGGCCACGTGGTTGGAATAGGGGGAGAAGCTGCCCCCAGGAAGAAAGGGTGTTCCCTGAAGAGGGCATGCGGCAGATCAAGAGGCAAATGTGCGCCTCACCAAGGAACTTGGCTTAGCGTTGCCAAATTTTCTCTGTGTTGGATTAGGGTCAAACTCTTGTTTGACTTGGCACAGAAGCTTGGAGGCCCGCTGGCTGCATGACTGCCTCACTCAGAGATGAGTATGGAGGGTCTAGAGGGGGCGCTGTGGGGCTCTGGCCAGAAACAGCCGAAAGTAGAAAACCATCCAAATATCCAAAAATTGATGAATGAATCAACACAATGTAGAACCTACAAACAACAGGCTGGGCGCAGTGGCTCATGCCTGTAATCCCAGCACTTTGGGAGGCCGAGGTGGGTGGATCACTTGAGGTCAGGAGTTTGAGACCAGCCTGGCCAACATGGTGAAACCCTGTCTCTACTGAAAATACAAAAATTAGCCAGGCGTGGTGGTGCACAATTGTAATCCTAGCTACTCGGGAGGCTGAGGCAGGAGAATCACTTGAACTCGGGAGGCGGAGGCTGCAGTGAGCCGAGATCGAACCACTGCACTCCAGCCTGAGTGACAGGGTGAGACTCCATCTCAAAAAAAAAAAAAAAAGAACCAACAAACAACAGAATATTATTCACCCATGTAAAGCAGTGAAGTACTGACACCCACCACAGTATAGATGAACCCTGCAAACCTCATGCTAAATGAAAGAAGCCAGACACAAAAAGGCCAATATTGTATGACTCCATTTATGTGAAATGTTTAGATAGGCAAATCCACAGAGACAGGAAGCAGATTTGCGGTTGCCAGGGGCTGTGGGGAGGGGGAATGGGAGTGATGGCTAATGGATTTCCTTTGGGGATGATGAAAAAGTTCTGGAACTAGGTAGTGGTGATGGTTGCACAACAATGTGAATGTCCTCGATGCCACTGAATTGCATACCTACAATGGTTAAAATGGTAAAATTTATATTATGTGTGTTTCATCACAATAATAAGAAAAAAGATGAGCTTCCTTCAGACAAACACATGGGAGCTTGCAGCTTGGAGACTCGGGAGAAGATGTGTGTGAGACGGTTACCCGCACAATGGGTGGGTTCCATAGCTTGGGTCAAGAGTTCAAGACCAGCCTGTGCAACATGGCAAAACCCCGTCCGTCTCTACAAAAATTAGCCAGGTATGGTAGTGCAAACCTGTAGTCCCAGCTACTTGGGAGCCTGAGATGGGAGGATGGCTTGAGCCTGGGAGCCAGAGGTTGCACCACTGCACTTCAGCCTGGGTGATAGAATCAGACCTTGACTCACTGACTCAAAAAAAAAAAAGAAAGAAAAAGAGAAAAGAAAAGAAGAAGAAGAAGAAGAGGAGGAGGAGGAGGAGGAGGCAACGAATCACAGAGGGAGAAACTGGAGTGAGGTGGTCAGGGTGCTGGGAGCCAATAGAAGCTGGAAGAGCCAGGGGCGGATTCTCTCTGTGAGCCTTGGCCCAGTGAAAATGGATTTCGGACTCTGGCCTCCAGAACTGTGAGAAAGTAAATTTCTGTTGTTTGAAGCCACTGAGTTTCTGGCAATTTGTTACAGCAGCCACCGGAAACTAATATAGTTATCATGAAACCATCATTAGTATAAAATTCTGTCTTATTAAAAATGTAAAATTAGGGCAGGCACAGTGGCTCATGCCTGTAATCCCAGCACTTTGGGAGACCGAGGTGGGCAGATTACTTGAGGTCAGAGGTTTGAGACCAGCCTGCCCGACATGGTGAAACCCCGTCTCTACTAAAAATACAAAAATTAGCCAGGCTTGATGGCAAGCACCATAATCCCAGCTATTTGGGAGGCTGAGGCAGGAAAATCACCTGAGCCTAGGAGGCGGAGCCTGCAGTGAGCTATGATCACACCACTGCACTCTAGCCTGGGTGACAGAGCAAGACCTTGTCTCAAAAAAAAAAAAAAAAAAAAAAAAAGAAAGAAAGAAAATGTAAAATAAATGTAATTTTGCTGCAAACCTTCTGGCATTTTGCATCACTCAAAACTATATTATCATACTTCTTTTAGGCAGAGAAAATATTTCATTGTTTGTGTGTATATGCATCAAAAGCACTAATAACTAAGACATTTAAAATATGCCATAATTTTAGAAACTCTGTTTTGAAATGTCTTGACTTTAAAAAATATACTGGGACCCTCAGAAAAGGGGAGTGGGCTGGGCCTTTTTTGGCTTCTGAGAGGTCCTGGCTGGTCCATGCCATGCGCCCATGGGAAGACTTCTCCACGCTGGCGCACTGATGACCATCACTAGGTGTCCTGTGCACCAAGTGAGACGGTCCCACAGGGGCTGGCCGGGCCTTCCCCAGCCACATCTGCACCACTATCCCAGCGACAACCTCAACAAAGATTCCTGGGTTCTTTCTGAGCCGCATAAGTCACCAACTCTGTCTTCTTCCCTTTCTTGCTCCCTTGCCCAACACATGCGCCTGAATCTCAAGCTCCAGAGAGTCTGCTGGTTGCCTGGGCACGGCCAGGGATCTGGGAAGATACTGAGGGAATCTCTAGCACACTAAAGCATGAGAACTTCTGCCTTAGGTACTGGGGGAGAGAGAGAGAGAGGGAGAGAGAGAGAGAGAGAAAGAGACCTCAACTTTGTGGACTCCAGCTCACACCAAGAGAGGCTAATCTGGGTGAACGGTAGCCCTTGTGGAATGGGGCCAGGAGAGATCCTTCCTGCTGCTGTCTTGGAGTTGGGTGAACTTGGCAACGTTCTTTCAGTTCACTGGATCCCCTGTTCCTAGCCAGGTGACATTGATAGGTTCTCTGAGGGACCAAAATCCTGCTTGTAGGGTTGAGGTCAGTACTGTTGGGGCTGTGCACTTGTAGACTCGTGCCTTTCCAGGAGATAAAGGCATCTGGAGCCAGAGCTACAGTCTGGATTGTGGGGGAACAGGAAAGAGTTCTCAGAGAAACAAGGCCGAGTGTCAGGCTCTGGTGGAATAAGGCTATTGATAGTAGAATAAATAGGAATTTAGAAACCAGGAAGGGAGGTCAAGGCTGGTAGTTCAGAACGGAGGCTGTGAAAGTACCATGCAATCTGGAGGCCTGTTTATATGCAGAGCTTGCTGTGTGGCGCAGGAGCAGCTTTAGGGCTCTGAAAAGGAAGTTTTAATATGGTTTGAATGATGGTATCCCCTCCAAAATTCATGTTGAAACATAATCCCCAATGCAACAGTATTAAGAGGTGTGGCCTTTGGGAGGTGATTAAGTCTTGAGGGCCTATTATTCTTATTAAAGGGCTCAAGGTTGAAGAGAGCTCCTCTTGCCCTTCCACCCCTTTCACCTTGTGAGGACACAATGTTCGCTTCCTCTGGAGGTTGCAGCAACACGTGCCCTCTTGGAGGCAGACAGTAGCTGTCCCCAGACACCAATCTTGCAGGCACGTGGAGATGGACTTCCCAGCCTCCAGAACTGGGAGAAATACATTTCTTTAAAAAGATTAAAAAAAAAATTTTTATAGAGATGGGCTCTTGCTATGTTGTCCAGTTGGTTTCAAACTCCTGACTCAAGCAATCCTCCTGCCTCAGCCTCCCAAAGCACTGGGGTTCCAGGTGTGAGCCACTGTACTTGGTGGAGAAATACATTTCCGTTGTTCATAAATTACCCAGTTTGTGGTATTTTGATATAGCAGCAGAAGCAGACTAAGATAGATTTAGACTTTCCTCTCAGCTTCCCAATCCTCCAGCCTAGATGGGGTGAGATGAAGGAATCTCCATTTCTAACCAGCACCCCAAGTATGTGCCTAACACATGTGTATGTATGTGTGTGCATGCCTACATATTTGTGTTTAAGTGTATGTATATGTGTATGTACTTGTGTACATGTGTGTATTTGCTTTTGTGTATGTGTGTACATGTATTTGCATGTTTGTATGTGTGTTTGTATATGTCTACCTGCATTTGTGTGTTTGTATCCATGTGTACATATACGTGTGTGTGTGAGTGTGTGTGCATGCATTTGTGTATATATATGTGTATTTGTATGTCTGTGTGTGTGTGTGTTTTTCTTTTCCCATTTTTTTTTTTTGAGATGGAGTTTTGCATTGCACTCCAGGCTGGAGTGCAATTGTGCGATCTCTACTCACTGCAACCTCCGTCTCCTGGGTTCAGGTGATTCTCCTGACTCAGCCTCCCGAGTAGCTGGGATAACTGGCATGTGCCACCATGCCTAGCTAATTTTTTTTTGGTATTTTTTAGTAGAGATGGGGTTTCTTCATGTTGGTCAGGCTGGTCTCGAACTCCCGATCTTAGGTGACCTTCCCGCCTCAGCCTCCCAAAGTGCTGGGATTACAGGCATGAGCCATTGCACCCGGCTGTGTGTATGTTTTCCTAGGCAGACTTGAGAGGACTTGGTGACTGGCTGGAAGGTGAAGAGAGGGAAAGAAGGTGGTCAGAGATAACTGATGAGTCTGCCTAAGGGACTTGGGGGACTTCACAAGATTCCAGGAGCATGGCTGACCCAATGCACACTGTATAGTTGCATGATTGCAAGTAACTGGGAAGGCAGTTTGGGTCTTAATTGCAAACACTTGCCCAGAAAAGACCAGCACGGCCGCAGCACAAGGAGCCTGAGTAAAGTGCCCCATCCAGGCTGGCCTTTGGGATCCTCTTGTCCTTGGTTCTCCTGGCTCTGTGTTGTCCACAGACCCTCCTGTCTGTTTTCAGTGGCCCGCACTGGGCAAGCACAGCACACACACTTCCTAGCCACCTGGCATTGATCTCCTACAGCCCCAGCCTCATCACTTGATTAGCCTCATCCACTGTGCTCTGACGTTCTGGGGGCTCTTCCTACCCCATCTGCAGGAGGCTGAGCATGGTAAAATATTTTCTCTCCCCTGCTGTGGCTTCCAGCCACTGGACACTTCTCTGGGCTTTGTCTCTGCACCACTCCCAGCCATAGGAGGGGCTGTGTAGACCACCCTGACTTATGGCAGGAAGAGAACAACTTTCCAGTTGAGTGACAATCAAAAAGATCTCCTCCTTGTGCAGGGATCCATCAACTCCAAGTGAATCCCCTTCCCCCTCACCCACCCAGCACAACCCAAGCTTAACCATTTCATACCCAGTGTATAGACCTGGTGACACTGTTCTGTGGGGCTTCATGGTGACTTCCTTCCTGATGGAGTGGAACAGGAGAGGGGCAACTCTGATGCTAAAACAAGCGTGGGGTGGAGAGAGGCTTGGAACAGTGATGAGGAACTAGAGCTTCTGCAAGGATGTGCAGAGTTGACAGAGGGACCTGAGGGCCACAGACGGGGAGTGACAGAGCAAAGGGCAGCATAAAGCACCCGCAGAAAGATGAATCAGTGATGTGCTTGCATATATGAAACATTGCAAATTTGAAACCCTTCCTGGAGTAAGGGCAGGCCCAAGGTTGGTAAATGTAGCAGCTCTGTGACACCACCGAAAACTCATTTGGTTCCTTGTCCCCTTCGCCTCGTGCCTGTCCTCTTGGGCTGCTCACCTGGACTCAAGGACGGTTTCTTTTTTTTTTTTTTTTTTTTTTTTTGAGACAGGGTCTTGCTCTGTTGCACAGGCTGGAGTGCAGTGGTGCGATCTTGGCTCACTGTGCCTCCATCTCTCAATCTCCTGGGCTCAAGCAATCTTCCTACCTCAGCCTCCCAAGTAGCTGGGACTACAACACATACCACCATGCTTAGCTGATGTTTGATGTTTTTTATTTTTTTGTAGAGACAGGGTCTCATTATGTCGCTGAGGTTGGTCTCAAACTCCTGAGCTCAAGCGATCCTTCTGCCTTGGGATTACAGTGCTGGGATTCCAGGCGTGAGCTGCCGCTCCTGGCCTCAGAGAGAGTTCCTATAGTTCCAGGCATCAGACCCTCAGACTCAGAGGCAAAGTGACACAACTGCCTTATTTTTTGTCTCCTTTTAAAAATGAAGAACAAGACGGCCACAGTGGCTCATGCCAGTAAACCCAGTGCTTTGGGAGGCCAAGACAGGAGGATCTCTTGAGCCCAGAAGTTTGAGACCAGCCTGGGCAACACAGTCCACAAAAAATCGAAATGTTATCTGGGTGTAGTGGTGCGTGCCTATAGTCCTAGCTACTCAGGAGCTGAGATGGGAGGATCACTTGAACCCAAGAGGAGGGAGGAGTGGGGAGTGACAGCTTAATGGGTGCAGGGTTTCCTGGAGGGTGATGGATATGTTTGGAGCCAGGCAGAGGCAGTGGTTGTACAACACTGTGACTGTACGAAATACCATTGAATTCTTCACTTCATTTATTCATTTATTTAGACAGAATCTTGCTCTGTTGCCCAGGCTTGAGTGCAGTGTCATGATCTCGGCTCACTGCAACCTCTGCCTCCTGGGTTCAAGCAATTGTCCTGCCTCAGCCTCCCTAGTAGCTGGGACTACAGGTGCATGCCACCACACCTGGCTAATTTTTGTATTTTTAGTAGAGACGGGGTTTTGCTATGTAGGCCAGGCTGGTCTCGATCTCCTGACCCCAGGTGATCCGCCCACCTTGGCCTCCCAAAGTGCTGGGATTACAGGTGTGAGCCACTCTGCCCGGCCACGAATTGTTCACTTTAAAATGGCTGATTTTACGTTGTGTGAATTTCACCTCAACTAAAACAATTAATTCATTTTTTCTTCTCCAACAAAAATGTGTGGCATTGTGGCCTGTGCTTTGCGTGCTGTTAGCTGTCACAGGACATGCTGATGAGGAAGGTGCATGCGATGCTGGCCCCTGCAGGGCGTATGTTCCAGTGGGAAACAGACAAGAACAAGCAATGGAGCAGTAGGTCTTGGCACAGATGAGGTGGCGAATACATATTTATTAAATAAAATAGAGACAGATATGGGAGCTCATAGGTGGTCAACAACCCAGTCCGAAGGTCGCAGAAGATTTCCTGGAGAAAGTGGTATCTGAACCAAGACCCAGCAGAGGTTAGAAGTCAGTGGCAGGAAAAACCCCCAGGGGTGGGTGAGAGTTTGGCGGATTCCAGGAACTGAAGGATGCCCAGTATGGCGTGGAACTGTGTCCAACAGGGCGAGGGGTGTGACACGGAGCTGGAGAAGTAGGCAGGAACCAGATCAAGAGGACTTTTGAATGATGCTAACTAACGGCTGTTAGTGTAGGCATCCCTTCTGCTGACGGTATGCTCACTCTCATTCCTTTTCTAGTTCCAGCCAGGTAGTAGAAGAATTAGGAAGGGATGAGTCTTGAGTATTTATTATCTTCATGTGAGTAAAATTCATTATAGATGGGTGAATGAGTGGATGGATAGATGATAGATAGATAGGTAGGTAGATGATAGATACATAGATACATAGATAGATGCATAGATATATAGATTAGATAAATACATAGATTAGATAGATGATAGATTAGATAGATAGATGACAGATAATAGGTAGATAATAGATGATAGGTGATAGATTAGATAGATAGATGATGGATAGACAGATGATAGATTAGATAGATAGATAATAGATAGATGATAGATTAGATAGATGAAGTATAGATGACAGATTAGATAGATAGATGATAGATAAGAGACAGATGATAGATAGATTAGATAGATGATGGATAGATAGATGATAGATTAGAATAGATAGATAGATAGATAGATAGATAGATAGATAGATAGATAGAATAACTGCTGCAGCCATGTTGTGACCATGAGGAGAGAGACAAGGCAACATGGCCAGGAGGAGGTGGCAGCTCCCACAGAGAGGCCTGGTCACATCCATCATCTTGGAGCAGATCCCTGGGAGGAGGAGGAGAAGGAAGATGAAGCTAAGAGGCCCTGGGGTTGGTCCTCAGGGGAAGACTATGACTCCTGGTGACAGAGATGCTGGAGCCAGAGGGCAGAGGGATGAGTAGGGGAGCCAATCCCAGACAGGGCAATGGCATAATAAACT
Organism: Homo sapiens; assembly: GCF_000001405.40. NCBI lineage: Eukaryota > Metazoa > Chordata > Mammalia > Primates > Hominidae > Homo > Homo sapiens. The sequence goes on from NC_000017.11 coordinate 50,814,293, forward strand.
AATTCGTAACAAGCAAGACAGAGAGAAGACAGGCAACAGATATTTTAGAGGCACCACCAGTAGGATCTGGTGGCCTCTTGGATAGGGAGGAGGAAGAAAGGAGGATTCATAGATTTTCCTGCAATAAGGAATTTGCTGCTGAGTGCAGTGGTTCATGCCTGTAATCCCAGCACCTTGGGAGGCCAAGGCGGGTGACTCGCTTGGGCCCCAGAGTTTGAAACCAGCATGGACGACCTGGCAAAACCCCATCTCTACAAAAAAATAGAAAAATTAGCTGGGTGTGGTGGTACGTGCCTGTAGTCCCAGCTATTTGGGAGGCTGAGGTGGGAGGATTACCTGAGTCCTAGTGAGTCGAGGCTGCAGTGAGCTTGCCTACACTAGATACTTCAGATAAGTGGAATCTTGCAGTCTTTGTCCTTTGTGTCTGACTTCTTTCACTTAGCATAATATTTTCAAGGTTCACCTATGTTGGCTGGATGTAGTGACTCATGCCTGCACTTTGAGAGGCTGAGAGGGAGGATCACTTGAGGCCGGGAGTTCAAGACCAGTCTGGGCAACATTGCAAGACCACATCTCTACAAAAAAGAAAAGAAAATTAAAAAGGTTTCATCCCTGTTGTAGTATATATCAGAACTTCATTCCTTTTTAAGGCTAAATAATATTCCATTGTCTGGATATACCACATTTGTTTATTCATTCATCCGTTGATGGACGCTTGAGTTGTTTCTCCCTATTGGCTCATTGTTGAAAGAAGCTTGGTACAGGTTGCCCCAAGTTTGACAACAAATCCTAAACAACCCTAAACATTTTCACGGCATTAGTAATATGAATTGCAAAGGTGAAAAAAAGTATTAAATTCTCATAATAAAAAGAAAAATAGAATTGATTATTTTTCTTTTTTTCTATAAAAATTCATATTACAAAATCATTATAATATGAAAAGGCAATCAAAGAGTAGGTAGTCAAAATGTAGGAAGGAAAGGATTATAGTCAGGCACTTAATTATAAGAATATTATGTTAATTTTCTAGATTTGCTGAGGTGGGTGTTATCAGTTTTTAAAAATGTGTAATTTGTGATTTTTTTCATATTCTAAAAACTTGAACGCACACTTTTACTTGTAAGTTTATATTATTTTTCATAAGGAGAGCCTGCCCATCTCCCAATACTGTATAAGCTTTTGGCACTGCACCTGGATCCCCTCTGCCAACCCGGGGTCCACAACTCTGCCCTCCTCTATCCACTTCCTAGCAGCGTTAACCAAAGCATGGCCACTTCCTCCTTCTCTAAGTGCTTTGTCTCCTTGCCTTCTGTGATTCCACCATCTCCTGGCTTTCCTCCTATTCACCGGCTGCTGGATTTCCTCTTCTTTGCTTGTTTCCTCCTTCTCTAGACCTCTAAATGTAGCAGTATCCTGGGCCTTGGGACAGGTCCTTTTCTTCACCCACCTGGTGACAGTGCCAAGGCCATGGCTGTAAATATCTTTCTTTTGTTTTGAGGCAGGGTCTTGCTCTGTCACCCAGGCTGGAGTGCAGTGGCGTGGTCACAGCTCAACCTCTTGGGTTCAAGTGATTCTCCCACCTTAGCCTCCCAAGTAGCAGGTGCACACCACCAGGCCTGGCTAATATTTAAATATTTTTGTAGAGACGGAGTCTCACCTGAGGCTGCAGTGAGCAGCCTATCTCAAAAATAAATAAATAAAAAATTAGTATCTTTTTTTTTTTTTGAGATGGAGTTTCACTCTTGTTGCCCAGGCTAGAGTGCAATGGTGCAATCTCAGCTCACTGCAAACTCTGCCTCCTGGCTTCAAGCAATTCTTCTGCCTCAGCCTCCGAGTAGCTGGGATTACAGGTGCTCATCACCACACCTGGCTAATTTTGTATATTTAGTAGAGATAGGCCATGTTGGCCAGGCTGGTCTTCAACTTCTGACCTCTGGTGATCTGCCCTCCTCAGCCTCCCAAACTGCTGGGATTATAGGCATGAGCCACTGTGCTCAGTCAAAAATTCACATCTTGAATTTAGCTTTGTCCAAATAGAATCTTCACTCCTCCCCTTTCCACACCTGTTCCTCCCCGCTTCTTCCTTGTCTCTGGAGCAGCACGGAATGGGTGTTCAACGTGGTTTGTTGATGGTCAATGGCTGGGAGGGACAGTGGTACTTCCTGTTTCTGAGGGCTATGGCCGCTGACCTGGTTTGGGGAACTGACTGCCCCTGGGCTAAACTTCTATACAGTTGCCTTTGGGTGGCCATTGGTGCCCAAGCCCTGGGCGTCCTCTTAGAGCCAGGGGACCATCTAAGCCTGAGCAATCATATCTGTTCTTTTAATTGCAGTCAAATGCATGTAATGTAAAATTTACCTGAAGTGGTAATTTTAAGTTGTACAGTTCAGTGGCATTTAGTCCATTCACAACATTGTGTGGCCATCACCATGATTTAGTTCTAGAATATCTTCACCATCCCAAAAGGAAACTTGTGACCTATCAGCAGGCCTCCCTACCCAATTCCCTGCTTCCCTCAGCCTGGCAACGATTAACCTGCTTTCTGTCTCTACCTATTTGCCTGTTCTGGACATTTCACATAAATGGAATCAATATGTGGGCTTCTGTGTCTGGCTTCTTTCACGTGGCATAATGTCTTCAAGGCTCATCACGTTGTAGTGTGTATCAGAACTTCCTTCTTTTATAAGGCTGAGTAATATTCCATTGTGTGGATGGACCACATTTCTATATTTGTTCTTGAAGGAAGTGGAAGGGAGTGGAGGCTCCATGGCAGGGCAGGTATATGCCGGGGGCTGGAAAAATTCAACCAGGAGCACAACGATGCCAGCTCCTTGGGGTGTGGCTGGGGGTGCTGCAGCCCCTGAATCATCTGTCAACCCCATCTGTGGTTTCCCACACCGTGGTGAAGGCTTGAGGTGAGTGCTGTAGGGCTGACAGCCACGGGGTCATTACGGGTGAGATTATCCAGCGTCCGAGCTTTCTGCCCTACAGCCCCACATTCTTTATGCCTCAGGCAGCTTCTTCAAACCTCCCCGCGGAGACAGGAGGTCCCCTCCTCGGTCAGGGGAGGGTGAGGGCTCCGTGCCCCACGGTGCCGCGGTCAGCAACACGGGTTGAGCCCACGCGGGGCTCCCCCCAGCAGGGGGCGCTGAGACAAGTCGGGTTCCAGGGGCCTTTCTCCTACCAGGGCTGCTTGTGAATTTCTCCTACTTGGGCTGCTTGTGAATTTCCACCTTGCTGCGGTGTCTTCTTCCTCGGTTTACTTCACACATATTTGAGTGAGGATTACTTGCCCTTGGGGAGTCTGGACGGCTCCCCAATTTTGGGATGCAGCTAGTGCTGTACTGGCCGCCTCATAACCACCCAGGGAGCGTGTGAAAAGGCAAATTCCTGGACATGATCCCAGTGGGACCAGGACAGAGTCCATGAGGCCTCCAGGTGATTCTCATGCCCAGGCTTGGGACTCCACACGGCCCTCCTTCAAGTTCACGATCTGCAGACATCAGGCTTCTGCCTTCTACGCTGCACCGTCTTGCTTGCGGGCTCATCTCTCCTTTTAATCAATCCATTCAGGTGAACCAACCACAGAGAAATGGCTTATTCTATGTTTACACCTGAAAAATATTCATTCATTCATTAGTTCAATAGAACTTTATAGAACGCCCTATGCCAGGCACCAGATATACCTTGGTGAATAAGACACGGTTCCTGCCTTGAGGTCTGGCTGGGGAGGCGTGTCAATACATTCCAATGTGATGAATGCTAGGAAAAGCAAAACGCTACGATCAGCTCAGGGTGGGATCACAGAAGTGGATGCCTGGCTTACCTGGCTCGAATTTGGGGAATCACCAGGAAGAGGTGATTTCTCAGTGGAGACTAGCAGGATGAGCAGGAAAATTCCCCGGGGACAGGAAGTCAGAAAGCAGAGAGCAGTGACAATTCTGGTGGGGGGCGGAGGGAAGCAGAGAACTGAACCAAAACATCATAATTTGGGCATAGGCATTTTAGCATTCTAGATTTTCTTTAAAATTCATGATTCAAGAGATAAAAATATAAGTTTGTTTCTAGATATATGACTAAGGTCTCAAAGAGAACTACTTCCCTAATTAGTCCACTATGGAAAGATGTATTCAGATTATTTACGGATAGGGGAAGGCCCTGCATAACTTCTGTGTCAGTCTCCGGAATGGCTCATATGCAAATGGAGAAGGAATCACTGGATCTGGGTGGATGCCTTCTGGGGAACAGAGTTGTCTTTCGGTGTTCCAGGAGCTGCAGATACAACTTTGAAGGCAGTGGCTCGAAACCCTGGCTGCAAGTAAAAATCACCTGGGAGTTTTTTTTTAATTTTTTATTTTTATTTTTATTATTTTTTTTGAGACGGAGTCTTGTTCTGTCGCCCAGGCTGGAGTACAGTGGCATGATCTCGGCTCACTGTAACCTCTGCCTCTTGGGTTCAAGCGATTCTCCTGCCTCAGCCTCCCGAGTAGCTGGGATTACAGTCATGTGCCACCACACCTGGCTAATTTTTGTTATTTTTAGTGGAGATGGCATTTCACCATGTTGGCCAGGCTGGTCTCGAACTCCTGACCTCAAGTGATCCACCCACCTTGGCCTCCCAAAGTGCTGGGATTACAGGCATGAGTCACTACACGCCTGGCCACCTAGGAGCTTCTTAAATCTACCACACATGGCAACCACTCTGGCAACTGATATATTAACTGTTTGGGGCTAGGGTGCAATGTCTGGGTGGAAGGGGAAGCTTCTGTAAAGGAGATGAAGAAGAAGCTACCAGGGAAGTGGGTAGAAAGCCAGGAGAAAAAAGGTCACAACACAGATGTAGGGGGAGAGTGGTCAGGAAGGAGGATGTGGTCAACAGGTCACAAGCTGCAGAAAGGCAAGAAAACGAGGACTGGTTGTGTCATTTAGGGCCATGGTAGTCACTAGCAGCAGGTGACTTTAGCAGCAGGTGACTTTAGCAGCAGGCTTGTCAGCAAAGTAACGTGTGGGAGGCTGGATCACAGAGTTCAGGAGAATGAGTTCAGGGACTTGGGAGGTGAGAAAATGGAGCCAGGATGCGGACTGACTTGGAAGGTAGAAAGAGGCAGGGCTGTTCATGGAGGGGGAATACGGGGTGGAAGGAATGATGTAATGATCTGTTGAGGATAAGAGAGACATGAATGTGTATAAAGGTGGCAGGTATTTGGGAGACAGAAGGCGTAATTGATGGTATAAAGTTCCTAAGGAGGTGGAAAGAAAGGGAAGTGTTGGGATCCAACACATTGTTGGCAGCATTGACCTTAAATAGGAGGGACACCTCCTCAGTTGTAACAGGGTGGAAGGTGGAGAGGGTGTGGTGGGGGCAGGGTGGCTCATTTTACTTGGTGGGGGTCAAGAACATCCATCACTCAGAATTTACTCATGAATGCGGTGACTGGATTTTCAGAGGCACGTGGCCTTGATAGAGGCCTCTCTCTACGTCCTCTCTTTCTTTCACGTCTCCCTCGTGGCAGCCAGACCTGGAGGCACTGTCCCAGTGATGAGTTAGCTGGGGGAGTGTAGGGGCTGGCCACCCTTTCTTTCTGGCCCATCTTCTCCACCTGTGGCAGGACCCTTGGGGAAGGAAGCTGGAAGGTTGAAGCCTGGCCTAAGCCTAAGCCCCAGGGTTCATCAGGGTCTACTATACTAAGGGTCTCTGCATTGGGGGCAGGGCTCAGGCACCAAGATGACTCCCTCCCTGAGAAACCCCAGAGGGAAGGGGATACTCGGGCATTGAGCCCTCACTCCAGCACCCTAACACCTTCTACCCTCAGTGGTGGGGTCTTTGCCTTTCTGATCCTCATGTACCTGAGGCCACAGTGGGCAGGTTGTACCTGCCCTGTGCCCTGCAGGCACAAAGGGGCTGGCTCCCTTGCATGGGCCCCCTCTTTATCCTCCAATTCCCTCCTGTTTTCCTTCTGCTGACTCAGAGTTAGGAACAGAGCCTCTCCAAACTTTGGGAAGCACCTCTCCTGCCATCTACCATGGTGTCTGACTGCTGGACTTAGGGAGAGAAGCGCCTTCCCCCCGGCTCCTCACTGGCAGAAAGTCCTCCTGGTGGCTCCCGATGAATGAGCCTGGCCCATTTTCTGCCCATCCTCTGTACCCAGCAGTGCCCCCAATCATTCCACCATGAAATGTGCAGTAGCTTTCTATCCCTCAACTATTTCATGCTCACTTGGCCCAAATGCGGACAGTCATGGGTTCTTCTGCTTTTGATATGGAAACGCTGGGAAGGGAAGAGCGTGGTCCCTTTAAATGATACGGAACAGCGCAAGGGAAATGTTGGGTAGAGGAAGGTTGTGCTCCCTGGCGAGGGCTCCACCCTCGTGGACCTAGGTTAGGACAGGCACTCCTGCTTTTGCACCCAAATGTTGCATTTCCCAAGACCACCCTGTCCTGCCACACCCCCATCCTGTGCCTATAAAAACCCGAGACCCTAGCAGGGCAGAGACAGAAGCGGCTGGACATCTAGAGGAGTATATTGGCGGTGGGACACACAGGCGGCTGGATGTCAAGAGGAACGCACTGGCACCGGCATCGGCATGCCAGCAGGCCACTGACCAGCAGAAGGACGCAGAGTTTGGCTGGGGCAGTTGGAGGAGAGCCTGGGACACCAAGCGGCCCAACTCCAGAGGAAAACCATCTCCCTTCTGGCTCCCCCATCTGCTGAGAGCTACTTCCACTCAATAAAACCTTGCACTCATTCTCCAAGCCCACGTGTGATCTGATTCTTCTGGTACACCAAGGCAAGAAACCCTGGGATACAGAAAACCCTCTGTCCTAGTGACAAAGTAGTGGGTCTAATTGAGCTGACTAACCCAAGCTGCCTACAGATGGCAAAACTGAAAGAGCACCCTGTAACACACGCTCACTGGAGCTTCAGCTGTAAACATTCACCCCTTGACACTGCCGTGGGGTCAGAGCCCCACAGCCTGCCCATCTGTATGTTCCCCTAGAAGTTTGAGCAGCAGGGCACTGAAGAAGCGAGCCATACCCCCATCGCACACCATCTGAGGGGGACAAAGGAACCTTTCCCGTGAGACTTTTTTTTTTTTTTTTTTTGAGACGGAGTCTCACTCTGTCGCCCAGGCTGGAGTGCAGTGGCGCGATCTCGGCTCACTGCAACTCCTGCCTCCCAAGTTCAAGCGATTCTCCTGCCTCAGCCTCCTGAGTAGCTGGGACTACAGGTGCTCGCCACCACACCTGGCTAATTTTTGTATATTAGTAGAGACAGGGTTTCACCATATTGCCAGGCTGGTCTCAAACTCCTGACCTCATGATCCGCCCACCTTGGCCTCCCAAAATGCTGGGATTACAGGCGTGAGCCACCACGCCCAGCCTCCTGTGAGACTTTCAGTCTGCTTGCTGCAAGCTAGAGCAGTGACTAATATATATTTTCTGTGGTCTACCTCTTCACTTAGCTACATACTGTTTTGTTGTTTCCCTCAAATCGCCACTCCCAAGATCAACCCAAAACAGAGTTCAAAGTGCAAAGCAAGCCTTTCTGAAATAGAAGGCAAAAATCAAAGCCTCCTTCCTGGTGGTGGTGTAGGCATGGGTGAGAGATTCTACCCTCTGAGTCCCACTTGGACTTGTGTGGACTCCCTCCTCTCCAGCCACCCTGGCTGTCTTCCAGTTCCTCCAATGCTCTGTGCCACCTCCCATCTCACAGCCTTTGCATATACTGTCCCCTCTTTGTCCAGCTAACTATGATTTATCCTTCAGGTCTCAGTATTGATGTCACTTCTTCTAGAAGCCCTTACCTGACCTTGCTTTTAATGGGAAATAGGGCTTTTACCCTCTAATGCTGTTCCCCTAGAATCTGAGCTGGCCACATATTTGAAGTCTACTCCAGCCAACATTATGGTCTGGATCATAATCATGGTCTGTTTGCTTAGAGGCTACTGATGGTGCTTTCCTCTAAGCCCACACTCAAGACCCCTGTCATGAGCATTGCTAAGGGCACAGGCTTTGAGAAGAGCCCCAGATGTTCTATCTTATATCCTAAAGAGAATTCTGGCAGGATTCTTGTCTCTGCCTCCTGATTCGTCATGAGCAGTGAAGCTGAGCAGCTGAAACTGGTTTCCACCACAGTTCCCTCATGTCTATTCCATTTGTATATTGCTCTACATTTTATTTTTTGTTTTTAAATAAATTTAAAAGAATTTTATTTTTATTTTTATTTATTATTTTTTTTTGTAGAGACAAGGGTTTCGCTATGTTGCCCAGGCTGGTCTCAAACTCTGGGCTCAAGTGATCCTCCTGCCTTGACCTCTCAAAGTGTTGGGATTGCAGGCGTGAGCCACTGCATCCAGCCTGTATATTGCTCTGTAACAAACTATCCCAAAAGTTAGTGTATAAAACATTTTATTTGCTCATGATCCTATGGATCCGAAGTTTGGGCAGAGTTCAGCTGGGCTGTTCTTCTGCTCTATGTGATGTTAGGTTGGTGCAAAAGTAATTGTGGTTTTTGCCATTACTTTTAATGGCAAAAATATTAGGGATCATTCATTCAACTACCTTATAGGAATCATTCATTTAACTACATAGCTGGTAGCTGGGCTAGGCTGGAAGGTCCAAGAAAATGCATTCACTTGTCTGGTATCTTGGTGCCCCTTCATGGATCCACTAAGTATTTCTGTCTACGTGGCTAGCTGGGACTTCCTCATGACATGGTGGTCTTAGGGTAGCTGGACTTCTTACACAGTGCTGGCTTCTAAAGGAAACCTTCAAAGAGGGGCAAATGTGGAAGTCATGATCTTTAAAGCTTGACTTGGAAGTTATACTTCTGTTACATTCTGTTGGCCAAAGTCAATAGGACCAGCCAGGTTGAAGGAAAGCCCATCTCTCTACTGAGGGAGCGGCAAAGAATTTGTGGCCATCTTTAATCCACCAGGATGCCTCATTTGGCACAGTTGAACCAGAGATGAGAGCCTCAGGCTGCATTTGGAAGATCTTCCCATAGGAACACTCCCAGGGCTTATCCATAATTGCTTACTTTAAGGCTCGGAATTCTAACTTGAGTGCATGCCTTGTGGTCTGACCTATTCCTAGGCAAAGCAATGGCTTTCCCCTATCACCATCTTTATCTCATACATCTTATAACCCTTAAAACTGGTGTTCATGTGGAGAGTAAATAGTTTGGAGGCATCACCAAATACCAGCATGGGAGCATGAATCGGGCAACTCATGAAGACCTCAAACTCCTACTAAGGGCTTCCAACCACCAACATTGCTTCCACTCACAGTTTATGGGCCAGAACTAGTTACATGGCTTCAACCTAACTGCAAGGAAGGCTGGGAAATGTAGGGAGCACATGGGATGGTTGGAGTGCACAAATGGCCTCTGCCACATCTTCTCTTCCTGCCTTTGAATGTTGTCATGTGAGCACTTCCAGTGATGGCAGCCATCTTGTGACCATGAGGAGAAGGTCAAGAGAATTCCAGGAAGGCTGACCTGAAGCCCTAGTGTTGTTGAGCTGCTGAACCAGCCGTGGTACTGCCCATTCTTGGACCCCTTGACATGTGAGATACCTTGGGTGGGTGTTCCATTACTGTTTTTGCAGCCAAAAGAAACTCAATGGATGTAATGGTGAATGCTTTTAAGAAAATAAAACAGGGTGGAGTGTCATGTGACTTGGGGAGAGGGTGGCAAAAATCTAGGCGTGAGTGTGTGTGTAACAATGGACAAGGAAGTGAGGGAAGTCTTTGAATGAATAGAAAACACCATCATGGGAAGAGCTCTTTGGGCAGAAAGGACACATTACAAAGACCCTGAGGTGGCTGGGTGTGGTGGCTTACGCCTGTAATCCCAGCACTTTGGGAGGCCGAGGCGGGTGGATCACAAGATCAGGAGATCAAGACCATCCTGGCCAACATGGTGAAACCCCATCTCTATTAAAAATACAAAAATTAGTCGGGTATGGTGGTGCGCGCCTGTAGTCCCAGCTACTCAGGAGGCTGAGGCAGGAGAATTGCTTGAACCCAGGAAGTGGAGGTTGCAGTGAGCCGAGATTGTGCCACTGCACTCTAGCCTGGTGATGGAGTGAGACTCCATCTCAAAAAATAAAATAATAATAATAATAATAATAATAATAATAATAATAATAATAATAAAGACCCTGAGGTAAGAACACAGCCAGCATGTTTGAGAGAGAAGGCCAATAAGGCTGGAGCAGAGTGGTAGCAGAGAAGGAGAGCATGAGGACCAAGAGGCTGAATGGGGTCAGAAAAGGCAGACTCTTGTAGATAAGGTCAGAGTTTGACATTTTAAAAGACAGATTTGCCTGGGTGCGGTGGCTCATGCCTGTCATCCCAGCACTTTGTGAGACCAAGATAGGAGGATAGCTTGCGCCCAGGAGTTCAAGACCAGCCTGGGTAACATAATGAGACCATCTCTACAAAAAAAATTTAAAAATTAGCCAGGCATGGTGGCATGCACCTGTAGTCTCAGCTACTCAGGAGGCTGAAGTTGGGAGATCTCTTGAGCCTGGGAAGTCAAGGCTGCAGTGAGTCATAATTGTACTACTGCACACCAGCCTGGGTGACAAAGCAAGATCCTGTCTCAAAGAAAAAACAAACAAGCAAACAAGCAAATAAATAAAAACCAGATTTACTGATGTACAGCTGACAAACAATATACTGCACATGTTTAAAGTATACTCTTTTGGGTTAGTTTTCTTTCATTTAGTATAATTATTTTGAGATTCATCTGTATTATTGCATGTATGAGTAGCTTATTCCTTTTTATTGCTGAGTAGTATTCTATTGTATGGATACACTGCAATGTGTTTAAACATTCACCTTTGAAGTTGTTTGTAGTTTCTGGCAATGAAAAATAAAGCTGCTGTGAATATTCATGTTCAGGCCTTCTGTGAACACATCCTTTCATTTCTCTTGTGTAGACACCCAGGAGGGGAATGGTAGAAGTGTTTAACTTCCCAATTTTTTAAGAAGCAAACTGATTTACCAAGTAATTGTACCATTTACAATGGTACCAAATGCACTCATTTTCCCAGGAACAGTGTATGAGAGTTTCAGTTCTTCCACATCTTTGCCAACACTTAGTATGACCAGACTTTTAAATTTTAACCATTCTAATTAGTGTGTAATAATTTCTTATTGTGTTTTCAATTTTTATTTCCCTGATGACTAATGATGTTGAGCATCTTTTATTTATTTTTATTTTTTATTTTTTTTGAGACAGAGTCTTGCTCTGTCACCCAGGCTGGAGTGCAGTGGCACAATCTTGGCTTACTGCAGCTTCCGCCTTCCGGGTTCAAGTGATTCTCCTGCCTCAGCTTCCCAAAGTGCTGGGATTAGAGGTGCGAGCCACCACACCCGGCTAATTTTTGTGTTTTTAGTAGAGATGGGGTTTCGCCATATTGGCTGGTCTCGAACTCCTGACCTCAAGTGATCCGCCTGCCTCAGCCTCCCAAAGTGCTAGAATTACAGTCATGAGCCACGGCATCCGGTCAATGTTAAATATCTTTTATTATAATTATTTACCATTCATATATCTTTTTTGGTGAAGTGTCTGTTAAAATATTCTGCCCATTTTTCACTGGGTTATTTATTTTCTTATTATTGAGTTTTGAGAGTTCTTACATATTCTGGATACAAGTTCTTTATCAGATACATGTTTTCCAAACACTTTCTGCCAATTTGTGGCTCGTCTTTTCTTTTTTTTTTTCTTTTCTTTTTTGAGACGGGGTCTTACTCCATCATCTGAGCTGGAGTGCAGTGGCACAATGACAGCTCACTGCAGCCTCAACTTCCTGTGCTCAAGCAATCCTCCCACTTCAGCCTCCCAAGTAGCTGGGACTACAGGCATGTGCCACCATGCCAGGGTAATGTTTTTATTTTTTGTAGAGACAGGATTTGGCCATGTTGCCTAGGCTTTCATTCTCTTAATAATATCTTTTGCAGGGCAAAAGTAACATCAATTTTTTCTGTCTCGATCATGTTTTGGTTATTGTATCTAAAAAGTCATTGCCACCAAGCGCGGTGGCTGACACCTGTAATCCCAGCACTTTGAGAGGCTGAGGTGGGTGGTTAACTTGAGGCCAGGAGTTTGAGACCAGCCTAGCCAACATGATGAAACCCTGTTGCCACTAAAAATATAAAAATTAGCCAGGCGTGGTGGGGGCCGCCTGTAGTCCCAGCTACTCGGGAGGCTGAGGCAGGAGAATTGCTTGAACCCGGGAGATGAAGGCTGCAGTGAGCCGAGATCGTGCCACTGCACTCCAGCCTGGGTGACAGAGCAAGACTCCATCTCTAAAGAAAGAAATAAATAGTCATTGCCAAAATGAAGGTCACCTAGATTTTCTTTTGTGTTATCTTCCAGAAATGTTATAGTTTTGTGTTTTGCAATTAGCTCTTGATTCATTTTTAGTTAATTTTTGTGAAAGATGTAAAGGTCCATTATGTCTAGACTTTTTTTTTTTTTTTTTGCATATGGATGTCCACTTGGCCCAGCACCGTCTGTTGAAAAGACTGTTCTTTCTCCATGGATTGCTTTTGCTCCTTTGTCAAAGACCTGTTGACTATATTTCTATGAGTCTATTTCTGGGCTCTGTATTCGGTTTCATTTATCTATATGTCTATTCTTTAACCAATACCATGTTGCCTTTATTTCTGCAGCTTAATATATAGTAAGTCTTGAAGTTGGGTAATGTCAGTCTTCCAACTTTATTTTCCTTCTTCAGGATTGTGTTAGCTCTTCTGGTTTTTTGCCTTTCCATATAAACTTTAGAATAATTTTGTTGAAGTCACAAAATAGTTTCCTGGGATTTTGATCAGGGTTGCAGTGAATCTATAGATCTAGTTGGGAAGAACTGACATCTTGACAATTTTGAATCTAATCTGATCTATAAACATGGAACATGTCGTTCTTCTTTTTTTTTTTTAATCTTGGCTCACTGCAGCCTCTGCCTCCAAGGTTCAAGTGATTCTCCTGCCTCAGCCTCCCAAGTAGCTGGAATTACAGGTGTGAGCCACCACACCTGGTTAATTTTTGTATTTTTAGTAGAGACAGGGTTTGCCATGTTGGCCAGGTTGGTCTCCAACTCCTAACCTCAGGTGATCCACCCACCTCATCCTCCCAAAGTGCTGGGATTATAGGCATGAGCCACTGCACCCAGCTGGAACATGTCTTTCCATGTTTAGATTTTCTTTGGTTTCTTTTACCAGTTGTATAGTTTTTCTCGCATAGCTTTTATACATATTTTTAAAAGATGTACACGTTAAGTATTTTTTTACGTTAATGTAAATGGTTTCTGTTTAATTTCAAATTCCAATTGTTCATTGCTGATATAAAGGAAAGCAACTGACATTTGTATATTAACTGTGTATCCTGACACCTTGGCTTTTTAGATGATGACAATAGGAGCCCCCAAACCCTTGGCCTTGGGTTGTTCCTGACTTTCCCAAGTGATCTTCGACTTTTGGAATCTGCATGCAAAGGAAAGAAGGAGTTTCCCATACTTCTCCTTGGAATGGCCTGGCCCAAGCACAGCCTCCTTGGCCAAGGCCCCTGCCTCCATGGGACCCTGGCCTTTGGAAAGTAGAGGTGAGAGAGGAGGCCGCAGGTTTAGGAGACAGGGTGGGGGTGGGAGCCGCAGGTCTTGCCGGCTCTGCACGGATGGCCCTAGGAAAGTCACACCAGGTGGATGGAGTGCCTCACATATAGAAAGGGCAACTACGGTTTTGTGTAACTTTTGTTTCAGTTATTTACATGAATATGTGTACTGAATCATAATAAAAAATGTATTTCTGGCCAGGTGCAGTGGCTCACACCTGTAATCTCAGCACTTTGGGAGGCTGAGGCAGGCGATCTCTTGAGCCCAGGCATTTGAGACCAGCCTGGGCAACATGGCAAAACCTGATCTCTACCAAAAATACAAAAGATTAGCTGCTCATGGTGGTGTGCACCTGTGGTCCCAGCTACTCGGGAGGCGGAGGTGGGAGAATCGCTTGAGTCCAGGAGGTGGAGGTTGCAGTGAATAGAGATCGCGCCAGCCTGGGTGACAGAGCGAGACCCCATCTCAAAAAAGAAAAAAAGTATTCCTCACTATGTGTTGCAGTCAAAACATTTGAAAGCCCCTGTCACAGAGGGGTTTTCTTCCCTAAGGATTACAGATTAGAGGTGGGCTCCGTTCAGCTCAGCGGGGGGCTCAGTACCTGCCTCCCAAAAGTTTGTCCCATGCCACCAGCACCTCTGGCCCTGTGGGGTGAATCAAAGCTCTCAGCAGCTGAGCTCAGTTCTCAACTGTTCTGACCACCCACATTCTACGGAGTGTCTTTACTTTGAGATCATCTTGACTCTCGGTTTCTGTTAAAGAGTAAAACAACAACAACCATAGCTTTTTTTTTTTAGATTTTTAAAGCACTGAGTCTGTCAACTCAGTGCTTAAAAAAGCACAGTTCTCAGAAAAGAGAACACACTCTGGAGAGGCAATTCATTGAGTATTTTTAGCAGGAACCTAAAAGGGGCAGCTCAGGGTAGTTGTGGCATTTAATTATGACCAGGAGAGGCCATTGGAGAATTTTAGGCAGGTGTGTTCATTTCCTGGGGCTGCTAAACAAATGACCAGGAACTTGGTGGCTTAAAACAGCACACATTTATTATCTGACAGTTCTGGAGGCTGGAGGTATGAAACCACAGTGTTGGCAGGGCCACGCTCCCTCCAGAGGCTTTAGGGGAGAGTCCTTTTCCTCTTCCAGTTTCTGGGGGCTCAGGTGTTCCTGGGCTTGTGGGTGCATCGCTCTAATCTCTGCTTCTATCTGCACAAGACTTTCCCGTCTTCTGTGTCTCGATTCTGTCTCTGCCTTTTATAAGGATACCCGTCATTGGATTTAGGGCCCTCCTCGGTAATCCAGCATGATCTCATCTCAAGATCCTTAATTTCATCTGCAAAGACCCTTTTCCCAAATCTCATCTGCAAAGACCCTTTTCCCAAGGTCACGGTCACTGTCTCTGTGGGTTAGAACATGGATATATTTGGCAGGGGTGGGGGGCTGGGGGGAGCACCACTCAACCCACTACATTGAACATTTAAACTTTACCCGTATTTTACAACCCAGTTGCGGCTTTTGTTTTGTTTTGCTTTGTCATTTAAAGTCAGGAAGGCCTCCTGAAAGAAGTTGTTTCTGAAATCGGTCAGGAAGCAGTGGGCTGGGAGAAGACAGAGCAGGCCAGGGGTGAGAGAGTGTTTAGGACAGAGGACAATGTCTGTGTGAGGTGGAAGGGGGAGTACTGTGAGGAGCTCTTAAAGGTCTGAAAGCGCGATATGGCAGCCTCCAGAGTTTGAGAGTGAAAGGGACAGATGGTAAGACCAGGGAAGTAAATGGAGGCAGAAGGTCACGGCAGTCCAGAACAATGCTTTGGCCTGCTCTTGAAGGCGTGGGGAAGCTGTCTTTAAGCCACAAGTCTTGGAATCATGATCAGTCAGAAAGAAACCTGTTTCTCATCCCTACTCCAGCTCACCCCCACACAGCCATTGGACATTTTGTTTTTATTTTTCATTTTTATTTTTGAGTCAGGGTCTCGCTCTGTCACCTAGGCTGGAGCATGATGGCGTGACCTCGGCTCACCATGACCTTCTCCTCCCGGGTTCAAGTGATTCTCATGCCTCAGCCTCCCAAGTAGCTGGGATTACAGGCACGCGCCACCACGCCCAGCTAATTTTTGTAATTTTAGTAGGGACGGGGTTTTACCATGTTGGCCAGGCTGGTCTCGAACTCCTGACCTCTGGTGACCTGCCCGCCTTGGCCTCCCAAAGTGCTGGGATTATAGGTGTGAGCCACTGCACCCAGCCTTCATTGGATATTTTGTATTGTTGGAATGAGTGTGAGGGGTGCAATTAGCTTTAGAGATGTTGTCCTTCTTTGCTCAGCAGCAGGCAGGGAAGCAGAGAGGCCCAAGAGTCTCACACCTTCTCATTTCCCTGTCATTCAAAGGGAGAAAGAAGGAAGGCAGGAGCTCCAGAGTGTGAAGAGTAGAGTAGCTGTGGAAACTTTTAGGGTGGGGGAGACCCGAGGGGGATAGAGGCCATGCCTCTGTTTGTGGTATTCCTACAGGCCTGGGAAGAGTGGAAACCCGCCCTCGCTGTGTCCCAGCAGAGCAGGGTGGTGGAGCTGGCCCCAGCCCCGCAGCCCCACAGCCTTGTGGCTTCTGCACTCTGGTGTTTGTCTTGGCTGAGAGCTCCACAGGGCTTTTTGAAGCTGATTCCATCAAGGCAAAGCTGGAGGAGTCAGGACATGGGATCACAGAAGAGGCAGCTGGAAGGGGCCTCAGATGGGGAAATAGAGGGGGTCCCACAGTGAGATGATGGCAAAGCAGGAAGAGAGCCCAGGGCTCCTGACTCCTTGCACAGTGCTCAAACCAAGACCATGTAGCTTCCCGAGTGGGTGAGGAGCCCGAGACAGGCTCCAAATCTTCTAGGAAGACATTTGAATGCCAAAGGAGCCCAGAATTGTGCTGTCCCAGAGGTGCCTCCTCTTCTGGGTTCCTGACACAGAGACTCCAGGACTCCAGATTCCAGGGGCTCACTGCACCTGTAGACCCCCCCGGGCCAGGCAAGGGTCTCCAAGGAGGCCTAGCTGGCCCGGGACACTGGGCCATGCCCCACCCCTGACAACCCCATAATTCTCAGATGTGGATTCAGGACTGCCCTTGCTTTACCTCTCTGCTCAGTGAGGACCCTCCCGTGTCCTGTTCCACACAGATGCAGATGGATCACGTGTCTCACAGCTGAAGGCCTCCCCCATCCGTCTCCACCATCTGCTGAGGCCCCATAATTATTCCAAGGCCCGGTGCAGCCTCACTCAGAGGGGAGAGTTCACGCGGTCCTGTAATGCAACCCAGGCCCGAGGCCGCGCGGGCAGGGGGTCCCAGCTGGGTAATGAGCCGCTGGCTTTATTGAATTCTCCGGCTTGAGTCTGACTAATCACTGCCTTTAGCCAAGGCAACCTGGGCTGCCATCTGAGCACCCTGGCTAGGACTTCCTTTCCTTCTCAGCACCCCAATTCCTGCCCCTCCTCCCCAAACATGTTTAAATGACCAAGATCAGAGCGGGAGGGGCTCCTGGGGGGCTGGTTTCCCCCCATCCATTTGGGAGAAAATGTGGCTGGCTCAGATCTGGGGCCCAAGCAGGGTAGACCAGAATGGGCCGCTGGGGTGTACTTTGCTGGGGCCACCCTGTGCCGCGCCTGCAAGACCTGCAGCTCCCACCCCCACCCCATCTCCTAAACCTGCTGACGTCCCTATCACCTCCCCTTTCCGGAGGCCTGGGCCCCGCGGAGGGAGGGCCTTGGCCGAGGAGACTGTGGTGTGGGCCAGGCCTTTCCAAGGAGAGGTGTAGGAAATGCCTTCCCTCCTTTGAGATTCTGCCCAGGCTTGGGCCCCACCCAATGTCATGGTCGTGCGAGAGCCAGCCCCAGGTCTCTCCCTCCTCTCTGTTCCCCAGCCCTGAGAGGACTCCCCACCAGCATTCACCATTCTTATCTCTGCATGCTGGCTTTCTAGACTAGACGGTACCCTCCCTGTGGACAAAGATTGTTGTTATTTTCTTTTTTTTTTTTTTTTGAGATGGAGTCTCGCTTTGCCACTCAGGCTGGAGTACAGTGGCGTGATCTTGGCTCACTGCAGCCTCCGCTTCCTGGGTTCAAGCAATTCTTCTGTCTCAGTCTCCCAAGTAGCAGGGACTACGGGCTCACGCCACCATGTGCAGCTATTTTTTTTTATTTTTATTTTTAGTAGAGATGGGGTTTCACCATGCTGGCCAAGCTGATCTCAAACTCCTGACCTCAGGTGATCTGCTCACCTTGGCCTCCCAAAGAGTTAGGATTACAGGCATGAGCCACCATGCCTGGCCAGTTATTGGTTCCGATGTGCCCAGAACTTGGCACACCGTAGGTGCTCTAAAAAACCTTTGTGGAGAGAAATAGAGGGAGCAGGTGCAGTGTGAGGTAGGAGTGTGGGTGTGGGGTGTGCATAAGCCACGTGGCACCCAAGATACTCTTGTGGCACCTCTGTACCTCCCCATCGCGGCTGCTGGGGGCTGGCTGACTTGGGAAATGGTATCAGCTGTGCTGTCCCGTCAAGACCCTAGCGGCTCAGGAGTTGTTAATGTCAGGGTGAACCTGAGGTCAAGGGTCACTGAGAGTGACCTGGTGACCTCCTCCCACGGCTCCTAGAGCAGATTTGAACCCACCCTGGCAGTGTGAAGAATCCATGGTTCTCCACCCTGTGACAATGGTGGGGGATGGAGGGGCCCTTCCAAGATGGGGCCAAGCCCAGCCCTCTCTGACCTCTCATTCTGAGTAGCAGGAGAGCTGTGCCTGGTGTCCTTGGGGAAAGGGGAAAAGGCAGATCACGCCCGAGGCCAGGCCTCTGCTCAGGAGACCCAGCCCAGCCTCTGCTCCCAGTGGCCTGAGTGGAGGAGGCCCGGTGGACAGTGGGCATGTGCCACTGAGCCGCTCCCGCTGGGCCCACCTTCAGTACCGTGGGTTTGGTGAGGGTAGGGCCCACACCACCCACAGGGAAGAGTGTGAGGGACACAGAGTCAGACACACAGACACACCAAGAGGAGAGAGAGAAGGAGGCAGATCCAGAGCCAGTTCCAAGGGCCTCTGGGAGGGAGGAGAAGACTTCAAAGCGCTCCCAAACAGCTTATAAACAAGCCAGTGGGCGGGGCAGCCAGCATGGGCTGGGGGTCGCTTTCTGGAGGGGCTGGAAGCTTGCACGGGGTGTGTGGAGGCCATAGGCCCGGGGTGGGCAGGAGGAGGGCCCAGCCTAACCTCTCTGTGACTCGGTTTCCTCTCCCGCGCTAGGGAGCTCCCTCCTGGGGCTGCCGTGGGGTCAGCAGCAACGTGCAGGTGAAAACACTGTGTGGGCTCCAGGCCGATCAGATGTTATTTATTATTCTGAGCTGTGTTTTGGTGGGAGACTTGGAAGGGCTGGAGGGAGAGTCAGAGTGCTTTGGGCTCCTCTCTTTCCCGATGCTGCTTTGAGAGTTCTCAGAGTAGAACGTCCAGGAATGGGGCCCGGGAAGGAGAAGTCCGTGGCTTGAGACAGGACCAGGTTGGGTGTGGGGGCTTTCTCCATCAGCCCCAGGAGTGGGGGTAGGATGGCCAAGCTTCCCCTGCCCTGCCGTGTGCCCCTCTCCTGCCCTCCTCAGCACCCCCCAACCTCTGCTCGGTGCCTCCCCTCCTCCGACCCCCTCTCATCTCTCCCACACCCTCTAATGGTCTCTTGGGACTGCCCAGAAATCGGCCTCCTCTCCTTGGATACTTGTCCTGGCCTAATGGGGCTGTGACAGTTTTTCTAAGTCCTGCTTATAAATGTGTCACTGTCCATGTCCCTTTGTGCTATCAAAGGAGGCTGCGCAAACCGCGTTTGTCCAAGGGCTGTGTGAAGGCCCCCGCGCGGAGCAGCTGGAACACGGGCTGATGAAATTACGGGGAATTCAAAGCAGCCGGCGTCGCCCGCTGTCTGGCTTCATTACGGGGACTGGCCTCGAAGGGAAGTTTATTCCAATAATTTAGAGGATTAGGATCTGACACCCTTCATTAGCGATTTGACATAAGCAGAAAAGACAGATCCTGCAGAATGGCCGCACAACGGGAAGGGACCAGCTCAGGCGGGGAGAAGGCAGCACCCGCCCGGCTGGGAAGGGGAAGGGTCTGGGTGTGGAAGCGAGGGTCCCGTGGCCGTTTTACAGTCCTGTGAGATGGCGAGCTGTGTTCTTGAAGGGGAAAGTGGACGTGGGGAAGGAGCGGCCTGGGCTCAGGCCTCAGTTTCCTTAGCTGTAAAGCGAGATTACCTTCAGGATCCCTTCCGTATCTGATGCGTGTGGGGGCCACTCCACCTACTGTCCCCGGGACACAGCAGCTCCTCAAGGCCCTTGTGGTTTGGCCTTGGAAAGGTACCTCTCTTTCGGGGCTCTATGTGCCTCCGCCCCCTACCCCCAGGATCGAGTGACCAACTCGAAAACACTCAGACTGCAGGCTGCTCTGTGGCATTTTAGATAGAAGCCATTTGCTGCCAAATGGGGGAGGAATCGCCCCCAGCCCCTGGCAGCTTCTGGCTCTCTTCCCGGCCCCTCCACAAATATAGCCCCTGATGTTTCAAAAATTTCTTGTCCAGTCTGTGAAAACCAGAGTTTGGGCTGTGCCTTGACAGCAGTTCTGGCAGATGGATGGGGGAGGGGTGATTTTAAAAGGCCCCTGCCCACACCCAGCAAGCTGGTGTCCCTGTTTCCTGTACCGTGGTGGGGTAGCTGTGCGACATGGGCAGGTTGCTTAGCCTCTCTGTGCGTCCTTTCCTCCGATCTGAAATGGAGGTGCAGTTTGTTGTGAGGATTAAATGAGATGATGCGTTCAGAGAAGCCACACGTGTGAAGAGCCCAGTGCATCTGGCAGCTGGTACCACCAGGACTGCTCACTCTGTGCGACCTTGGACAAGTCGCTCGCCCTCTTCGACCACAGACCTTCTCCTTTGGGAAGTGGGGGAGGCCAGACAAGGCTGGCAGTCAGAAGGAGCTCACTGAAGAGCAGCCACTGTGGTCGTCAGCGAGGGCAGCTGGACTCCGGCACAATCCTGAGACACTGTGACCGCGGAGGTTTTCTCGGTGTGTCGATGGAAGAGGGAGGAATGTGATCCGTCCCAGCCGCCGGCGGGGCCAGAGCATATCTGGTATGTGTCTCTGGAATGATTTGGGGAAAATTAACTGAAGTTGGAACTTAAGACGCAAACTGCCCTGGACACAGAGATACAGAGCTGTCCGTGCGCACACCCCCCACAAAGGGCCGGGGCCGGGGTGGGAGTCGGCTTACAGGGCACAGCGCGGCGCAGGCCCGCCCTGGAATGGCCGTGAACTTGTTGTTTTTCCACGTCATTTGCTCTCAAATGTACTATCAAGCCGGGCGATGCTAACCCGGTGGCTGCAGGTCCCTCCTCGTAACAAGCGATTGTGTGTTCTTTAGAGGTGGCCAAAGGGGAGGAGGGGGCCCGGCCCCAAGGAGGTGGGGGAAAGGGAAACAAGCCCTCCTTCAGAGTGAGCTTGCGTGTCCTGGAGCCAGCTCCCCGCAAAGCACATGCCATTTCTGGCCCTTGAAGGGGTTAAAGGCCTCCTGGAGTCAAAAACAAGCAGGTGTCCCACCGTGCCAGATACGCTGCCTAAACTGCTTCCAGCTTCTTTTTTTTTTTTTCCCCCCTTCTGCAATAAGTCTGTGATCAGCCACGGGACAGAGGCGCCAGCAGCCTGCCTGTGACAGGCATCAGGTTAGCTGGCTCCCACTCGGGTGGCGCGCCCAGGATATAAATCCGGGCGCGGGCCCCTGCTGTGGCTCCTCTCCCTGCACACTCAGGAGAGGGAGCTTCCTTCTAAAGACCTTTCTTTTATCTGAAGCCGCACAGCCCGGCAGGCTGTGCTGACTTGGTGGAGGCAGCAGCGGCAGAGCAGCCTGAGCAGCAGCCTGAGCAGGAAACCTGCTGGGGTGGGGAGGGCAGGTGTCTGCAGCCCCTGAGAAGAAGGCCCTGGTGGGCCCCAGACCCTGGCATCGTTTCAGGGGAGGTCTCTAGCCGCCCCAGCCTGCACCATGTGGGCCCCAAGGTGTCGCCGGTTCTGGTCTCGCTGGGAGCAGGTGGCAGCGCTGCTGCTGCTGCTGCTACTGCTCGGGGTGCCCCCGCGAAGCCTGGCGCTGCCGCCCATCCGCTATTCCCACGCCGGCATCTGCCCCAACGACATGAATCCCAACCTCTGGGTGGACGCACAGAGCACCTGCAGGCGGGAGTGTGAGACGGACCAGGTGAGTGGGGTCCAGAGACCAGAGATGGACCACGTGAGCCTGTGAGTGACGGGGGTGGGAGCCGTCGGGGAGGGACTGTGTGGGAGTGTGAGGAGGACAACGTGAGTGGGGTCCAGAAGCCACAGTGTGAGGCGGACCAGGTGAGTGGTGTCCGGAAGCAGGAGTGTGAGATGGACCAGGTGAGTGGGATCCAGAAGCCACAGTGTGAGGCAGACCAGGTGAATGGGGTCCAGAAGCCGCAATGTGAGATGGACCAGGTGAGTGGTATCTAGAAGTGGGAGTGTGAGGTTGACCAGGTGAGTGGGGTCCAGAAGCCGGTGTGTGAGGCGGACCAGGTGAGTGGGGTCCAGAAGCCACAGTGTGAGATGGACCAGGTGAGTGGGATCCAGAAGCTGGAGTGTGAGGCGGACCAGGTGAGTGGGATCTAGAAGTGGGAGTATGAGGTGGACCAGGTGAGTGGGGTCCAGAAGCCACAGTGTGAGATGGACCAGGTGAGTGGGATCCAGAAGCTGGAGTGTGAGGCGGACCAGGTGAGTGGGATCTAGAAGTGGGAGTATGAGGTGGACCAGGTGAGTGGGGTCCAGAAGCCACAGTGTGAGATGGACCAGGTGAGTGGGATCCAGAAGCTGGAGTGTGAGGCGGACCAGGTGAGTGGGGTCCAGAAGCCAGAGATGGACCATATGAGCCTGTGAGTGATGGGGGTGGGAGCCACAGGGTGGGGACCATGCAGGAGTGCCCTGCAGGTCCTAGGAAGGTGAAGGAACACAGGCCCCGTTCACCTGGAGAGAAACAGGGCACCATCCTGTCTATTAACACCGAAGCCTGGAAGGAGAGGTGGGAGCGATGTCCCAGTTCATCAGGGACTGGAGCCCGAGGATTCCTCCTTCATGCGTGCTGAGGGCTACTGTGGCCAGCACCGTGCCGGGCACGTCGTGTATGTTGGCATGACATGTCAGCATGGTGGGCATCAGCAGCCCATTCACAGGTGAGAGAGTGGACACAGAGCCAGGCACGGAGGGCACAGTTGTCATGGCCAGTGAGGGAACGATGAGCTTGGAACTCATGTCTAACAAGAAAGCTTTGATTGCATTGGACTCCAGGCCACCTCCTCAGGAGTTTGGACCCTGAGCCTGAGAGAAGACCAGGCTGACGGCAGGCCAAGCAGGAGCAGCTCTGAATGGATCTCTGGTGTCCCTGGGAGGAAGGAGACCACGTTTCAGCCTCCCAGCGTCCTTGGTCCTGCCTTCTGCTCTGTATCAGAGGGCACTGCTGCAGGGCAGGGCCAGTTCTCTTCTAGCTCCCGAGTCATTCCCGAGGGCCATTCCTGCCCACCCCCTCTGGGGCAACAGGCTGTGGGACCTACACCTGCTCCAGGCAGAGCTATTTCCTGCCCAGTCTGGCCAGCTCTGAGGGCAGCACGGAGTCTCCCAAGGCTCCAGATCCAGGCTGGGGCATCCCCAGGGAACACGAGAGACACTGGTTCCCCCATAGATGCCTGGTTACCCACAGGAGAGCAGAGGGCTGACCTGGAGAGGGTGGCCTCAACCTCACAGTGCCCAGGGACAATTCTTAGGCCTCCCAGGACAGATGCTCCCCTTGGGCAATGGTGGTGCCAAGTGAAAGGAAGATAAGAAGTCAGGAGGAGTGGTGGCTGCTCCCATCTGGCCAAGGTCATGCCATTAGTTGGCTACATTTGCAGGCACAGGCTGGCCTGATTAACCAGGTAGGGCTTGGGGATGGTGAGACTCTGGTGGATTTTGTGTGTCTTGGAGAGAAGGCACCTGTGGAAGGCTGGGTATCCAGACAGCCCTTGGGGACATTCTGGCCCCCTTACACAGAAGTGTTCTAAGGACCCCCTGTAGGTTCCCTGTGGCCAGAAGTACCTTCCCTCTGGTGCCCAAGGACCCAGGCTTTCATGGACCTCCAGGTCCTGAATGTCTTAGGGAATGGGATGAGGCTCAGGCCAAGGAGAAGGTTCTCCTGCTCCTACTCCCTCTCCTGCTCTCCATTCCCTGCGGGGTCTCTCTCCCTTAGACCCAGCTCTGAGAGCTGCCCATCCCTGTCCCAAAGCCTCCCCTGGTGTGGCCTAGAAGACTATGCCAAACAAGGGCTGCAAAACAAAGTCCCCATTCTGAGCCGAAACGGGTAGAACAGTAAACAAGTCAAGCAGGCAGGCTCCATGCAGCCAGGGTGGGGGGATATTTTCCCCCTCTTAGCTGATGTGGAATGTCAAAGAGGCTGAAATAAAAGTTGGAATGACAAGAGGCCAGCCCTAGTGGGGAGTAATTCACAGAGTTACTACCTGGTGGAGGATTAGGAGCGTTGCCTGCCTGCCAAGTGGGTACGATGTGTTATTGTCGAAAACACCACGTGAAATCCTTGTTTGTGTCAGCTCCAGGAGCATGTTGCTAATTTCGAGGAATTAAACTAATGCTTTACGTGGCTCCACAGAATATCAGAGGGGATTACAGCCTGGCAAGTCCTCGCTGACGGCCTTGCTGACCTTTGCCACACAAGGGGACTTTTTTTCTTGTTGCTTTTCCCGTGAAAGGTCCCACACGGAGCTGATACCTGGGCCTGGCACAGCCTGTGGCTCTGAGACCTGGCGTGTGGGGCCCGTCACGCCTGCCCTGACTGTTGGCTGTGGATCGATCTGGGCCCTCTCACAGCCTCTGTTCCCCGTGTGTGTCGGTCTCCTTGAGGGGAGGAGAGGTGTGGATCATCTCGGATAAAGTCCCAGGGGCATTCCCCTCTTAACCTCTGATGCGATCTCTTCCAGTCAGCAAGGCATCCTCACTCCCATAGGAAAGAGATGAAAGGCAGGCCTACTTGTTCAAGCTAGACCTCATTTGTGCTATATGATGCAGGAGAAAAAACTCCATTTCTCAATCCCTTCCACTGGGAGCTTGGAGCCTTGTTCTGCCACTTCCCGTCTCTGTGAACTTGGGCATCACCTCTCTGAGTCTCTGCAGTCTCATCTGTAAAATGGTTGTAGGAAAACTTTTCCTCTTAGAGTCTTTGGCCCACCCCTTCCTACCCTGCTAGCTGAGTGACCTTGGGAAAGTTACTTAGCCTCTCTGTGCCTCAGTCATCATCTGTGGAGTGGAGATAATGGCTATACCCACCTCTGGCTTGTGATGAGCATAGCAAGCTCACAGATGTCAAAGTTCTTACACAGGGGCCTAGCATGTAGGAGATGCTACGTATGCATTCGTTATTATTTTCAAGTGTTTTGCTCCCACTAGATGGTGAGTACATGTTAGTTCTCCTCCCCACAAACCATGGGGTAGGATAGGGAGCCCCTCCTTTCCTCCTTCTCCCTGTTCAGGCCACTCTCTCTGGCTCTTTCAGGAGTGTGAGACCTATGAGAAGTGCTGCCCCAACGTATGTGGGACCAAGAGCTGCGTGGCGGCCCGCTACATGGACGTGAAAGGGAAGAAGGGCCCAGTGGGCATGCCCAAGGAGGCCACATGTGACCACTTCATGTGTCTGCAGCAGGGCTCTGAGTGTGACATCTGGGATGGCCAGCCCGTGTGTAAGTGCAAAGACCGCTGTGAGAAGGAGCCCAGCTTTACCTGCGCCTCGGACGGCCTCACCTACTATAACCGCTGCTACATGGATGCCGAGGCCTGCTCCAAAGGCATCACACTGGCCGTTGTAACCTGCCGCTATCACTTCACCTGGCCCAACA
The DNA here is from genome assembly GCF_000001405.40 of Homo sapiens. Taxonomy (NCBI): domain Eukaryota; kingdom Metazoa; phylum Chordata; class Mammalia; order Primates; family Hominidae; genus Homo; species Homo sapiens. Next base: position 50,839,839 of record NC_000017.11, read on the forward strand.
CCAGCCCCCCACCACCTGAGACCACCATGCACCCCACCACAGCCTCCCCAGAGACCCCTGAGCTGGACATGGCGGCCCCTGCGCTGCTCAACAACCCTGTGCACCAGTCGGTCACCATGGGTGAGACAGTGAGCTTCCTCTGTGATGTGGTGGGCCGGCCCCGGCCTGAGATCACCTGGGAGAAGCAGTTGGAGGATCGGGAGAATGTGGTCATGCGGCCCAACCATGTGCGTGGCAACGTGGTGGTCACCAACATTGCCCAGCTGGTCATCTATAACGCCCAGCTGCAGGATGCTGGGATCTACACCTGCACGGCCCGGAACGTGGCTGGGGTCCTGAGGGCTGATTTCCCGCTGTCGGTGGTCAGGGGTCATCAGGCTGCAGCCACCTCAGAGAGCAGCCCCAATGGCACGGCTTTCCCGGCGGCCGAGTGCCTGAAGCCCCCAGACAGTGAGGACTGTGGCGAAGAGCAGACCCGCTGGCACTTCGATGCCCAGGCCAACAACTGCCTGACCTTCACCTTCGGCCACTGCCACCGTAACCTCAACCACTTTGAGACCTATGAGGCCTGCATGCTGGCCTGCATGAGCGGGCCGCTGGCCGCGTGCAGCCTGCCCGCCCTGCAGGGGCCCTGCAAAGCCTACGCGCCTCGCTGGGCTTACAACAGCCAGACGGGCCAGTGCCAGTCCTTTGTCTATGGTGGCTGCGAGGGCAATGGCAACAACTTTGAGAGCCGTGAGGCCTGTGAGGAGTCGTGCCCCTTCCCCAGGGGGAACCAGCGCTGTCGGGCCTGCAAGCCTCGGCAGAAGCTCGTTACCAGCTTCTGTCGCAGCGACTTTGTCATCCTGGGCCGAGTCTCTGAGCTGACCGAGGAGCCTGACTCGGGCCGCGCCCTGGTGACTGTGGATGAGGTCCTAAAGGATGAGAAAATGGGCCTCAAGTTCCTGGGCCAGGAGCCATTGGAGGTCACTCTGCTTCACGTGGACTGGGCATGCCCCTGCCCCAACGTGACCGTGAGCGAGATGCCGCTCATCATCATGGGGGAGGTGGACGGCGGCATGGCCATGCTGCGCCCCGATAGCTTTGTGGGCGCATCGAGTGCCCGCCGGGTCAGGAAGCTTCGTGAGGTCATGCACAAGAAGACCTGTGACGTCCTCAAGGAGTTTCTTGGCTTGCACTGAAGCCCCCCACCCCTCCCTGCCCCCTCCCTGGCCTTCTTCCACCTATCCACCCCAATGCCTCTCAGCAAACTGGGCGAGGTCAGATTAGACAGGCTTGGGACAGCAGGGAAACATCAACCGACGTGTCACAGAAAAAGCCACAGAAGGTCTCAGATCAGCATCTATTCTTTGGGTTCAATAAGGGGTTCATATCTTTTTTAGCTGAGGGGGACAAGAGGAGAAGTCAGTGGACACATGGAAGTTACTCGTGACCACCAGCTTGCTCAGATATTCTCCTCCTCCCCTCACTGGCCCCACACCCCTGGCTCTCCCAGTCACCCTCCCCTAGCCAGTCTCCCAGCAAGGGTTTAAGAGATGGCCGCTGTGTGCTGGTCACAGGAAGTGTTGAATGGATTGGCTTGCAAAGGGGGTAGGTGGGGAGAGATAGGAGGGCCCAGGGACTCATGGGACACCTTTCCCACAGCCTCCTCGATTGCTGTGAGCAGAGGCCACTCGGAGTTAGGGGCATGGGCAATAGCAAGCTGGCGGCAGAGTCCAGCCCAGCATATGACTTGCCCTGAATGGAAGCTGCTGAAACGGGTGCCTTTGGGTGGTGGTCGGCTTGCCTCTGAGGCCACCACGGCACCAGCAGAATACGTATTTCTTCTCCTTGGCTGCACTGGTTTGTCGATCTAGTTCAGTTCAACTCAGTGGATGTTCTCTGAATGCTTACTGGGTGCCAGGACCACAGAGAGATGTTAGTCACTGCCCAGTTCTTAGAGCCCCAACACAGATACCCTCATCCCAGGGCCCCCAGACACACCCCTCCGCTGGACTCACAACTGTCTGGAGTTTCTGTCTGATGGATGGTGTGCTTTCATATGCCACTGGCTTCCTTGGACATAGATCAGACAAAAGCCCCGGGATCTGTTTGGTAGCAGGAGAAATGAAGGAAGATGAAAAAGCAGGCAGGGAAGGGGGTAGTAAAGGACTGAGAGAGGAGGGAGGTGGCTGGAGAAGGAAAAGGAACATTGCTCGATGCTCCCATCTGGTGGCGGCCTCAGGAACCCACGGGAACCTGGAAGGAGGCTCTTTGTGAGACCTGGGCAAAGGATGGGGCAGCTCGTCGATGATTTTTTTGTGTTTCCAGGCTTCCTGTGTGATCCTGGCCCTCCGGCCGCTAGAGAGAGGATTGGGAAACCCCACTGTCAGCTCTGCATCTGCCCCCACTACCCTCCTCTGCCCTATTCTGTCCCTGCCCCTCCAAGCTGAAGAAGGTCCTTGTGGGGCGTCCTCATTTCTTCCTCAAATATAAGGAGGAAGATACCAATTAAAAGCTCATAGTATCAACTGCCCTTCTTGTGTGATTCGTTTGGGTTATGATGGGGGAGGGAGGGAGGTGGGTAGTGTCATTTGCTTTGGTGACCTTACAAGAGGGAAGTCTGGCCACTGGGAGCATCTTTGGGGGATGGAGAGATGCTGGTAATATGTGGGCCCCTTTTGCAGCTCCAAGGCCCCTTAACTGATGCTCAGCTCAGCTCCGTGAGTTAAGCTGAGGTCAGAGAGGTGAGGTGACTTGCCAAGAACACAAAGGCAGGAAGGGGTGGGTGGCCCAGCCCAGGTGTTCTGATCTGTAACCTGCTCTCACCCCAGCGTGACAGCACAGTTGGTCAGGTGCAGTGTCCAGACCCTTCCACCAATGGTGTCAAGTTCAGAGGCAAGAAGGTGGAGGAGATGGGAACGGAGCAGGCAAGGACAGCTGCCAGCTGTGACTCACTAGGGGGCCTCTAGGTGAGGCCTGGTCCCAGGAAGACTGTGTCAAAGCCCTAGGTAAGGTCAGGGTGTGGGGCTTGGTTCCCAGAATGGGGACAGCAGTGCCTTTGGCCCCAGGAAGGCCCACAGCAGCTCCCGAGGCATGGAGACGTGTTCAGCCATGGCACACCCCACAGCCTGTTTGTCCCCAAGAGACACCACTTCCCTGCACAGTTGCCTGTGTTTTCCCGGGCCCCAACCCAAAAGAAGAATCCAGGCCCAGCCTAGCCTGGCCCAGCCCATCTCATCTGCAATAAGGGCGTGAGGAGGAGGTCGGGAGCAGGAAGAACAGAGGCAGAGGATCCAGGGTTTCTCAAGTTGACATCGGGAGAACACTGAGCACAAAACTTAGCCACCAAAGTGGTGTGAGCAGCAGCCACGGGTCCCCACCCTGCTCAGGTCAGGTAACCAAGGAGGGTGAGGATGGTCTCACCCTGTCCTCAGAGGCCCAGGGACATTCTGTGCACCTGCTTCCAGCTCGAGCTCTAGCACATTACCATGCAAGCTGTGGGGGCAATTGTCCACATGCCAGCACCTGTCACCTCCCTTTTCAACCCCATTTGCACAGATACGGGACCTGAACGTGCGGCTGGGCCGGGACAGCAGGGCCCCCAGTCGCACGTCTGCTTCCCTGATGAAGGTGTGAGGTTCAGGAAAATCCCACTGTGGGGCTCCCTCTCACCAGACCACTGCCCACATACAGCCCCAGACCTGGGATCCCTGTCACACTCCAGCCCCACCTGGCAGAGCGAGAAAACTCAGCCCGTGAAGTCAGACTTGCCTAGGTCTGAATCTGGGCTCTGCTGCTTACCTGCAATCTCTCTGAGTCTCTGTTTCCTCATCTGTAAAACAGAGGGTAGTAAGATCACTCTACAAGAGGCTTGGGAGCTGGGCCCTATTAACCGGGTACAACTGGAAAGCCCAGGAAGGAGGACCTGGCGCCGAGTGGCTGCCCCCTGCCCCCTCCCACCCTCGGCAGCTCTCAGCTCAGAACAGACCCCAGAACCGAAAGGCCTCCCCTCACGTTTCTGGGTCTGGGGCTTTGCAGTTTCAAATGTTTTATTCTATTGCTCACAGAGTATATCCAAAGTGAACACCCACTATAGACTGATTTGGGGTTCAGAAAATATGGGCACTTAGGGAATGGGTGGTTTCGAACCTATTATAACTTCTGACCTACTACCTGGCATTCATTTTCTATCCTTGAAACCAAGCCGGGGTCCTTTCTTTCTGTTACCCTAGGCCTTATACAAAGCCTGGCATCTAGCAGGAGCTCAGGAAAGGGTGGATGGAGCTCCCAGGGCCTGGTTGCCAGCCAGTCTCGGGAGGTTGCTTTGCTCAGTCAAATCGAGGAGATTTGGCCCCAGCCTAGGTCCTGGGACATAACGAAATTGAGGCCCCTTTATCCAGGCTAGACTCACCTGTCTCCTGTCTGCCCTGGATACTCACTCCTCACCTTCCTGCACCCACTTGGCTCTCTCCTTCCTGTTCTGACCCTCAGTTTGCCTCTTCAGAGGACTATTCCCGAGCGGGCCTGTCTCCAGATCAGCCCCCAGGGCCTCTGGGGCAGGGCAGCTTGGCTTTTTCCACCCTCCGCCTCCCCCAGCACCTCCAGCCTGCTAGGACACTCTGCTCCATTGTCTAGCCAGCCGCTCCGTAGTCTGATGTCACCCCCCGGACAGTGGGGCTGGAGAGCAGGGATGGGGTGAACCCTGACTAGAGTCCACAGCATCGGTGATTGCCTTAGGCCGTGGGGAACTCCCTCCGTCCCCTTGTCCTATTGTAAAACAGCAGCATGCTTGCGCACGTCCTATGTGCCAGGTACCAGCTCTTGTAAGCTCCACTGCAACTGGAGGAGACAGAAGGCTATTTTGTAGGTAGGAAAACTAAGGCTAGACGGGATAAGAAACTTGCCCCAAATCGGATGAGTGGCAGAGCCAAGACTTGAATCCTGCCAGTCTGACTTCAGAGTTTTTGTTTTGTTTTGTTTTTGAGATGGAGTCTCACTCTGTCACCCAGGCTGGAGTGCAGTGGCATGATGTCAGCTCACTGCAACCTTCGCCTCCCGGGTTCAAGCGATTCTCGTGCCTCAGCCTCCCTGAGTAGCTGGGATTACAGGCGTGTGCCACCATGCCTGGCTAATTTTTGTATTTTTAGTAAAGACAGAGTTTTGCCATGTTGGTCAGGCTGGTTTCGAACTCCTGACCTCCGGTGATCCGCCTGCCTCGGCATCTCAAAGTGCTGGGATTACAGGCATGAGCCACCGCGCCCAGCCCAGAGCTCTTAATGCTCATGTTATGTTGTTTCTCCTAGTGTGCAACACACACACACAAACACACACACACCCTGCTCTGGGCTGGGCAGTGTGGAGTCCTATCAGGACCCCAAATATCTCTAAAGAGACTGCCTCCCATCAGCACACACATACCACTCAGGGCTGTTTACAACCTCACCCTGTGACAAGTATTTCTATCACACACACAAGCAGTCCTGGCCTAGATTCATCAGCCTTCTGCCTACTCATCCTTCAAGACTCAGCTCCTTGGGGAAGCCTCTGCTGTCCCCCGGCTGTGTGAGCACTCCTCTCTGAGTCCCTCTCCCTCTGTGTTTGTGCTGATCCAGATCAGAATCATTGCCTAGGGCCTCCAGGAAGCTGTGGGCCCAGCTCTCAGAGCTCATGGGGGTGCTTGCTGGGTGAAACAGAGGGTCCTGGGACCAGGGGCCACTCAGCGCTGCTGCACTGAACAACCACAAGCCTAGAAGGGGCCTCTCTGGGGTCCTCCCTCTTTTTCCCAGCTCCACCTCATGTTGCCTCCTCCTCCTCCTCTTCCTCCCACCTCTCTGAAGAGTCTGAAGCTTCCCTCCTACTCTGGAGAATTTGTGATTAATGCAGGCGGGATGGGTGGCAGGGTTCCTGGGCCCTATTCTTGGCTGTGGCCTCATTCTGGAATGTGCCCTGAGGTCAGGTGACACTCCTCACTCAGGCTGTGTCAGGAGGAAGGAAGAGTAAACCTCCAGCTGACATCTCCTGAGGGAGAGGGCAGGGTGGGCAGGTGGGCAAGCCCCTCACCCCTCTCCTGCCTGCCTCCCAGGCTCCTGAGGCCCTCGACCCATTTCAGGGTCACGTTGGAGTCCCTGCGGTCCCGTCCCAAATTACCCCGGGACACGGTACTCCACTAGGTCTCCAGCAATACTCTGGCCACCCTCAACCCCACTCGGATGAGGGAAAGCAGAACCCAGCCCAACATAGACTAGCCTCTCCTGGAGGTGGGGCCTCTTCCCAGGTGTCTGTCAGGGGCAAAGGGGGCACTTGCGTGCTTTCGGCCCTTTTCAGGCCTTGAGGACACTGCCAGAGACCCGACGGGAGGAGGTGGACCCATCCAGATAACTTGTTTTCTGTTTTGATGTGAGGGATGCATCCAATTCTGTCCATAGTCTAAGTGAGAGCAGACGACGGTGACTTTATCTCCTTTCTGGGTGGGTAGCCTGGAAGCGAGGAGGGGCCTAGGGTTTTCTCAAGGACCCTGGGCAGGGGAGAAGCACAGTGCCAGGAGTGGGGTGGACATGAGAATGCTAACCCCTGCGCCAGGCACTTTACGTGGACTGCCCGGTTGAATCCTCCCAACCCTCTGAAGGCACCATATTATTTTACTATTTCACCACTTGGCAGATCACACTCTAAGCTGCAACCTTCAGGAGGGCAAAGACCTATACACCAAACACAAGCCTGACCATGTTCATTAAGTGTTTGTCGAATGAATGAATGAATGGGGCAAGCCCTATAGGCTTTATGGAGGAAAAGAGGCCCTCATAGGTGCTATTTTACAGATGCTGAATCGGAGACTCTAAATGTTTAAAGGACCCAAGGCTATAGGGTCATTAAATGAAAGAGCCAAGATTCAAAGCCAAGTCTGTCCGAATTTGGTACCTGTACCCTTATCACGATATTACATATGTATTTTAACCATCGCAGTTAAAGGCTGAGGACCCCAAATGGCGGTTCCCCTTCTAAACACCCATAACCACCACTTCCAACTGGTCCTTGACCTCTGGGAGTACCAAGGGTTTACAGAAATTTTATAAAGCCATACCCTTCAATACTGTTAGTACTGAATTCATGTAAATGAATTTAAATTAAATAAAAACGTAAAATTCATTTCCTCAGTTACGCTAGTTATGGATCAAGTGCCATGTTTCATGTGGCTGGTAGCTGCCATACTGGACAACACAGACAGAATATTTCCAACATTACAGGAAATTCTATTGCACACCCCTGTTACAAAGGATTGACACAAATTTCTCTTTACTCCCATTGTCTCATGACCCTGATCTCAGCCTCAGTATGCCCTCATCTTTTCTCCTGAAAAGCTTATACATCTTTTTTCTTTTCTCTCTTTTTTTTTTTTTTTTTTTTTTTTGGAGATGGAGTTTCACTCTCTTACCCAGGCTGGAGTGCAATGGTGCAATCTCGGCTCACTGCAACCTCTACCTCCTGGCTTCAAGTGATTCTCCTGTCTCAGCCTCCCAAGTAGCTGGGATTACAGGCGCCCACCATCACACCCGGCTAATCTTCATATTTTTAGTAGAGATAGGGTTTCGCCATTTTGACCAGGCTGGTCTCGACCTCCTGACCTAAGTGATCCACCTGCCTCGGCCTCCCAAAGTGCTGGGATTAGAGGTGTAAGCCACTGTGCTTGGCCAGGTTTATATATCTTCATGCAAATAAAGTTCTTGATGGCCTCCCTCAATACCCCAGAGTTCCCAAAAAGGGACACAAATAAGTGCGCACACACACGCAGCACCAGCAGTCATGACACGCAGGTGAAGATGAGTTCTCCAAACTTTTAGCTGAATATGGTAGGGGTGCTGCTGATGGGAAGGAGACAGTGGGAATGAGAGGCTAAGTCCTCCCATGGCACAGCACAGTGCCCATGACAGCTGCCGCCTCCCAGGAATCAGCCTGCCACCAGGCCAGTTATTCAGCAGCTTTTCAGAGACACCTATGCTGCAGCTGTCATCTTGTTTCTTGCATGGAAGTGCTGACTAAAAGTCTAATAATTATTTTGTTAGTGGTCATTGCTGCTATAAGTGTGCTGCATAAATGTTTAAAAAGAGGGCCCAGGGGGCTCTGTTCTGCAGGATGGGGGTGGTTAAAGACGTCAAGAACTAGGCCTACTTTAAGAGATACACGTGAAATTTAGAAAATGACAAGAGGGTAAAACTGATTACTATCTTTGGAAACCCTTGGTGATATAGGATAAAAACAAGTATAACATGCCCAAATACAGGAAAAGTCATGTAACTAATAGAGATATCATTTGTCAGATTACTTATGCTCACATAGAAGGGGATATGATAGTCTGTACAGCTTATGCACATGAACTGCCAAAATGCAATGTGAAGGTTGGCCTGACAGATGACGCTGCAGCCTGTTGTACCAGCCTGTGCTGACCTGCAGGCTTCTCAATAGGTTCGGCATGGACAAGATCTATGATGGCCAAGAGAAGGTGACCAGAGATGAATTATAATGTGGAAAGCATTGATGGTCAGCCCGGTGCCTTCACCTGCTATTTGGATGCAGGCTTTGCCAGAACTACTATTGGCAATAAAGTTTTTGGGGCACTGAAGGGAGCTGTGGATGGAGGCTTGTCTATCCCTCACAGTACCAAATGATTCCCTGCTTATGATTCTGAAGGCAAGGAATTTAATGAAGAAGTACATCAGAAGTACATCATAGGTCAGAATGTTGCAGATTGGATGCATCACCTAATGGAAGAAAATAAAGATGCTTACAAGAAAGAGTTATCTCAATACATAAAGAACAGTGTAACTACAGACGTGGTGGAGGAGATGTGTAAGGAAGCTCATGCTGCTATACAAGAGAATCTAGCTGTGTTAGTCTGTTCTTGCACTGCTATAAAGAAATGCCCAAGACTGGACAATTTATGAAGAAAAGAGGTTTAATTGGCAGGCTATGCAGGAAACATAGCAGCTTCTGCTTCTGGGGAGGCCTCAGAAAACTTACAATCATGGCAGAAGGCAAAGGGGAAGCAGGCACGTCTTACATGGCTAGAGCAGGAGGAAGAGAGAGAGGGGGGAAGTGCTACATACTTTTAAACATCCAGAGCTCCCAATGACTTCCTCACTCACTATCACGAGAACAGCACTGAGAGGTGATGCCAAACCATTCATGAGAAACTACCCCCATGATCCAGTCATCCCCCACCAGGCCTCTCCTCCAACACTGGGGATTAAAATTTGACATGCAATTTGGTGGGGACACAGATGCCAACCATATCACCAGTCCATGAGAAGAAGCCCGAGAAAGAAGCTAAAAAGAGGAGATAGAACCGTCCCCAAATGTCCCTTGCCCAGAAGAAAGATTGGGTAGCTCAAAAGAAGGCAAGCTTGTTTTCTCTGAGCCCTCTCTTACAAGAGCAGAGGAGCAGACTGCTGAGGGCTAAACCAAACAACAATTTTCTTTCTTTCTTTTTTTTTTTTTTGAGATAGAGTCTTGTTCTGTCACCCAGGCTAGAGTTCAGTGGTGCGATCTTGGCTCAGGGCAACCTCCACCTCCCGGGTTCAAGCAATTCTCCTGCCTCAGCCTCCCCAGTAGCTGGGATTACAGGCAAACCCCACCACACCAGGCTAATTTTTGTATTTTTAGTAGAGACAGGGTTTCACCATGTTGGCCAGACTGGTCTTGAATGCCTGGCCTCAGTTGATCCGCCTGCCTTAGCCTCCCAAAGTGCTGAAATTACAGGCGTGGGACACCACGCCCGGCCCCAGACAACAATTTTCTATGAGGATTTTTCAGATAAAGACAATCAACATATTAAGCAATAAATAAATAGATAAGTAAATAAGGGGCCAGATATTTTAGGCCGCAAGGTCCCCAAATCTCCTTGCTATCCAGGGTGGGCCGGCAGTGAGAAAAGGTCACAGTCATGGCAGAGCATAGGTTCAAATACTGGCTTTGTGACTTTGAGTAGTTAACTTCTCTGTGCCTTAGTATTATCATCTATACAACAGAATAATAATGGTAGCCATAGTGCCTCTCCAGGGTAGTTGGTCCTGGGCCTCATTGCTTCAGTTTGTTGGGGATAATTGCTGTTGCACGTCCCTGCCAATGATTGGAGCAAGAACCAGGAGGGGAGAACAGGCCCCTCTCCCAGAGCAAAGTGAGAACAGATGCAGTCTCCTTTGCTGATAAGGAAAGAGTCCAGGAGGAGGGTAGCTGGAGAAGAGAGGGGGAGAGCAGGAGGGCAGGAATGAGAGGAAAAAGAAGAGGGATGGGGAGATGCATACACACATACGCACACACTCGGGGTTGTGCAGTTGGAGGCCCAGGAAGAAAAGATAAAGTGTAGTAATTTGGTTAGAGATGAGGAACCTCTGAGACCTCCATGGAGGCCCTAAGAATATTTCTGAACCCTTCATTCCCAGCTCCAACACCTCGGGGCACAGAACTAAGCTCTCAATGACCCCTTATTTCAAGTGCCACTCTCCATCTCAATGTACCACAAGGGGCAACAGAATAAAAGGGGAAACAGCCTTAGGACCCTGGTATGATCAATAACAGACTCAAAGCAATCCTCACAATCATTACAACCAGCAATTTTACCCTGTGACCCTAATAAGCGCTGAAGCTGGTGTTTATGGATGACTAGAACACAGCTTTAGTGAGACTTACACGGATGGTAACCCATCCCTGTCCCAGACCTCATAGAAGGTGGGCACCCTTTACCAATTAGATGCCCTTTTGGTAGGGTTAATAATTTCCATTACTAATAGCTTACAGCACTTAATATGTGTTCAACATGCATTATCTCATTAAATATTTACAACCCTGTGATGTGTATATTTTTCACCTCCATTTAATAACCTGTCCATTTCAGAGATAATGAAACTGAGGCTCAGGGAGATTGAATAATTTTCCCAAAGTCCCTGGCCAAGCAGGGAACCAAACCTAGGCGTGTCTATATGACTCCAAAGGCCACGTACTTAACCGCATGTGTGATATTTTCCACCACAGATTCAAGAACAGTCAAGTCTGGTTTCGTCTCATTTTTGTGTCCTCCCTTCTCCCTGCTAATATACCAGGAAGTTTTACTTCCTAGGATTCTCATGAAAAGGCACGTTTATAGCCAGCTGACCTCCCCTAAATAGGCTGAGCACATGCCCTTGAGGCTAAGCCGTGCGGGGAGAGGTGGAGGATTTGAGCCCTCTCTCACCACAGAGTAAAGAGAGTGCAGGTTATTCTATGTAGGGAAGAGGATTATGCTGAATGCTTTATTTATCTTACATGCTCATCACACCAACCCTAACAAGTAGAATTTGGAACCCTTTTACAGTTAGGAAATCTGAGGTGGAATCGTTTTAACAGTGCACTGCTATTTAAGGTTGAGTTTGAGATTTGATTCAAAGTCTGACCCCAGGCCAGGCGTGGTGGCTCACACCTGTAATCCCAGCATTTTGGGAGGCCGAGGCAGCGGATCACCTGAGGTCTGAAGTTTGAGACCAGCCTGGCCAATATGGTGAAACCCCGTCTCTACTAAAAATACAAAAAAATTAGCCGGGCTTGGGGCTGGGCACCTGTAATCCCAGCTACTCAGGAGGCTGAGGTAGGAGAATCCCTTCAACTCAGGAAGCAGAGGTTGCAGTGAGCCGATATTGCGCCACTGCACTCCGGCCTGGGTGATAGAGCAAGACTCTGTCTCAGAAAAAAAAAAAAAAGGAAAAAAAAAAGTCTGACCCCAAAGCCCACGTTCTTTCTCATAGAGGATCACGAGGAGTAATGTTATTTGGAGGCTGAATGAAGCCCCCTACACCACTCTAGAGCATTCTTACATCTGCAGGGGAAATTGTGGGGCCTAAACATGTGTCCCCGCTGGTCAAGTGAGTGTGAGACAAGGATCAGACGCTGGTGTCTTCTGTGCCAAAGCAGGATCCACACTCTGTACAGAATAGTGATGCTCTCTGAACAGTCCCAGGTCACATGAAGGAGTTTGGCCAGCTTGTGGTGGTATTTTCAGTGGATGACAGAGTGCTCAGCCACCAAGAGAACTTAGGGAAGCCTGGGGAAGGGCATTGCCCGGGGAAGTGACCCAGGCGAAAAGTTATTTGGGAATGTTAATTTCTGGCTGAAATTTATACAAAGCTTTCCCTTCAAAGCCTCATTCTTTGATTTATGTTCAAACCGGAAGATATTACAAGCACCCAAAAAGCCAAACTGGAAAAGGAAACTGCAGAGCTCCACAGACTTGTTGCCTTGGCCAGGGGTAGGGTGTGGCGATGGGAGTGGCAACTGGGAGTGACCTGGGGGTGTCTGAGTTTGTGCAATGAACACGCACTTTCCACCAACACCAACTTCTGGAGGGGTAGTACCTGCTGTGAGCCCTGACATCACAAAACCAAAAGAGGCTTTGTCACTAAAGGTAGGAAAACAAATGAGATGACCCCTAGAGGGAGCTTCTAGCCTGAGGAAGTTTCTAGATTAAGCATGAAACTGAAACTGTCTTAAAAGGAAGGAATTCGACATCCCTCTGACACAGCCTGACGCCCCTCTCAGTCCCACCTTTTCTTTCCTTGGACTTCTTACTGGTCCTCCCCATCTCACTCCTGGGTTTGATGAATAAAGAAGTTTTAAACTATTTCTCTTTCATAATGTTTCTGTACAAAGCTTGAAACAGTGAAAAAATAAGTTAAAATGTTCAAATTCAAAGGCAGGTTCTCCCAGGAGAGATGGGCTGGCAGCAGAGCTTCTATTTCTGATTTCCTCTGCCTTTTTCCCCAAGGGTTAGCAGCACACATTCTTCCTACTGTGGCTACATCTGATGAAGAACACACACACACACACACACACACACACACACACACACACACCAGGACCAAGGTTTTCCTCTCAACTGCCTGTTCCTCCACTGGAGCTGGGAATTTGAGGGAGCCCAGGCTTCCCCGGGTGCTTCCAGTGGACATTGTACCCATTCTTCATAGCTGGATATCTCCCCCCAGATCTAGCATCCCTAAGATAGGCACAGTCTCACCCTTTTTTGTTCATACCCCTACATTTTCCTGTGTATTATGATTATTTGGGCGTGTGTGTTATCGTTTGCTAGAATGTAAGCTCCTTTAGAGGTTCCGAAGGATTGTATATATCACTGCCAGTTCCTAACGCAGGAGATGCTTAATAAATGTGTTGAGTGGATGAATACAGGAGCTGTTTTTAATCATATCTCACCTTGTTTGAGAAAGAATTTAGGGACAAGAATGGAATCTGAGCCCAGGGCAGCCACTTGAGTCAACATCACCCTTTTGCTATCACAAGTACTAGTAAAGCTCAGGACCCAAGACTTCAGTATGTGAAGTGCCTATAGTTGCTTCTCAACAAATCTAATCATCCAGAGAGCAGTCGCAATGTAAGTAAGTAAAGCTAGCACGTAGCCCTCAAACTCATATCTTACTCCATTGTGTTTTTGCAACCGATTTCCCTTTCCTAATTGTGCCTGGCAAAGGCTGATAGCAAAATAAGTTTGGGATTGCTGAGCAAACAATCACAAGTGAGGTTTGCAGGAGAGGGGGACTGGGCACAAAGTGCAGCTTAGATGACTTCTAAATAATCAGGTGGGGCTCTTTTTATAAAATCGACCGGTTGAGGTCAACCAAGGGAGCAGGATAGTGTAATGGTTAAGGATCATGGACTTTGGAAACAGAATCCCACAGTTCAAATCCTAGCTCCGCTGGCTGTGACTGTTGCAAGCTCTCTGCCTCCACTTATATATCTGTAAATGGGAGAAACAGTACAACCTTCAGAGGGTTGTTATGAAGTTGAACTGAATTTAAATGGGGCAGTATCTAGCACATAGTAAATTCATATAAGGGTTGCCATTATTACTACTGAGCTTTTGGGGTTGGTCATTCCCTCTGGATTCCATAAGACTTTGTGATAGTATAAAAATCATCCTTCAAATAGGCAGTGCTTTACGTAGGAGCAGTTCCCCATCCTCCTTGAAAATCTGGGAAAAAAACACGCGCACAATCTTTGGGAAATGGCGGTGTCAGAACTTCTGCAAAGCCTCCTTCCGAGGAAACTGATCTCCAGGGCAAGTTGTCAGGCAGTGTATGCATAAGCTCTCTCCTTTACTGTCCTTTCCACCTTTCCCAGGCCCTGGAAGCAAAGGCAGATAGAAGACATAACACCCTGGTCCCTTGCCGGCTGCCAGACCCTTCTCCTTTGGCAGATGCTCCTGGGGAGATAAGCTCTCACCTCCATCTCTCTATTCCTTTTACACAGAACCCAAAAAGTTCTTTGAACTTTAGTGGTTCAGAAAATAAACAAGAATCTTCTTTCTAAGTTACCAAAAAAAAGTTTCCTTCCTTTCTTCCAGCCTTTTTCAAGATTCACAAAGAAGAATTTCCCCAGGTAAAAATCTTTTATAGCTGTGTGAAAACTGTTTGTTCTCAAAGTCTTTAGTTAAAGAGCCTCTGGTGACACCTTAGTTTCTAGAAAGGTTGACTGCAAAGATTGCAGCTATCTTAAACCTTGTATTAAAATGGTTTAAGAGATTCCTATCATGTTTTCTGGAAATAAAAAGAAATTAGAATAAAGTAAGTCACCAGGGCTCCACAAAACTTTAGAATGGCAGGTAGTTTGCAAAACTAGGAGAGTTCTTTTTGGGAAAAGAGATTTGAGGGCAGTAGGCAGATCTGGATAATCAGAGTGAAGAAAGAATAGGCATTGTCATTACAAAACAAAACAAAATTCAACCTTCATCCTTACTAAAAATGCATCGATGGGGCCGAGCGCAGTGGCTCACGCCTGTAATCCCAGCATTTTGGGAGGCCAAGGCGGGCAGATCACGAGGTCAGGAGTTCGAGACCAGCTTAACCAATATGGTGAAACCCCGTCTCTACTAAAAATACAAAAATTAGCAGGGCGTGGTGGCACGTGCCTGTAATCTCAGCTACTCAGGAGTATGAGGCAGGAGAATTGCTGGAACCCGGGAGGCGGAAGTTGCAGTGAACCGAGATTGCGCCACTGCACTCCAGCCTGGGTGACAGAGTGAGACTCCGTTCCCCCTCCAAAAAAAAAAAAAAAGGAAAAAGAAATGCATTGATGGCTAGTGGAGGGGTGGCAAGGGAAAGCCATCTGAAAGGAATACCTGCATTTAGTGCAAAACAGAAAAAGATGTTCCTATGCCTGGAAACTACTGAACCTGTGTCACAAGGTGTCTGGATACTGTACTAAAGTGTACAATATTTGCAGGGTAGGATGATTCCATTTCTTTCTTTTTCTTTTTTTTTTTTTGAGATGGAGTCTTCCTCTGTCGCTCAGGCTGGAGTGCAGTGGTGCGATCTCGGCTCACTGCGACCCGCCTCCTGGATTCCAGTGATTCTCCTGCCTCATCCTCCCCAGTACCTGAGATTACAGGCACGTGCTGCCATGCCCTGCTAATTTTTGTATTTTCAGTAGAGACGGGGTTTCACCTATTGGTCAGGCTGGTCTCAAACTCCTGACTTCATGATCCGCCTGCCTCAGCCTCCCAAAGTGCTGGGATTACAGGCATGAGCCACCACACCCGGCCAGTAATTCCATTTCTTAAATCATACTGATATGATACTGATAGCATTCCTTTCTATCAATATACAGAAGTCATTTACTTATACTCACCATTTGCTAGAAAACAAGCTAGACTGATGCCACGTCCATTCTTGACACTCTTTCTTTCTGGCCTAAAGGAAGCACAAAATCGTTTTAAGTCAGTCTTCACACTCCAAAAGAGTGTGCAACATAATTTTCCAGCTTTCTCACTAGCACTAAGAAAGAGGAAAAAAAGACCTCAAAAGCTATAGAAGGGCATGTGGAGAATCAGAGTTTAAAAATAGCTGCAACCTGATGGCCAGGAAGGAAGTTTATGTTTAACATTCAGTGCAAAAAACAAAACAAAACAAAACAAAACAAACCCCACATGAAATCAATGTCTAGCTCATTTTGTCAATGTGGTTTTTCCACAATTATTTTTGAAACACTTGAAAAGTGTATAGGCAGAAGGGATGCGACCTACGGTATATGCCAAAGTTTGTCTAAAAATATTTTACACCTGTTCTCTGTACTGCACACTGGTCATATTTTATCAGTGAAGTAAGTACTCATAATGCCAGACGGAATGTGTTTTTCCTTCCAAGTCCTCTATGTTTTTCCCTTTGGTAAAGCGAACCTCCTCTTCTTTTCTACCTGCACTAAAATAAAGCTAGCACCATTATCCATGTGACGTATCCACCACCAAGCTACATTTTAACTACTATTCCTCAGGCAATATTGTTTAAATAAGAACAACTATGTCAATATTTTTCACAACAGCAAGGACATTTTAACTTAGCAAACACTTATGGCTGCTCCCAAAAGGAAATGTCAACTAGTATACTGAGTTTTAATCAACTTGCCAACTGTATGAAAAAGAATGCACTAGTTGCCTTCAGTGCTTCAAAACTAGAAATACAAACTCCGTGATACTTATTCTTATGAAAATAATTATACTTATTTTATGAAACATGAGCTTTTAGAATATTACTGTAGAATTTCAATTTTCTGTTGACGCAAATAACTGACAGCAACATGTTCACATAAGGCAGTTATAATCTTCATTTACTTTCCTCATTTTAAAGGGCAGCGAACATGGCTAGAATTCTGGACTTTATGGCTTCTAAATACTGTGAGCCCCTATGGACACATGTTCTATTAGTTGACTGACAACTCTTAATAGCAAATGATTAGTTCTCATAGCTCCTCAGGGAAGCATATTGGTATCACTGTACTCATTTTGCAGATGAATAAACTGAGCCATCTGAATCAAATGACTTCATACAATTCAGCAAGGAATTTAGACCTGTAGTTTCAGTTAGCCACTAGACAACTAGACAGGGACTGCCTGTTGATTAAATGTTTTCGTCTAAGGTTTGCCTAATTGTGAGATGATCTCAAAGTTCTCACTAACAGACTATATATACAAACCAAGTCCTCTAAGACATAAAATCTTAAAACTTCAAATACTGAGAAATGGTTAATGTAGGTTTTACTATTAATACTTACGAGTCAAATTCCATTAATAAGACTTTCAGCCCAATCTAAACCACCTAAAGCTCAACTAAGGGGTCAGCAATATTTGCTTCAATCAAATGCCAACTAACCCAACAATGTAAACAGTATTTAGTATAACAGGATTTAATCCACATAGAAACTACAGAAATTCTCCTGAGCCTTTTTTTTTTTTTTTTTTGAGATGGAGTCTTGCTCTGTCGCCCAGGCTAGAGTGCAGTGCCTGGTTCACACCATTCTCCTGCCTCAGCCTCCCGAGTAGCTGGGACTACAGGCGCCCGCCACCACACCCGGCTAATTTTTTGTATTTTTAGTAGAGACGGGGTTTCACTGTATTAGCCAGGATGGTCTCGATCTCCTGACCTCGTGATCCGCCCACCTCGGCCTCCCAAAGTGCTGGGATTACAGGCGTGAGCCACCGCGCCCGGCCTTGGCCTTTCTTTAGAGTGTTTATCAATAAGCACAGACAAGGAATGGTTGTGAAAATAGCAACAGGAGGTTAACGGTTACAACTTTACTTGTAACCGACCACTAAATGTAGTCAGGGAATCATCCAGTAGTTCTGAAAAGAGATGTAATTTATATGACTGAATTATGAAAACCAAAAAAACTAGAGCATTGCTAGGTGTGGTGGCTCACGCCTGTAATCCCAGTACTTTGGGAGGCCGAGGTGGGCAGATGACCTGAGGTCAGGAGTTCGAGACCAGCCTGGCCAATATAGTGAAACCCTGTCTCTACTAAAAATACAAAAATTAGCTGGGTGTGGTGGTGTGCACCTGTAATCCCAGCTACTCAGGAGGCTGAGACAGGAGAATCGCTTGAACCTGGGAGATGGAGGTTGCATGGGAGGTAGAGGTTGCAGTAAGCCAAGATTGTGCAACTGCACTCCAGCCTGGGCAACAGAGCAAGACTCCATCTCAAAAAAAAAAAAAAAAAAAAAAAAAAAAAAAAAACAAAAAACTAGAGCAATGATATAACAATGATTTCTAAAAACATTTCCTTATTGCCTATGAGTTCAGTTTATGACCAATAGAAATATAAAGTCTCACTCAAAATATCATCATGGCATATTCTGAGCATGGTTAATAGCCTTCCACTAGACCCCTCTCATTAACACTTTTGTAAAGATTCTGCAAATTACGTAGCTAATACATCGAAAATGGTGTTATTACCCTGACTTCAAATCAGAATAGCAACTAATCTGAGGGAGCAAAGCATAGTGCTTAAGAGCGTGAACTCTGGAACCACTACCTGCATTTGAATCGCTAGTCTGCCATGTATTGGCCATGCAATCTTGGGTCAGTGAAGCTTTCTGTGCCTCAGTCCCATCCCCCTCCCCCTGACCCAGTCTATAAACTGGGTTAGAACTACACTTGACACATAGTAAGTGCTATATGTTTATTTCCTGATTTAAAAGATTTTTAAAAATGGCTCCAACTACATGTTTACATAAGCCACTCAAAAATGGTTTCAAACTGGGCATGCAATTGGAAAATGTGCTAATTTTCCAATTGTATGCCCACAGATAATTGATCCTAAATCATTTAAACTACAAGATATAATCTTCCTAATATACCACAAAAACTAAAGCACTCTGATCTCAAATGACCTCCTGGGCCAAACTGATTAAGCGTCAATTGATTGGTATACTAAACAATGCAATGGGTTTTATTCAGCAGTGACCATTTTACATACTTGTCTTCTGTTTTTCTTGTATCTGTTTTTGCACTAGAGTTGTCACCCAGCATCTGACAAAAGCATGCATTTCCAGTCAAGCAAGGGTACGTATCTGATGTAGCATGCCTATGCCATTTTCTGTTTGTGTACCGAAAGGATATAAAGGAAGGTCTACCAACCGGCATTTTACTTCATTAGCTTAAGTATGTCCAATGAGACATACTTTGTTTCTTTCTGTGTCACAGTGACTTATTTTAAAATAATCGAAGTCCTGAAGATTTATTAAGTCTCTCAATTAAAATGCCAGACATGTATATGGGAACGAAATTTACACCCGATTGGAAAAACATTATTTTATTTTATTTTTTTGAGACTGAGTTTCGCTCTTCTCACCCAGGTTGGAAGGCAGTGGCACAATCTTGGCTCACTGCAACCTCCGCCTCCGGGTTCATGTGATTCTCCTGCCTCACCCTCCCAGCCTGTAGCTGGGACTACAGGTGCATGCCATCACACCTGGCTAATTTTGTGTTTTTAGTAGAGATGGGTTTCGCCATGTTGGCCAGGCTGGTCTCAAACTCCTGACCTCAAGTGATCCACCTGTCTCGGCCTCCCAAAGTGCTGGGATTACAGGTATGAGCCACAGCACCTGCCCTGGAAAAATATTTTAAACTCAGAGTACCTTTAGTTTCACCTTCAAAAGCTAAGTTAACTAATCACAGCATATATTGTTATCTTTAAGGAGGCATTTTGAAGAAGGCCTATATTTACATTTGCCATCTATTATAGGCGAAAAGGACATTTCACAATGTACCTGATTTCAGAAACGACAAGGCAGGGCAGAAAACGAATATACTAAACTTAGAAAGCCATTTTTTGGTATAATATTCCTTACTCATCCATGAGCTATGAAATCTGTAAGGCAACATTTTGGACACTCAGGGTATTCAGAGGCTGCTACAGTATCTGTAGTTATAGGAGTCAAAAAGATGGGAAAGGCCTGTGAAAATAACGAATTCATCAAATTGTCAACCGAAATGGTCTCCCCACAGAGAGTCAAAAGTGTGATGGCACCTTGGGGAGAAAATGACTTGGAACTAAGATGTAACCTTTTCTCAGATGTGCTAGGCAAAAGCACCTTTTAAAAAATTCCCATTCCTAATGAACAAAAAGGGCATGTAAACAGGGCCTTTGTTCATTTTTTAAAAAATTATGAAGTCCTCGCTGGATGCGTTGGCTCGCACCTGTAATCCCAGCATTTTGGGAGGCCAAAGCGGGAGGATCATGAGATCAGGCGATCGAGACCATTCTGGCCAACCCCGTCTCGTCTCTACTAAAACTATAAAAATTAGCTGGGCGTGGTGGCGCGCGTCTGTAGTCCCAGCTACTTGGGAGGTTGAGGCAGGAGAATCACTTGAACCCGACAGGCGGAGGTTGCAGGGAGCCAAGATTTCACCACTGCACTCCAGCCTGGCAACAGAGCGAGACTCTGTCTAAAAAAAAAAAAAGATGAAGTTCTCAAGGACACCAAGCTCAAGTTTTAATAAAACCAATCAAGATCACATTTTGAGTTAGTCATTCTCCGATGTCAAACATATGTACCAAGATGAAATTTCCCTAAGATTTTTGTCGATACATATATCCTTAAGATCTGAAACAGATATTCAGGCTTATGTTAACCTCAGTATTTAAAATCTGAATATATTAGTGCTTGGCTGGGTGTGGTGGCTCACGCCTGTAATCTCAGCATTTTGGGAGGCCAATGCGGGCGGATCACCTTAGTTCAGGAGTTTGAGACCAGCCCAGGCAACGTGGCGAAACCCTGCCTCTACAAAAAATACAAAAATTAGCAGGGAACGGTGGCACGCAGCTATAATCCCAGCTATTCAGGAGAGTGAGACAGGAGAATCGCTTTAGTGGAGGTTGCAGTAAGCCAAGATGGCCCCTTTGCACTCCAGCCTGGGTGACAGAGTGAGACCTTGTCTCAAAATAAAATGAATATATTAGTGCTCCAGACAGTTTCAAATTCTATTGTTGACCAGGCGCAATGGCTCATGCCTGTAATCAGAGCACTTTGGGAAGCCAAGGCAGGCAGCTCATTTGAGGCCAGGAGTTCGAGACCAGCCTGGTCAACATGGTGAAACCCCGTCTCTACTAAAAATACAAAAATTAGCCAACATGGTGGCGGGCGCCTGTAGTCTCAGCTACTCGGGAAGTTGAGGCAGGAGAATCACTTGAACCTGGGAGGTGGAAGGTTGCAGTGAGCCGAGATGGTGCCACTGCACTCCAGCCTGGGTGACAGAGCAAGAGACTCCGTCTCAAAAAAAAAAAAAATTCTATTATGTTCCGTCCAGCTGCCTTATGATTTTCAGAAAAAGCACATTACACTTGAGCCTTCATTTATAAGTAGAGTTTTCTCCCAAATGTAACTTTATCAGTCTGTAGCAGAAACTAGTGCTTAAAGCCATTATCCTGATGGTTCTTACAGCTATTCAAACTTCGTGATCACAAAAGCATGTAAGTGGTAAGTGTTGGCAGACCAGATCTCTGCTGCTTGCACCCATTATTCCAATACTTCTTCATAGCCTCGTTCTGTTCCCTAAAGAACAAAAGCCTCACCATGGAGCTGACAAACAGCTTAGCTCTGTTATTTCCAGTGCTTGTTTCCTTAAAACTTTGTATTGCTCTACACTGCATGGGTAAATGACAAAAGGCTTTTGTAGACTGGTGTCCAAAAAGCTCATGAGACCAAATTTATTTCACTGGTAACCCAGGCAGTGCTGGTTTCTTACTATAAAAGTACATATAAAGTTTTTTAAGACAGCTTTCTCACCAATACTATGTCAACACTGTATCAAATGGACGTTAACTTTCTCACCAATACTATGTCAATACTGTATCAATTGACATTTAGTGAAATGACTCATTTAGTGTTCTTCTCCCCAACTCTTCAGTTTTAAAAAACTCCATCCTCACCAAGCCACTCCAATTTGATACATTGTCAATATCTCTAAATCCTTCAAACCAGCAGGTTGGGTACCCACTTGCAAAAAATTAAATACATAAGCGTTTTTGCTGGGAAAATGAAAATGCTAACATCTAACCATCTGTCCAGCCGTGAATAGATTTTGACCATAAGTTCTCTAGCTATATGCAATAGCTAAACTTTAAAGATTAGTAAAGTGATGTAAATTTTTCTAAGTTCAGTCAGCCGTTTTGTCCAAGCAAGTTTCCTCAGCAAAAACAGAAAACTGATCCAATGCTCTCTCCATATAAATTTCAAATAAATCATCTCAGATTACACGAAGGAATTTCATCTTATCACCTGACTCCTCCATGTCAGCATGACATTTTGAAACTTGCTGTATAGCTAACCTTACCATACCATCTCTATAATGGGGTAGACAAATGTGGACTGAAGAGGGCTGTTAAAAAATAAAGTTGTACCAAGCACTGGTCAGGCTATAGTTTTGATAGCATTTTTTATGTGGCAAACCACGATCTGGTACATCAGTAGAGCAACTGCTTTCCATTATTCCTTCGTGACTCAATGAGTCAGGCCTTTTTCCATCATTAGCATTTACAACATAATAACTCCAGAGGTCGATCTTCAGAAAACACTTAAAAACAAAGACAATAGGCATTTTTAATTTTAAAGAATTTTAATACAAACTTAATATAAACTATTTCAGTCCCTCTTAACATGTAAGACACTGACTCAAAATACTTTTATACCGTTTTTTTCAAGTATTGCACAATATAGGTACAAAATTAATATTTACGATTACATTTTTCTTCCATAATATATAGCAAAAATCTTTAAACTTTTAACAGAAAATACATTTTTTTGAAAAAGCAAGTATTCGTACATTTTAATTCCACCACTAAAGGAATATCCTGTACACAATTTTTAGAATAGTTGATGTCTTTAAGATGGATATTTTACAATTTCAGTAAAAAAAATACAACATGAAGCTGCTGCTGTCACAGATCACTGTAGTAAAAAGATATAAATGCAATACCATGTCGTAGAAACAATATATATATATCCTCTGATATTTTACAAACTTTGTACTAAATTAAATTATACAATTAGAAAAGACCAATAAACCCACTTATTAGTGCCAATTTTTATAAAAAAAAATCAGCCATGTCCTTGCTATATCTTAAATACTGTAAGAGGCCATATCTGAGAGTATACTTTAAAATATACAGTCAGTATAAAATAACTTTGTGCTTGGTTGGCAAATGAAAAATGATGCATGTTTTATTATTATTTTTTTAACCAAGCTTGAATGTATCCTTACTATAAGCTTAAAAAAAAAAATTCTCAAGGAGGTGAAAAAAAAAATCCCCCTTGGGCCCGTGCATTTTAACTTGTACGATACATTTTCTTTTTTTTAGTTAGCCATAACAGGCTGGAATTGCTGGTTAGAATACTGCATGTTATTTAAGCTAAAATTCAAGCCATCTACAAAAGATTTCTCATTGAGGCCTCCATAGGCTGCAAACACATCAAAGGCATTACTGTACTGGAGAGGACTGAGGTTAAGGGGGCTGTCACCTGGGAACATTCCATTGGTACTACTACCTTGACCCTGCATATTAGGAAAAATAAATTCCTTGGCATTAGGAGAAAGAGCAGAGGTTTTCTGCTGTTGTTGCTGCTGTGGTGGTGGTGGTGGCGGTGGCGGCTGGGCTGGCTGCTGCTGTTGCTGTGGCTGCTGCTGGCTACCCAAGCCAAGCCCATACAGAGAGTGCATTGAGGAAGAGATGGCTTTCTGCTTCAAGAGGTCATTCACATTCAAGCCGAGGTTGATGGGAGAAGTACGTGCAACCTTGTTGCTACGGCCACTATTCTTCATTTTGGTAGAGCCGAACTTGGTGGCAGCAAAAGTGGCAGTGGTAAAGGTTAAAGGCTGAGTGGACCGGGGCATGAAGGTAGGGCTTACAGCAGCAGAGTGACCAAAAGGAGGCGATGGAGAGCTGGACACTGATGAGGCTGGGTCACTTATGGGCATAAAAACCTGGGCCTCTGGGTTAAAGCTGTTTTTGATCTCCTTATCCAACTCACATCCATTTTCATTATTATCATCCACGTAAAGCACCTTCACTGGTCCCTTTTCACCAATTTGGTAAGAAACCTCAAATGGGTCGATCCAAACACTAAGATCCTGTGGCAGATTGCCACGAACATCATCAATGTCCAAACCACTCTCTTTGGATGCTTGTTCAATCACTGGGTCCACTTTCTCCCCTATGTGTATACATCTAAACCCCGATCCTTTGTATGGCTTTTCAGGATACCAGTGCCCTTCATATTTCTTCTTAAGAAGTCTTTCAAGTTCTTCACCAAAAATGTTGACACGTCTCCTGGGAAGCTTATTGTACAAATACGAAATAATAAAATTTAGTGCTACTTGGATTTCAAGCTGCATAGCTGCTACGCCACAAAATTAGGTTTCAACTCCCCCACCAAAAAAAAAAAAAAAAAAAAAAGATGTTCAGTTTGTGGCAGAGAAACAAATTTTCATTCAAAGTGCTGGTATTAGTAGATTATCCTTCACCTTGAGTGATCTTGTTCCTTAAAACAAAAGCAAACATATCCAAATAAGATAAATGTAATATAAGTCCCATGACCTTCCCCCCTCCAAAGTAATTTCACCTTTCAAAATGTCTAAGATCCTGTGTTAGTCTGCTAAGGATAAAAAGAAAAAGAAAATGTCTACTAGGACAGAAAGCCTGAAAACTGTTACTAGCACAAAATAAACATAAAATAGAAAATCGTTTATTAAAGTTTAAAATGACACAGGAAAATGTAGATTTACAAATGAAATAATGCTTTTAAAAACCTGTTTCTGAATAGAGTTCTAAGAAGAAAAATCTCTAGAACATGCATTCTTCTCTCCTCAGTTCTCACAAGAATATTTATTGTACTCAGCATCCTCCCCCCACCCCCATATATATAGATGCCACTTTTAGGTAGTAATTTTTATTGTTATTCACCAACTTAGAAGTGAATCCATGTTTTAGTTTACTTTGGATATATACTGTTTAAATCTGCTCTGTCACTGACATTTAAAAATTTGGTTACGTTAGGAAGATCATTTTAATTTCCATAGTACATGATGCTAAAATTAAAGACACTGAGTACTAAATGAACTTCATCCTAGTAAATAATTATGAACCAAATTATTCTATATAGTTTCGGCCTTAAGTATACTAAGAGCATACAATATAATAAAATCCAGCTTCTCTGGGCCTTTTGTT
The DNA here is from genome assembly GCF_000001405.40 of Homo sapiens. NCBI lineage: Eukaryota > Metazoa > Chordata > Mammalia > Primates > Hominidae > Homo > Homo sapiens. Next base: position 50,864,850 of record NC_000017.11, read on the forward strand.
TTCAATGTGTATTTTTCTAAATCTGAAAATACCTATTCGGCAGCAAGTATAACAAAAGCAAAGACACAAATTAAAACTATTGATTATTCTGTTTAAGGCCAGGGTTTCTGAGTTTTAGTCTGATTTTAAAAAACCTCCGTCTGTCCCTCTCTCCCTCCCTCCCTCTCACGGTAACAGCCGGAGAGGCAAGTATGGTAAGGTCGACCTTTAAACGTTTGCTGGATCAGCACTGGGTGGGGATAAGAAAAGATCAAGGGCAAACAGAAGATATTTGCGAAAGGGATCTATTTGCACACTGAAGTTGATTTAAAAGTACGTTTAAAAATCAAGTTGGTCTTAATTCGTCTGTTCTATTTTCCATATTCGTGGTGACAAAGGGAAAAAGAATCTCTGGCTGCCCCCAAACTACAAACACTTTCCAAGTCAAAAGCCTGAGTGCCGGCAGAGGCAGCTGATTAAGCCCAATTGCTTGAAGGTGCAGCCGAGCGAAATTCAGGCTCGGTGGAAGGTAGTTACAAAGCAACGCCTTAAGACAGGCAGGAGTGTGAAGAATTACATAAACAGCCAGTTAGATCTCATTAGATTTCTGCTCACAGCCCTCGGAGCCCAAGCGCTACAGCAGCAGCAACAGCAAGAGGAGGTGGAGGTGGAGGAGGAAGAGAGTACGAGCCTCCTCGGAGAAGGAGGAGGAAGGCCCGGGAAATGGAAGAGCAACCTCTCCCGGCTGGGCACCCAGCACCGAGCAGGTCGGGGCGCCGGGTCAGCCGCTCCCCTCCCCCGCCGTAACCCGACCCGCTGCTCCCCGCCCCGTGGCCCCCGCCCCGGGCTCCTGGGAGCCGGCCAGAGCCTGGGGGAGCACCGGTTCCTCGGCACCATTTTCAGCCTCGCGGCCACCGGCCCCTCGAACCCCAGCGTTCCACCGCGAGCTCGTCGCTCCTCCGGGCACCCCAACCCCCCAATTCCCGTCAGCTCGCCCCGGGCCGCCCGTCCCCGGCCAACTGCCCAGGACGAGCCCGACGCGCCGGCGGCCCCTCGGAGCCGCTCCCCTCGGGTCCTGGCGCTGCCCCCTCGGCGCCCAGGGCCGCGACCCCGCCGTCCCCGAGCTCCCGAGGGCCCAGGGCTCGACGCCGCTGCAGCCCCTCCTCCGCCGCCTGGGCCCGGGGCTCCCGTCTCCTCGCCGACCCCGCCCGGCGCCCCGAGATACTTACGGGCTGCTTCGGGGCGGCTTGGACCACAGACCCGCGGCTGGGCGGGGAGCAGCGCGGCAGGGCGGGGGCGCGGGAGGGTCGGGAGCGGCGAGCTCGCCGAGTGCAAGACGTTGCCGCTGCGGGGCTGAGGACAGAGGACAGAGGCCTCGGGCAGGCCTTGGGAGATCGCCGTTAGTGGCTCGGGGTGGCGGGCACGGGGGTCAGACGAGCGCGCTCACTTCTCCACACAGCCCGGTGCCCGGCCCAGCGTCCCCGTAGTGCGCCCGCTACACGCCGGGCCAGAGCTTCGCTCCTTCTGCCGCGGCGCGCGCCCCGCCTCTCGTTTTATGGCCTCCTCCCCGCCCCCATCCCCTCCGTCGGGGTGCGCGCGCCCGCTCCGCGTCACACAGCTCCGGCGGCGCAGCCATTCCCCGCGCTCCCCGCCCGGCACCCCGGTCCCCCGCCGGCCGGCTCCGCCCCTGCCCTGCCCCCCGACGCCATTGGCCAAGTCCCGCCTGCCCCTGTCCGGACGCGCGGCGGACGCAGGGGTGGGGAAGCCGCACCCTCCGGGCTCCAGGAGGGCCAATGAACCGACGATCGGAGCACTGGGGACGGAATGAAGAGAACGTCTGGAAAGGGACTGTGGGGGCAGACGTGCCAATGAGAGAGAAAGGGGTGGGGTAGGGCGGCTGACGCCCGGTTTAGGCGGAGAGCGCCGGGCAGAGGGGGAGGGGGACGAAGCTGGTGGCGAAGCGGCTCAGGAGAACCGGGGCTGGAGGAGCGGCAAGAGTACCCAGAAAGTGCCCTCTCCGCGGGGGTCTGCGGCCAAGGAGGATCCTGCTCGTGGAATAGCTACCAAATCGGCCTCCAGCCCACCCCAGGGGCGGGGTAGAGAAAGGGCAAACTGTGACCGGGACTTGTGCACCCGATTAATTGAATATTAATCACCCCAAGGCCTAGGCCAACCGCCACCCAGAGAGTGGCAGCTGCAGAACCCAAAGACGTGGAGCCGGGCTGGGGGTGGGGAAGGGAGGCCGCCACAGCTCCCGCCCCGCCGGCAGTTTAACTGCTTCCGCAGCCTCAGGCCTCCCGGTGCGACCCCGGCTGCGACTCGGATCCGTTTATTCCAAATGTCCCAGCCCACGCCGTGCCCAGAGTGTGGCGACACGAGGCCAAACTGCGTATGTATCTGTGTCCATGTCTACACACACACGCATGCGTGCATTTCTAGGGCTTGCTGGATCGCAGGTGCACAGAATAAACGCGGTGCCTGCTTGTAAAGCGCGTTTAAGATCATTCTTGGCTGAAATATGTGCGGGTACCTAGGGAGTGGGGTAAGAGAGGGACTCGTGGTGGGGGGCGGGTAAGTGCCTTTTTCACAACCTGCCCCAGAGAAATACACGAAATTACATCGGGAGTGGAATCGAGCGTCCCTCTCAGCTAAAAATATTACTCACAGGTAGCAACGACGCCTGATTGGCTGCGCTGGTCCCTTCGCAACGAGGCGATTGGCTGCCTGGTATCCAGGAGACCGACGTCAAACTCGGACTGGGAAAAGGGGAAAGTCTGGGGGGAGCGAAGGAGGGGACGGGGAGAAAGAAGCAATGAATGAAACGCCCATCGCCTGGCCTTCCCCTTTCCCCTTTCCCCTCTCCTCTCCATTCTTGGAGCACTTCCTGGAAAAACACCAGTTGGGGCGCCGCCTTCCCCTCCAAACGTTGGGGCCTGCACTCTCAACCTGCTATAAGGAAGTTAAACCGCAGCTCACCGAGGAGTAGGGTGTCTACGGGGCGGGCCCGTGTAGACCAGCTGTGCTCCTCGGGCACAAACCCGCCGTACATGCCAGGCCTAGAAGCTTTTGGCTTTGTGGACGCAAAATCTGGTTGGAGCCGCCTTCTCCACCCTGACTCTCCCGCCTCTCCTTTTTAGAAGGAACCGCACTGAGAAAGGGTATTTCTGAAGGCTCAATGCGTAGGAGAAGGGGTGGGAAGATGGGTTTGTGGAATGGGCTGAGGGTGGGGAGTGGTCAGGTGACTGATTTCATGTTTATTGTACAGATTCCTAAAACATAGTTTTACTAAGTGACTCCTTAAATTCTGATTAATGTGATTTTTTTTTTTTTTTGAGTGTTTGGGTTTTTTAGTTGCAAACAGGAGTGGAATTGAAATGTGAAAGTATGGCAAAACTGTGAAAGCATTTAAATTAAAATGTCCCTTCCTCTGCATTGAAATGTCATCAAAGCGTCAAATATAAATGATTTGTTCAGTTTTCTTTTTTTATTTGTTTGTTTTTGGTTTTCTGTAATGACAAGTCCATCTGTAATAAAAGTGAGTTATTTTTAGTTTTCTAATTAAGCACAGAAATTTCAAGAAACTAGACAGGATATCCTTGGAATGCCTTACCAAAAGAAACACTTCATTTTTCACGTGTTCTAGAAGCACAACTTCTTTTACCATTAGGCAAATAATGGTACTGTACCAAACATCTAGAACTGCGGGACCATGTGTCTTGATTAGTAATTTTATATTGGGGGGGCATATTAGGCATGGCTGAGACTAAAATGTCTAAAGATAGATGAATTGTAATTTTGTCAAACTTATCTGTACTTTTCAATAATTCTCTAAAGAGAAGGGACAAGTTCTCTTTTCTGAATGTCTTCAATCTGTAATTCCAGATTTGAAATATGAGAGCAGTCATCTGATAGGTACTGATTAAATATCAGTAGCATTAAAAGCATTTTTAAGTCAGAAATGTAGATGTCAAAAATTTATGAGTTATTGCTGCTTGGCCTAGGAGTGTAAGAAGATGTCTGACCAAATATAAACACACACACACACACCACACAAACAACACACACGGAGGCCCCATGGCATACTGGAAAAAGCAATGAAGGGTGGGTACTGGGAGGTCTGAGTTTCACACCAGTTTCAATAAACTTTTAGTTTTCTCACCTATAAAAAGGGTTGAATTAGATCATATCTAATGTCTCCTTCAATTAAAAAAAAATTCCACACTTGGCTGGGAGCAGTGGCTTACGCCTGTAATCCCAGCACTTTGGGAGGCTGAGGCAGGCAGATTACCTGAGCTCAGGAATTTGAGACCAGCCTGGCCAACACGGTGAAACCCCGTCTCTACTGAAAATACAAAAATTAGCCGGGTGTAGTGGCACACGCCTGTAATCCCAGCTACTTGGGAGGCTGAGGCAGGAGAATTGCTTGAGCCTGGGAGATGGAGGTTGCAGTGCGCCGCGATCGTGCCACTGCACTCCTGCTGGCCGACAGAGCGAGACTCTCTCTCAAAAAAATAAATAAATAAAATATTCCGCCCTTAAAACTCAATGTTCCTAACATATATACTGCAGCTGTTCTTCAAATACAGATTGCAAGTCAGGGCGCGGTGGCTCTCGCCTGTAATCCCAGTACTTTGGGAGGCCAAGGTGGGTGGATCATCTGAGGTCGGGAGCTCGAGATCAGCTTGACCAACATGGAGAAACCCTGTCTCTACTAAAAATACAAAATTAGCCTGGCATGGTGGCGCATGCCTGTAATCCCAGCTACTCGGGAGGCTGAGGCAGGAGAATCACTTGAACCCGGGAGGCGGAGGTTGCGGTGAGCTGGGATCGCGCCATTGCACTCCAGCCTAGGCAACAGGAGCAAAACTTCGTTTCAAAAAAGAAAAAAAATACATATATATGGATTGCAAATAAAAGGGAAAACTGATTCACATCTCTGAACATTGCCAGTCACGAGGTATAAAATGTTCTTTATCCAAGTTCTGCATATGGCTTATTATTATCTAACATTTACTTTGGAATTGTGCAGGGGAGTGGAGGGCTAACTGCTAATTGTGCAGGGAATTAGACTTATGGAGGAAAAAAGAATTTGATATTAGGCTCCAAGTGTATCACAATCAAGAGGTATTCCTCTCTCTGAGCAAATAACAGTCACTAGAAACTACAGCCTTTGCCTTTCACATCCCTACATTCTACACAATTCCCAGTGGGCCCTTACAATAAAGGTAATCGTTTGGTAAAAAATAACTTCCAATATCTTCATAAAATACAGTTCTTGAAAGTGCCTTGAATTATTACCTAATCCACACAAGAACACACACATGCAACACCTTGATTTCTGAGATAGAGACATCCTAAGTTTTCTAATTCTTAATATGCTTCCTTGTAAATTGAGAAAGGGTTACAGGAGAATAGCTATCACATGGTGTATAATTATTAATACTCATTTTACTTCTTTTTTTTTTTTTTTTTTTTTTTTGAGACAGAGTCTCACTCTGTCGCCAGGCTGGAGTGCAGTGGCACAGTCTTGGCTCACTGCAACCTCTGCCTTCCGGGTTCAAGTGATTCTCCTGCCTCAGCCTCCCAAGTAGCTGGGACTACAGGCATGCGCCACCACTCCCAGCTAACTTTTGTATTTTTAGTAGAGATGGGGTTTCACCATGTTGGCCAGGATGGTCTCTATCTCTTGACCTCGTGATCCGCCCGCCTCGGCCTCCCAAAGTGTTGGGATTACAGGCATGAGCCACCGCACCCGGCCGACTCATTTCACTTCTAAGGAATCAACCTTTTACCTTTATTTGAAAATAAGACAGGCAGGGCAAGGTGGCTCACATGCTCGTAATGCCAGCATTTTAGGAGGCTTGAGGCGGGAGGATCCCTTGAGCCGAGGAGTTCGAGATCAGCCTATGCAACACAGTGAGACCCCTATCTCTATTTTATTTAAAAAAAAAAAAAAGGCGGGAGTGGTGATGCACACCTGTAGTCCCAGCTACTTGGAAGGCTGAGGTGGGAGAATCTCTTGAGACAAGGAGGTGGAGACCAGCCTATACAGCATAGCGAGGCCGTTTCTATTTTATTTTCTTTTATTTTTTAAAAATTAGCCGGGCGTGGTGGCGCACACCTGTAGTTCCAGCTACTTGGAAGGCCGAGGCAGGAGGATCTCTTGAGACCAGGAGGTCGAGGCTGCAGTGAGCAGTGATCGTGCCACTGCACTCCAGCCTGAGCAACAGAGGGAGGCCTTGTCTCAAACTAACAACAACAAAAAAACCCCATAATGTTCTTATTGTGATTTTTATTTATTTCTTTTTAAACGGTCATGCAACATAAATCATAGCACACACATTTTAAAATTATTATTAATTTTTTTTGAGACAGAGTCTCGCTCTGCGCCCAGGCTGGAGTGCAGCTCACTGCAGCCTCCCGGGTTCAAGTGATTCTTCCACCTCAGCCTCCCGAGTAGCTGGGATTACAGGCACCCGCTATCATGCCCAGCTAATTTTTGTATTTTTGTAGAGACAGGGTTTCACCGTGTTGGCCAGGCTGGTCTTGAACTGCAGGGATTACAGGCGTGAGCCACTATGCCTGGCCTAAAATTAATTTTTTAAATCATGCTCTAGTCATTGAGTTATTGAAAACCAAGTAAACCAGTTCTCTTCTAAACATTTCTCAAAAAAAGGCAATCCAGTTACGTCTGAGGAAACCTCAGTGTGGTTTCCTGTGGCTTTTCACATGGGTTTGTAGTGGAGGGCTATATAGTCTCCAGAAGACACTGGCACACAGACATTTGTAATTAAAAGATAACTAGATAATGTTGAACAAGCCTACTAAAGCAACGTGGTCTGATAGGAGAATGTTTCCTTATAATTTGCTCACTTTCTATTATCTTGATGAACAAAATCCAAACCAAATCTTGCAATTTCTTTCCATTAGCCGAGGAGGAAGATTTTGATTTCAGTAAAGAGATTATAGTGCGGGTTCTAGGAGTGATACGGTGTTCATGACATTCTAAGTACAAAGAACATTTATATAAAGTACTCTGAGAGCAAATGTTATTAGAGTACTTTAAATACATTTAAAGCATGGGTTGCATATGTTATTATGCAGCTCTGCTTACTAAAATAGAATGTGATTTTATATATATAACCAATTGTGGCAGACACTGTTGCCAGCTCACCCGTTTCCCATGCCCCATCCTCATTCCCTTTTCTTCCTGACTAAAGAGGCTAGAAGAGCTAAATGCATGTTTTCCCAGGCTTCATTGCAGTAGAGGTGGCACTGTGACACTGTTCTGCAGATAAGATGTAAACAGAAGTCAGCTGGGATGGTTTCTGAGGGTGCTATGCTTTTCCTATCAGAGAGGTTTGTTCTAGTTACTATTGCTGCATGAAAAACTATCCAAAACACGCATTTACTGTGGCACAAAAGGTCAATTTTATTATACCCTTGGATCCTGTAGGTAAGAAATTCAGGCTTGGCCTGGTGGCTCACACCTGTAATCCCAGCACTTTGGGAGGCCAAGGAGGGCGGACCACTTGAGGTTAGGAGTTCGAGACCAGCCTGGCCAACATAGCAAAACCCCCTCTCTACTAAAAATACAAAAAAATTAGCCAGGCATGGTGGTTTGTGCCTGTAATCCCAGCTACTCAGGAAGCTGAGGCAGGAGAATGACTTGAACCCAGGAGGCAAAGGTTGCAGTGAGCCAAGATAGCATCACTGCACTCCAGCCTGGGTGACAGAGAGAGATTCCGTCTTAAAAAAAAAAAAAAATTCAGACAGGGCACAAGGGGATGGATAGCTTATCACTGCTCCATAGTGTCTGGAACCTCAGCTGGAAAGGCTCAAATGCTCAAGTATCATCTGAAGCAGGTCTAACAGAACTTCCTCCAGTGATGGGAATATGCCATATCCGTGCTGTCAAATATAATAGCCACATGCGGCTCTTGAGCACTTGAAATGTGGCCAGTGTGACTGAGGAACTGAATTTTTACTTTAATTTAGTTTTAATGAAATTTAGATTTAAATAATCACATGTGGACAGCAGCTTCTGAATTGGACAGCATGGACCTGGAAGCTTTTTCAAAGCACATGTCTAGCACCTGGGCTGCAGTGACTCAAGGGCTGGGCTTAGTTGGCACTGTTGTTTGGAGCGTTTCCACATGGCCTCTGAATTTCCCCTGTGGTTTGGGCTTCTTACAGCGTGGCAGTTGAGAGGAAGCAGAGCAGTTTCTGGAGAGTGAACTTTTTAAAAATTAAAACCATTTTTTTCAAGTTTTTTCTAGAGATAGGGTCTTGCTGTGTTGCCCAGGCTGGTCTCAAACTCCTGGCCTCAAACAATCCTCCTGCCTTGGCCTCCCAAAGCAGTGGGATTACAGGCATGAGCTACCATGCCTGGCCACCATGGAAGCTGCCACCATGGAAGCTGCCACCAAGGAAGCTGCATGGCCTTTTATGACCCAGTCTCATAAGTCACAATGCACCACTTCCATTACACCCTAATGGTCAAAGTAACCACCAGCCAGATTCAAGGGGAGGGGACATAACCACCACCTCTCATGGAGGAGTGTCAAAGAATTTGAGGCCATTTTTAAAAATCACCACTGGGTCACTTCTCTCTTCTTCCTGCCTTGAACATGGATCTCATGGCAGGAGCTGCAGCAGCTCCTACTGAATAAACCATGAATAAAACGCAAGTTAATCACAGGGACAGGGGTTCTCACCAATGCTAGTCACTGCCTAGGTCTGGTCCACTTTTTAACCGACATTAAGTGTTCCATGACTTGCAGCTGAAGTATTTCCAGCAAAAACACTAATTTTACATCTTTTAAGGAAACCTGAACTTGATTTTCAAAAAAGCCAAAATAAATTTTTCCTCTAATCTAAAATATCAGGGCTTCTTTCTCATTATAAAACCTGGAAATGCTCATTATAGCAAATTTGGAACACATAGAAATAAAGAAGAAAATAGCAATCATCTTTAATCTCTCCATGCAGTGCTAACCATCTTGCTCCATTTCTTTCTGAATGAGTTTCTATCACACACGCAATTTTCTATCCTGCAGTTCACTTAACATTACATTTTTCCTATTTTCTCCTGACATTAAGCATTTGTCACAATCATCATTTTTAATGACTGCATATTATATTCTACTCTATGGATTTAGAATAATTTATTTAACCATCGCTGGGCATCTAAGTTGTTGAAAATGTTTCTGTATTAAAAACAAACATATTTAACAGGCATTTTTATATGTAAATCTTTAGCTACCTCTCTATTTCCCTGAGCTAGATTCTATAAGCAAACTTAGCGAGTGGAAGAGAAGGAATATTTTTTAAGGCTGGTAACATAATGACAATCCACCTTCCAGAGAGATTGTACTTTTTTACCTTCCCAGAGGATACGCACTGCAAAATCACTACATTTTTAGCCAGCGTTGCCTACTAAAAAATTTTTTTCTATCCTTGGCTAATTTGGTAGGTAAAATGATATCTGTTGTTTAATTTTTATTTCTTTGATTACATGTAGGATGAATAGAGTTTGACATGTTTGTCAGCTCGTTGTACTACTGTTTTTATAAATTTTTTATCTATGCCTTTTCTCCATGTTTCTCTTAGAGGTCTTTGTGTTTTGCTTCAATTTGTATGAGTATCTTGCATATTGTGTACAGATACGTGGCTGAAGAGGATCCTGGTCATAAACCTCACTCTAGAACTTGCCCAAACATTTTAAACATGTGATTTTGATGCCTAGAACCTTGCTTTTCAATCTACTGTTTCACTTTATAAGGTCCTGACTAACTCCTGGGTTATCCATAAATGCTTAAAAAAAAAAAAAAAGCAAGCCAGGTACAGTGGTACCTATAAGCCTAGCACTTTGGGAGGCTGAGATGGGAGAGAGGATCATTTGAGGCCATGAGGTTGAGACCAGCCTGGGCAACATAGCGAGACCCCTGTCTCTACAAAAAAAATAAAAATATTAGTAGGGTGTAGTGGCAAGCACCCGTAGTCCCAGCTACTAAGGAGGTTTGAGGTGGGAGTATCCCTTGAGCCCAGGAGTTCCAAGCGGCAAGTGATCATTCCATAGCACTCCAGCCTGGGTGACAGAGCAAGACCTTTTCTCAAAAACAAACAAACAAACAAAAACAGTTCTAATCATTTTTACTTAGGCCTCTGTCTTCTTGACCTTTCTGTCACATTTCACACTGTTTACTAATAACTACTTCAAATATTTCCTTTTGACTTTTAAGACTTTGCCCATTGTATTAACATTGGATATCCTAACATGGCCCCCACTTCCTATCTCAGCTGCAGTGGAGCAGAGAAGAAAAATTATGAATTCAAAATTAGAGAATTTGTGTTTGGGTCTTGCCACCTGGTATTAGTTGGGTATGGCTACTCTGAGTCTCAGCCCTCATCTTATAAATAATTAGAAGCAATAATTACCCTCAGAGTTGTGTGAGAATCAATTGAGGTGACACCTGTGAAAACGCTCTATGAACCGTCAAGCCCCCCATAAATGTGAATATTTTCTTCCTTCCTCTCCCCCTCCCTCTTCCCCTCCTTCCCTACTTTCTCCTCCTCCTCTCCTCCTTCTCTTCCTTCTCTGCTTCTTACATCTGGCAGAAATTCAAGTACCATTTGATTCAGCTCAAGTAAAAATACATGTGAAATTGCTTTTAAACTACAAACAAGTATTATTAACACTCTCTTCTGTCAGATACAGTGTTGCCAACTCAGTCCTTTTCACCTTCAAAAAACCTCTCAGAATCCCATGGCTTGATGTTTTATATTATTATTTAATTATTAGTTTATTTAGCCTTCCGTGTGTTTATGTCCTAGCCTTTGTTGGATTCCAAGCTTTTTAAGAGCAGAAAGCATGTACCTTTACACGAGCTTTATAGTGCCTTGCAGTCAATCAGTATTGACTGATGGCTTTGCTAGGTCGCTGCTTAATCCAATGAAAGAACACAGAATATTTGAGGAAGGGTAAGTGGCTCAGAGTGGCTGCTGTGGATGGTTCAGAGGTGAGAATCTAGAGAGGAGGCTGGTTGGTAGGCAGAGGCCAGATTACCAAGGGAGGAAATCTGGAATTTTGCCTTTAACAGACGGGAAGATGTTGGGTGATTTTTCAGTTGGGAAATGACATTATTGGAATTCTGTTTGGAGCACATTTTATTTATCTCTAAATGCCCCAGAGCATAGTACATTACTTGATACTTAGGAATTGCCCTGCCAATGTGTGTTCAATTGCTAGACGTAGTTTTATCACCCAATGGAATATTCTTCAATTGTTTGGTTGTTCTGAAGAAGAAATACTTACTGTCTTTTAAGGAAGATACAGACCCCACCTGGAGACCAATACTTCTATCCACTTGGGAACAAAAGGAAAAGTTTTGGCCGGGCGCGGTGGCTCAGGCCTGTCATCCCAACAATTTGGGAGCCTGAGGTGGATGAATCACTTGAGGCCAGGAGTTTGAGACCAGCCTGGCCAAGATGGTAAAATCCCATCTCTACTAAAAATACAAAAAGTAGCCAGCTGTTGTGGTGCGTGCCTGTAGTTCCAGCTACTTGGGAGGCTGAGGCATGAGAATTGCTTGAACCCAGGAGATGGAGGTTGCAGAGAGCCGAGATCATGCCACTGCACTACAGCCTGGGTGACAGAACGAGACTCTGTCACAAAAAAAAAAAAAAAGAAAAAGAAAAGAAAAGAAAAAATAAAAGATTATGTGGCAAGGTATTAAGTAAAAAAAACTTACGGTTTCTGAAAAAACTAAAACCTTTCTGTAGAAAATTCTACTGTGGTACCAGGAGGGTTGATTACTTCCACCTTTCCTTGTTGTTAGCCTAGACAACATCTGTTCCCCTTTCTTCCAGCAACAGTTGCGATTTTTGTGTGAGAACCTATACCTCTCCCACCCTTCATCCAGGAGCTTCTAGTGAGACTTGCGATTTTTGTGTGAGAACCTATACCTCTCCCACCCTTCATCCAGGAGCTTCCAGTGAGACTCTTGACAAGGCAAAAGCCAGCGAAAGCATCACATTCTCCTAACTACTGTGATGGGTTTAGGGATGGCTGATCAGAGCCAATAACTCAATTCTGGGACTTCTGTCTGAGGTCTTGGGATAAGGACTCTTTCCCATGAAATATGAACCTGGAAGTATTCATTGTTGAGGCTCCCAGGGCCATCTTAGTACCAAAAGGAGAGAGCCTGTCAGAGAATGTAGCTAACCCAGGTAAAACCAAGAAAAACCAAGTCCTGGAAACAGCCTTTTGAGCAGCCCTTGAATCAACTTTACCTGGACTTTCAGCTACAGGCTGTCTTAGCATAGGTTCCTAAACAAGCAGAGCCCAAGGCAAAGGGCTTTGCGCTACCACTTTATTTTTTATTTTTATTTATTTATTTATTTATTTATTTATTTATTTATTTATTTCGCTCTGTCGCCCAGGCTGGAGTGCAATCGTGCTATCTCAGCTCACTGCAACCTCCGCCTCCCGGGTTCAAGCGATTCTCCTGCCTCAGCCTCCTGAGTAGCTGGGATTATAGTCGCGTGCCACCACCCCAGCTAATTTTGTATTTTTAGTAGAGATAGGGTTTTGCCATGTTGGTCAGGCTGGTCTTGAACTCCCGATCTCAGGCGATCCACCTGCCTTGGCCTCCCAAAGTGCTCGGATTACAGGTGAGAGCCACTGCGCCTGGCCTTATTTTATTTTATTTTTTTTGAGATGGAGTCTTACTCTGTCCTCAACCAGGCTGGAGTGCAGTGGTATGATCTCAGCTTACTGCAACCTCCGCCTCCCAGGTTCAAGGGATTCTCCTGCCTCAGCCTCCCTAGTGGCTGGGATTACAGGTTCCTGCCACCACGCCCAGCTAATTTTTGTATATTTAGAAGAGACGGGGTTTCACCATGTTGGCCAGGCTGGTGTCGAACTCCTAACCTCAGTTTGCTACCACTTTAAGAGGGAGTGAAATCCCAGGAAGCAGGAGAGAGGGGCAAAGAGAGTAAAACAGCAAAGGAGGAGAACCTATTTCAGGTTGCGTTATTAAACCAATTGCTGTTAAGTAAAATTGCTTGATTCCATGGATTAGTCCTCCAAGAAGCCCTATAAACTGTATCCCTTTATGTGAGAAAAGAAAGGGGAGAATTCATCCATTGGTTCCCATCTCCCACTGGTCAAATAATTTATGCCATGTTGCATAACTGTATTGCATGGGTGTGTGTCCTGTCTCTCCAAGAGGCCTGCATTGTCATGAGAGCAGGCCAGTAGCTTCTACTGCCCTGTGCCTACACCATCCACAGAATGCTTAGTAAATATTTGACTGAACTGACTTTTCATAAAGTTCAGCATTCTGCTATTTGATCATTTGCATCCCAATGAGTTTTCCCCAATTTGTGCTGTTTTATTAACCTGTTAAATGTTATCATTTGAGTGGTACTTACACAATCAATTGCCAGCTGATTTCACATACTCAGTGGCATTTGGATTCTAAAGCCAAATCATTATCCTTCTATTCTCAATATGGTTAAAATCAAAAAATGTTAAATGACATGTAAACTAGCTCCAAGAGATTCGATGTTGACCAACACAGGGATTCCAGAAACTAAGAATGGAGAGACCAAGGGGAAGGAAATAACTAAAGAACTCAGAGAAGAAAAAATTGATGTATCAGTTAAGTAATAATTAAAGTTTTGGCTAACATAATTAATAAACTTGACTTGGTAGATATCGGTGTTCTTATAGGACTTTCCACATATAGACATTCTTTTCAACAACCCATGGACTAGTTTTAAAATTGCCTGTGTAATATGTAACCAAGAAAATTTACATAAATTCCCCCAAATAAAAACCTTATGACCTATACTGTTCATAGATCATTAAAGCTAGAAATTAACAACAAATATAGCAAAACATCTCTTTACTTGCATTTTTTTTTTCAGACAGGGTCTCACCCTATGCCCAGGCTGGAGTGCAATGGTGTGATCACAACACTGGAAGGTTAAGGCAGGAGGATCGCTTGGGCCCAGGACTTCGAGACCAGCCTGGGCAACATGGTGTGACCCCGCCTTTACAAAAATTTTTAAAAACTAAAAAAACCAAACAGAGCTTATTAAATGATTAAGAGCATACTATGTACAACTACATTAAATTTACAATCCTTAAGGAAAATGTAAATCATCTAAATTGATTTAAGAAATAGTATCAAACCTAAATAGACCACCAACAATGGAAAAAAACTGGTTTAAGATCTACCTCCAAAAAAGACACAAAGCCAAGGTGGTTTTACGGTAAGCTCTGCCAAAAAAATTCCTGTATTTGAATTTTCAGAGCTTAGGGAAGCATGAAGGTCTTGAAGTTCTTATAAACTCACTCTACGAGTTGGTATAACATGGATACCAAAGTGGACAATGATTTGAGCAACAACAACAGAAGATAAAACCAGGCACGGTGGCTCACGCCTATAATCCTAGCACTTTGGGAGGCCGAGACAGGCACATGGCTTGAGCTCAGGAGTTTGAGACCAGCCTAGGCAACATAGCAAAACCCTGTCTCTAGAAAAAAAAAAACACAAAAATTGGCTGGATGTGGTGGTGTGCACCTGTAGTCCCAGCTACTTGGGGAGCTGAGGCAGGAGGATCACTTGAACCTGGAAGGTCAAGGTTGCAGTGAGCCAAGATCACACCATTGCACTTCAGCCTAGGTAAAAAAATGAGACCCGGTCTCAATCAATCAACCAATCAATCAATAACGAAAGCCTAAATTTGCTTATGAATACAGATTTTAAAATCCTAAATGAAATATTAGCGAATTGGATGAGTGTATTAAAAGTATAATGCAAGGATGGCTCAACATTAGGATATCTGTTAATGCAATTCACTATATTAATAAACCAAAAGGGAGCAATGACCTTTTCAACTGATGCAACCAAAAAAGCATTTAACGAAATCTAATACTCTTTCATGATTAAAAACAAAACTCTTTTTTTGTTTTGAAATAGAGAATGACATGTCTTTAACTTGATAAAGTATCCATCAGAAACCTACAGCAAAGGTTGTACTAATGGGGAAGTGTTAGAAACTTTTTTTTTTTTTTTTGAGACAGATTCTCACTCTATCGCCCAGGCTGGAGTGCAGTGTTGTGATCTCGGCTCACTGCAGCCTCCACCTCACAGGTTCAGGCAATTCTCTTGCCTCAGCCTCCCAAGTAGCTGGGATTACAGGTGCCTGCCAAAATGGCTGGCTAATTTTTGTATTTTAGTAGAGATGGGGTTTCACCATGTTGGCCAGGCTGGTCTCGAACTCCTGACCTCAAGTAATCTGCCCACCTCTGCCTCCCAAAGTGCTGGGATTACGGGCGTGAGCCACTGTGCCTGGCCTAGAAACATCTTAAAGTCAGTATTGAGACAAGCAGGGTTGATACCATTGCCATTAGTCAGTATTGAGACAAACAGGGTTGGTACCATTGCCATTATTAAACAAGCCTGGAGTAACTAGCCATTTTAATAAGACAAGAAAAGGAAATATGAGGTATACATCATAAGAGGCTGAGGTGGGAGGATCACTTGAGCCCGAGAGGTCAAGGCTACAGTGAGCTGTGATTGCCCCACTTCCCTCAGCCTGGGTGACAGAACGAGACCCTGTCTCAAAATAATAAGAATAAGAAAAAATATATATATATATATTCATATATATATAAGAATATATATATTCATATATATAAAAGAATATATATAAATTATATATAATTTATATATAAATATATTATATATATATTATATATAAATAATATATAATTTATATATATTATATATATATTTATACATATAAATATATATAAATTATATATAATTTATATATAAATATATAAATTATATATTATATATTATATATATTATATATTATATATTATATATATATAATATATACATATTTTATATATATATATATATTTTTTTTTAGACAGAGTCTTGCTCTGTTGCCCAAGCTGGAGTGCAGTGGCACAATCTCAGCTCACTGCAACCTCCATCTCCTGGGTTCAAGCAATTCTTCTGCCTCGGCCTCCCAAGTAGCTGGGATTACAGGCATGTACCACCATGCCTGGCTAATTTTTGCATTTTTAGTAGAGACGGGATTTCATCATGTTGGCCAGGCTGGTCTCGAACTCCTGACTTCAGGTGATCTACCCCCCCTCCCCCAGCCTCCCAAAGTGGTGGGATTACAGGCATGAGCCACTGCACTCGGCCTAGAAGAATAATATTTTTTAATATGGTTGAATAATTTTGATGTATCTTGTACTTTGTGGCTGTTGGTGAGTTGAATTCATATAGATGGAGAAGATACTATGTACCAGGTATTGTTCTTCCTGCTTTACATTTAAATCTTCACAAAAACCCTATGAAGAAGATACCATAATTAATGCTATTTTATAGATGAGGGAACTGAGGCACAGTGGGGTATGCACTGGGCCTCATATGAAAGCACACAGCCAGTAAGTGGCAGAGCTGAGATTTGAACCTCAACCATTTTGCTGTAGAGCCTATGGCTTAACCACATGATATGATATCCTTGGAAGATAAGAAAGCCACAGAAAAAGAGTAATCTCACCTTTATTAAAAGTAGGCTGAGTGCAGTGGCTCATACCTGCAATCCAGCCCTTGGGGAGGATGAGAGGGAGAATTGCTTGAGGCCAGGAGTTCGAGACCAGCCTGGGCAACACAATGAAGCCGTGTCTCTACAAATATTTTTTTTTAATCCATCTGGTTAGATAGATTGTAAGAACAAAAACAAGCAAACAAAAAACAGGGGTGGTGGCGTGCACTTGCAGTCACAGCTACTTGGGTGGCTGAGGTAGAAGGATCTACTGAGCCCAGGAATTCAAGGTTACAGTGAAGTATGATTGCACCACTGTACTCCAGCCTAGGTGACAGAGCAAGACCCTGCCTCTAAAAAGAAAAAAAGTAGGCCAGGCGCAGTGGCTCACTCCTGTAATCCCAACACTTTGGGAGGCCGAGGCGGGCGGATCACGAGGTCAGGAGATTGAGACCATCCTGGCTAACACGGTGAAACCCCGTCTCTACTAAAAATACAAAAACAAAATTAGCCAGGTGTGGTGGTGGGTGCCTGTAGTCCCAGCTACTCGAGAGGATGAGGCGGGAGAATGGCGTGAACCCAGGAATGGGAGCTTGCAGTGAGCTGAGATCGCACCACTGCACTCCAGCCTGGGCGACAGACCGAGACTCTGTCTCAAAAAAAAAAAAAAAAAGAAAAAGAAAGAAAGTAGAAAACATGTTTTGGTGCATAGGAGAAAGTAGTTACATTTAGCGAGGTGTAGCTCTGCGGGTGAGTGAAGGGACACTTCACTTTTGACTCCTCTCTTCATATGTTGCTTGGATTTTCCACAGTGGTCAGTTACCTTTGCAATTAAAAAGAAATGTTTTTTGTTTTGTTTTTTGTTTTTGAGACAAGGTCTCACTCTGTCACCCAGGCTGGAGTGCAGTGGCATGATCATGGCTCACTGCAGCCTCAGTCTCCTGGACTCAAGTGATCCTCCTGCCTCAGCCTCGTGAGTAACTGGGACTAGAGGTAAGTCTAGTCCTCCATGCCTGGCTAATTTTTTTTTTTTCTATATTGCTCAGGCTGGTTTGAACTCTTGGGCTCGAGCAATCCTCCCATCTTGGTCTCCCAAAGTGCTGAGATTATAGGTGTGAGCCACCATACCTGGCCTAAAATAAAATATTAAATACATTTTAACATTTATTATATTTATATATTATACATACTTTTTGTACAATTTGAATATATACATATATCATCTTTATATTTGGGGCTCACTTCTTTGTTTATGTAGTGTTTGTTTCCAAAAGCTTCCTTTATTATCTCTCACAAAAATGAGAACAGAATGCACACACCACACCTATCTGCCCTACATTCCAAAAGCATTAATTTATCACATTGGAAGAGATCTGTTTTTTTTTTTTCACTAGACCTCTTCTGTGAACAGAGATCTGATTTTTGTGCATTCTGAAATACCTATTTATTATAAGAACTCTGTAAATGGTTGGCTAAAATGGCTTTAATTCAATCCTAACATACTCCCTAATAGAGAGTTAGCCCTTTTGTCCTGTTTCCCTGCGTCTGGATTCCCATTCCATAAGCATCGCTCACAGGACTACTCTACTGGGTGCAGGAGAATAGGAGGCTGAGTAAGCCCCAGGCTAGTGGGACAGACACTTCCCAAGCCAGAAACCCAGGAGTCTTCTGAGACACCCCCTTTTGCTCACTCTGTCCCTAATTTCAAGCTGCCACTGGACCCATCCGCCTGACCTCCTACCTATTGATCTTGTCCGTTCGCCACCCTGCAGGCCATGAGCACCTCCTCCCTGGACCACCACGCCAGCCGCCTACTGGTTTCCCTGCCTTGACTCCTGCCTTCATTGCTAACACCTTCTCCACCCCACAAACAAGGGATGGATCTTTTAAAAATGCAAATCAAGCCTAGGCAACGTAGCAGGATCCTGTCTCTACAAAAAAAAAAAAAAAAAAAAAAAAAAAAAAAAATATATATATATATATATATATATATATATATATATATATATATATATATATAAATAAATTAGCCAGCTGTGGTGGCGTGCACCTGTAGTTCCAGGTAATTGGAAGGCTGAGGCAGGAGGACCACTTAAGCCCAGGGGTTTGAGGCTTCAGTGAGCTATGATCGCACCACTGCACTCCAGCTTGGGAGACAGAGGAAGACTCTGTATTAGAAAAAAAAAAAAAATGCAGTCCAGGCGCGGTGGCTCATGCCTGTAATCCCAGCACTTTGGGAGGCTGAGGTGGGCGGATCACTTGAGGTTAGGAGTTTGAGGCCAGCCTGGCCAACATGGTGAAACCCTGTCTCTACTGAAAATACAAAAATTAGCCAGGTATGGTGGTGCACGCCTGTAGTCCCAGCTACTCAGGAGGCTGATGCACGAGAATTGCTTGAACCCGGGAGGCAGATGTTGCAGTGAGCCAAGATGGTGCCACTGCACTCCAGCCTGGGCAATAGAGCGAGACTCCTTCTCAAAAAAAAAAAAAAATGCAAATCAGTCATGTTCCCGTCACCCTGCACCCACTGGGGTAAACCTATCAGTGTCTCCCATGACTTTTAGGGTGAGGACCAAAGCCCTCACTGCAGTCTACAGACCCTCGAGGATCTGCTGCCTGCCTGCCTACCCAGCAGAAGGCCAGAGCTTGCCCAACCTTCCTCCACCCTCTCTTACTTCCTCAAATACACCAGGTTCCCTCCCACTTCAGGGCCTTCTGCTAGTCCTGCCTGCAGCCTCTCACTTACTCCTCTCACCTCATTCATCCCTAGTGAGCTTAGCATTTGGCTTTTATTTCCCTTCTTCAGGGGAAGCTGCCCCAGTCCTATTACAGCAAACCCTCAGCTTTTTGCTCCCATAGTTCCTATGCAGCTATTTATTCAGTAGCTGTCTCCACCGCTGAGCAATGC
This sequence comes from Homo sapiens, assembly GCF_000001405.40. Taxonomy (NCBI): domain Eukaryota; kingdom Metazoa; phylum Chordata; class Mammalia; order Primates; family Hominidae; genus Homo; species Homo sapiens. Next base: position 50,884,321 of record NC_000017.11, read on the forward strand.
AGTCGAAAGGGATAGGATCTGTGTCTACTTTGTTCCTTGCAGTATCCTGGGACCCCAGCACAGAGCCTGGTTCATACAGGACTTAATGAATGAGTGAGTGAATGAATGAATGAGTGATCCTGCTGTATTACCAGACAGATCGTGGTAGGGGCAACAGTTGCTGTGAGGTTTTGGGAAGCTGTCTTTGCCTGGGAGGTGGGGAAGGCAGGGCAGAGCCTAAAGAAGCCTTGAAGGGAGAGTGTTGCTTCATGGGCAGGGAAAGGAAAATGACATTCCAGACTCAGCCCCTACACAAGTGTGAGGCAGACTCCCATGGTTGTCAGGTCAGAGTAGGGAGAGGCAGAGATAAGGCTGCGATTGTGGGTGAGCTCAGCCTGGGAGGAGCTCTGCATACCAAAATAAGGACTGAACCTTGTGTAGGTAGTGGGGGAACCTGGGAAAGTGTGTTAGGCAATCTTTCCCCACCCCCTTCCTCTTTCCACCTCTCCCCTGCTTTCCTTCCTCCTGGAGATAGGGAGCAAGGTCTCCAGGGGCCAGGCAGGTGCTTCTGGTTGGAAAGGCCGTGACCAGGACTTGTTGGGTCCATTTGACTCAACGGACCCCTTTCTTGGCCCTGTCCCCAGATGTATAGGGCAGAGCTAGAGTTGTAGAAAAGGGAGACACACTCCTCAGGGCCACCACACTCACCCAGCAGGGGTCTGGGAGCCCCTGAAGCACCCGGGACCCCAGCCTCAAAGGTGGATGCTGGAGGGAGGATTTGAGGGAGCAGGCACCCATCAGTGAGAATGACGAGTTGACGGCACAGCTGACAAGTGTCTGGGGGTGTGCCACCTCCCTGCGCTGCTTCTGAGCTGTTTGCTTTGCCTTGGTACACTTGAGGGGTTGGAAGTCCTCAGCCTTCAGAGCTCCAGGTTTGAGGCACAGACAGGTTCCATTTTGCCCAAAGCCAGGCAAAGGCTCCTCTCTCTGAGCAGAGGTTGCTGGGTCACAGGAGCTCAGGGTGGCACTGCACTCAGGATTCGCAGCTGCCTTGACGTCACCAGTGTCCCAGGTGAAGGCACAAACTCCTGGCCTGAGGTGAGGCTGAGGGAGACAAGAGCCCACCAGACTAGGCCAGCACTTCCCATGGGCTTAGACCCCTGCTCTCCTGCCTCCTCTGATATTTCAAATCTTTCAGAATTTCAAAACCATAGGACCTATTGACTTCTAAGCTCCCCACCCTGCTCTTTGGGCTTAAATTGTGCTTTATCTCAACAGCATTCATTGAGTGCCAGCTCTGTGCAAAGCCCTGTGCTAATGTGCTAGGCTCTAGAGTCATAAAGATGAAAATTTTTCTTTTTTTAAAATAGAGAATAGTCAGTCTCACTTTGTTGCCCAGGCTGGTCTCGAACTCCTGGCTTCAACTGATCCTCCCATATTGGCCTCCCAAATACTGGGATTATAGGTGTGAGGCACCTTGCCCAGCCAATGAATACTTTATGATATGATCCCTGTTTTCAAGAGACTTACAGTCTAGTTAGGGAAATGGACACAAACAGACCCTTTCAGAACAATGTAAAGACCTCAGAAGAGGTCAAATTCTATTGGAATCCATCTGCTTTTTTTTTTTTTTTTTTTTTTTTTTTTGAGATGGAGTCCCACTCTGTTACCCAGGCTGAAGTGCAGTGGCACCATCTCGGCTCACTTTAACCTCCACCTCTGGGTTCAAGTGATTCTCCTGCCTCAGCCTCCCCAGTAGCTGGGACTACAGGCGCGTGCCACCATGCCCAGCTAATTTTTGTATTTTTAGTAAAGAAAGGGTTTCACCATGTTGGCCAGGCTGGTCTCAAACTCCTGACCGTAAGTGATCTACCCGCCTCGGCCTCCCAAAGTGCTGGGATTACAGGTGTGACTTTTTACTATCTGTAGGTAACTGCTATATATAATGCATGATCTATAATGCCCGACCCAACATTTTGTCATCTTTGCAATACTTGATTTTATTTTTTTTCCTGTAATATTTTGGGGTTTGAGATTATTTCGTTTGGTTTGGCTACAAGGAAGCCTAGATGTGCTTCAGAGTCGCCTTGAAATTTCTTCTGCATTATCAACCAGCTCAATCTCCTCTGAATTAGACCTGCCTTCTCATCTGGGAAAGGCAGATCTTTAACAGGTGGCTGGAAGCTATTGAAGGAAGAAGCCAAGATGTGGTTTCTGAAGAGCAGGCAGGAGGGTCCCTGGCCATAAATATGTCCTTGATAAGGGCCTGAAATCCCATTCTTAGAATTTTATTTTTTTGAAGTTGCACGAGCACCTGGGAAGAATACCACCTTAAATCCTGACCACTTATCCACTCCGGGAAGATTTGTTTATAGCCAAGAGTTCCCACGATGGGCCGAGGAAGAGCAGGGGGGCAGCCAGCTTTCCAGGCAGGCCCTAACATATTATCCAGATTTTGAGGTTGTTTTAGTTATGTGTTTGTAACAAACCACCACAAAACATAATGGCTTAAAACAATGATTTATTGTTTCTCACAATGCTGTGCGTTGGCTAGTTCGACAGTTCTATTGGTCTCACCTGGGGTCACTCAGATGGCTACAGTCATTGTAGATTAACTGAACTTCATCAATGTGCAGTGGTCTCAAGGTTATGAGAAGGTGATCACAGAAGCAGGAAGACCCGTGATCGGGTGTGGTGGCTCACGCCTGTAATCTCAGCACTTTGGGAGGCCGAGGTGGGTGGATCACTTGAGGTCAGGAGTTTTCCACTTTCTTGTGCCCTTCTGCTTAAACAACCTTTGTGCTTCAGCAAAGTAAGCACAAGTCCAATAAAATGTAGCTTGAAAACAAGTATCAACAAATTAATGAAAACAACACACAAAGGGCAGCCTTGTCTTGCCATGGGAGGAGAAGATGCTTGTTTTTAAGGAAAGGTCTTGTCATTTAGGATGAATATGAAAGGAGGGTCAGGGAGAAGAGCACCTGCAGACCAAGACAAATGGAGAATTGAAGGGAAAAAACCCTGTAAAACAAAAAGTGCTGGTGATGCTGACTCCTGCCTCAGCTCAGAGCTGTGTTAAGGGCTGAATGGGACAAGCTGGAGCCCCAATGGGGAGATTTCTTTTTCAGGCCAGGCTGACCCATAGGGGCCATCACCCAATCACTTGGAAGTGAAACCAGTTTAGCCCAGCCTTCGTACTTTTCTTGAAGCAGTCTGTATTTTCTGCGTTACTTCTAGCTCCCTGGGTGTGTGTGACCTCTTCCTTGTCACACTGAAACCTCTTTGAGGGAGGTGTGGGGGAGGGGGGAGCGGAGCTTGCAGTGAGCCGAGATCGTGCCACTGCACTCCAGCCTGGGTGACAGAGTGAGACTGTGTCTCAAAATAATAATAATAAATAAAAAAAAAAATTCAAAGCAACAAATATATTGCAAATGAGCTTTACTAGTTTTTTTGGGGAGGGGTGAACATGGAGAGTTGGGAGGAGGAAGGAAATAAAAAAATGAAAAGATGATCTGAATATATCCCTGCCTTAGAGAGCTTCCAGGTAAGTCCAAGAGACTGACTTCAACACAGACCTGGGCTAATTGCCCATTTCGCTCCTTGCCCTGGGGCCTATTGTTTTCCACAAATTGCGTCCCCACTTGAGACTCAGTCTTCTCTCCCTCATCGCCATGCAGTCATTTCAGCCCAGTTGCAGAACAGGAGAACATGAATGGAAAAAGGATTGAGTCCACACTGTGGTGGCTGCAAGAGGTGATTCAAGATCTAACATTCTGAGTAGTTTCCAGACAGTTGAGGACAGCCCAGGCTGGGGTCCAGAGGTGGGGATCAGGCAGGAGGAGCAGGAGCAGCCAGAAGGCAGGATCAGCCAAAGCCCTTGAAGAATGCCAAAGGGCAAACTGCAGAAAGCGAGTTCAGGTGTCAGATCCCAAAGGCGAGAGGAGGGCTGTAAGTGGGAGATGACCCAGGGGGCCCTGGAATGGAGTGGGAGCAGGTTGGGCCAGAAGTGGGAAAGCTATCACCCTCACTAGTGACTGGGAGAATTCCCAGAAGGACAGCAAAGGTGCCCACTGTGATGGCGTGGATGGGCTAGGTCAGCACAGGTGCTCAGGCCAGGACAGATACTTCGTCCCTGGCCACCCAGCCTTGGCCATGGTCCTCACAACCAAGCCCCACAAGGTAGCCCCAAGCCTGGGCAGAGGAGCCCTGGGCATGAATGCATCCTAAACTCTACCCATCAGCGCTGATCCATGACAAAGTTTTTGTCCATCAGCTACAAACTGGAAACAACAACAACAACAAAACATAAGTGAGCTTTTAATAACGTTAATTTTTGTTTCTAGTTTAAATTCTGATATGATGGCTGTTTTACTTTTGGTGATAAGATGGCTTTTCTTTTATGAAGACATGGTGATGGGAGGTGATAGGGCTTTTTTTGGTTGTTTGAATTGCCTCACTAGGTCGGGAGCAGTGAGTGGCTCATGCCTGTAATCCTAGTATTTTTGGGAAGCCAAGGTGGATAGATCACCTGAGGTCAGGAGTTCGAGACCAGCCTGGCCAACATACTGATACCCCATCTCTACTAAAACACAAAAATTAGCCAGGCATGGTGGCACGTACCTGTAATCCCACCTACTTGGGAGGCTAAGGCAGGAGAATCGCTTGAACCTGGGAGGTAAAGGTTGCAGTGAGCTGAGATTGTGCCATTGTACTCCAGCCTGGGTGACAGAGATGGTGTCTCCAAGAAAAAAAGGAATTGCCTCACTTGGCTAAATTTAAAGTTGACAATATTGGTTCCCAGATTTGAGGAAATTTTTTTCTCTTTTTTTCTTTTTGAGACGGAGTCTCACTCTGTCACCCAGGCTGGAGTGCAGTAGCACAATCTCAGTTCACTGCAACTTCTGCCTCCCAGGTTCAAGCAATTCTCCTACCTCAGCCTCCTGAGTAGCTGGGATTACATGTGTGCGCCACCACACCTGGCTAATTTTTGTATTTTTAGTAGAGACAGCGTTTCTCCATGTTGGTCAGGCTGGTTTCAAAATCCTGACCTCAAGTGATCTGCCTGCCTCGGCCTCCCAAAGTGCTGGGATTAAAGGCGTGAGCCACCGCATCCTGCCCAAAAAATTTTGATAAAGCATCAAATCCCAGTCTGGTCACCTCTGCTCTAAGAAACTAAGAAATCCTGTCCCTGAAACCCAGATCCTGGCTGCCAAAATAACACCATCATCCTTGCCATCAGCCACCACAAGGGCACTTACAGGGCATGCACTTTGAGCCAAGCTCAATCTAAGCCTTTGCATGTGCTAATGAACTCCTTCCCTGTTTTGACCTCTTGCCCACTTACTGTCTGCCAGATTTCTGGATTTGGCCCTCCCAGCTCTGAGCTCTGACAGATCCCACTGAATACCAGTTCCAATGGCTCCCTTGCTACAGGTTTCTGCAGGTCGTATCATGAGATTAGTTGCTATCTTAAATGGAAGCTCATGAAAGTGCTTCTCCGCTAAGGTAGAAGGAAACTCCATTTCGAACTCTCTCTGTCACTGCTGCTAAATGTCCCTTTTCCCAATGCTGCTGGGAATCTGACCCATGGACTTCTACAAACCTTCAGCAAATATGTGTTCCCTGGACTCTGGCTGCCTACCTGGAGGCTGACTTTGCCTGGAACTTTGCAGGCACCTCTCCTTCAGAGCTCTCATACCTACTAACACCCAATTACATCCTTCATTCTTTCCTAGCTTTATCCAAATGACAGTCAAGCTGCCTGGGGCTAAGGGGGATGATCTCTGAGTCCTGCATATAGATGGTGTATGAGATTTAAAGAAGGTGTGATTTTAAAAAAAGTGTGATTTGAGGGACGCTATTTATTTTATTTTACATAAAAAAGAAGAACCAGGATGCTGAAAATGATGCTATTGATTATAAATAGGAAGAAAACGCTAGTCGGTTGAAATAGCCAGTATGGTCTTGGTCATTCATAAGGAAAGAATGGCCCCTGTCCTGGGAGCTGGCTTTAGAAGAACCCACTGTGGCAGAACTGGTCAAATCCTCCACCACCTAGTACCTATAGGCTTTCAATTTCCTGCCAATAAGGCACCAAGGTCTGCCTGAGACTTGACATCTAAAAAACTCCTAATTGGCCAGGTGCGGTGGCTCATGCCTGTAATCCCAACACTTTGGGAGGCTGAGGCAGGCAGATCACTTGAGGCCAGAAGTTCAAAACCAGCCTGGCCAACATGGAGAAACCCATCTCTACTAAAAATACAAAAATTATCCAGGCATGGTGGCTGGCGCCCATAATCCCAGCTACTCAGGTGGCTGAGGCTCAAGAATCCCTCGAACCCGGGAGGCGGAGGTTGCAGTGAGCCGAGATTGAGCCACTGTACTCCAGCCTAGGCGACAGAGTGAGACTCCGTCTCAATAAATAAATAAATACATCAATAGCCCACGATTAAGCCAGGCATGCTGGCCCATGCCTGTTGTCCCAGCTACTCAGGAGACTGAGGCAGGGTAATCCCTCGCGCCCAGGAGTTCAAGGCTGCAGTGCACAATGATTATGCCTGTAAACAGCCCCGGCACTCCAGCCTGTGCAAATAGCAAGACCTCATCTCTAAAAAAATAAGATAAAAGCCAAAATGCCCACTATCTGACTCACCAAAAGGTGTGTATTTAAGGCGTTGTCTGCAGTGCCTGGCTGAACCTACTGAAGCCTGAGGAAAAAGGAAAAATCAATAATACAGGTTCTGTCTTCATTGAAAAGTTTGATATTTTGCGTCTCATGGATTTTTTGCACTAATTTGGATGTTGAAAATATTGCATTAAAATATTATTTATCTAGAGTATTGGGTGTTTTAGGCACTCCCTTAAATTTTGTGCCTAAGGTGAGTGCCTCACTCTCCTGGTCATAGTCCTGGCGCAGTGATGTCTACAAAGACTAATAAGATTTACCTGTTACCAAGCTCCTACTCTAATAAACATACTTAGCTCATTAGATTAGCTAGTTGATACCAGCCCGATCAGCTCACATAATTGCTTCCCTGGCCCTTGTTTATCCAGAAAGTAGAGTCCTGCCTCAAATTTCCTAGCCAGTGGTCATGTCTGTACTCTTTGCTGCCAAACCCTTTCCAGACCCTCATACTGACTGCCTGGTTGGGCCCCTACCGACACTGTCGACCCTCTGAACATTGTGCACAACCCTAGGAAGGAGCACTAGGTGCTGCCTAACTCTGGATCCCCGACACTAACTCCCTGGCCCAACTGGACTCTTTCTCATTTATCTGTGTCTGAGTCTCCTGGGCCTCATTCCACCCTCCCAGAAGTTCTTCCTTTACTGCTTGCCTCCTGGTCAGGTCTTCCCTGAAAAAATACCCCACCTGTGTGTGAATCTTTCTGGTTTCTGGGTCTCGTGCCTCCCCTAAGCAATGCAAACCTTGAGTCAAGTACTACGCTCTTGCCCCAGGCCTGGCATTGTTACGTTAATAACCATTGAGAGCATACCATGTGCCACTGACCCATGCTTTCCTTGTGTTAACCCACATGCACCTCATCGTAACCTTATGAGTAGATACTATTGTCATCTCCATTTTACAAATGAGCAAACCAAAGCCCAGAGAGGCAAAGTTATTTGCCCAAGGTCACACAGCTAAGAAGTGGCAGAAATGGGCTACAAACACAGTTTCTAGAGCCCAACTCTTAACTATCATGTTACCTAGCTTCTGCTTACAGTCTAAGAAGCCCTGCGTGGAAAGTTTGGAATCAGATGAGTCTCAAATTCAAATCCCAGATGTTCAGTTTATGAGCTTCATGGCTGTGGGGTGTCACTTTAGTTCTCCTGGTCTCAGCTCCCTCATCTTGCATGGCTTTGTAAGAAGTGACATTAGGCCCTCAGTACACAGTAGACACAACCATCACCCCCAACCTTTCCTGCAGGATAACCCTAGCAACCACAAACATGCTGTGAGCAGGGCCTAAGGCACTTAATTCCACACTCTGGAAATGTCAGTAACCGTTGAAAAGAATAAAGCCAGTTCTATTTGTAAAGCATTTTACTGCCGATGGAGGAGGTGAAGTGCATGTTGCGTTTGAAGGTTTGCAGCATGAACTCTAGAGGTCAGCTACCGAAGCTGAAGCCTGGATTCCACAATCGTGTGTGACTTTGGGCAAGTTTCTTTCTCTTTTTTCTTCCTTTTTTTTTTTTTTTTTTTTTTTTTCGGAGACGGAGTCTTGCTCTGTCTCCCAGGCTGGAGTGCAGTGGCACAATCATGGCTCACTGCAGCCTTGACCTCCCAGATTCAAGAGATCCTCCTACCTCAGCCTCCCAAGTAGGTGGGACTATAGGCGTGCACAATCACACCTGGCTAAGTTTTTTTTTTTTTTTTTTCCAGCGATAGGGGTCTTGCTATGTTGCCAGGGTTGGTCTTAAACTCCTGGGCTCAAGTGATCTCCCCAGCTCGGCTTCCCAAAGTGCTGGGATTACAGGCATGAGCCAACGTGCCTGGCCTGGGCAAGTTTCTTAAATTCCCTATAGCTTAGTTATCTCATCTTTAACCGAGGGACAATAATAATAACAATAATAATAATAATAATAATAATCATAGCACCTACCTTGCATAGGGTTGTTGCTGATTATAGAGTTAATACACATGTAACACCCTTAGAATAGTGCCCTGAACACACCGTGAGCTCTTCAAAGTGTAAACCGATTGGTCTCTAAGATAAGGGGAACTGGTATGTCACCACCATTTTGCAGTCCAGGAAACAAAGACACTGAGGGGTTGAAGGATTTGCTCAATAGCCCTCAGCTTTTGCAGAGTGGACCCCAAATTGAAATTCAGAACCTCTGGTTAGAGGGTTGCTGGCTCCTCCATTTCATCCAGGAGTTTCTTATTTCCATTTCTGACATGACTGCGATTGGCTCTGATTCCCAAGCCACGGGTTTCCAACCTTATTAATGCGCTCCTGCAAAAGCCAGGCTCCTCCTCACAGGCTCTGCTGCTGTTCGGAGCAGGCCCGGGCTGCTGTGTACCTCACAGCTCCCCGACAGAGTGCTGCACAATGACGACCTTCGGTGGGGCAGACATTCGCCTCCATCAGGCGCCTAATTATGCAAACCCTGAACATGAGACTGAAGAGGAGACTGGCCTGCCCAGGGACGATTGATGAGGCTGGCTGGTTTCATCTTCCCCATTGTGTAGGCCAGAGGCTTCATGATGGGAGCGGCTCAGCTGCGGGATCTCGGTTGCTTTGTTGCAGGCGCTGGGGCAACGAAGGGTGAACTGGGTTAATAAAATGTGCTGGTGACTCACTCCTAGGAAAGAACCTGTGATGGATCATTAAGCTGTCTCGGAACTTATTTCAGGCCCACACCCGCAAGATGAACGCTCTCAATTTGTTTATTAGGTCTCCAACAATAGGCCACTGTTCTCCTTCCCCACAACTCAGTTACACAATCTTTCCCCTCGTGTCTTTCAGCCACCTACTGAAAATCTGTCTGTGTGCCGAGCACGCGCTCCCCATCCCTCTACCAAATGCCTGGCTGGCGCGTCATCCCTGGCTTTGATGGGTACGTTCACTTCCCTAGCGCTGGCTTCCCCTAAGATGGGGGGACTTACCCTCCTGCCTGAGCCCTCATGCTGGCAGATTTGGTTCTTTCCATCTCCCTCTCCGCTGAAGTCTTCTCACCCTCACTGACTCCATGCTGGATCTAGACCTCTGAATGGTCCATCCTAGTGCCTGTCCTGGCTCTCCCAATTCCCCTTTAATCCAAAGGTCTTGGGTTGATCCTTTTTAAAAAGAAATTATTTTATTCTTTAAAACTATATATAAATAATTCATGTTTTTTTTTTTTTTTTTTTTTTTTTTTTTTGTTTTTTGAGACGGAGTCTCGCTCTGTCGCCCAGGCTGGAGTGCAGTGGCGGGATCTCGGCTCACTGCAAGCTCCGCCTCCCGGGTTCACGCCATTCTCCTGCCTCAGCCTCCCGAGTAGCTGGGACTACAGGCGCCCGCCACTACGCCCGGCTAATTTTTTGTATTTTTAGTAGAGACGGGGTTTCACCGTTTTAGCCGGGATGGTCTCGATCTCCTGACCTCGTGATCCGCCCGCCTCGGCCTCCCAAAGTGCTGGGATTACAGGCGTGAGCCACCGCGCCCGGCCATAATTCATGTTTACTATGGAAAAAAGAAATCACTTATAATCTTGCCACTCAGAAATAATCTCTGTTAACATTTTTGTGGTGGGGCATGGTGGCTCATGCCTGTAATCCCAGAATTTTGGGAGGCCAAGGTGGGAGGATTGCTTGAGCCCAGGACTTCAAGACCAGCCTGGGCAACAAAATGAGACTCCATCTCTTCAAAAAATAAAATAAAAAATAAGCCAGGCATGGTGGTGTGCGCCTGTGGTCCCAGCTACTCAGGAGGCTGAGGTGGGAGGATTGCTTGAGCCTAGGAGGTCAAGGCTGCAGTGAGCTGTAATCGCGCCACTGCATTCCAGCCTAGGTAACAGAGCAAGACCTGGTTTCAAACAACAACAACAACAAAAGCACGTTTTTAGGGTATAATCTCTTGGACCTCCCCTCATTCCAGAATTTACCTCTGTGCCCATCTTTGCTGGGACACTTCTGATAGGTGCCCCCGTGGTGTACTGGAAGTATGCAAATGCCACTTCAACTAGTTTTTTTCTTCTAAAGTCAGTAAGATAGGTACCCGGCAAATGTCACTTCTTAGTGAGCATCTACTGCAGGATAAGATGTATTTGCCAGCTTGCATGTGGATCTAGATTGTGGAATCACCTTCCTTGTGGCCTCTGCACATCTACAAATGAGAATGTCTTGCCTGCATTTTTGGAATAGCCTCCTTCTAGTTACGTGGCCTCCAGAGTGAGCAGAACAAGACGCTAACACATCGGATCACTCCTCCGATTGCAACCTTCCGTGGCTTTGCGTCCTGATTTGGGACAGACTCGGGCCACCCGCCTCCTGTGTCTCTTCAGGACGCGAGGCTTGTTTGCCTTTCCAGTTTCTTCGCTTGCCTCCTTACTGGGGGTGTTCATGCTGTAGCCTCATCAGACAATTTGCTCTTCCTAGAATGGGATGACTCTTTGCACCTAAGGATCGTTGTACGGGCTGCTCCAGCTGCCTGGAGTCAGTTTTCCTTCCCCGTTTCTTGTCTGACTAGTATTCCTACTCTTCCTTCAAGGCTTAGTCCAAATATCATCTCCCCTAACTACCCTGCCCCATCTTGTCTACTGTCACTTATGCGCGTCTCCTCTGTGGAGACGTAACAGGCCACTGCTAGACTTTGACTCATTAAAAATCTGTCATCTGTCTCCCTCACCACACTATGAGCTACCTGAGGGCAGATATTGTATTTTTTCTTTATTTAGACAGGGTCTCGCTCTGTCACCCGGGCTGGAGTGCAGTGGCACAATCACGGCTCACTGCAGCCTCAACCTCCTGGGCTCAAGTGATCCTCCTACCTCAGCCTCCCAAGTAGCTGGGATTACAGTCACACAGCACCGCGCCCAGATAATTTTTTTATTTTTTGTAGAGACAGGATTTCGTCATGTTGCCCAGGCTGGCCTAAAACTCATGGGCTCAAGCGATCCACCCATCTTGGCCTCCCAAAGTGCTGCGATTATAGGCGTGAGCCACCATCCCTAGCTAATTTTTGCATTTTTTGTAGAGACAGGGTCTCACCATCTTGCCCAGGCTGGTCTTGAATTCCTGGGCTCAAGCAATTTACCTGCCTCGGCCTCTCAAAGTGCTAGGATTACAGGCGTGAGCCACCACTAGGGATTGTATTTTTTAACACTTTTTTTTCTTCAGCCAGTCACAAAAAATCTGGCCCACAATGCATATTGAGTTCAAGAGGATTTCTTTTTAACTGACTAGAATAAAGGAATAAAAACTATACCTATAGCTGCTCAATGTTATTGTTGCTTCAGAGGTAAGCATTTTTATTAGATCCAGGTACAGAATAAATTTCAAAATTGACTCGGACAACAAGTTTGTACACACCTATGATCTTAATGCTTTACATTATGTAAATTACCTCATGTGAATTACTTAATTTAATCCCATCTCAACCTCACAACAGCCGCATGAGATGAGAGTAATTTTAAGTTATAGATTAGCCAGACTCAGGGATATATCAGGATCTTACAAATAGCAAATAATAGGACCAGAATTTGAACCAAAATCAAAATTATGATCATTTTCTAAACCAAAATGATTAGGATTCAATTGTCTTTAAAGTTTTCTGGGGCCAGGCACAGTGGCTCACCCTGGGAGGCCGAGGCCGGTGGATCCCTTGAGCTCAGGAGTTCGAGATCAGCCTGAGCAGCATAGAGAGAGCCCCGCCTCTACAAAAATATACAAAAATTGGCCGTGTGTGGTGGCACAGACCTGTATTCTCAGCTACTTGGGGGACTGAGGTGGGAGGATCACTTGAGTTGGGGAGGCTGCAGTGAGCTGAGACTGAGCCACTGCCCTCCAGCCTGGGTGACAGAGTGAGACTCTGTCTCAAAAATAAATAGGTAAATAAATAAATAAATAAATAAAGATTTTTGGATGCAGAAATTTGTTTCCAAAAGCAATATCCCTAAACCTGGCCCCTTAGTCGCCTGGTTCCTCATAATTTAGCAGCTGAATAATCACGGGTTCACATCCTTCTCAAAGGGTACTGGGTGTGGTGGCACATTCCTATAATCGCAGCTACTCAGGAGGCTGAGACGGGATGATTGCTTGAGCCCAGGAGTTCGTGCCCAGCTGGGCAACACAGTAAGACCCTGTCTCTTAAAAAAACGTAACTAGGGGACTTATGACCAAATCTTTTCCCTTCCTTCATCTCAACTATGATAAACTTTCTCCAGTCATCTTTCCTCAACTGAACATTTTCTGCATAACTTGGAAAAGTGGTAGATTGTTACCCACAAACAAAGGACTGCTCATCCAGGTAGTATATGGGGTGCACTGATGTCTTGAAGATCTTAACAGAAGGACTCTGATACTGGATGTTCTTTATGTGTAGAAAAGTGCCTTGTTCTACTTAAAGTTCTCATTCACTCAAAAACATTTACAGAGGAGTTAATAATCACAGATAATAACAGTAGCTAACGTTTATTGAGGGCTTAGTATGTGAGAGGCACTGCTCTACCTGCCTTATGAATAGTAACTCATTTAATCCTCAACAACCCTCAGGCAGGAACTATTGTTAAGACAGTCTATAGATGAGCAAACTGAGACAGAGAAGGCAAGTAACTTGCCCAAGGCCACGGAGCCTATGGTATATTGCCTGTCCCTCCATGCACAGGGCTCTCAGCCAGCTTAGGGTAGATGACACAGGCCCCGCCCTCATGGAGCCTAATTGCTCATGTGAGAGAGACATGGAACAAGGAACTTCGGTACTTGGTGCTGGGGACACATACAAGGTGATAAGAGGTATAAGAAAGAAATGTTGGGCCGGGTGTGGTGGCTCACACCTGTAATCCCAGCACTTTGGGAGGCTGAGGAGGGCAGATTTCTTGAGGTCATGAGTTCGAGACCAGCCTGGCCAACATGGTGAAACCCCATCTCTAATAAAAATACAAAAAATTAGCTGGGTATGGTAGCACACACCTGTAGTCCTAGCTACTCAGGAGGCTGAGGCAGGAGAATCGCTTGAACCTGGGAGGCAGAGGTTGCAGTGAGCCGAGATTGCACCACTGCACTCCAGCCTGGGTGACAGAGTGAGACTCCATCTCAAAAAAAAAAAAAAAAAAAAGTTGGACTGCTGGACTGCTAGCTGATGACTTCAGAGGATCAGAGGGGGTGACATTTTAGCTGGATCCTAAAGGATAAGTAGGAGTTCAGTAGGCTGACAAGGGTGGGGTTTGTTGCACAGAGTAACCTTTGCGAAGAGGATAAAACATGTAAAATGTGGAGGTGGAAGAAGAGTAACTTACTTGAAGAACAGTGAGAATTTCTGAGTGATTGGCTCCCAGGGTCCACAGGGGAAGCAGCAGGAAGAAGCCTGGAAAAGCAGGTTGGGCCAAATCATGGAGGGGCTAAAGGAACTGTACATTAGTTGGTGAGAAAGGAAGACTTACTGGAGATATTTAAACAGAGGAGCAGCATGATTACATTTGTGTTATACTTATGAGCAATGGGGAAGATGGACAGGTAGGTGAGAGTTTAAAAAGGAAACCAGAAAATCAATCAAAAGGCAGTTGGAGGCTCACACCTGTAATCCCAACACCTGGGAAGGCCAAGGCAGGAGGATCGCTGGGGTCCAGGAATTTGAGACCAGACTGGGCAACATAGTGAGACCCCATCTCTAAAAAAAAAAAGTTAACCTGGTATGGTGGTGCATGCCTGTGGTCCCAGCTACTCAGGAGGCTGAGATGGGAGGATCGCTTACGCCTGGGAGGTCGAGGTTACAGTGAGCCATGATCACACCAGTGAATTCCAGCCTGGGTGACAGAGCAAGAGCCTATCTCAAAAATAAATAAATAAATAAATAAATAAATAAATAAATAAATAAAAGACAGTTAGAATTAGCTAAGAAACACATAGTCCCCCAAGGAAGGAATTGGTGGGCAAAGTATTTTAAGAAGCAGAATCAATAAAACTCAGTGACCCTAAAGCTTCTCACCTGGGCCTGTGTGAATGGGGAGGACATTAACCTTGGCAGGGAATAAAGGAGGAAGGGCTCATTTGTTCATCTATTTGTTCAACAGACACTTTGTCAGAGCACAGGAACCTGCCTCAGGTACTGGGGCTACAGCGGCGATTCAGACACAGGCCTGCTCTCACAGAGCTCATAGCCTCATGGGCAAGGCAGACAAGTAAACACACTGATTACAAGGCAAAGTAGTGTGTGGGCCGCCCCCTGAGTCAGAGTCTGATGGTGACATCTTGACATCTCACCCTCGCTGGCATGGCCAGCCCTAGAGGCAGCACTGGTTCCTCTGGTCACTCTGCCACCCCCTCACTGAAGAGGTCCACTCTGGCTTCCCCAGGGCACAGGGGAAGAGCCTGATGTGGACATTTGGTGACGGCAGAACTGGAGCCAGGGCACAGCTTCTATGAAGGCAGGGCAGAAACTGGGCCTCCCAGTGGGTGAGCCACGTCAGTGCCCATCTGGGAAATCCAAGAGCCAAATGCTGGTAGAACTGGATAGAAACCCCTAATCAAGGCTGTGGGGGGAACAGAGCCAAGAGTTTATTTTTAATTTATTTTTATTTTTTTAGAGACAGGGTCTCACCCTGTTGCCCAGGTTTAAGCACAGTGGTACAATCGCAGCTCACTGCAGCCTCAAATTCCCAGGCTCAAGCGATCTTCCCACCTCAGCCTCCTAAGTAGCTGGGACTACAGGTGTGCACCACCACACTCAGCTAGTTTTTAAATTTTTTTGTAGAGACAGAGTCTCCCTACGTTGCCCAGGCTGGTCTTGAATTCCTGGGCTCAAGCGATCCTCCCAGCTCCGCCTCCCAGAGTGCTGGGATCAGAGGCATGAGCCACCGTGCTCAACCAAGAACCAAGAGTTTAAAGCTGGGCAGATATGAGACAAGAACAAGCCAGAATATCCAGGGATGATTATCCTAAACCCCAGGGAACTCGCTGTTTTCTCTGATGGCTGGTATGCGCATGGTACTCGGGTTATAGGGGCTGGCAAAGAGGGTCAGAAGTAGCCCTCTAACCAGTGCACTGGTTTCTACATGCTGCAGAGAAGTGGCCCAGTCATCACATCCTTTTCCATCCTCCCAGATAACCCGCATCAGTTCATCTGGGTGTGCTGTGGATTGCAAGGCATGAAGATTGACTATCTGTAATTGTTTCTGCAGGAGGCAAGCTGCAGGAGACGGAGGGAGGTAGAGCGAGGGGCCAAGTACACAGAGAGCAGGGCCTGTGAGGAGAGGATTGTCCCCCACTCTCCCTCTCCAGTTTCCTCTCTTTAGAAAGAAAAAGGAATGGACAGGGTCAGCAGAATCTGGAGGCTGCGTTGAAGCTGCCCGTGCTTCTGAACGAAGCAGCCAGTGCCGCTCGACCATCTGGGACACCGGTGGAATTCAGGGCCCCTCTCAGGACATTCAGGGCATGTGGACAAGGTCAGCCACAGGGTGAGGGAGATGGGTAGAGAAAAAGATAACAGGAAATGAATAAGAAAGGGAGCTGCAAAGAGAAAAAAGAGAGCTGGAGAGGAGTAAAGAGGTGAAGGCCCTGTTTCCTGTCCTTGGATTCTTACAGCTCTGCTCACAGCAGCTTCATTTCACACAGTGGCACCGACAACTGATGTGACCGCTTGGGGAGGCAGTAGTGGCGGGAGAAGGCTGGGTTGGGGACCAACTGGGTATGGCATGAGTTTCTGAACCTGGAGAACCTGAAGCCTGATGATCCCTGATGGGAGATGACAACAGGTGGACTGAGCCACTGAGGGGAGGGAGGCGAGCTGGGAGGGGAGGGGGGGGTTCCACGGCAAGCATGTGAATGAGGACACTGGTGGCTGGAGTCCTGGGAGCACCGCAGTCTCCTTTTGGGGTTGATCGGAGCCCTTGGCAGCTTGGGCAGCAGCCATTCATTGCTGTCTTCATTTTATTAACTTTAATTTGTAACTGGGTTGATCAGCAACTGTTCTTCCTGGAGGGTGTAATTAGGGTTATAAATAAAGTCAAGTGGAGAGTTTGGACAACCAAGGGCTGTGCATTCTGTGCTATACTGAGCCCGGGGCCCCCCACGACACCCTCCCTGGAGGACGCCATTTTCCAGCAATAGGTTTGTTGCCTCATTGACTCAAAGGGAAGGCTGAAGTCGCACAGAACCTCATACTTCATGATTTGGAAGGAGTCAGCGTTGGCAACCTTGATCTTCTAGAAACCAGCCATTTGGGGTATTTCCTGGTGGAGCCTTTTTAATTTAGAGCCCACAGCATTCAATTGATCCCAGATGTCCCAGCTCTTCCTTGAACCATCCAGGTATAGTGCATGCTCCTCCCCACCTACCCCATCCAGGCTGGACCCAAGGTCTCTCAGATCTGACTGCTTCTCTCCACCCCTACTGCCCAGGCTTTAGTTCAAGGACAACTCAGTTTCCCTCTGGATTATTCCTTGGTCCTCCTGGTCTCCCATGGCCCTCTCACTGTCTCCAAAGTAACCATCCTAAAGTACAAATATCTCCTTGTTACAGCACTCCAGGACAACCCCAAACAGCCAGCCCCTCACATCTCTTGCCTTTGCACATGCAGTTTCCTTCTCTTTGAATTTGTGTCTCTCTCTTGCCCTTACACGTCCATCATTGCTTGGTCTGAAATTGGTCCTCTACTCTCTTAAATCCTGTGTGTCAGTGTCATTCTGGATTTGCAGATGCATTTTGGACAGGGATCGTATCTCTGAATTTTTTTTCTCTAAGGTCTATCCCAGATAAGGCCCATATATAGATGTTCTAGGTGATAAGGTTCTAAATGTTCTATGTGATAAAGCTGCTGCTGTATATGTGGCTAAGTGTTGAAACCAACACTCTCCAATAAAACTTTACGTGGCGATGGAAATGTCCCATATCTGCCATGTCCAATATGGTAGCCACTAACAACATGTGGCGATTGAGCATTTCAAATATGACTATTGCAGTGAAGGAACTAAATTCATGGTATTGAATTTTAACTTAAGTAATTTAAATTCAAATAGCCACATCTGGCTAGTGGCTACCATATTGGACAGCACAGGTTTGGCTTAAGCCAACTTGGAATAAGGGTTAGTTAACAAGACTTCCTGCCTGTATCAAATTCAGCACCTCACAGCTATTTTTCAATCTTTGAATAAAATAAATAGCAGTAACAACAATATTTAATCCAGGATTAAATATTGTTTTGATAGCTCAGACTGGGGCAATGTCACAGGCTTATCATCCCAGGCAAACTTTTGATAGTCCAGGGCAATTTCATCTGTTTAAAACATGCTGAGGCTGGCGGTATCTTGCCAGCAAATGCCTTCTAAAGAAGGTGGAACATGGCCGGGTGTGGTGGCTCATGCCTTGTAATCCCAGCACTTTGGGAGGCTGAAGCAGGTGGATCACTTGAGGTCAGGAGTTTGAGACTAGCCTGGCCAACATGGTGAAACCCCATCTCTACTAAAAATGCAAAAATTACCTGGGTATGGTGGTGCATGCCTGTAGTCCCAGCTACTTGGGAGGCTGAGCCAGGAGAATCACTTGAACCTGGGAGCCAGAGGTTGCAGTGCACTGAGATAGCACAGCTGCAACTGCACCCCAGCCTGGGTGATAGAGTGAGGCCCTGTCTCAAAAAAAAAAAAAAAAGAAGAGGAAGAAGGTGGAGCATGATGAACCCAGCTAAGTGAGCTGCTCCAGGCATGAGTAGTGGTATTCCCCAAGCAGGGGAGAATGGTTTCTTAGGTATCCTGAAATGTGAGAGAAATTATATCCCGAGAGTCTTACAGGGAAGATCTGAATTTATCCTAAAAAGGTTATTTATTGGCCCAGCCCTAAAAACTTTAAAACAGGGGTAGAAATAGGACTAGTTCAGCAGATGTGCAGTGCCAGGCTGTTAGGTTTCCTTAACTCTTGCTCCAAGGGTAGATCCTTTCTTCTGCCTGTACTTTCTTGGCAATTAGCAATGTGTCTGAATACAAAAAGAAAGCTTAATCCTTTCTTTCTGGGCAGCTGCATCCTTTGAGTTACGGAAGCCCGGAGCTCTCTGGTGACTGATGGCAAGGTGGAACAATGGGTCAGACAGGGAGGTGAGAGCAGGGGTAGGACACTGACAGCAAAAATACAAAGTTCTCCAGCTCCAGTGCCTACCCCAGTTATCAGCCTGTGCTAATGAAAAGTGACGACTCAGGAAAAGAAACTCTCAGCTGCCTTGGCCTCTAGAAGAAATGGTTTTGATGGGGGTCGGGGAGCAGCAGGCTGGGGAATAGGATGAGGCTGCCAGCATGGCAGTAGCTCTGTTTAAAAACACCCTTGGCCAGGCGCGTGGCTCACGTCTGTAACCCCAGCACTTTGGGAGGCTGAGGTGTGTCAATCACCTGAGGAGTTCGAGACCAGCCTGACCAATATGGTGAAACCCCATCTCTACTAAAAATACAAAAATTAACCGGGCGTGGTGGCATGTACCCGGCACTCAGGAGGCTGAGACAGGAGAATTGCTTGAACCTGGGAGGCAGAGGTTTCAGTGAGCCGAGATCGCATCACTGCACTCCAGCCTAAGCCACAGAGCGAGATTCCGTCTAAAAAACAAACAAACAAAAAAAAAACAAAACAAAAACAAAAACACTCTCACAGGATGGGAAGAGCTAACAAAAGGAAAATAATTATAGCATTTTAGCCAACACTGTATCTGCTTAAACTCACATATAAATAGATCCTTAAGCCCTTCTCTACTCGGCATAGCCACTTTAACCTCATCCATGAGCAGGGACTTTGAGGGGGCAGGAGAATGTTTTCTGGTGAAGCAAAGAACCGCCCCCACAACCAAAGCACCACACAAACTTACGAAAAAAACAAACAACAACAACAACACCAAAAAAACAAACAAACCCTGCTCAGTCCCTGGGGAAGAGAAAAGGCCAGGATATGGAACAGGGAGGGAAGGGCTGCATTCAAAATCCCGTCCTACCCATACATTGTAAAATGGTACAACCACTTTAGGAAACAGTTGGGTGGTTTCTTTAAAAGTGAAACATACACTTACCATGTGACCCAGCAATCCCTCTTCTAGTTACTAATGCGAGAGAAATGAACACATGCATCCACATGATGATTTATATACAAATGTTCATAACTGCTTTACTCATAATAGCTGCCAACTGGAAACAACCCAGATGTCCAAACACAGGTGAATGGCTACACAAACTATAACATATCCATATAATGGAATATATTACTCTGCAATAACAAGGAAAGAACTATGATAGACGCAACAATATGAACGAATCTTGAAATCATTAGGCTGAGGGGGAAAAGTCAGAGGTAAGAGTAGAGTAGAAACTGTATGGTAACGTATACAAAACATGCAAATCTGATCTGTCATGACAGAAAGCAGATTGGTGCTTGCCTGGGGCCAGGGAAGGGGCATGACTGACTCAGAAGGGGCCACAGGGAACCTTTCAGGGTAACGGAAATGTTCTCTACTTTGGTTATTGTGGTAGGTATGCAAACATACAACAGTGCACCTAAAATGGGCACATTTTGTTGTGCGTAAGTTAGACCTCAACAAAGTTGACTTAAGAAATAATTCCTTCCCGAGAGCCTGGCCTACGAGGTGCGGGCAAGCAGAGAGGCCTCCCTCAAGGCACTGGCGATACTGCCAAGCTGGAAAAACGGCTCGCTGGCAGCCTGGAAAAGGCCGTTCTCTGGCTCTTGATCCTTAAAAGGCTGGAATTTCTGGCTGAACAAGAAGGCCTGGGCCCAGTCCCCAGGGGGCAGCTTCTCCTCAGCTCTGGGCAGGGTGCCCGGCCACCCCTCACACAGGTGCTGGCTTGCTGCCCAAACACAGGACCAGGGGGCCTGGGCAGGCCCCCACAGCCCTGCTGGGGGAAGAGGAGGAGACCAGCCCGTAGCCAGCCCAGCCTCAGCCCCAGCAGCCTGTGGCTGGCAGGGCCTCTGCCTACACAGCAAGCTCTCAGAGTGGGGGGATGGGAGCAGCGCCCAGGCACCCACCCAGCTCCCCCAACCCAGAGTGTCACCGGGGACCTTTACCCTGAATGGGGATGGTTTTAACAGCCCCTAGAGAGGGTCAGGGCATCTGTGACAGGACAGGGTCTGAGCCCCGGACTTTCACCTCTCAGCCCAGTGCCCTTTTCCCCGCAGCAGCCTAAGCTCCCAGTGATTCTCTGGGGGAGGGATTTCTGATGGGGCTGGTTCTAAAGAAAAGCTCTCCAGGGCAGGGCCTGTGAAACCCAAGGACTGACTGCTGCGGGGGCTGGATAGCCTTTGGGGACAGAGGAGGGGAGAGGGTGGCAGAACCTAAACAGCTGCGGCCGCTGCTTTGTCCAAGGGCAACCCAGCCTCCCAGGTGTGGCCATCACCTCTGCCTCTGACCTGAGTCTCAGACCAGAGCCAGCTGAGGCCTGGGTGCTCCCTTCAGCCCCTTCTGGTTCTGCAATTCAAGGCCCAGTTAACCCCCTGTGGGGTCATAGAGAAGCTTGCAGAGGGTGAAGCCTGGGACCTGATTCTGCTCACCCTGGACTCTGGCCCAGCCAGTGCCTTCTGGCAACAGGGACCCTCTGGGGTCCCAGGAGCCCTGGAACCTCCTCTGCTCCCTCTGGCTCTGTCTCCTGCCCCACCCCCTTCCCTGTTGCCACCTGCACCTGTTTTTCCAGCCTTGCTCAATCTCTCCAATCCACAGGCTGTTTGTTCCCAGGGGTCGCCTCCCCTTATCTCCCAGGCAGCTGTTGGCCATGGCCTGAAGGTACAGAATTCATTGTTAACTCTTCAGCTTCCCTCACACACTCCACCCCCAAAAACCATAGCAGCAAAGAGCACCAGGGAGGGCCCAGGTTTGGGGTCTGGGGTCTGGCCCTCCCTGCTGTGTGACCTTGCCTCATTGTGTGACCTTGAGCTGGTCACTTACCCGCTACACTTCTGTTTTCTCATTGGTAAAATGAGAGCATTTTACCTTTTTATTACCTCAGCTCTGTACCTCTTCCCCCGCCACACACACACACACTCACAAACTCTTTCTCTCTCTCTGTCTCTCTGTTCTTAAAATGTAGGGCTATCAAGTAACACTCATCCAATAATTATTAATTCAGGAGCTGATTTTTTTTTTCCAGACAGTCTCGCTCTTGTCCCCCAGGCTGGAGTGCAGTGGCTCGATCTTGGCTCACCTCTGCCTCCCAGGTTCAAGCAATTCTCCTGCCTCAGCCTCCCAAGTAGCTGGGATTACAGGCACCTGCCACTACGCCCGGCTAATTTTTGTATTTTTAGTAAAGATGGGGTTTTCCCATGTTGGCCAGGCTGGTCTCAAACTCCTGACCTCGTGATCTGCCTACCTCGGCCTCCCAAAGTGCTGGGATTACAGGCATGAGCCACCATGCCCGGCCAGGAGCTGATTTTGTATGAAGCAAAACTAATCAGAGCTTCTGAGCAGCATGTCCTGGTTTTGTTTCATACAAAACAGAATCCTGAATGAGTAATTACTGAATAAATGTACATTTATCATGTCCCTCATAATTCCAGCAATGAAACTTGACATTTTAGTTAAGCCAGTGTACCCTTCTCACAGATAAATATTCTATTTTCTGTTAGGATTTTATAAAGATAAAAAACAGCAACAGGTCTCTTTCTCCCTGCTCTTTTCTGATCTGGGGTGGGGTGTGGGGAGCCAGGAACAGGTGATCTTCCAGACCCCTTGTATTGCTGGGTTAGGAGGCCCACGTGTGTTCCATTGGCGAATACACTAGTCAATCATTAGGCCCATCATCAGTCCCACCTACCAATGCCTGGCCCCCATCAAAGACCAGTACAGAATAGAGAAGGGCCAGCAGGACCGGGGCAGAAAACCCTGCTCCCATCACAAACCCTTCTGCCTCTGCCCGCCCAGCCCACAATGAACACCAGAATTCAGAGCTACTGCCAGTGGAAATGGGAAGGGACCACCTCTGTGAGCACTTTAGGATTTCTCCAAGGGATGAGAAAGACTGGTTAAGAGTTCAGGGGGGCACAGTGGCTCACACCTGCAATCCCAGCACTTTGGGAGGCCGAGGCAGGAGGATCACCTGAGGCCAGGAGTTTGAGACCAGCCTGGTCAACATGGTGAAACCCCGTCTCTACTAAAAATACAAAAATTAGCCAGGCATGGTGGCAGGCACCTGTAATCCCAGCTACTGGGGAGGCTGAGGCAGGAGAATAGCTGGAACCTGGGAGGCAGAGGCTGCAGTGAGCCAAGATTGCGCCACTGCACTCCAGCCTGGGCAACAGAGTGAGACTCTGTCTCAAAAAACAAAAAAAAAAAAAAAAAGGCTGGGCACAGTGGCTCACGCCTGTTATCCCTGCGCTTTGGGAGGCTGAGGCGGGTGGACCATGAGGTCAAGAGATCAAGACCATCCTGGCCAACGTGGTGAAACCCTGTCTCTACTAAAAAAAAAAAAAAAAAAAAAAACTCTACTAAAAAACAAAAACAAAATACAAAAAAATTAGCTGGGCATGGTGGCATGCGCCTGTAGTCCCAGTTAGTCAGGAGGCTGAGGCAGGAGAATCACTTGAACCCGGGAGGCGGAGGTTGCAGTGAGCCGAGATTGCACCACTGCACTCTAACCTGGGGCGAGACTCTGTCTCAAAAAAGAAAAAAAAATCCATTCCCTACTGGACAGTCTACCATGATGTCTTAGAGGTGCCTCAAATTCAATTTGTTTAAACCAACCCATTGTTCTCCCTCTGGGGATGGGAGGGATGCCCCTCTGGCTGAAACCCCAACCTATACATCTGACCGTCAATCACCCAGGCTCTGCCTTCTGACCCTTAACTCCCCTCAGCCCCTGTCAGGACTTCTAGGCCAGAGCTCCAGTTCCTAATGGTGTTTTCTCCTTCACCTCCCTCAGCCCAGTCCTCACCAGGGCCCTCATGGCTCATGGTGGGGGCCTCCCATCTTCCCACCCATCACCACACTGGAGCCAGGGGGCTTTTTCACATCACCTGTGATTGATCATCCGTAGCCTTGATCAAAACCTTCAGTGACTTCATGCAAGGACACAACATGTATGCGAGACAATGGGGAGAAAAACAGGGAGTAACTAAAGTTCTTGGGGGAAAGGTGGTGAACCACTAATCACTCCAGACCTTTAATTTCACAAATGAGAGATATGAGACTCAGAGACACAGAGTACCCAGCTCAAGGTCACCCAGCAAGGCAGAGGGAGATGGTGTATTTGGGGGACAGTGACGCTCTGTCCCACCTGGCATGCTGTCCACCCCCCATGTCCTCACTGGGCACTGTACTCCAGCCACATGGAGCTTCTGTGTGCCCTAAACTTGAACAGCTCTTTCACTCTACTTCCTTCCTCATGTAGGCATGTCCTTCCTCTCCTCCCCACATCCACAGTCCTAGCCACCCGCCCAGGCCCAGCTCAAGTGCTGCCTCCTCCAGGAAGGCTTCCCTGAATGCCTATGCTGACCTCCTCTGCATGCCTTCCCTCCCATCACTCAGCATTCTCAGGTTTGGTTAGAATCATTCTTGGGCATGTCCTCCAGACAGGGTGGGACTTGTCTTACTCACCTTCATATCTTCAAGAGCACCCTGCACAGTGCCTGGCCTGTCACAGGTGCTCGACAGGTATTTCTGGAAGGAATTATCATTACATTTATATTGTCATTATGCATGTCTGGCATTGACAGTTGAGTCAGCCACTGTGCTCAGTGTACGAGTCAGAAGACATGCGTCTTCAAAACAGTCCCAACGATTAGCCCCATTTCACAGATGAGGAAACTCAGGCTCAAAGGAAATTGATTGCTTGCCCTGGGTCCCACTGCTGGAAGGAGGCAGAGTTGAAACTTGACCCCAAGTGCGGCTGATTCTAAAGCCTGTGACTCTTTGTTTTTGTTTTTGTTTTAAAGACGGAGTCTTGCTGTGTTGCCCAGGCTGGAGTGCAGTGGCATGATCTCTGTTCACTTCAACCTCCGCCTCCTGAGTTCAAGCGATTCTCCTGCCTCAGCTTCCCAAGCAGCTGGACTACAGGTATGTGCCACCATGCCCGGCTAATTTTTATAATTTTAGTAGAGACGGAGCTTCACCATGTTGGCCAGGCTGGTCTCAAACTCCTGACCTCAGGTGATCTGCCTGCCTCTGCCTCCCAAAGTACTGGGATTACATGTGTGAGCCATAGCATCTGGCCCAGCCAAGCCTATAACTCTTAATCTCTGTGTTCTCTCTGCAGCAGGGATGACGGCGCTCCTGGAGGCTGGCTGGGAAGCTGGTCAGGGTCCCAGGACTCTGACACCCCCAATGGCCCTTGTAGCCTTGGGGAGTCCTGTGATCCAAGGCTGGAGGACTGAGTCCCCTCCAGGTCTCATAGCAGACGAATAGCAGCTTCACCCAGGCCTGTTTTGTCGTGGCCCCATTCAGAGGCCGCCCTCCTCTGTGGTTTAGAGCATGCCCTGGAATCCCTAGCACAACCAGGTGACGAGAGTTCCCCGCTGGCCCCCTGCCGCGGGAACACAAAGTACCTTTGCACATAACCTTTCTTTGTCCTCTGCTGGTGACGGCAAATAGGGCAGGCCCAGGGCAACGTGGTAAGGTGGCAGAAGTTTGTTTTGGACAGTGTTTGCAGCTTCTCTGTTCCCTTTCCACCAGGGGTTACCTCCTGCTGGCTGACCCCTTCCTGTGCTGCGGGCTGGAATATAGGGTTTAACCCTGTTATAACCCAGAGGAACACAAAAGGAGGAACATCAGGCTTTATGGAGAGACTGGAAATGAAGTGGAGGTTTTCCTTGCTCATGAAACCTGGCTCACCCTACAGGTAGTCCCAAAGAGAGCTTGTGATTTTCTTTCCCCTTTGGTCCCCCGACCCCTTCAGAGCTCTCTGGGAAGCTATGCTCTCTCACTGCTTTCCCTCCCCTGATCAGAGTCCCTGTGCCAAGGCTCCTGGATACTGGGGCTGGAAAACCTCCTGTCCCTTCCACCACTCCTGTGCCCTCCAGGGAAGGGGTCTGGGGTCTCGGGGCTCACCCCCACCTGTGTGCCAGTCCCTGTGCTAGGCCTGCACAGACATCAGCTCGCTGATCACTACGAGAACCTCAACTCTTCTCCCCATTTCATGAGGACACCGAGGCTCAGAGGTGTTCGTGATACTCAAGATCACACTGCCAGAGCGTGAGTTACTGGGATTTGAACTTTGGTCCGTGTGGCTGCAAAGCCAGTGGCTGCTATGATTCTCTTTCCACTTGCTGCAGCCCACGTCCCTCTGGGCAAGTCTGACACCCTAGCTGCCCTCAACTGCCTGGCCCCGTGGCGTCCCAGAGGGCGAGGGGAGCACAGGGACTGGGCACAGAGGCCAGCTGGGGTCAAGGCAAGGGGGCTGCCCAGCACAGTGGTTCTGCTCCAGAGGTGCAGTCAGACTGCCTGGGTTGGCTCATGCCTGGGTCTGTCATTGTGGGCAGCGTGACCAGCCTAAACCTCAGTTTTCTCTTTTGTCACCTATGTGCTAAAAATACTTATTTCTGGAGATTCTTGTGAGGATTAAATGAGATCTTCCAAGCCAAGTGCTTTGCATAGTGACGCAGGGTAGGTGCTCAAGAAATTTTGTTGTCTGCCTGTGGTCTGGGTGGGGGCAGGGTGGGGCTGCGATGGTGAAGAAATGACACAGAAACCCACAGGAAACTTCATCATCTAGATGGTACATGGATGGCACATTCAAGGGAAGTAACGAAACGAGAAGAAAAAACTTTTACATTTTGGCTGAGCAAAGGCAACAATATAATTACCATCATTTATAAAAACTGCCTCCCATTAATGTCTAATTCCCACAAAGCGCAACAATGATTATCTCATTAACTATGTGTCAGATTAACTTTGTTGCAGGTTTTATTTGATTAAAACAGTGAACTCACAACACGTATTATGCTCATTCTTCATAGTTTGTGGTTTCTGGAGCATAGTCCTCTGTTGGCAACTTTTTCTAAATTAGAGGGCACGTTTCTGGGTAAGTTGTTTTTTAGAAATTTAGTTATCTGGAGTCCCAAAGCACCCAGGGTGGAGGGAAGGGCTCAGAGCTTCCTATTAGCTTCCACCTTTGGATTTGCTAAGGCCAGTGATGAAAGATGAATTATGTATCCATATTTTCAAGACTTTGGGGGCTGGGCTTGGGCTTGGGCCGGGCGCTGTGGCTCATGCCTGTAATCCCTGTACTTTGGGAGGCCGAGACAGGTGCATCACATGAGGCCAGGAGTTCGAGACCAGCCTGGCCAAAATGGTGAAACCCTGTCTCTACTAAAAATACAAAAATTAGCCAGTCATGGTGGCAGCACCTGTAATCCCAGCTACTCAGGAGGCTGAGCCAGGAGAATCACTTGAACCCAGAAGGTGGAGGTTGCAGTGAGCCAAGATCATGCCACTGCACTCCAGCTTAGCCAACAGAGCAAAACTCTGTCTCAAAAAAAAAAAGTCTTATTCGAATATTTTACTGTGTGCATTTGTATTACTTTTGTGACATATATAATTTTTTAATGTCTGGAAGCGGAAGATACTGTTTTTATTCCCTCCCCCTCCCCCTGGCCCCGATATATTGAAAACTCTAAAGTTGTTATATCCTGGATTCTGTTTCCTCCATGAGGAGAAAAGTTTGTTATCTGTCATATGCACTTAAGCACCTGATGTTTTTCTCATTTTCTGGTAGGTGGTGCAGACCCCTGTCCCCTCCTCCTCACCCCTACCTTAACAGGGAGAAGCTGCCTGTGGACAGCTCCCAGCTGCACAGGGAAATCGCTGAAGATTTCTAATAGGGAAGTGTCACACTTTGCCAACTCTGGAGAAGACAGAATAATTGGCTGGAATCGCAGACCGGGTCAGTGGTACAAGAGAAGGCAGAAGCTCGGTGGGGAGGGGTTGGTTCCCCAGCATTTGGCTGGGCATCTCCCACAATGCCAGACCAGAATCATTGTATCCTGAGGCTCGGGCCATTCCGTGGCCCCCGGTCATCCCCAGGAGCTGGAGTATGTGTCTGCTGCACTGTGGGAGAGCCCCTGCACCCACACTGAACCCAAGGGTGACCCTTTCCCTGAGATCAAGTGATGTAGAGGCTCAGGAAGAGCCCAGCTGCAGTGCTCAACTCCACCAGAAGGGAAGGGGAGGGAAGGGGGCAACAGAAACCCCTGTTGTCATGCAGAAAAGGAAAGCTTGTCTGGGAAAGGGTGTCCGCACTGTCCTTCCCCAGGGCTGTGCAGACCGATGGTCTGCAGGTACAAGTACCAAGCAGAGAGGGCCTGCTCTGATTCACACTTAGCTCTCTGGGAGAGAGACAAGGGCAAGCTTGGATCCTGGAGGACCAGAGAGAAAAGCCCCTGACCTAGGAGGTAGGAAGGGGAGGGCATTTATTTGTTCTATCTGCTCCTGATCAAAATGTAGTCTCCACATGTGGCCTGTGGAAACAGACCCCTCACCTCCAGCTCAAGGCTCCTGTGTACTGTCCTCCTCTAGTCCCTGTCTCTGTGGTCTAGCTACTTTGCCTCAGCCACTGGGCATCAGATCTGGGGCAGCATGGTCTAATAGAAATATAACCCGAGCCACACATAGAATATAATATTTTCTTTTTTCTTTTTTTTTGAGATGGAGTCTCGCTCTGTCACCCAGGCTGGAGTGCAGTGGCGTGATCTCGGCTTACTGCTTGCTGCAACCTCTACCTCCTGGGTTCAAGCAATTCTCATGCCTCAGCCTCCCAAGTAGCTGGGATTACAGGCGTGCACCACCATGCCTGGCTAATTTTTGTATTTTTAGTAGAGACGGAGTTTCACCATGTTGGCCAGGCTGGTCTCAAACTCCTGACCTCAGGTGATCCACCTGCCTTGGCCTCCCAAAGTGCTGGGATTATAGGCATGAGCCACTGCACCCAGCCAGAATATAGTATTTTCTAATAGCCACATTTAAAACAAGGAAACAGGTAAAATTAATTTTTTGAATATATTTTGC
Organism: Homo sapiens; assembly: GCF_000001405.40. NCBI lineage: Eukaryota > Metazoa > Chordata > Mammalia > Primates > Hominidae > Homo > Homo sapiens. The sequence continues at coordinate 50,912,902 of NC_000017.11, forward strand.
TTAACCCAATATGTCTAGAATATTATAATTTCAACACATAAACCATTTAAAAAGTAAAGAGATCTTTTATATTCTTTTTTCATACTAAATTTTCAAGATCTGGTTGGTATGTAGTTTACTCTTGTGGCACATCTCAGTGTGGACTAACTGTTCCAGTGCCCATGGGCACATGGCCATGGCTACCATATTGGAGAGTGCAGGTCTGGCACTTTCCTTGTGCCCTCCACTCCCCACAGGGGAGGTCAGAGGCCTCCTCAGAGGCCCCTGTCCAGACCCCTTTGCCTTTCCCTGACCCAGGAGCAAATCATCCTTTGGGTCGGGGTGCCCATTTATGTTTCCTTATTGGACAGTGGGGAAGGCAAGACTCCTGGACTGGGCATCAGAAGGCTCTGCCACTCAGCCTGCTGTGTGACCTGGAGCAAGTTACCTCCCCTCTCTGGGCACTGGCCTCATTCTCTGTCAGATGAATTTTCATTAGATTTGTGACTTTCAAACTGTGGAACCTGTTTTTCCAAGGCAATCTCATGCCGAACCCCCCATGTATAAATCACAGGAGAGTGGAGCTGCTCAAGGCACTGTGAGCTGCTGCCTCCAGCTCCCAGCCTGGAGATCACTCAGTGGCCAGGCCCTGGAGCACAGAGGGTGAAAACCTGGCACTATCAGTCTGCAACTCACATTTTCAGACCTAATTTTCTTTTTTTTTTTTCTTTCTTTCTTTCTTTCTTTTCTTTTCCTTTTTTTTTTTTTTTTTTTTTTTTTTGAGACAGACTCTTGCTGTGTCGCTCAGGCTGGAATGCAGTCTCAGCTCACTGCAACCTCTGCCCCTCTCCCAGTTCAAGCGATTCTCCTGCCTCAGCCTCCTGAATAGCTGGGACTACAGGCGCCTGCCATCATGCTGGCTAATTTTTGTTTTAGTAGAGACAGGGTTTTGCCATGTTGGCCAGGCTGGTCTCAAACTCCTGACCTCAGGTGATCCACCCGCCTCTGCCTCCCAAAGTGCTGGGATTACAGGCATGAGCCACCGTCCCGGCCTCACACCTAATTTTCTAAACCTGCAAATGACACCGTAGGTTGCTTATGGGCCCGTGTACATAGTAAAAGTATGAAAACATGCATAGGAAATGTGCTGGTTTCAAGTTAGTGGTCTCCTCTGATGAGGGAGGAAGAAGGATGGGCTAGGGATGTCACTTCCGTTCTATTGCCAAAATTTAATTTTTGATTGAAAGAGACCTAAAGAGAATAGAGTGAAATATTTACATGTGTCCAAATTTAGTGGTGGGTTTGTGGCTGAGATATTACTCTGTACTTTTCTGTATATTTGAAATATTTTACAACTTTAATTTGAAACTTTAAGAAGGACAAATAAATATAATCTGGTCTCACCTTAGGCATAGAATTTATTTATTTATTTATTTATTTATTTATTTTAGACGGAGTCTCGCTCTGTCTCCCAGGCTGGAGTGCACTGGCGCAATCTTGGCTCACTGCAACCTCCACCTCCCAGCTTCGAGTGATTCTTCTGCCTCGGCCACCCAAGTAGCTGGGACTACAGGCACGTGCCACCAAGCCCGGCTGATTTTTATATTTTTAGTAGAGATGAGGTTTCACCATGTTGGTCAGGCTGGTCTCGAACTCCTGACCTTGTGATCAGCCCACCTCGGCCTCCCAAAGTGCTGGGATTAGAGGCGTGAGCCACCGCATCCAGCCAGGCATAGAATATTTTTAAACGGTCAAGTAAAATGTAACTTTCCCTCCCCACAACACACTTGGTAATCCCTAAGACCCCCCACCGCCCCGACCATCTCCCTGCTCTGGTAGTTCAGGAATGTAGGCGCTCAATTGACCAAGGGTCAGGAGTTCTGAGGAAGCAGACAGCAGCTGAGCATTTATTCAATAAGTATCAACTCTACCTTTGGGGTATCAGGTATGTGGGGGTCCCAGAGAATTGAGACCCAACCCTGGTTCAAGAGGAGCCTGAGATGGGTGAGACCTTTCATGGTTAACCTGGCCTCAGGGATGGCTGTGAGGGGCCGAGGGAGGAGGAGGGATCTGCACCTCTCTGGCTCCCATGCCCCCAGCCTGCGGTCTCTGGGTGGAGGGAGGCCCCTCCTCTCCATCACTCACTGCTCTTTCCTCTCCTATCGCAGCTTGACTCTCCAATGCACTGCGGATTGCCTTGGGCCCCTCTGGTCGAGTTTTGGGGGGCTCAGCTCACCCCTCTGAATGTGTGTGTGTTCTCCCCTGGGCCCCATTGCTGGTTCCTCCCAGTCACCGTTTCCCCCACATCCACTGATGAGGCCCCAAGCTCAGAAAGTTCAGGAGACCTGCCAGGGTCACCCTTCTGGGCTGGGCATGGCAGGAGGAGGGTTGTGGGAGGGCAGCTATGTACCAAGTCCAGCGAGGTTATTTCACCCCAGCAAACAGGTCCTGCTGGTTTGCCATTTGGAGAGAGTTTGGCCCCAGTTCCCATGGACTGGTTAAATGGTAACTTGTCTTCAGTTGTTTGTGGAAATGTGACAGGGCACAGGCCACCAGCTAGGCCGGAAAAGCCGTGTGAGGCCCAGCTAGCTCTGGGCATTGGACTGCAAGCCATGCTTCCCTCCCCTCCCCTCCCCTCCCCTCTCCTCTCCTCTCCTCTCTTTTGAGACAGAGTCTCACTCTGTCACCCAGGCTGGAGTGCAGTGTCGCGATCCTGGCCCACCACAACTTCTGCCTCCCAGGTTCAAGCAATTCTCCTGCCTCAGCCTCTTGAGTAGCTGGGATTACAGGCGCCCACCACCACGCCCAGCTAATTTTGTATTTTTAGTAGAAACAGGGATTTACCATGTTGGCCAGGCTGGTCTCAAACTCCTGACCTCAAGAGATCCACCCGCCTCAGCCTCCCAAAGTGTTGGGATTACAGGCATGAGCCACTGTGCCTGGCTTTTTTCTTTCTTTCTTTTTCTTTTCTTTTCTTTCTTCCTTTTTGTCCCCCACAAGGTTTCACCCTGTTGCCCAGGCTGGAGTACAGTGGCATGATTACGGCTCACTATAACCTTGAACTCCCAGGCTCAGGTGATCCTCCAGCCTCAGCCTCAGCCTCCCAAGTACCAGAAGTACTAGGACTACAGACACATGCCACGCCTGGCTAATTTTTTTTTTTTTTTTTTTTTGAGACTGGGTCTGGCTATGCTGCCCAGGCTAAGCAATACTTATTTTCCTTATTTTTATTCTAATAAGATTCCAGAATCTTCCCCTTTCACATGTCTTCCTAGCCAGATGAGTAAGAGCAAGGAGGAGTGGTGATGTTAATAACAGAGTGACACAGCCTTTGAGGGCCTTTCATTGGCAGATTTCTTAACCAAGAGCAGCTGTGCCCATTTTACAGGAGGAAAAACTGAGACAAAGAGGAGTGAGGTCACTATGAGTCACTGGCCTTTCTGGCCTAACTCAGACTAGGCTCAATATGGCTGAGCCAAAGAGACAGAGCAGGCTGGGGGTGGGGATGGAAAGAAACTCTGGTTCTTCAAAGAGAGTTGACTGTCCTTGCTGGCCTTAGACATCACCCCTTCCCTTTATTCAGTGCCTGCCTGATTAGAGCTGGACATACAGGATCTCATCTGCTCCCACAACCACCATCTAAAATAGGCAGAGCAGGTTTTACTTGCCCTGTGTTAGTTACAGACAAGGAAACAGAGTTACAGACAAGGAAACAGAGTCAGCAAGATTAGGAGCCTTGTCCAGTTCCACAGCTGGTCAGGCCCAGGGAGACCAGGCCGCTGGACACCAGCTCAAGATGCAAGCTTATCTGCGATTCCCAAGCTTATACCAGGCCTGACTCTGTTTCCAGCGAAAGAACCCCAGGACATAATGTTTCTGAGCTGAGTGTTAGATGGATCAGGGGCTAAGGATTTGGGAGGACCTTTCTTGAAATTAACAGCTGCTTCGAGAGTGAGGCTTCCGACCCGCCCTTTCTTTATTTCCTCTGGGCCTGGTTTGGCAGACCTCCACCCCCAGCCCACAATCCCAGATGGACAGAGGTAGTTCTCTCCAGCTTTTGGAGACCTCGGGGAGGAAGAAGCCTCGCTCACCCGCTCCTAGACAGTGTGTGTGAGCCCTCAGGCACCCAGGGTGGGCAATGCTTCCCAGGCAGAGAGGGCGTGCAATGCAAGTGAGGTGTCCATTAGACAGACCCAGGGCACTCCAAGCCCCATAGAGTGACTCACTTTCTTTCTTGGCACCCCCAAACGACTCTACCTTCCTCAGCAGGTCTTGTGAAGGTGCAGTGACACAATGTGCATGAAAGAGGCTCGAGCAGGACCTGATGCACAGTAGGTGCTCAACAGCTCCGCCCCGCCCCGCCCTGGCCCCCCGCCACAGCTTCCTGTGCCCCTGTGCTGTGATTTCAGCCTCAGAGGAATGGAAGACCCCAGGATTTCCCCAGGAGGGAGTCTGGCATCCTCGCCATCGTGGTTGGCTCCTGTGCTCACCCATCGAGGCCACTCAATGCTGCGCTGGGGTGGGAGATTCTTTATTGAGGAATCTGCAGAGGTCAGGGGAAGGCAGGAGCCAGGGCCACAGGGGAGGCCGGCCAAGGACAGCTGCCCACAGCAGGCCACAGCTGGGGCCCTCCCCACACTGCATGCTGGCTTGTTTTTCATGCAAAACCATGTTATGTAAATCAGTGCTGGGTTGAGCACACTCAAGTCAGAGTCACGAATTGGGTCCCCCACCGCCCATCCAGGGTGTCTGAAGGCCTAGGCCAGCATGCCCATTATTCAGCCAGAGCAGGTGGCCGAGCCAGCTGGGCTCGTCCCCAAATACTTTCAGGGAGGGACGCTAGGCCTAGGACCCGGGGTCTACAGCCCTGAGGGGAGGGGGCAGAGGATGCAGCCTTGGAAAGCCCAGTACCTGGTGAGTAGGGAAGTGTCCTCCCAGGTGGTTCCAACCTTTAACCCAATTCCTCTGTCTTGGAGGCAAAGGGAAAGGACGTGGCTGATCCCCGCAGAGCCCAAGGCCAGCCACCATCCTTTCATGGAGCCAGGCAGCTTCGAGAAGCCACTGAGGCTCCTTGTGCTCCTTGTGTGGGCACAAAGTGTGGGCTTCTGGAGGGGGTCCTTGGACCTCTATCTCAGCAGGGACATTCCTCCTCCCCCCGCCTTCCAGACCTCCTGCTCCAGATGCCTGGCTTCTCCAGGGCACCCCGATGGGTGGCTCTGCCACCCCAGGACACTGGACTGGGGCCACCCTTACAGAACCGGTTCGAAGCCAAACAATGGCACGTCACAGTCCAGCTGAGCCGGAGGCCTCAGCAGGGTAAGTACAAGTGAGGCTGTGGCCAAGAGGGGCATAGGTGCCAGGGACTCAGAGGCGGGCGCGCGCAAGTGCCAGCAAGCCCTCACTGCCTAACATGGCAGCCCCATGGCTTCCTCTCTTCCCCGTGACCTGACTGCAGCTTTGAGGACAGCACTTGCCCTCCCCTCCCAGGCAGCGGGCCCCTTCCCTGGCCCCAGAGGTGAAGGAGGGCGACTTCCCCAGGGAGAGGAAGCAGAATGACGGCCTGCAGCTTTCCTGCCGCGGGAGGGGAACTTCAGGTCAGAATGGCCGTCTCAACCTCATGGAAGCCTCCCTCTGGACTGACGAGTGACCGCTGTTGTGGTGGGAGGTCCACCTTCCCGCAAAGGGAGCCAAGAGCCCAGAGGGGTCACTTGGGCCCAGGGAGGGTGGGACACAGACGTCTGGGTGGAAGTTGGACAAAGTCTGGCAGAATGGGGCACCAGGGCACAGTAAGACCCTGGCTGGGACACTGAGTGGGGACAGTCCCCAGCAATTCCCTTGGAGATAAAGAGCCTGCGGCAGGTCCCAGATCCTGACAGAGGACAGACAGGAGGGGACAAGCTGGTGGTGGGGGTGAGCTGGCTAGGCAGAAAGCTCTGTGGACACCTGAGGCCTCCTCCTGGAATTGCCCCAAGCCATGTGGCTAAGGCCTAGGGAGACCCTCACCATGTGGGGTGGGGTGGGGTGGGGGCCCCTAGCCAAAGCTGGGAAAAGGCAGAGCCTTCAGAGAGCCTCCTAGGGACAGCAGCAGAGAGGAAGCCTTCGAGGCCTTTCCAAGCTCCCCGCTGCCCGGCTCTCCTCCTGCCCAGCACACCGTGGGTGGACTCCAACCTACAGCTTCACTGATCTCAGAAGGTCCCACCCTCTCCCGCCTTGTGCTTCTGACTGTTTATTTCCTGCAGAGGAGTCAGTGTTACTGCCACTGAGAACAGAGATGGCTCCACCCAGAGGGCCCACCCTTGGGGCACAGGGGACCCTTGCCCATACCCCCTGCACCCTGGCTCCATCCTAATGCAGGGATATGAGCTTGGGCCTGTGTCACAGCTGCTTCCTGGGCCTCTGAATCCTCATCCTTGAGCTGAGGGTGTGAGACCGGAAAATCCAAGCCACCATCCAGCCCCAATGTCTCCCCATCCCATGACTCTCTTCCCCAAATAACACATCTCCCCAAATACCTCTCCTCCTCCCCAGTGAGAGGAGGCGCAGGGGAGGTTGTTGGATAACTGTGCCTTCTCCTCCCCGAATCCCAGCCTCTCCTTCTGGATCCCACACCCAGGGGCCCAGCAGTCACGGGGCTCAGGGTGCTCCCCAGCCTTTACAGTTTACCCATCCCTGCACAGTAGCCATGATTTCATTTCCTCCTCACTGCAAGGTAAAGATCATTAGTTCTCTTTTATAGGTGAAGAGACTTAGACTCAGACAGACCCTGTGTCTTGCTCAAAGTCACCTGGCCAGTCAGGGGTAGGGCTGGGTTTCGAACCCAGGGGCAGGCCCTCTCCGCCCCCCGGCATCGGTGCAGAGCCCTGGGTCGCCCTCCTCCAAGGTCGTTGTGGTGTGAACAGCCAGGCGCCTTCATGCAGGGCCTGACTGCAGCCGCCAGAGCCTGGTGATGTCAGCATTGCCATGGAAACCCTTCCCCGGGCGTCGGGCAGGACCAGCCTCCCCAGCGCAGTTTCCCTTTGTGTGGACTTTGCAATGCGTTGCCAAGGCAGTGGGGCCTGCTGGGCGGGTTGGCATGGGGTGGGGAAGGCAGACAAAAACCCACACTGCAACTGGCAGCTCACAACAGGGCCCACGGTGCTTGTGGGAGGGAGGGGCTGCAGGCTGGTGGCCTAAGGCGTGAGAGTCGGTGGGCAGGGGGTTACCCACACACCTGCTTAGGACCCCCATCTGGCAACAGCCTTTTGGCGTCTTTGGTGCTATTTTGGGGTCCTGCTGCCTAAGAATCACCTGGGCCTGGGTGTTGTGAAAAAGGCAGACCTGCTGGGCCGGGGTGGAGAGGAGTCAGCAGTTTAAACAAACCCCCAAGGCAATTCGCGTATGCCACCAATTCCGAGGACACCTTCAGGGAAGAATAACATTTATTGAGCACCTAGCTATGCCAGGCAGGCCCTTCTGCCTATTTTCTTTCTTTCTTTCTTTCTTTTTTTTTCCGACAGAGTCTCACTCTGTTCCCCAGGCTGGAGTGCAGAAGCGCGATCTCAGCTCACTGCAACCTCTGCCTCCCGGGTTCAAGCAATTCTCCTGCCTCAGCCTCCCGAGTAGCTGGGACTACAGGTGTGTGCCACCATGCCTGGCTAATTTTTGTATTTTTAGTAGAGACAGGGTTTCACCATGTTGGCCAGGCTGGTCTCTAACTCCTGACCTCAAATGATCCGCCTGCCTCAGCCTCCCAAAGTGCTGGGATTACAGGCGTGAGCCACTGCACCCAGCCCCCTTCTGCTTATTTGCTCTTGCATTATAATCCTCACAGCAACCTTGAGTGGGAGAAGGGGACAGAAGAAAATTTTTTGTGTGGTTTTTTAAAAAAATCCTCATTTCCCAGAGGAAGACGCTGAAACTCAGAGAGGTTAAATCTCTGCTTGCCCACGGTCACTCGGCATAGATGTGGCTGAGTCCAGATTCTAACGCTGTAGCCTCCTCGCCATCCAAGCTGGGCCTGTGGCCTGGCAGTGTTCGCTTCCTCCTCTTGCTGGTTTTCCAGGAAGAATCCTAAAGTACCTTTGCAGAGTGGGCCAGCTCTGTCCGAAGCCTCCCACGAGCTCCCGGATCTAAGAGGGGATTGAGCCAAGCGAGAATCTCCAAGCCCAGGCCCCTCCCCAAACTGGCTGCCTGCAGAGGCTTAGAAAGCCTGCCCAGCCTAGTAAGGAAAACCAATGCCCTGGCCAAAGTCTCTCCTGTCCTCCAGCCACCTCGGCCCTCCAGCCACACCCTCCTCTGTCCTGCAGGCTGCCCTGGCCTCCGTGCTCCCTGAAAGAGCTCCTGAAGCCTCTGCTTCCTCCCCTCGCCCAGGGATAGGTGGTCTCTGACCCAGTCCACGGAGATGCCCCCTTCTTGGAAGTTTCCGGGAAGAGAAATTCGGTCGCCTTTGCTGGCGATGTTGCAGAGCCTCCTCTTACAACCGACAGCCTTCCTGTGTCCGTCCTCCACACTTCTGCTTTCTCTGAAGCCTGATTCCTTAAGAACTGTCTCTCTCTTTCTTTCTTTCTTTTCTTTTCTTTTTTTTGAGTCTTGCTCTGTTGCCCAGCCTGAAGCCCAGTGGCACAATCTCTGCTCACTGCAACCTCTGCCTCCCAGGTTCAAGTGATTCTCCTGCCTCGGCCTCCCTAGTAGTTGGGGTTGCAGGTGTGCACAACCACACTCAGATAGATAGTTTTTGTATTTTTAGTTCAGACAGGGTTTCACCATGTTGGCCAGGCTCGTCTCAAATTCCTGACCTCAGGTGATCTGCCTGCCTCAGCCTCCCAAAGTGCTGGGATTACAGGTGTGAGCCACTGCGCTTGGCCTCTCTCTTTCTTAACAACCTCTCTGAGGGCTCAAGGGGAAGGAACCCTACCCTTCAGCCCCGGGGCCCTATTTTGCCCGCTGACTCTGAAGCTGAGACTCTGCCTGATGCCACAGCCCCAGGATCCAGGCCCCTCCCTCTCCACCTGCATCTCCTTTATTTCTCATTTATTTATTGATTGATTTTTTTTGAGACAGGGTCCCGCTCAGTCACTTGGGCTGGAGTGCTGTGGCACCATCACAGCTCACTGCAGCCTCAGCCTCCCGGGCTCAAGCGATCCTCCTACCTCAGCCTCCCAAGCAGCTGGGACCACAAGTGCCCACCACCAGGCCCAGCTAATCTGTAAATTTTTTTGTAGAGAGAGGGTCTTCCTATGTTTCCCAGGCTCGTCTCCAACCCTTAGGCTTGAGTGATCCTCCTGCCTTGGTCTCCCAAAGTGTTGGGGTTACAGGCACCATGCCCAGCTGTGAATCTCCCTTACTAAGGTCAACAAACACTAGTGACCTCCACTGAGAGCTGGTGAGAACTAACCTCATGCCAGGGATGCCAGGAATGGTTGGATGGTGAATGGTGTTGGGGTTCAGCTTGTGCTGGGCACACCTAAAGCCAGCCAGGGTTCCAGTCCCAACATGACCAGGCCCTGCCTGTCCCTTCATTGAACAAGTATTTCCTGAAGTCTGTGCTATGTAATAGGAAGCGGTTTTTTTTTTAAAGTCCCCAAACAAGCCAAGGATGGAGGAGAATTAATAAAAGACAAACAATGGAATAACTGTGACCCCTGTGTCCCCATTGTAGAAGAGTACAACCTAGTCACAACCTAGTCGTAGTTCATGTTTGACTTTGGGATGAAGAGGAGGCATACTCCTGAATGCTGACAATGGTCATCGCTAGCTGGTGGCCTTTTAGGTGACTTTTATATACATTTGCTGCGCTTTCCAAACTTTCTATGCTGTAAGATGGAATTTTTATAAGCAGAGGAGCCCTGGCAAGCCTGAGTATTTGTTGAGAGCCTCTTAAGGAAAGCTCGTTGTCTACAGCCTCTGGGTCTGGAGGATGGGGCAGAGGTCAGCTGGTCCATGCCTTCTCCTCCCTACAGGGGCACACCCAGATCAGTCGATAAATTGCCTGGCCCCACCTGTGCAGGCTGGGTGAGGCTGCCTGGGTGGAGAGCCTGGGCCCAGGGGGCCCCTGGAGACTCTGACCCCAGCCAGAGTCCATAACAACCACAGGACCAGAAGGCAATGAATGGGTAACATCCACCATGGGCCTTATAACCTCCTCCCCGGCCCAGCCAGGCTGGGAAGCAGAGGAGAAGAGATGGGGGTGCTGGTTGTCTCAAGGAGAGGGACCCCAATGTGGAACAATAATGCCTCTTGCACAGGCTGTTGGGGGAATTAAATGTGATGACTGGCCCACAGGCCACAGAGGAGGAAACACTCAGTAAACATTGTTGGGCATGTGGATAAATGCACAAGCTGGCCGTGCTCCCTTATGGGGTTGGAAATCCTCTCCACACTGCAGAGTTGTAAAGTATCCTCTCCTTTACGATCTGGGTGGGAAGCACTCTCTGCTCCTGAATTCCCCCACACAGGCTGCAGCAGGATGTCCATGGCTGAGGCAGCCAGAACCACTCTTGATATCTGGCTCCCGAAGGTCTCTCTGTGCCCTGGGGCCCAGGCAGCCCCTGTTGGAAGTGCCACGTCCAGTCCTACCAGAGCCCAAGCTGCAGCCACAGAAACCAAAAGGATGATAGCTTTGTGGGAAACTCAAACATTAAAAAGAATAAAAAATTTAAAAACTGTGAAGGCCAAAAGAAGTCCATCTGTGGGCTGCGATCTCTGTTCTAAATTTTAGCATTGATCTTACTAAAATAACACCTTTGCATTTTTATCAGGGCCTTTCTGTGGAATGATTTCCTCCAAAGAGAGAGACCCCAGTGGTGGGAAGCTCAGGCCCTTTGGCTGTGTCCAGGTCGCACTAGGCATCTGTGTGTCCTGTGCTGACTGACCAGCTGTGCTCCCCAGAATCCATCTTCAGGCACCAGTGGATCTGAGATTTTGGCAACAGTCCAGGGCATTGAGGTTTTGCCAGAAAATAAGGTAGAGGCCTCTCTGGAAGCAGAGGGCGTCAGCTATGCCCTGTGTTTGCAGAGATCATCTGCTACAAGGCTGTGGGTTTGGGATTCTGGGGCAGGTGGAGTCCCAGAAACATCCTCTCCCCAGGCTAAGCAGATTAAGGTTTCCACCTGTTCTTCCCTTCAATAATCCCTGCATTTGATTCTCTAACTAAACAGGAACCAGGCCAGGTAGATGATCATGATTTCCATTTTGCAAATGAAGAAACTGAGGCTCAGCAAGTGACTTACCCGAGGTTGCACAGGGACTAAGTTCAAGCCCTAAGAATTAGGACCATTTTATAGCAGATCTCCTAAAGGCCACAGGTATCTTATGATATTCTACCCCAGCAGACTTTGTGGCTCTTGTGGCTAATGAAATTTCTTTCTCTTTGTAAACTGTATTTTTTAATCATTATGCAAACTTCATGTTAATATCTATTACAAGAACCCTCAAAGACCAAAAGATAATCCATAACCCATGAACATCATTATATTGTATTTTCACATTCTACCCTCCAATCATCGTTCATAGAAAATCCTTTTCCTTGCCTCTGAGATACACAGTTTCAAATTTCTAAACTGTAAAGGTGCATTTGTTTGTTTTGAGATAGGGTCTCACTCTGTTGCCCAGGCAGGAGTGCAATGACACCATCATGGCTCACTGTAGCCTCAGCCTTCTGAGTTGAAGCGATCCTCCCACTCAGCCTCCCAAGTAGCTGGGACTACAAGCACGCACCACCATGTCTGGCATTTAAAAAAACTTTTTTTGCTGGGGAGAGATGGGGGTCTCACTGTGTTGCCCAGCTGGTCTCTAACTCCTGGATTCAAGCGATCCTCTAACCCAGGCCTCCCAAATTGCTGGGATTACCAGCATGAGCCACTGCACTGAGTACAAATGTGTCTCATAGTTGATGTATACACACAATGTGCCTGCAAATGTATGCATTTTCTTTCCACCAAAAAAAACCCTGTCTTTGTACATCAATTATGTGTCATATAATCAAGGAAACACGATAGATCATTTTATAGAGATGTAAGAAAATCATCAATATGATTTGCTTCCCACTTCATTCACTTCCCTTTATATTCCCTGGCATTGGCCAAGGTTTTAAAATAAAGACAATTCAGTATTTCCTAATCCCTGGCCAGCTGGCCACCTGGCCACCTGCCACCCCAGGCACTTGGGCACTGGAACTAACTTTAATATAAATCAAAACAGCAAGAGGATGTGTGTAAGCCCCTGCTCTAGAAATTCCAAGGGGAAATGGGAAGGAGAGAAACTAATGCTTAATGAGCATCTGCTATGTGCCAGCCTCGTGCGGTGGAATTGGAGGAGTGAGGAGGGCTTCTGTCTCCAGACTGTAAAGGAGAGGATGTTTCACCATTCTGAAGTCAGAGGGAGAAACGTTTCCAACTGAATTAAGAGAGAAGAGCCCAACTTGCAGTGTTCCCTGGCCCCTGGTAATTAATTAATCAAAGTAAGGTTTTCTTTTCAAAAAGTGTCTTTAAATTGACCATCTCTTGTAAAGCTGGTTATTTTCAGATGTGCCATGTTCCTGTAGGCACCAGCTTCACCTCACACTGCCTCGGTCTGAGATTGTGCGCCTGGAATTGTATTGAGTCAGAATCACCTGGTGGGCTTGTGAAACTGCAGCTGGCTGGGCCCCACCCCCAGAGATTCTGATTCAGCAGATCTAAGGTGGGGTCTGAGATTTTGCATTTCTAACAAGCTACCAGTGATGCCGATGCCACTGGTGCACTTTCGGATCACCTGAGGAGCTTTTTTTCAAAAAGACTGGTGCCTGGCTCACACCCCCAGGATCTGATTTCACTGGCCTGGGTGCAGCCTGGCGTTAGGAATGCCATGGCTCCACAGGTGATTCTTGTGTGCTGCCCAGCCTAAGGGCCACTGGGTTTACCGAAAGAAGCCAGCAGACATGATGAGCATTTCCTGAGCCTATGAGATTCCTTGGATTTCAGGGACAACCTCCTAAGTCTTCCCAGATCAGGGCCTGCCAGGCAGAGAGTCTCTGAGGGATGGAGGGAAGCTGTCCTATATGAGCCGTACTTCCACACCTGTATCTTTCATACCAAGTCAACTGGTTGCTAATGCTAGTGGGGAAAACCATGTGAACTGATTAGTAAGATTTCTGGCTTCTCTGGCCAAGCTTCTGGACCACATGGCTGTTGCCAGTGCTCCCTCAGATGGCACACACTTGCTAGCTTGCCACAGTCCCCATCACCCCCTAGTGTGTTACCCTCCTTGGCCTGAGACTCACTGATTTGAGCTACGTGGCGCCATTGATTGTCCGTCTTCCTGTTTGTGGTTGGGTGTGAATGGACAGGTGCTTTAGGAACGGGAACTCAGATCAGTACTTTCAAAGGAAGACAGGAGACACGGGAAAAGGACCCTGTGTGTGCTTTGAGGATGATGGTGACCTCAGGCCCTGCTCTTAGCCTAGAAGGGGTGGGGGATGTTAGACTGAAACCCAAGAGACTTGTAATCTCACCCCAGCTCTGTCGCTAATTTGCAGAGTGACTTTAGGTAACTAACACCGTCTCTCTATGCCTCAGTTTCCTCATCTGCAAAGTGATTGAGGGTAAGACATGCTGAGCACCCATGTCCTTCCTATTCTAGGAGCTGGAGAGAAAAGAGTCCAAGTCTTATAACTAAGAGTTGGGAGGAGGGGGACCCTGAAGCCTAGGGAGGGAGACAGCTGGGCCCCAGGATGTGGGCTGGGAAGGAGGCACGGCTCGTATCCAGTTTAACCACAGGCCCAGCCATCCCCAGCTCCTCAAAGCTGGACTCTGCGCCCCCACCCATGTGTGCAGGTGAAGCCTAATTCTTATACCAACTCTGATGCGAGGCGTTGTGGGTAGTGGTTGAACCCTGGACTCTGGAGTCGATGTGGCCCAGTCCTGTGGCTCTGCCACTTCCTGGCTGTGTGGTCTCAGGCAGGTTACCAACCCCTCTGGAGTCTCAGTATCTCACATGTAGCATGGGCTAGTAATGGGTAGCTGTGGGGATCAAATGAGCTGTGCCCGGAAAGCATTTAGCTCTGTGTGTGGCAGATGCTCAGGGGTCACAATCATCATCATTAAGAGGAGGCACTCAAGTTGTGCCTGGGGCCTCGTTTATGCCCCAGAATCTCAGCCCCAACCCCAAGATGTGTCTCTTTTTTTTTTTTGAGACAGAGTCTGGCTCTGTTGCCCATGCTGAAGTACAGTGGCACGATCTCACTGCAACCTCTACCTCCTGGTTTCATACAATTCTCCTGTCTCAGCCTCCCGAGTAGCTGGGATTACAGGTGTGTGCCACCATTCCTGGCTAATTTTTGTATTTTTAGTGGAGACAGGGTTTCACCATGTTGGCCAGGCTGGTCTCGAACTCCTGACCTCAGGTGATCCACCAGCCTCGCCCTCCCAGAGTGCTAGGATTACAGGCGTGAGCCACCGCACCCAGCCCCAAGATGTGGGTCTTGATAATAGGGATCCCACTGCCCTCCTAAATTCCTATGATTGAGCCCAGCTTCCCCGAAATGGGGGTCTGGCCCAGCCCAAGTTCACTGAATGGCTCTCAGACTCCCTACAGACCTGAGCTCTTGCAATCAGGTCACCCTCTGCCCCTGCCCTAGTTTCCTCTGCCAGCTGCCACACTCAGGTGCCCTGAGGCATCCGGGACATGCAGTCAGGCAGTATAATCTCCCCTAGCTGTGTAACCTTGGGCAGGTTACTTAATCTCTCTGGGTTTTTGTAAAAGGGGAATGATAACCTCCACTAGATCCTAAGCTCCTCGAGGGAAGGGATGGTGTTTGCTTTATCCACCAGTGTATACCCAGCATCTAGTCCAGTGCCTGGCACATAGTAAGTGCTCAAAAAATATTTGTTGGATCAATGAATGGGTGGCCTAAGGACTAAATTGAATAATATATGTGAAGCACAGTGCCAGGCACACAGTAGCCCCTAAATTAATGTTTCTTGGAACTGAACCTATCTGATTCCCTGAACTTCTGTGTTTTCCTTTGTGCTTTCTTGTGGCCTACATGTTGGGACACATTCCAGGAACTTGGACCATGAATCGTTAAGACCTTGGTCATCACACTTGGCCCCTACAAATACCTCTCAATTTCAGCAGTAGAGCCAGCCCCAGGGCCTGTCCCACAACCCTGGCCCACTTTATCTATCCTAACGAACTCAACAACCACGTCTGTGTGTACATCCATCCACCCATCCACTCACTCATTCATTCATTCAACACATTTTAAGGAGTGTCTACTGTCTCCATACTTCCTCCCCAGGCTCCCCCAAAGCTATGGATTCCTACATACCATGGGTTACTTGATGTCTCCACCTGGGCCTGCCATGATGTTGTAAAAGGCCAAACCAGACCCTCCTTTTCTCATACCCACTTTTCCTCCAGGGCTCTCTAAGCTGATGGTGCCACTGCCAGCCTGGTCACCCAAAAGGGGAGCCCAAGAGTTGCCCATAATACCCCCAGATGGGCACCCAGGCCTGACTATTTATTTCCTATGTTCTTCTCAGATATCGTCCCTCCCAAACTTTTCTGCTCCATTAGCCTGGGGATCTCCAAGCTCTTTTTCCTGAGATTCTCTCTCCTCACTGCTCTATCCCCATTTCTCTCTCCCTCCTGTCTATCCTCTCAATGCTGCTCCCAGGAGGCTCCATTTCGTGCCCCCACCTTCAAGCCTCCCAATTGCTTTCTGTCCAAACTGTTGGCCTGTTCTGAAGATTCTCACAATCTGGGGGCCCTGCGACCTGCTCAGCCTCATCTCCTGCTCTCTGTCTCATATGTCATAAAGAGTCCCCTGACCAGTATCATTCTATGTCTTACCTCCAGGGCTTACTCCTTCTGCCTGAAATGTCTTTCTTTCCTCAGCTCACCCCTTTACTTGGCCAACCCTTACTCACCATTCAAAGCCAGTTCAATGTCACCTGCTCCAAGAAAACTTTTCAGACCGCACCCAGCCTAGATTACAGACTCTTCAGCTCTGCTCCCATCTGACCCATGCCTGACTCCATCGTTGTAGTTACCACATTATTTCATAATTATCTGCTTATGTGTCTGGCTTCTGCATGCTTATTCATTGTTCTACCCCTCTGTGCACAGTGCCTGGCACAGAGTAACTCCCTTTGCAGATACTATCGCTCGGTAACAAATCACCCCATAATTTAGTGGCTTAAAAGTGCTATTTAATCTTGCTCATGGTTTTGTGGGTGTAGAATTTGGGAAGGTCTCAGCCAGGCAGTTCTCATTTGGGTTCTGCCATGGACTGGATCACCCAAAGTCTCAAGGGGGTGCATGCAAATGGGCTTGGGTTCTGCCATGGCTGCATTGGATGCTGGCAATTGGCTGGGAGTTGGCCAGGCTTTCCACTGAGGTGTTACATGTGGCCTCTCGAGCACGGCAATCTCAGGGTAGTCAGACTTCCCCCGGAACCCGCGTCCCAAGAAAGCCAGAAGGAAGATGCACAGGCTTATCTAATCTAACCTTGAAAATCAGGCAGTATTGCTTCCACCACGTTCTATGTGTTACAAGTGAGTGGCTAAGGTCAGCCCAGATTCGAGGCAAGGGGACAGAAGCCCTGCCTTTCGATGGGAAGAGTGTTAAAAAAATTTACAGACATGCTTCAAAACCACCAGAACCCTCAACACATGTTTGTTGCATGGATGGTTGAAGAGATGGATGCCAAGTTGCTTCCCACCTATCCCTATCCTGCCCCATGAATACCTAGTTCTGCTTTTTTTTTTTTTTTTTTGAGACGGAGTCTCGCTCTGTTGCCCAGGCTGGAGTGCAGTGGTGCCTTCTTGGCTCACTGCAACTTCCACCTCCCGGGCTCAAGACGAGGTCTCATTATATTGCCTAGGCTGGTCTGGAACTCCTGGGCTCAAGCAATTCTCCCACCTTGGCCTACCAAAGTGCTGCGATTACAGACGTGAGCCACTGCATCCGGCCAATATTTAGTTCTTTTCTTCCTGCCTCTTTCTCCTGCACCACCGTGACTCCAGCACATTTGAGGGTTGGCAGAGTGGCCTGGTGGTAGAAGAACACAGGCTAGCAACCTATAGCTTCTGCCTCCATGTGCCTGCTGCCAGCTGGTGTGAGATGCTAAGACAAGTCCCTCTCCTGTCCTAGGCTTCAGTTTCCCTACCCAGATAATGAAGTGCTGGGCCAGATATTCTCTAAGATCCTCCCCACCTCCCACCTTCTGCTCTAACTTTAGGCATCTCTATAATTCCTACTTGCTTTCTGAAAAGGCAGCTGGAAGCCCAGGCCAGCTCCATGCTGCAAAGCTGCCCCCAGCCATCATGTCTTTGGGAGTTCGCATCTTAATGACACAAGCACACACAGTACACTGTGGTGTGAGAAACTCAAATACTACAGAAGTATGCAGAGTAAAACGTGAAATTCCCCACGACCTTCCTTTACGCCCTGCCTCCCTCCGAAGGGGACTGCCTCCATAGTTCAGCGATTGCCCCAGCAGCCTTTTATACACCTACTGTCCGGCAACGTGCAGCTTTCTCAGAAGGAGAAAGCTTTGCTGGGGATATGTGGTTCGTTTTATCTTTTAACAAATAAAATCATACTGTTCATATTTCTGCAACTTTCTCTTTTTCATGTAATTCTATGTCTAGGACATCATCTTTCCACCACGTCCCCCAGCCTTTTCTTTTTCTTTTTCTTTTTTTTTTTTTGAGATGGAGTCTCACTCTGTCCCCAGGCTGGAGTGAAGTGGCACAATCACGGCTCACTGCAACCTCTGCCTCCCGGGTTCAAGCGATTCTCCTGCCTCAGCCTCCAGAGTAGCTGCGATTACAGGCATTCGCCACCACGCCTGGCTGATTTTTGTATTTTTAGTAGAGACGGGGTTTCGCCATATTGGCCAGGCTGGTCTCGAACTCCTGAGCTCAGGTGATCTGCCTGCCTTGGCCTCCCAAAGTGCTGGGATTACAGGCGTGAGCCACCGCTCCCAGCCTTTTAAAAAAGATGCTCTATAATTTGAGATGGTATGGTTGCTGCAAAGTTTATGAGACTATTCTCCACATTGTCAAATATTTTGGTAACTTCCAATTTTAGTTATTTTATACAATCTTGCAAAGGGCCGTGTTCAGCGCTCCACGGAATTGCAGGGCTGGGGGACACTCCATTCCTGCGTCCTAGAGAGCCTCTTTCAAGCAAGCTCTTTCAAGCAAGCAAGGAGTGCAAATCCTCCTGCCTGCAAATTGCGGGCTGTGAGGCCTGAGCCAACGCACTGGAGCTCTCTGAGAACGGCTGTGACGAGCCGAGCTAACAATAGCCCTGCTTAGCAGCCCCGCGGCGGCTGACTTGGTGAGGCCCGCAGGCCCGCCTCAGCCCGCCCTCCCTCCGCCGTCCGGGCAGGAGGTGCAGGGGCAGCAGGGCCCGCCTGGCTCGCTGCGGCCGCTTATCAGAGCCGGCTGTGGCGCCGGTTACGTAACCGGGCGGCTAATGCTGTTTTACTTGTCGATGAAACCCAAATTAAAAGAGGAAATTATTGTCCTGATGCTCAACTCGCCTAATCCCCATCTGTCTCCTCTCTGGTCCCCCGCGCTGCCGAGCGCTCGCATCTAAAGGTCTTGAACGCGTTCCAGGTTTCTAATTTCGTTTGCTTATGCAACCAAAAATATTATGGCCGCGTTTCCTGGGGGTGATGAAGTCTATATTCTGGGCTACAGGCACACTAAAAACGGCAGCGCCAGGGCCCAGCGCCGCTCGCGCGTGCACCACGCGCCGGCTTTTTTTGGTTCCTCCGAGGCGCGGGCAGCTCTGCAGCCGCGGGGGCCGCAGGAGGTGGGGGCTGGACCCGCCCGGAGCTCGGGAGGGCCCGGGATGGCCCCGGGGAGCGCAGGTCCCGGCAGGGGCCGAGCGAACAAGGGCCGGCCTGGGGCGCCCAGAGACGCGGGGGACCGTTCTGGTCGCAGCTGCCTGGGTGACCTCTTGGAACCTCAGCTTCCTCCTTGTTTTTTTTCTGATTCTGACTCTGATTCCTGTGTGCTGAATCCAGGCTGTAGTGAGCTGTGATCACACCACTACATTCCAGCCTGGGTGGCAAAAGGAAGATGAGAGAGAGACAGAGAGAGAGAGAGAGAGAGAGAGAGAGAGAGAGAGAAGAGAGAGAAATAAGGGAGACATCAACACCCTGGAATATTGTGTAGATGAGTTTTAAAAAAAAAACAAGGTAGATCAAGATGTATTAACATGTATCAGATTGTTAAATTTCTTTAAGAAATAAAGTCATTGAAAAATAGAAAAATACAGAATATGGTTCAACTTGAGTTTTTAAAAATCCATGGGCTGGTGAGAAGCAAAACAGACTTCAGTGTTTTTACCCCACTTCTGTATTGTCTGAATCATCTGAAGAGACGCTGTTCATGTATTTCTTGCATAATTTTAAGTATCTGATTTTAATGGTATGAGGGACGGGATAGCAGGGGCCTTCCTGACCCTGTAATTCTCTGGAAGCAGTGGTCAGATCAGGAGTGGGACTGGCTGCAAGGCTTCTGCCCCCGATCCCCGACCCCAGGCTGGGGCTTCAGGATGCCCGACCACAGTGTTCTGAGGGCCTCTGACCATCAGGAGGCCACTGGAAGTCTTAGGGCTGAGGGAGGCATGGGTACTGGGCCTGGGAGGGCAGACGCTGAGGGCAGAGCAAGGGCCCTGGAGTCAGAACCCAGGCTTCTAGTCCCTGGAGCATTGGCTCAAATGGCAGAGTCTCCCTTGTTCCTGCGGCCACTCTGGGTCTTGAGACTGGTGGCATCCTCTGCCCTGACAGCCAGGCCAGGACCAGTGCGAGGAGGAGCCAATGGACCCTGGCTGGCTCCGAGGCTGCGGGGCTGGGTGTGAGGCCTCACCTTAGCCAGTTCTGGAGA
The DNA here is from genome assembly GCF_000001405.40 of Homo sapiens. Lineage (NCBI taxonomy): Eukaryota > Metazoa > Chordata > Mammalia > Primates > Hominidae > Homo > Homo sapiens. The sequence continues at coordinate 50,932,746 of NC_000017.11, forward strand.
TGTGCCCCTTGACGTGGCTTCTCTGGGCGAGGCCAGGCTCCCTGTGGGCCCCAGATGCAGAGAGCCAGGATTGATTCTCAAGCCACGAGGTACCCCCCATCCCTGAGATAGGCCCAGCCTATGTGCGTGGCCCTCATCAGCCAGACACTTGGAAATATCCGCACAGTTGCTGGAGAAGCAGAGAAGAGGCCGCTTGAACACAGGGAGCCATCTCCCACAGCACACCACAGACTTCCCCGGGTGCGCGCCGAGGAGCACGGATTCTGACAAGGCGTTATACCTTCAAATCAGGTTCTAATAGCCAAGAATTGCAGGAACCCCTGTGATGAACTAACTTAAGCAGGTTTCTTTACTTTAGGACTTCTCAGGACCTTTCCTATGCTGGGGTACATGATGAGTCTCCATGAAGGTGTAATGAGTGCAACTTTTACTAGAAACCCACGGACTCAGGAGCCCTTTCCTTCCAGAGCATCTCACAGGGCTAGAGGGCTCCAAAAACACTGAGCCAATGAAGGTGGGAAACAAGCACTGAGGGTGCAGGACCATCGCAGACAGAGTTTGGGAAAACTTAAGAGGAGGATGAGGCCTGGTGCAGTGGCTCACACCTGTAATCCCAGCACTTTGGGAAGCCGAGGCGGGTGGATCACGAGGTCAGAAGTTCGAGACCAGCATGGCCAACATGGTGAAATCCCATCTCTACTAAAAATACAAAAATTAGCTGGACGTGGTGGTGGGTGCCTGTAATCCCAGCTACTCAGGAGGCTGAGGCAGGAGAATCGCTTGAATCCGGGAGGTGGAGGTTGCAGTGAGCCAAGATTGCACAACTGCACTCCAGCCTGGGTGACACAGCAAGACTCTATCTTGGAAAAAAAAAAAAGAGGAGGATGAGTAAGCACTGTCCTGCATCACTCAACAAGGGGGATATGTCCTGAGAAATGTGTCCTCAGGCAATTTCGTCATTGTATGAACATCATAGAGTGCACTTACACAAACCCAGATGGTAGTATGGACTACCACACACCCAGGCTACTGCTCCCAGGCTACACACTCAGAGAGCTTGTTACTGTACTGAATACTGTAGGCAATTGTGGCACAATAGTAAGTATTTGTGTATCTAAACATATCTATACATAGAAAAGGTAGAGTTAAAATACAGTATTATAATCTTGTGGGGCTGGGCACAGTGGCTCATGCCTATACTCCCAGCACTTTGGGAGGCTGAGGCAGGTGGATCACTTGAGGTCAGGAGTTCAAGACCAGCCTGAATAACATGGTGAAACCCTGTCTCTACTAAAAATACAAAAAATTAGCTGGGTATGGTTGCGGGTGCCTGTAATCCCAGCTACTCAGGAGGCTGAGGCAGGAGAATAGCTTGAACCCAGGAGGCAGAGGTTGCAGTGAGCCGAGGTTGTGCCAGGGCACTCCAGCCTGGGCGACACAAGCAAGACTCTGTTTCAAAAATAATAATAATAATAATAATCGTATGGGCCCACCACTTTAGCTGCAGTCTGTAGTTGACTGAAACGTTATGAGGTGCATGACTGTATAAGAAGGTGTGAGAAAAGTGGAGGCCACCTCACCTGTGAGAGATTTGTTTAAAGACCAGTCCTGCTAATAGAATGCAGGTGGGTAGGGGGTGGGGAAAGCCCATCAACAGAGCAGGTGTGGGACTAACATTCATCTCTTTTCTCGGAGTTTGACACCTGGGCTCATGCACATATGTGCACCTACCTAGGCACATACCCAAAGGTACACATACAAAAAGCTCACATACAAGCATGTGCTCACATGAAACACACACAAGCACACATGGAAGAACATATCTCCTCATGGGCACACTCGCATACAGCAAAGCACACACCCATGCACACCCCCAGGTGTGTGCCCACACAGACCCACCTGCCAAGGCAAACCCATACAAAACACATGGAAACACAGATGGAGGCACGCATATCCACACACATGAGCCGGAGCACACACAGACATGCACTCAGCGCATCACACATCAACACTCGCGTACACGCACTGGGGTGTGCATGCGGAAGACAGGTGCAGGCGCATGCTCAGAGCACGCACCTGCATCCACACACTACGCATTCACAAGCACAGCGTGTCTAAGGCCATAACAGCTTCCCTGCCTCTTTGCGGAGGTGGGGCCAGTGGGGGTGGGAGTGACACTGTGTTTTAGAGGGAAGCTGAAGGACTCCCAAGCACGTTGAGTAAAGCAGTTCACAGAAGGCATATGTCCTTTGAGTATTTTTATCTTTAGCACTCATATGTCTAGCAGAGTCTGGGTGGCTCCATATTGCTACCAGGAAGGAGGACAAGTGGCTGGATTTGAAAGCAGATGGCCCCTGGGTGCAGAGGAAGGATACCCCTTGCTCCCTCCCCCGCCACACCACAGCGTTTCCTACCTCAACATATGGGGTCCCCCAAAGGCCTGTGCAAGCCACCTGCTTCCCACTGTGAAAACAGCTGGCAGAGCAGATTCCTCAGCCCCTAGCTGGGTGCCTGGAGAGAGGTTCTGACAGCCCCCAGCCTCCAACCAACCCCCGTCTCGGGAGCTCAGGTCTCCAGAGCACTTTGGGCCAGGACCATCAGTCTTGGGCCTGGGCTGTGACCCACTGTGGGCGGCTCTCTGCAGCTGCCTCGAATGTGTGCATGGATGGTGTTTTCCCCTATCCCTGAGCTGGCAGGAGGTCTGGGCACGTGCCCTGGCCCTCTGGCTGGTCAAGGACAAGCCGATGGATTTCGAAAGCTATTTAATCCCTGGGTTCTGACGCACCCGGTTCACCACCAAGCGGGATCTAGTGCCCACAATCTGATGTCAGAGGGCGGGAGTGGCCTTGGCCAGGCCTTGGCATGACTCCATCCCCTGCCCACATGGCACTGTGGTGGAGCCGGCAGGGAGCAAGAGGCGCCCAGAGCCTTCGCCTCTTGAATCACAACCATTTGTTAGGCTCGCAAACACCAGCATGGCCTAGAAAATGAGGTAAAACAATAACAAGGAAAAATAATCAGGTGCTATTAAGTGAAAAGAGCAGATAAGCAAAACATTATAATCGTGTTTATTTGAGAACAGTAATAAATATATTTAGGCAGAGGGAAAAAACTGGAAAAACCAACAGTGACTATCTTTAGAAATGTACCATTCAACAAATATTTACTGAGTACCTGCTATTGGTCAGATTGTTTTAGGTGCTGGGCATACAGTAGTGAAGAGACAAAACCCTTTAAGAAGCTTATATTCTAGAGAGTTAACAGGCAATAAACAAAATATACGAGTTCAATATATAGTCAATTAGCCAGGCGCAGTGGCTCAGACCTGTAATCCCAGCACTTTGAGAGGCCGAGATGGGCAGATTGCTTGAGTCCAGGAGTTGGAGACCAGCTTGAGCAACACAATGAAATGCCATTTCTGCTAAAAATACAAAAATTAGCCGAGTGTGGTGGTTCATGCTTGTAGTCCCAGCTACTTGGGGGGCTGAGGTGAGAGAGTTACTCGATCCTGGGAGTTAAAGGCTGCCGTGAGCCGAGATCGAGCCACTGCACTCCAGCCTGGGTGACAGAGTGAGACCTTGTCTCAAAAAAAAAAAAAAAAGTTAAATGGTGTAAATTGTGTTAAGTATAAATGGTGTTAAGTACAATGGGAAAAGGCTGGTTTGGGTTTGAGAATTGTGGGTTGGGGGCTGTAATTTTTAATAGATTCAATTTTTTAAGCTCAGTTCCAGTTTTACAGAAAAATTAAGAAGACAATATGTCACAGATGGGAACTGAACAATGAGAACACATGGACACAGGAAGGGGAACATCACACTCTGGGGACTGTTGTGGGGTGGGGGGAGGGGGGAGGGATAGCATTAGGAGAAATACCTAGTGCTAAATGATGAGTTAATGGGTGCAGCACACCAGTATGGCACATGTATACATATGTAACTAACCGGCACATTGTGCACATGTACCCTAAAACTTAAAGTATAATAATAAAAAAAAAGATTACACAACAAAAAAATAAATAAAATAAATTCTTGAAGAGCTATTAAAAAAAAAAAAAAAAGAAGACAACATAGTTACCCCCAAATCCTCCCTCCTCCTGCATGCAGTTTCTCTCATCAGTGACAACTTACATTAGTATGGTACATTTGTTGCAATGAATGAACCAATATTGATACATTATTATTATTATTATTATTATTATTATTAGAGACAGAGTCTTGCTCTGTCTATGTGGTGGTGCGGTAATGGCTCACTGCAAACTCGACCTTCTAGGCTCAAGCCATCCTCCTGCCTCAGCCTCCAGAGTAGCTGGGACCACAGGTATGCACCACCACACCTGGCTAATTTTTGTATTTTTTGTAGAGATAGGGTTTTGTAGAGATAGGAGTTGCCCAGGCTGGTCTAGAATTCCTGGGCTCAAGCAATCCTCTCGCCTTGGCCTCCCAGAGTGCTGGGATTATAGACATGAGCCACTGCACCAGGCCTTGATACACTATTATTTACCAAAGTCTATAGTTTATTTAGATTTTCTGGGTTTACCTAATGTCCTTTTTCTGTTCCAGGATCCCATCCAGGATCTCACATTCTACGTCGTTGTCATTGTCTTGCCTCCTGAGGCTCCTCTTGGCTGTGACCACTTCTCGGACTTTTATTTTGATGAAAATATTTTGATGACCCTGACAGTTTTGAGAAGTCCTGGTTTGGTGTCTTGGAGGATACTGCTATACTGGAATTTGTTTCGTGTTGTTCTCATGTTTAGACAGGGGTTATGGGTTTTTGGGTGTCTGATCACAAAGCCGAGGTGCCGTTTTCATCATGTATCCTATCAGAGGTCCTATCAACTGGAGTTACAAAGATGCTGACTTTATCACGGGTATCCGCTGGGTTTCTGCACCGCAGAATGAGCCCCCTTCTCCCGTTCCACACTGTACTCTTTGGGAGGAAGTCACTAAGTGCAGCCACACATAAGGCCTGGGACTTATGCTTTCAGCCCCAACTCATTTAGGGTGAAATAGTGACATAAATTGGCCTGGTGCAGTGGCTCATGCCTGTAATCCCAGCACTTTGGGAGGTCGAGGCGAGCGGATCACCTGAGGTCAAGAGATGGAGACCCTCCTGGCCAACATGGTGAAACCTTGTGTCTACCAAAAATACAAAAATTAGCTGGGCGTGGTGGTGGGCGCCTGTAATCCCAGCTACTTGGGAGACTGAGGCAGGAGAATCGCTTGAACCCAGGAGGTGGAGGTTGCAGTGAGCTGAGATTGTGCCACTGCACTCCAGTCCGGCAACAGAGTGAGATCCCATCTCAAAAAAAAAAAAAAAACGACATAAATTATTTGAAATTCTTCTGCGTGGGTTTTTTTGTGTGTGTCTTCTCCCCCATTTATTAATTAATCCAAGCGCTTATTTATAATGGACTCATGGATATTTATTTTACACTTGGGTTATACTACTACTTCATTTTACTGCTCAATTGTTGCAGCGTTTGGTTGTTGGCAGCTCTTTCAGTCGGCTCCTTCATCCCTTTGATACCCCTCTCTCCAGCACCAATGTGGTTCTTTTCTTTTTGAGCCCTTCCTTACTCTCTGACACTACACGATGCTCCTGTCCCAGTCCTGGAATCAGCCATCTCTCCCAGGAGCCCCGGATCCTTTCACTGAAGAATGGTATTAGAAACCAAGGTACTAGGTGTGATCTTTTTGTTGTTGTTTTGAGACAGAGTTTTGCTCTTGTTGCCCAGGCTGGAGTCCAACGGTGCGATCTCAGCTCACTGCAACCTCGGCCTCCCGGGTTCAAGCGATTCTCCTGCCTCAGCCTCCTGAGTAGCTGGGATTATAGGCGCCCGCCACCACGCCTGGCTAATTTTTGGGGGTTTTTTTTTTGTATTTTTAGTAGAAACGGGGTTTTGCCATGTTGGCCAGGCTGGTCTCGAACTCCTGACCTCAGGTGATCCGCCCACCTCGGTCTCCCAAAGTGCTGGGATTACAGGCGTGAGCCACTGTGCCCAGCCTGATCTTTACTTTTTAACATGGTGGTTAGTGAAGGCTCTTCTGAGAAGATAACACGTGAATGAAGATGTAAAGAAGGTGAGGGACAAACTGTGGGGAGCTTCAAGGAGGGGACTTCAGGAAGAAGGGATACCCCTTGCTCCCTCCCCTGCCACCCCACAGCCTTCCCTCCTCCAACATACTGGGTACCCCAGAGGCCTGCCCAAGCCACCTGCTTCCCACCAGAAAAATAGCCAGCAGGGCAGCAGGTGCAAAGGCCCCAAGGCCGACATGTGCACTGCGTAGTCAAGGAACAGAGGCCAGTGAGGCTGGAGCAAATGGGCCGTGGAAAGAGATGGTGTTGGAGAGGTGGGGCAGGAGCAGATGACAGAGGGGCCGCCCGACAGGACCTCGGCGTTGCCTTAGACTGCAGAGGAAGCAGACAAGTGACACTATCAACTCACTTTTTAATAAAACCACTTTGGCTACCATGCTGGGGATAGCATGAAGGGGCAAGGGCCGATGCTATTTTAAGAATCTAATGAGTGAGGATGTTGGCTTAGACTGGATGATAGCAATGGAGGTTGGGTGAGGGGCTCAGTTTCTGAAGGCAGAGCCAACAGCATTTTCTGACAGCTTGGATGCTGGGTGAGAGGGGGTGGGGGGTGCTAAGGTTTTGCCTGATCATCTGGAAGGAGGCAGTTGGGATTAGTCACACTGGGGGAAGACTGGAGGAGCTCACATGGTGGACACATTAAGTTTGAGATGCCCATCATCCATCCAAGCAGAGACGCTGAGTTTGTGGCCGTGTAGGTCTGGAGTTCAGGGGAGAGGGTGGGCTGGAGGGATAACATGAGAACAGGCTCCCAGCTCAGCCCTGTTCCCCGACACAGGTGTCTCCAGGCAATGGATGTACACCTGTGGGCTTAGGCTGAATCCAACACAGGATCTTGACCAAGGAGCCAGCCTGTAACTACATGGGGAGAGGGGGCAGCTTTGAGAAAACCTGGCCCCAAGTCCCGGCAGGTGGAGCAGACGCTGCATGCGGCTCTTGGTCAGCTTCCCAAGGACCCCCCGCCTTGCTCTGCATGGGGGTGCCCCGCAAGCACCCAGGGCTCAGGGCATGGAGAGGCCCCAGGATGGGGACTGGGCTTTCCCTCCATCTGAGCTGCTCCCCAGGCCAGAACTTGGGGGCCACACCTACTTTTTCTTCCGCTCCCAGCCTCTGGGTCCTGGCCACAGTCATCAAAACTGCTGAGTGAAAAAAGGCACAAGGCCATATCCAGAGGGCAGCCTCTCTGACCTTTGGGAAGTGACAGCACCAGGTCACTGGACTCCCGAAACAGGAGGAATGGACAGGAGAGGAGGAGGGGGAGAAGGGGGTGAGGGAAGAGAGGCCAGGGGACAGGACAGAAGACAAGGAGAGGGAGGAGGAGGGGAGAGTCCAGAGGTGAGGGGAGGTAGGAAGAGGCTGGTGTCCTGAGCTGTGTCCTGGTCCCACAGCCTGGTGAAGGGGCAGCTGACAGCAGGGGTCCTTCTTGCCACCTATCTGTCTCTCACATGCCACATCTAGTCCACCAGCCCATGCTGTGTCCACCAGCCATGCCGGGGGCTCCCCCTCTTCCCTCGCTGATGCCTCCACCCTCGTCGAGGCCACCCCTCTCTCTGACCTGTGCCTCTGGAAGGGCCTCCTCCCACTTCCGTCCTCTACAGTCTGTTCTCAGAGCAGCCAGAATGACCCTTCTCAAACAAAACCCAGATGAGGCCATCGCTTCAGAAACCCTCTCCCTTCCCTAGAGTGAAAGGCCCCCTCTCGGGCCACCGAGTCTGCCCTCTGGTCTGCAGTCCTCCCTTCAGTCCTCCCACAGCGGCCTCCCTGCCGCTCCTCCAGCAGCCCAAGCAGGCTCACAGCTGCCACAGGGCCTCTGCACTTGCTGTGCCCTCCGCCCGGCCTGCTCTGCCCAGCAGGTGCCTTGCTCCTTTGCTTCTTTCAGGTCAGTGCTGAAGTCTCTTCAGAGAGGCTGCCCTGCCCACCCAATCTGAAACAGACTCCTCCCACCACTGCCACTGTTCCCTTCCCCAGCTTACTTTTTCTTAAGACTTACACCACTTTATATATACATATATATATATACACATACACACACACACACACACACACACACACATATATATATATATTTAGATAAGGTCTCCCTCTGTTGCCCAGGCTGGAGTGCAGTGGTGCGATCTTAGCTCACTGTATCCTCCACCTCCCAGGTTCAAGCAATTCTTATGCCTCAGCCTCCTGAGTAGCTGGGACTACAGGTATGTGCCACCACGCCCGGCTAATTTTTGTATTTTTAGTAGAGACGGGGCTTTGCCATATTGGCTAGGCTTATATAAGTATTAACGCTTCCCCACTGGAGTAGAAGCTCCCTGAGGACCAGGCATTTGTTTTGTCCACCAACGCATCCCGGCACCTGGAACAAGCTCCAGCAGGTGTGGACTCCATGGATACCTTTGAATGAATGCATGGCCATGCCTCACCTTCTACAGTTCCCTAGGGCTGGCTGAGGGAAATTGGTTGGGCCTGGCTGTCCTCCTCAGGCCCAAACAATTTGGCTCTCAGAAGTTCTGAGACCAAAGTGGAACCTATCACACGAAAGATGGGAAGGACACCGGGCGCAGTGGCCCACGCCTGTAATCTTAGCACTTTGGGAGGCCAAGGTGGGCGGATCACTTGAGGCCAGGAGTTCGAGACCAGCCTGGCCAACATGGTGAAACCCTGTCTGTACTTAAAATACAAAAAATTAGCTAAGCGTGGTAACGTGCACCTGTAATCCCAGCTACTCGGGAGGCTGAGGCAGGACAATCACTTGAACCCGGGAGGCAGAGGTTGCAGTGAGCCGAGATCGTGCCATTGCACTCCAGCCTCAGTGACAGAGTGAGACTCTGTCTTAAAAAAGAAAAAAAAAAGAAACATGGGAACATGGGAAGGAAATTCACCAAAACCTCTGCGAGCGAATGACTCCTTTCTCCCAAATCTGTAATTTTACCATGTCTTCCCCAATCCATTCCTCACACCTTCCTGATGCCTCCTCTTCCCCCATTCCCCAGAGCCTGCTATGCCCCAGGTCCTTCCAGGACACCTCTTTTATTTTTATTTTTTAATTTTTGAGATAGAGTGTTGGTCTGTTGCCAGGCTGGAGTGCAATGGCATGATCTCGGCTCACTGCAACATCCATCTCCCAGGTTCAAGCGATTCTCATGCCTCAGACTCCCAAGTAGCTGGGATTACAGGTGCCCACCACCACACTCAGCTAATTTTTGTATTTTAGTAGAGATGAGGTTTTGCCATATCGGCCAGGCTGGTCTTGAACTCCTGGCCTCAAATGTTCCACCTGCCTCGGCCTCCCAAAGTGCTGGGATTACAGGCGTGAGCCACCGCACCCAACCCAGGACACCTCTTAAACATCTCTCCTCTCTCCGGCCCACTGCCTTGGTGCTTATCAGCTCAGGGACCCCAGTGGTCTCAGGGTTTGCTCTCATCACCACAAGGCAGTTTCCACAGAGATCCAGAATGATCTTGCTAAAAAAGCACGTCTGATCTGCTCACTCCCAGGCTTAACCCCCTTCATTGGCCCTCAGGATTAGGTCCAGAGTCCAGAGCCATCTGCCCCTACCCTGTCTCCACGCTCCTGCTCCCTCCTGGGCTCCTCCTGCTGAGCCTCCTGTCTGACTCAGCCACATACCTGCCGCCAGCCCCTTGTGCCCACAGCACCTGCTCCTCCTCTCTCAGCCCTCTTCTTACTTGATTGTGATGCATTGTGTTACTGCCATCCAGACTGCCCATTTCGAGTTCCCGTGTGCAGCCTGCCTGGACGGAGGCCTTAGCCTCTGCCCTGAGTCCCGGTTGCATGGGAAGTCCTCTGGGTCTCAGTTTGGATGTTTGTGGGTGAGGAGCAGCTGCGGTGGGTAAGGGGTGGCTGATGAGGATCACGGGGTGTGCTGAGACTCCCTGGTCCTTCCCTCAGTGACGCCCCTGCTGTCGCCACTTGTCCCCAGGCTCTAGAAGAACTGGGTCTCTCTCTTGTCCAGTATCTGCCAGGGAAGAGGCTCTTAGGCTCTTATCTGTTGAATGGTTGAATGGGTCACTCTAAACAGCAGCTGTAAATAATGTCCATCTTTTTTTTTTTTTTTTGGAGACAGGGGGCAAACTTTGTCACCCAGGCTGGAGTGCAGTGGTGCAATGGCTGACTTCAACCTCAACCTCCCAGCTTCAAGTGATCCTCCTACCTCAGCCTCAAAGTAGCTGAGACCACAGATTGCATCACCACACCTGGCTAATTTTTCTTTCTTTCTTTCTTTCTTTTTTGATATAGAGTCTCGCTCTATCCCCCAGGCTGGAGAGCAATGGCGTGATCTTGGCTTACTGCAACCTCTACCTCCCAGGTTCAAGCGATTCTCGTGCCTCGGCCTCCCAAGTAGCTGGGATTACAGGTGCCCACCATATCCGGCCAATTTTTGTATTTTTGTGGAGAGAGGGTTTCACCATGTTGGTCAGGCTGGTCTTGAACTCCTGGCTTCAAGTGATCCGCCCACCTCGGCCTCCCGAAGTGCTGCGATTACAGGCATGAGCCACTATCATTTTTTGTTTTTAAATAGAATGGAAAACAAAAACTTACCTTGAAAAATCATTCTTACTGAAATGATTAAAAAGTAACATTCCTGTATCTTCCAAAGCTGAGCAGACACACAGCCGGGCCCCGTCATCCCTGCCCTGGGTATTCACCCAACAGAAATGCATTCATATGTTCACAATACACAGGAACTAGAATGTTCATAGTGGCACTATTCACCATAGCCAGGAACTGGAACCTCCCCAAATGTCCATTAGCAGTAACATGGGTGAATACATTTTAACAGAGCCACACAATGGCAAGCCACCAGCAATGGGTACGAACAGCCCTTGACTGCCTGTGAGAGTACTGACAAACCTCACAAACATAATATGCAGCAAAAGAAACCAGACGCAAAACGGCACCCACTGTATGGCTCCATCTACACACAGTTCAGAAGCAGGCCAGAGCGCCTGCGGGCTGAGTCAGGAGAGAGGCTGGACTCGGGAACAGTAGGTGGAAGGGGTCTCGAGGGGCTTCTGGGTGCCGGTGAGGTGCTGTTTTTTAATTTGGGTGCTGGTTGCACAGGTATGCAAAGCATGTGCAAATTCTTTCAGTTGTACACTTTGATTTGTGCAGTGTTCTGTGTGTGTGCTTAACTTCAATTTTAAAAAGTCTTAAAAATAAAAGTCATGTCTCCTGGAGCAGGTTAAATCCACCTCCCTTTTCTATCCAAGGGCAAGTGGAGAGCAGGTGGCTGGCCTCCCTGGGGCACAACCACGTGTCCCCTCATGGGTGCTACCAGAGTCCCTCCCCAGCCTGAGACTCCTGAAGCCCCAGACTCAGGGATTTTCTTTCCACTAAGCTCTGGTAAGTCCCACCATCACAGACCAGGCCTGTGTCGGCCCCAGAAGCAGGATCAGTGTTAGCTGCAGCCTGGCCCTCACTGGCTGGGTTACTCCGGGCCTCCCTTGCCATCGGCCACCCCCAGGCTTGGCGCGGAGGCGCAGGCCGCCTGGGTCCTCGGGTTGTGTCCGCTGGCCTCCCTCCACCTTCTTGCCCCTGGTGGGAGATGGGAGTGGGGCTTGGAGGTGGGGAGGTGGGGCTGTCGGTGCTCCAGGGTCCCCGCAGAGGGCAGGGAAGCCCTGGACCTGGTCTGACCTTGCGCGCTAGCCCCAGAGGTCGCCGTGCTCTGCTGTCGGCGTTCAGGTGCCCGCGGTCGGGCCGGGGAGGGCAGTAATCAAGCCGGCCCGGCGGCTGGCGAGGGGCGCGGGTCCAGCGCGCTGCCCTCGGCCGCCGCCCTGAGCGGTTATTTATAACCGCGGGTCGCGTTACCTCCTGACCTTAAGCTGGGGCGGGCGATCCGCAGCGATTAGCATCTATCTCCTCCCCGCCGCCCGCTGCGAACAAACACCCCTCTGTGCGCCCTCCCCCGCCCGCCCCGCGGGAGGCCCTGCAGGAAGCAGGATGTTGACCCGGAGCCTCCCTGCGCTCCTGCGGCGGCCCCGCCACATGTGAGTGGCGGGCGGTGGAGTGCGGGTGGGGGGGAAGCGGGGAGCAGGAGCTACTCGTGTTTGATGGCTTCCCGAGTTGCCAATGTCCTGGTCTATTCTGAGTGACCGCCTTATTTACAATATAGGGCTCCCCAGCCCGTGTCTGCCCAAAGGGGTGCCCTCTCCCAAGCCAGTGGGGGCCAGCCAGCCCTGGTTGGGGCAGCACCTGCACAGGTGGTCCCAGAATCACAGGCTGCAAACCGCATCCTCCAACAGCCAGGCCGTCGTTGCTCGATGGCAGCTGAAGGCCATAGGGGAAGGTGGTTGCGTCGGGGTCCCACAGCCATCCACGGCAGACCCCGGCTCCTGCCTGATGGTTTTTCCCAACGGCTCCCAGAACTCTTGATTCTGGTCTGGAGAAGCCTCATGAAAGGAGGCTGGGGTCGCAAGATTGGCCCATTCATTCAACACATTTTTATTTTATGTATTTATTTTTGAGACAGGGTCTTGCTCTGTCAACCCAGGCTGGAGTGCAGTGGTGGGATCAAAGCTCACTGCAGCCTCAAACTCCCAGGCTCAAGTGAGCCTCCTGCCTCAGCCTGAGTAGCTAGGACTGCAGGTATGTGCCACCATGCCCAGCTAATTGTAAACATTTTTGTAGAGGTCTTGCTATGTTGCCCAAGCTGGTCTTGAACTTCTGGCCTCAAGCGATCCTCCTGCCTTGGCCTCCCAAAATGTTGGGATTACAGGCATGAGCCACTGCACGCCAGGACCATTCAAAACTTTTTTTTTTTTTTGAGTCGGAGTCTTGCTCTGTCGCCCAGACTGGAGTGCAGTGGTGTGATCTCAGCTCACTGCAACCTCCGCCTCCTGGGTTCAAGCAATTCTGCTGCCTCAGCCTCCTGAGTAGCTGGGACTACAGGTGCCCACCACCATGCCTGGCTAATTTTTGTATTTTTAGTAGAGATGGGGTTTCACCATATTGGCCAGGCTGGTCTCGAACTCCTGACCTTGTGATCCATCCACCTTGGCCTCCCAAAGTGCTAGGATTACAGGCATAAGCCACGTTGCCCAGCCTCAACAGCTTTTTTTTAAGGCACCTACTAGGTGCCAGGCACCTTTCCAGGCAAAAATCCTTATCCTGTGGAGCTGACAGTCCAAGGGAAAGAGAGTCCTTCCCTGGAGCCTAGGGCCCCATGATGGAGCCACAGTCTAGGCAGTTGCTGAGGGCCCTGATGGGTGAGTCTTAGGGAGGGAGACTGAGGCAGGGAGTGGGAGGGCCAGGCTTGTAGTGCATTGTGGGACTGCAGCCTGCGCTGGGTATTTGCTGAGCAAGGCCAAGGCTATGTGAGACACTAACATCCTGAGCCTGTGAAGGCTGAGGCCCAACAGTGGGTGTGCCCCCTGCCTAGCTTCAAATGACCTTGCACCCAGGGCAGAGGGTGAAAAGCTCACCCAGTCTTGGGCGTCATCCTGGAAGAACTCATGGAAGAGGACCCACTGAGTCAGGACATTTGAGGAGCGCATTGAGGGCGGAGGGAGCCTGGGCTGCCCGCCTTTCTGCCACGCTCTCAGACACTTGGAGGCGCTTGGGAGGAGTTTGCCTGTGTGACGTGACCAGCCCCTGACCACTCCTTGCCTTCTCTGGGCCTCAGTTTCCACAAATGAGCAGTGAAGGGGTTGGCTGAGATGAGGCGTTTCAAGTCTGGCCGCCTGTGCCTCTGATCTAGAGACCCCCCCCAGGCCAGAGACCCTCCCACCAGAGCCTGGCTCAGGCCAGGTGCATCTGCCTGATGCAGCCCAAGAGGCTGGGCCATGGTGGACCAGGAGTAGCTGTGGCCGTGGGTAGCTGGTGGTGCCCAACAGCTCACACCAGCGTATGAGGGAGTGGCACATACACATATGTGTGGGAGTCTGGTGTGCTGGGTGTGCCTCAGTAGGTAGGTGGCTGCCCAGGGGAGTGTGTGCTTGGCATGTGTTTACGAGGGGTGTAAGGAGTGTCTGCAGCAAGTGTGTAGGGGGTGGGCCACATGTGTGTAGGTCAGGTATGTATAGTTGGGGTGTGGGCGGATATTGGAGGAGTGTCTTAGTGGTCAGGGGGAGGCTTGAGGCAGGGGAGGAAGGCCTGGAGGGGCCACTCCCTCACTCTGCAAACCCCCCTCTGGCCACATGGTCAGCCTGTGGCCGATGCGCCCTGACCAGTCAATGAACTCAGGGTCTGGAAGAGTCAGCGGCTTTTCCAACCTCTTTGCCAAATGGGATGTCAGCATGGGGGCAGGGGTGGTGGGGGTGCAGGCTGGGGAAGGTGGCAATGACTTCATGACCAGACTACTGAGCAGGTGGGGAGAGGGGGCAGGGCGCTGGAGGCCGGCTGGGTGGGGGATCCACTCTGGGTGGGGAGGCAGCCCAGGCTCATGCTTCCTCAGGACCGCTGGATTCCCTTTGTGGGGAGGACCTCCTGGAGGGTCTGCAGGGGGCTCCCTTGGACTGAAAACCCTCCAGGGACTGTTGCATGGGGTCCCAATAAGCTAACAACAGCCCTGGAAGGTAAGGCCTCTTGTCCCTATTTGACAGATGAGGAAACTGAGGCTGGGAGAGGCAGCCACACAGCTAGAGTGAATGGTGAACTGGACTAGGAACATGGGTGGGCGTGTTTCCCACACTGCCCCACAGTGACACAGCGGGGGCGGGGACAGCCCTTAAAATCCGATCCTCCGCGAACACCTTGAATCCTCAAACCTCCATCCATCCAAAAGGGGCTCCGCCTTGGGGAGGCCCTTCGCACACTTCTCTACAATTTGAGGGGCCGTCGGCTGCAATAACCACATAGTGGGGCCACTACAAGTCAACAGAAGCAGACCCTCTCTCCAAAAACACAGCAGACCCTGTCTCCAACACAGACTAGGCCTAGTTCCGACTTCCAGAATGCCGTGGTCCAGCCCTGGCATTGCTGACTCATGGGGTCAGGCTGGCGTTGCTCCTCTGTGGGGCTGGAGGGGCCCCAGATCACAGACCTGGGGGTGGGTGTGAGCACTGTCTTCGTACCCAGAGGCTGAGGTCAGCTTTTGGGCTGCTCTTTCTTCAGCCATTTACTAGTTTCCCATCGTAATAATAACTACCCCTACCTAAGCTTTATAGCTCAGCAAGGACTTTCACAAACATTCTGTCACTCACACCACCCTTGCACCAGCCCTGTGATGAGGAGTTAATATGCCCATTTTATAGAACAAGAAGCTGAAGCTCAAGGAAGGAGGTTCTGGGACTCATCTCAGATCCCATGGCCAGGAAGCGGTGGCCACTCTGGAATTCTTGACCCTGCCCAGACCAGCACCTTCCACAGCAGAGACCCCCTCCAAGGAGCGGGCGACGTGTGACTTCCCCATGGGTGGACTCTGGGCTGCAGTGATCGGCTAGCGGTGCCATCTTTAGTCTGGGAGCTGTGTGAAGCCTGCTCCCCACCTTCCCCCTCCTGCAAATATTGGGGGAGGGGCATGGAGGACAGGAAGATAGAAGCAAAAGTGGCAGTGACCGGTGCATGAGAGATTGGGAGATACGTGCTGGGGAGGGGTTCCCCGGAGCAGAGCTGGCTGCCCTTGGCACTGGGCCCAGGCGGAGGAGTGGCAAGACCAACAGTTCCTGGAGCACAAGTCCCTCAGCCGGTGCCCAGTGCCAGCCATCGCCATGTTCTCATCTGCCAGCAGCAAAATGAGAAAAATAAGGACAATATAGTGAGGTTTTACTAAAGCTAGGTTTACTCAATCCAAAAGACTGTCCTTTTATCTGAGCTTTGTATTTTCAATCGTGTGTGTGTCTGTGTGTGTGTGTCTGTGTCTGTGTGTGTCTGTGTGTGTGAGCACAAAAGGACCTTTCCTTTGACATTTCCTTTTAATGACCTCAAACTCAGCAAAATAAAAAAACTGGTGACTAGCTGGTGTGGTGGCTCATGCCTGAAATCCCAGCACTTTGGGAGGCCGAGGTGGACAGATCGCTTAAGGCCAGTAGTCTGAGACCAGCCTGGCCAACATGGTGAAACCCCATCTCTACTAAAAATACAGAAATTAGCTGGGTATGGTGGCGGACGCCTGTAATTCCAGCTACTCGAGAAGCTGAGGCACAGGAGTCGCTTAAACCTAGGAGGCGGGGGTTGCAGTGAGCTGAGATGGCACCACTGCGCTCCAGCCTGGGTGACACAGCGAGGCTCTGTCGCAAAAACAAAACTGGTGACGACGTCAGATCCTAAATTTTTTTATTTTTTTGAAATGTTAGTGATGTGAGAAATCCGAAAGGCTGAGACCCACTGGGCTAGCTTGTACGTGGCTCTGGGTGAAACCTGGCACAGGGGGGCAATGTTTTTTAATTGAGGGATGAATCTAAACAGCTGGAAGCTTCTCCCGGGGGGAGGAGGGGCTGGGTTCTTGCCCAGACTCAGCCCCTGAGGCCCCAGCCTAGGCATCCCCAGGAAACCTGAGCAGAAGGAACATTCACGTAACTGTACTGGGAATTCTGAGAAGGGCCTAGGGGCCAGTTCCCCATGCCACACACCCTCTGCTCATCCCTGACCGGGAGCCGCGAGGCAATCTTCCCTTAAACCCCACCTCGGCCTCCCCCAGCACCCCCAAGGCTGGTTCCAAAATAGTCCAGGCCCTTGGAGGAGACATCATGGGTCGGGCTGGCTGCCTGTCCCGAGAGGACATGGCAATAACGCTGTGGCCGAATATAGAGGGACAGTAGACGCTGACAGGGGCCCTGGGGCCTGGGAGCCTCGCAGGTTCCACGGTGCCTGCTCCACCCCCATCCCTTCTGAGCCCTGCACCCCCTAACCTGGACAGCTGGGAGGCTGGCGCCCCTCTCCTGGCCCAGCCCGGCCCACCTGGGGACAGGTCCGAACAAGCCCAGGTAGAACAGGAGGCCGGCCTAGGAGGGCCCAGGGCCTGGGCTGGGCATGAGCTTGGGGCCACCTCTCTCTAGGGACTCAAAGCATTTTATAAGCTTAACTTCCCACAGGACATCCCGAGATCAGGAGACCAAGAGGAACCGGGGTGTCTGCTGCAGAGCCACTCCTGCTCTCTGTTCTCAGCTTCCGAAGGAGAACAGGGCCATAAAGCTGGGGTGTGGGAGGCTGAGAGGAGAGCAGGAAGCCAGTCCAAACCCCAATAAACTGCTGGTTGAATCGAATCACAAATAATTAGTCCCGATGGCCAAGACTGCCTCCACCCTCCTCTCCTGGGAATTAAAAGTCAAAGGGCAGAGCTGCTGACGCAGATGCCAGGGGAGACATGAGGCTTGGAACAGCTGGGACTCAGCTCCCAGGCTCCACTGCCCCAGGTCGCAGGCCCTGGTTGCCCCGGTTGCCCCGGACACGATGTCCCCCAGGCAGGCCCCTAGAGCTTCATTGCCAACTCAGGGAAGGGGGCTCTGCTCCCTCACCCTTCCCCTGGTGCTACGTCAACAGAACTAGATTCAAGGTTAATCAGGCTGCCCTGAAAACTGTTGCCAGATGACAGCCTGGAAGAAGCAGTTGCCAGCCTCTCTCCCTCCCACCCCTGTAAGAGGAGGAAGAGATCTCTGCCTCCCTGTCGAGGGGGAGCCTGGCTCCCTGAAACCCACTGCGCCCCTTCCCCTAGGTCGGCCTTGCCGCAGGCACCCCCTGGACGGCTGCACCAGGTCTGCGCGCCAGCGGTGACCCCCAGTGGTCAGTGCAGGACTTGAACCTGAGCCGTGGGCATGGCTGCTGCAGACTCATCACTGCAGCCTCAGCCCACAGCCAGTGACTTGGGAAGCCTTGCCGTGTGAGTGGTTTGGGGATTTGATCTTGGTAAGGCTGTTGCTGGCGTTTAGAGGTACTTCGTAGGTGCTGATTTTTCCTAATTGAACTGTGGCTGGATCTTGGCCTAAAGGTCCCACTGTCAGCAAATCCGTGTCCACATGCCTAAGAATGAATTCATCATCTTCTAGCCCTAAACCGGCTCCTCCTCCTGACTTCCCTATTTCTATTAATAGCACCGCCACCCTCCAAACCTCCGAGTCATCTTCAGCCGCTCCCCACACTGGGCGGGGTGCCTGATCTTGCCCCTCCTCCCTCCGCAGGTCACCCTTGCATTACTCTCCTGGACACTCGTAGCCTCTCACCTGCGTCACTGACATCCTCAACGATGCTGCTGGGTCAGACCTGGGCAGGGGACCCACCCCTCTTCCACTTACTGGCCTCGCGACCCTGGGCAAGTTACTTAAACTCTCTGAGTCTCAGCTTCCTCAGCTGTAATGTGAGGCTAATAATCACAGCCCCTCTCTCCTAGGGCATTGCATGAATTAAATGATAGGCTGGGTGTGGTGGCTCATGCCTGTAATCCCAGCACTTTGGGAGGCCCCGGTGGGAGGATCACCTGAGGTCAGGAGTTCCAGACCAGCCTGGCCAACATAGTGAAACCCCGTCTCTACTAGAAATACAAAAATTAGCCATGCCTGTAGTCCCAGCTACTCCGGAGACTGAGGCAGGAGAACCGCTTGAACCCAGGAGGCGGAGGTTGCAGCGAGCTGAGATGTGCCACTGCACTCCAGCTTGGGCGACAGAGCCAGACTCCATCTCAAAAATAAATAAATAAATAAATAAAATAAAAAAGAATTAAATGATAGAATGGACATGAAGACCCTATCACGTAAGAAATGCTCGGGCCGGGCGCGGTGGCTCACGCCTGTAATCCCAGCACTTTGGAAGGCCGAGGCAGGCGGATCACGAGGTCAGGAGATCGAGACCATCCTGGCTAACATGGCGAAACTCCATCTCTACTAAAAATACAAAAAAATTAGCCGGGCGTGGTGGCGGGAGCCTGTAGTCCCAGCTACTCGGGAGGCTGAGGCAGGAGAATGGCGTGAACCCAGGAGGCGGAGCTTGCAGTGAGCTGAGATCGTACCACTGCACTCCAGGCTGGGTGACAGAGCGAGACTCCGTCTCAAAAAAAAAGAAATGCTCAATGGGTATGGATTATTAGAAATCATCCAGTCCAATGCTCTCATTTTATAAGCAGGGAAACTGAGGCCCACGTGTCTTTACAACATGCTACAAAGCCAGGGACTTGGAAGTTCCTGAAATCTTGAAGCTCTTCCACTCCCCTCCTCCACCATCACGGCATTCTAGAACTCAGAACAAAAGGCCAGCTCTTGAGTCCTCTGGGCCCCTTCCTCTGCTTTCAGGGGCAGGTATGCTTGGGTAAGTGTGGTGGTCACTCAGTCACAGGAAGTATGTTCTGGGATGGGACAACCACAGCTGGTATCCAGCCAGCTGAGTCAGGGCCACCCATCTGCAAGGTGATGAGTGAGGCTCGGCACGTGGGCTGGCACAGCTGCCCACCTCAGGGCACACAGGGGCGTGCTCACATGGCAGCTGTCCAAAAAGGGCAGATGTCTCTGCCTTTGGCAATCCCGCCTTCACCTCCCTCTCCCCACACACACCGCACCCCAGTCACAGGGTGATCACACAGGGGTCAGAGGAAGGAGGGCAGGCTGATTCAGCCTCTTCCCATCTGGTTCTGCTTCCCTGTGGGCAGGTGTCCTTAATATTCTCTCCATGAATGAGCACCTGGTACCCACAAACTCCTTGAAATTGAAGGTAGGAGCCTTGTTCCAGGATAAGGATCATATAGCTGTCATCAGATTTCAAAAAGGATTTTACTCCCAAAAAGGCAATAGGAAGAAAAGCAAGTGGGCTGGGCGTGGTGGCTCATGCCTATAATCCCAGCACTTTGGGAGGCCGAGGCAGGTGGATCACCTGAGGTCAGGAGTTCGAGACCAGCCTGGCCAACATGGTGAAACCCCACCTCTACTAAAAATACAAAAATTAGCCAGGCATGGTGGCACGAGCCTGTAACCCCAGCTGCTTGGGAGGCTAAGGCAGGAGAATCACTTGAACCTGGGAGGCAGAGGTTGCAGTGAGCTGAGATCATGCCACTGCACTCCAGCCTGGGCAACACAGTGAGACTCTGTCTCACAAAAAAAAAAAAAAAGAAAAGAAAAGCAAGTGGACAGGCTTTAGAATTGGATGATCCAGGTTCAAACAAGGGCCCATCCTGGAGTCCTTGGCACTTACTGTCTACGACAATGGTTCTCAAGTAGGGACGATTTTGCCCCCTAGGAACATGTCTGGAGAAATTGGGTATGCTACCGGCATTTAGTGGGCAGAGGCCAAGGATGCTGCTATGTATCCTATAATGCACAGGGCAGGCCACACAGCAAAGAAGCACCCAGCCTCACATGTCAGTACTAGTGAGGTTGAGAACCGCTGGTTGAGGTGTCCTGTCAAATGGGGAAATCTGTGCCCCACAGCCGCCTTGGGGATTAAGGCAGGCAATGGATGAGGAACCCAGGACTGGGCCCAGCACACACTCCACAGTTGCATGGGATTCTCCTCTCCTAAGGACTTTTTGGCCTGGGACATGGTAGCTAGCGGGCAGAGGTGGAGTAGGCACATATTTTGGCTTTCACGAGAGAACTTTCTGAAATGATCTTGATGCTCCTGTCCCACCCAGCTCATGGCACAGTTTCTCTAGAACAATCCCATGCTCATTTATCAACAAGGAAAACCCAGGCATGGTGGCTCACACCTGTAATCCCAGCACTTTGGGAATCTGAGATAGGAGGATCACTTGAGCTCAGGAGTTCGAGACCAGCCTGGGCAACATGGCGAAACACTGATTCTGCAAAAAATAAAAAAAAAATTAGCTGGGTGTGGTGGTGTGTGCCTGTAGTCCCAGCTGCCCGGAGGGCTGATGTAGGTGGATAGCTCCAGCCTGGGAGGTTGAGGCTGCAGTGAACTATGATTGTGTCACTGCACTCCAGCCTGGGCGACAGAGGGGAGACCCTGTCCCAAGAAACAAAAAAAAAAAAAGAAAGAAAGAAAGAAAGAAAGAAAAAGTGGGCTCTGGAAGGAGCCAGCCACCGTTGCCCTCTGGGCACTCACCATCTCACCCCTCAGGCTCCAACAGGGTTCCACGTGACCAATCCCCGAGGGGAGAGGAGACTGCGGAGAGGATGGGAGGCAAAGCACCTCCTTCAAGCTCCAGGGAGGCAGGAGGATTTGTTTAGGAGTGGCCCTGTGCAGAGGTAGGGGCATGGCTGAGAACACCTTGGGAGGTGGTGTGAAGCTGAGTCCAGGAGCCGCCAGCCCTCCCTGCCACTCAGCTCAGGGGTCACTTGGGTAGCTTCAGCCTCAACAGCCGTGGAGTCAAGTGTCTCCTCTACAAAAATAATTCCCAAATAAGTCACTGCCTTCACCCCTGGGACTGGCTGGTGCACCCAAATTGGAGTCGCCACCCAGCCCCCTTGAGCATTGCCTTGCTGGCTGATCCAACAGAGGCAGAATTAGCTGATGAGGCTACCACAGCGGGAGGGAACTGACCTGAGGCCGCCTGGAGAGATGGGACCCCGAGGGCCCTTTCTGGCACTACTCACTTGTTGGGTCTGGGGAATTAAAACACACTCCCCCTCTCTGGGTCTCAGTTTAACAGGGAGGAGACCACCACCTTCCAAACCTCAGTGACGGCATCAGGCTGGGGGTGGTGCTGGGCCTCCTGCGTCTGTGTCTGGAGACGCAGCTGACTCCCTGACAAGCCCAGACATGCAGCTGTTCCTGCAGAGGAAGCAGCAGGAACTGGGGAAGGGCAGAGCGCTGAGGGAGGGGCAAGAGGGATGCAAGGACACCACAGTGACCGCGTGCAGCGAAGCGAGTATGAGCAGAGTCCCAATCTCCAGGTCCCCTCTCCGCGGAAGCACTTTTGTCTTTATTGGAAATTTCCTCCCATGTAACATCTGACCTCTACCTTCTCTTCTACAGATGAGCTCTGCTGTGAGTCCCAGCGGGCTGAGACACTGTGACTGCCCACCTGTCCCCAGGTGCCCCTTCTATACAGCCCCATCCCTTCCCAGGGATGCTCAGTGGCTGCGGCCACCCTTGCTTTCTGCCACTCAGCCCTTGCAGGGGCTTCACACCCCAAGAGGGGCAGTCTGGGCTGGGGCTCCTGGACTCCCTAAGGCATTATCCCATCCCCGCAAGTTGCCCGGCCGGGCCCTGAAGGAAAGGGGCCCCGGACCCAGACCCGAAGGCTGCTCACCAGAGGCTCTGCCCAGGGACTCTCACCTCTCCAGCCACTCCAACTCCCCTCCGGCTTTCCTGTCATTTCCTGATGCCACAAATCTTCTGACATCCTCCCTCTTCCCCAGTGAATTTCTTCCCCAGGCCCTTCCCTTCCTCAACCTGCTTCATACTGGACATTCCCAGCTGGTAGGATCTGCCTGTGGCTCTGCACAGGAGGCTGGGCAAGGGTGGAGAAGACTGGGGGAGCTGTCTCCCATGACCCCAGCAGAGGCGAGAGACAGAAGCTGCATCTGGGACCTGTCGGCTGCAGTTTTGGGCATTCATACCCACCTAAGCATTCTGGAACAGCCCTGAACCTGGGCATCAAACTCCCCAGGCTTGAGAATGGTGAACACTACTATTAGGCGCCCCTTCCTCCAGGCCTATGCCGACTCCCCTGTGCCCATGGAAGCTGTGTAGTCCATGCTGGCTCTGGCTCATGTGGGTGTCCGGACAGTGAGGCCGAGGCGGCAAGGGCCCTTTACTCTGTGCACTCCCAGCTCCCCATCCCAGCCAGGGCAGCCTTGACCCTCCTGCCCCCTTGCTGTGCCATGTGTCAGTTGGCTGGGATCATGCTCTTCCCCCGTCTCCATCAAGAGGATCCAACAGCATCTTGCAGCTAACACTGGGGCATGGGAGTGAGGGAAACAAACATGGTACCCACTCTTCTGTCCTAATGTTTAGAATCATGGGGCAGAAAAGCATCCTAGAACTCATCTAGCCCAACTGTCATTTTACAGAAAACAGGACAGAGAGAAAATGACCAGCCTAAAGCTCTTGGCTACTCAGGGCAGCTGGGACAGGGGTCTGGTTTCCCGGCATGGAGCCACAGTGTCTGGATGTGCTGGAACTCGGCACGTCCCCCTGAGAGTTAGCTGCAGAGGTGGCGTATGGGAGAGGAGGCTGGAAAATAGGCTTGGAGGTTTCGTCCAGGCACACAGATTCTCTCCCCCTAATCCTCAGCCCCTCCTTTTCTCCCTTTCAGCAGCAGTTATAAAATCCAGGAAATAAATGTGGATTGATGGCCTACAAAGGGCTTAGTTAGTGCTGTGACCTGCTGAGTTATGTAACTGCTATTTATTATCGGCCTTGGATGAAGTTTCCATTGAAGCAACTCACTAAGCTGATTCCGTGACATTTCTTTTAGCCTTGTTCAGAAGCAGCAGCCGCAGAAATTCTTCTGAAACTTCAAAGACTAGAAATTGATAGCGTGGATGCTTTTAAAGATTCCCTTCTTTCATCCTTTTTTTACTTTTTCTTTTTCTTTTTTCTTTTGAGATGGAGTCTCGCTCTGTCACCCAGGCTGGAGTGTGGTGGTGTGATCTCGGCTCACTGCAACCTCTGCCTTCCAGGTTCAAGTGATCCTCCTGCCTCAACCTCCCAGAATAGCTGGAATTACAGGTGTGCACCACCACACCCGGCTAATTTTTGTATTTTTAGTAGAGACGGGGTTTCACCATGTTGGCCAGGCTGGTCTCGAACTGCTGACCTCAGGTGATCTGCCTGCCTTGGAGTCCCAAAGTTCTGGGATTACAGGCGTGAGCCACCGTGCCTGGCCCCTTCTTTCATTTGGGTCAATTCTTCTCTCATCCATATCAACCCTGTTGACCTCAGCAATGGTCCCAGGCTTTAGGTGCTTGGGTCCCTGGGCTATGGGCCGCATGATGGGGGCTGAGAGAAGCTGTTTTCCCTGCCCCTGGCAAAGGAAAGGGGTTGAGAAGAACCCAGGGCTATGAGAATCTGGAGCAGCCAGTGGAAAATGCACAGAATGAAGTCAAGATTCTAGTCCCACCTCTGCTGCCACTCTTGGTCTCAGGTTGATTATTAGTAAAGTGAACTGCTTCCCTCGGCTCTACAACTTGACCCTCCGTAGTGCAGCACCCTCCTTGGTCTGGCCTGCTGTCATGCAGGGTTCGCCAGCCCACTGAGGATGAAGAGGAGGGCTGAGGGGCTGGTAGGCTCTGGGTGCTGGCAAGCGGAAGGGAGGAAAGGTAACACTAACATGGCGCCACCGTGTGTTCAAAAGGGAGCAGAGCTGGGTCTCTCCCCAGCAAGGCAGCTTTCCTCTCCCCAACCCCTTTCCTGCTCTGGGAGTGGGTGGTGGCAGAAAGCCAAGGATCCTCCTAATTCATCTTCACCTCTCAGCCATTCACCTTAGTTGCCAAAGGGGCCCTTGGGAGAAGCTCCCCGAAGGCTCTAATGCCATCCTAAAGTAGCCTTTTGGAGACTTCCAAAAGGTTCAAGAAGGAAAAGACCCAAAGGAAGTCTAGGACCCAGAGAACTCAACAGTGTCTCTCTTCCTAATTAAGACACATTCCTCCCATTCATGGAAGGGTTCATCCCGATGCCTCGGGACAAACTGGTGCGTCAAACAAAGCAGTTTGTACCAAGTGGTGCAGGCTACATGATTCTCTCCATTAAGGATCTGAGCACGTTTGTGACTATTGGGATCTGGCTGGGCATGAAGGCTGCTAGTCCACACAACCCAAGTTGCAATGGAAGAGACGGCCCACCCTCAAAGGATGTCACCTTGAACATAGCCTTACAGGGCATCCAAGCCAAGTCCGTGCTTGTCCCCAAGGACAACTACAACTGGGGACTCAGAGAGATGAGATGACTTTTGATGGAGCAGTGGTAGGGAGGGACTAGAATCTACAGTTCTTTTTCTTCTTTTTAAAATAGGTTTTGCTATGTTGCCCAGGCAGGTCTCATACTCCTGGGTTTAAGCAATCCTCCTGCCTTGGCCTCCCAAAGTGCTGGGATTACAGGCGTGAGGCACCATGCCTGGCCTTACTTTTTACTTCTTATTTTTTCGAGACGGGATCTTGCTCTGTCGCCCAGGCTGGAGTACAGTGGCATGATTTTGGTTCACTGCAGCCTCAACCTCCTGGGCTCAAACAATCCTCCCACCTCAGCCTCCTGAGTAGCTGAAACTATAGGTGCGTGACACTATGCCCGGCACATTTTTTAATTTATTTTTTTGTAGAGATGGGGGTCTCACTTTGTTGCCCAGGCTGGTCTTGAACTCCTGAGCTCAGGCGATCCTCCTGCCTTAGCCTCCCAAAGTGCTGGGATTATAGGCATGAGCCAGCCACCGAGCCTGGCCCCAAAACCTACAGTTCTTTACCATGACTTGGTTTTTGAGTTGCTCACTTCCAGCTCACATCTTAACACACCAGAGGGGTCTTTGGGAAGAAACGGCTGTCACTGCGGGGTCCCAGAAACATGGCTTTAATATGGGTGGGAAGGTCTGATAAACCCTTAATCGAGTGAAGCCCAGGACTGGGACTTTAAATCAGTCAAGGCCTGCCTAGAGGCATCTGCCCCGTTTCTGCTCTTCTCCAGCTAGGCTCCTTCAGGAAGGATCAACGTTTGAGATGTCTGTAAGAATCACATGCCAGATTTCTGCTCCTAGTTCCTTATGAACAGCCCCAGGCAAACTCTCCAAGACAGAAATGTAGACGGCATACATAGTAAAAGCCTGCTTGCTCAGAAGCCTATCAGGCCAAAATGCACCAACAGGCAAACAGCTGAAAATGCTCTCCTGAATTTGGAACTCAAACCCACTGTCACTTGTCTGGGGCTGGCCAAACGCAGGGGAAAGTCAGCTTGATGAGAAAGAATAGCAGGAAAATAAATCGAGGCCTCTGTGGGGGAAGCATACAAGTATCTGTTAACTGTCGAGTACTACATCTTTATGTGATCTCATTGGTTCTTTCCAACAATCCTGTGAATGAGAGACCATCATGACAATACAACTGATGAGGAAATCCAAGTTTCTGAAACACCATTCCAGTCTCTTTGGGTATCTCTGTACCTGAGACGTCCTACAAAAAATCTTAATCCCACTTCACATTAAAGCCATGTTTCAGGAACCCCAAGGTGACAGCCCTTTCTCCCAAAGACCCCTCTGGTGTGATATATGAGCCAGAATTTTGCATTCTTGCTTAGAAGGAGTGATGCTAAGCTTTTTAATCATGTAGAGAAGCATACGACCATCCTTGCCACTGTTCCACACCATTGTACATCTGATGATGCTAATATCTTATTTGGTCCTTTTTATCTGCTCTACCCACTTATATGCAGTGACTGTGAGTTTAATTATTGTCATAAAGCATTATGAGCAACAGATACTGAATAAATGTTTTGAGGACATCTGAAAATGTGAAATTTACCACTCTTTCATGCTTCAGTATGCCCCTCAATGTGCCTGCATAGGAATGAAATTAACTCTTAGATGCAAAAGAGAGTATGAATTATCTTGTGTTTAATTTTCACGGGATACTCCTTTTCCTTAAAATGGGGGGGGGGTGGGGTGGGACAACAGAGAACAGTATTCCCCAGAAGGTCCAATAGGCCCAAGCGACCCCTGCTTCCTAACACAGTTCTGTTAGGACAGACATGGCCTGGAACCCTGGTAAATAGAATAGAGATAAGAATATTCTGCATTCAACAGGACTTGCAGGCAGTTTTTCTTTTTATCACATTACAAAGTAGATACCATACCTACATCATTTGTTCAACTACTGCTTCTAATATGCAGCCACAGCACTTGATCACGTCACCATTTCCGCATCTGCTTTCCTTGACTAGCCCAGTCTCCTTGAGAGTGTCATAGTCATCTTCAGACACCTGGCATCTAGGAACCTCAGGTCTGCTACTGAGTGCCTAGCAGGGCCAGGTGGCAAGAACCCTTGGGGGTGTTACTCTTCTGACAGTAAGGAAACTGTGACTGAAGGGTCACAAAACTGGGAAACAGGAGATCCAGGATTCAAACCCAAGTCTCCTGATTTGAGATGTGGCACTTGTCCCAACACACCTGCAGTAGCCTCCAGTGTTCAGTTGTTGTACCGCCCACTGAGGCACCTGAGCCTTTACTTGTCTCAGTCGGACCTCTTTACCAGTGGGCAAGGCCACATCTGTGGTTAGGCCTCTGGATCATCTGAAAGCTGTAACACTCTAAAAAGGGGGTTTCCATGAAGATCAACTATGAATTTATAGGCTAAATACTTCAGAAAAAACTATCAGATGTTATGCAAATGCAAGCTAGGCATGATAACAACTAAATGGTTATGGCTTTTTCTAGAAAAAAAAAAAAAAATCAGGAAATAGCCCTGACACGTGAATACAGACTAATAGGAAATAAAATATTTCCTTTAAGCTTTTAATGTAGCAATTAACTTCCCACCTCCCTTCCCAAAGCACTGGGATGACAGGTGTGAGCCACCGTGCCCAGCCTGAGTTCCTCTTGGGCAGATGTTCCCAATGGGAGGATCAGAATCACCTGGTAATTGTTTCCCCATGTTCCCCAATAGAGTCTGATATTCTTGAGAGGAGAGAAAAAGAAAAAAATGTTTATTCTGTGAATAGCTCCCGGGGTGATTCTGGCCATGCCTCTCTCTCCCAGCCTAGCTGAGAACTGCAGCTTCTAACTGAAGTCGCTGTTCCCACGGAGCCGGGGCTTATTTGGTCCACTTCTCCTTTGGTGCTTCAAATCAAATTATAACTTCTTATGTTTTGGAGACAGGCTCAACCTCCCTAGGGCTCAGGTGATCCTCCTACCTCAGCCTCCCAAGTAGCTGGGACTACAAGTCCACACCACCATACTCAGCTAATTTTTAAAATTTTTTGTAGAGATGGGGGTCTCACCATGTTGCTCAGGCTGGTCTCAAACTCCCGGCCTCAAGTGATCTGCCTGCCTCAGCCTCCCAAAGTGCTGAAATAACAGGTGTGAGCCACTGCGCCCAGCTCCGTAACTCCTTTATGTCTGTGGGTGGGAGTGAATGTTCTGTGGTTAAAAGCAAGGAGCTAAACTATGTGGCTTCTTTTGTATAGTGTCATTCTGATAAATTGGAAATTCTAATTAATCCAATCCTACCCACTGGCTATCTGGGCCTCATGAGGGACTGGGCGACAATGGACTCGCAAGCAGGAGTGGTCCTTACTTGTATAGACAACAACCAGGCAAATCAGAGCCGGGCCACAGAACCAGGGAGGGTCAGAGCTAGGATTTTTTTAGATTACCTGACTAAGCCACCCTGTCTTTTAACACATGAGAAAAACAAAGGTCCAAATACATGAGAGTTGCATGCTTCAACCTCTGCTAAATATCACACTTACCCACTACTCTTTACAGACGCCTGGGCCCAGACCCCACAGGAGGGTCCGATTCCACAGCCCTGTGTGGGGGACTCTGGGATACTATGTTAAAGTGATTTGCTAGGGTCACAGCCTGGGTTATACAGCCTTCTTTCACACCATACCACTATGTCTTTCTAAAGAAAACGAGTTTAAAGCAAAATTCTATCAATTATCCAATATTTAAGGCATTCTGAGAAGTCCCCTAACTATAAAACCTTTCCTAATAAATTGGCTGCTGCTGAAGATTAAGTCCAGGCCCCTTGTGATCTCTAGGCTTTCATGCCTACACTGAGTCTGAGGGATCAGGGGCTGGTTAAGGAAGAGCCTGGGGGCTGAAGCAGTCTCTCTCCACTAGTCTGAAAGATAGTTTTTCCACAAGGGGGACACTGCAGACTACAGTTCTAGTGATGAGGCTGGTGCTCCTGCCCTGTTCCCCAGGGACTAAGGGGCAGGCAGGGTAAGGTCCTATAAAAACTAGGAATGAGCCGCCCTAGTCATTGTATTCTAGGGCAACCAACCTCACTGAACAGATGACTATGCCTTCATCTAGTGAATGGTCCTATTAACATGCCAACTGGGGCAACTTTTACTATCACGTTAAAACCCCACGTTTCTTGAAGGCACAAACAAAACACACTGGAAGAGATTAAATCTCGCTGCACTGAATCTGGAGTCACATTGTGCTGCCACATGATCAGTTTTATAGTCATTCTTCCTTCCCGAGTCTTGCCCAAGCAAATGGATCACAAATAAGCACGCTGCGTTAAAATTACATTACACCCTGCCTCTTATTATTGAATAATTTGGCAAATAGTATGCCTTAGTATCATGTGTGGGCTGTTACTCAGGGATCCCACATTTCTCCTAAGCCCTCTTGTCTATTCTCATATCTCACCTGAACACGTGAGCCAAGCTGACCAGCATGAGGGTTCCCCACTGCTCACCTTTAGCTGGTGCCAAATGGCAACAGTCCTGACCCTCAGGAATGACATGTGTGATGGGGAAGATTATTGGACTTGCAAATAAAAACCAAGTTCAGATCCCCAGGAACGGTAAAAACAAAACAAAACACACTAGACCTCATACATGTTCATATACATATTTATATATATCTCATGTACAAAGTTACATTCTGAACCCCAGGGATTCCATAATAGAAATAAATACTGAAATAACTACATTGCTAAATGAGCTCTTTGCTCATAGAAATGAAGCTCAGCCTCTAAGAGACAGCAAGTGGGACATTCTAGAACCCATTTTTCAGATTATAGAGGCAAGTAAAATTCTGATAGAATGTCTTGGACAAAAAACGAATTTGGAACATAAAATGGTTAAGATATATTCAAATAGAGAAATGTATGACAAAATTAATAAAACTTAATCTTTTAAGAGAAAAGACAGACATTTAGTGTTACAGAATAGCATAACCCTGTTAGAAAAGCATTTATGATTTCCACATTTAATTTTCTCTTCTACTCTTCCCATGTTACAAAGTGGGACCAAATGAGTCCCTTTCTGAACATGATCAATTAAGAAGAGCCCTAAATCTGGTTGAGTCCTTTGGTAACGGTCATAATACTCACAAGGAAATAAATATTCAGTTCCATGGCATTTGCAAGACACATGTTCTTTAGGACAGTTAATATTATGACACATCTGTTTTATTTTGTTACTAAGGCAGCCTATGTTAAAGGGTCTCGTCTCAAATGTAGGAAGACCTTTACAAGAAATGAACAATACAGTAACTGAAAGAATTGATTTTAACCTTTTCTATGCAAACACAATCTGAAAAGTTATGTGCTGCATATTGTGCTCAAAATGTTTTATACTCTCCACAAGCTGCAATTAAGAGATTCATTCCTATTTTTAAAATTTAGATCCACATGGGTTAGAGAAAAATACTCTCAAAAGTGAGTTCCTAGAGAATATTATCCCTTTGCCTCACAGAGATTTTAACCTGCATTTAAGAGTAAGTGTTAGGTTGAGGCATATGATATTGTCGCTTTTGCAGATCAGCAATGGTTGAACACTGGCAATTTCATATGGTTCAACCTTGCACATGACTCAAGTGTAAAAAAAGGAGAAACCTTCAAGTATTCCTTATTTCTTCCAATAGGGGTACACTTTTTTTGTACAGTGAGATCAACCCAAAGTACGCAAGCCTCTTCTCTCCCTTGATGTGGTAGCTACAGGCAGTTACATTCCTTTGCTGCTTGTGAGAAGCTTACATTTTGGCATTTTCTTCCAAAAATTACCACGTTGACCAAAGTAAACATTACAAGAATATGAACTTGTTATTGGGGGAAAGGGGAAGTGAAGCAATCTGTAGAAAATATTTAACTGAAATTACAAACATAAGGACAAGCCTTTAAAGCAAATTATACAGGCATTTTTGTCCTCTCTCTGGTCCCTGCAGTTAATTAACAGGGCCACAGATAATCTGACATCTTTAGATAAAACAACTACACACCTATATTACTTAAGTTAAAGCCAGTAAGTTCAAAAAAAGCAATTACAACCATTTGACATGTTTGTATTTTTCATCTCTAACTCCTGATTTCCTAAATTACATTCAGTCATACAAACATGGCTGAACAACAGCAAATGGGATCTGACTCTGGGATGTTTACTTCTTGGGATTAAAATTCCCAAACACTTTGGTGTCTCTTTCTTGTGAATCTATACAACATTTCCAATAAATGTTTAATAATGATTTTTTAAAAGATATTGCCAAAAATGGCTCAGATTTAAGATGAAATAAAAACATAGCAAACAAGCTATGGAAAAGTAGCCTACATTTTGGTGCCCTGCAAAAAAGTGACTAAGTAGCTCAAGCAAAAAATTATTCTTTTAATACAGCTTTTACCAAAACAGTTTTAATACATGAGTGGCTACAATTTTATTGTGTACACAATGTGCTTATAGTCACATGTGGCCCAATGGATCCAAATGCCTCCTCTGGCTCATGAAATCCCATGTACTTCACAATCTAGCCTAATCGTGTATATGCATAAAAGCCACTGGTATACTTTTTACAGACATCTTTGTATAATAGTCCAGAAAAAAAAAATCAGTGGTACTTAAGAATGTTTAGACAATTTGACATCTACGTTTGCTTTCTTTTCTTTTCAGTAGTCCTTCTGATGATTGGGGGCCTTTATCCCATAGGTTTATACTGTTAAAACAGTACATAAAATTACATTTAGCTTTGCTTCGGACCGGCGCGGGGGCTCACGCCTGTAATTCAAGCACTTCGGGAGGCCAAGGCGGGTAGATCATCTGAGGTCAGGAGTTTGAGACCAGCCTGGCCAATGTGGTGAAACCCTGTCTCTACTAAAAATACAAAAATTAGCTGGGCAGGGTGGCACACACCTGTAATCCCAGCTACTTGGGAGGCTGAGGCAGGAGAACTACTTGAACCTGAGAGGTGGAGGTTGCAGTGAGCTGAGATCGCACCACTGCATTCCAGCCTGGGCAACAGAGCCAGACTCCGTCTCAAAAAAAAAAAAAAAAATCATATTTAGCTTTGCCTAGAGTAATAGATAAAAAAGGGTAAATCACACATTTTCAAGAAGCTTGAGAGGGAAAAAATTGCAGCATCGTGGTTTTAAAAAACTTATTAAGCAAGAAAATCAGTGAAATCCAGACTTTAATCTATTTTTTGCTTGTTTGTCTGTTTTGAGACAGGGTCTTGCTCCGTCACCCAGGCTGGAGTGCAGTGGTGCTATCAAGGCTCACTGCAACCTCCACCTCCTGGGCCCAGGTCATCCTCCCACCTCAGCCTCCCAAGTAGCTGGGACTACAGGCATGTGCCACCACACCCGGTTAATTTATTTTGTTTTTTTTTTTTGGTAGAGACAGGGTTTCGCCATGTTGCCCAGGCTGGTCTTGAACTCCTGGGCTCAAGCAATCCATCTGCCTCAGCCTCCTAAAGTGTTGGGATTACAGGCGTGAGCCACCATGCCCAACCTATTTTTTTTTTTTAATGGGCATTGTGAATGAAAATATGTAATGTCAACCTTTACTTTATGGTATCTTAGGTTTGTCTTCTTCCCCTTCATAGTTTTCCCCTTTGAGGATAACCCTTCAAGCTCAAAAGGGCACAAAAGCTAAAACGTTATTCACGTACAAAATACCAAGTATATAGCTGTTCTGCAGTTTGATACAGAACAAAAGAAAATAACTTTTCTAATTAAATCCCTCATTCTGTACTTAGGCCAGACTCCATCCCCACTACAGTTTTACTTGTATTAACAGGTTAAGAGCAATCTAGGAACATTTGGCAAACAAGTACATTTTTTACATGGAAAAAACTCAATCAACATCACCATTCTCTGGTACAAGAAATACAAAACACATTTCCTTTAAAAAATCCTCCCAGTGCTGAAGTATCTTCTAAGCTTCCCAGAGTATGTCCTAAGCTTTATAAATAATAAATCTTTCAGACATGTCAGTATGAAAATGAGACTGGTCTCAAAAAAAACCCATCAGAATATTCAGAGAAGTAGGCCTCATAAACTTTAGAGCTCTAATAAGTCAGAAACAGGAAACGTTTATTTAAATAGTGTAGTCTTAATTTCTTTAATATAAAACCCCCCCAAATCTGATGAAAACAAAGTTTTATATACCATATAAACAAGATTTGTCAGATTTGAAAGTGAAAGTTAAAGTAATTTACAGTTAGCTTTTAACCCTCTCGGGACATTTAGATACATCCTGATAATCCATCTTGTATTAGTGTGTGTCAATTTTACAATACACTGGGGAAAACTCAGCTATTGTATTTAACGGTACAGTTTCATTTATCAAGTGTTTCCCATTAATTCCATTATTAGTGACAGCTAACAAGTGACCCCATCAAATGAAGTGAATGACATTAGACTGTGGCAGAGTAAACCACATCTGGATTGCTTTCTATAATTCACCAGTTTGCAGGAAGTAAACATTCTTTGATTTGTTCATAATATACTGAAGTTACCTATAACACTGGTGCAGTAACACAGCTAGTTCCTCTGTATTGTTATGGTAGAACGGATTTTGTAATATAAAGTTAACAGGAAAAAATGCTCACACATTATGTGGTGAAACTTATCTCACAAAAGAGCATTAAATAAAAGGATAGAGGGAAAATAAACCATGCAGAAGAGACGGCTTCCCCATCTCCACCTGTTTCCCATGGGCTCACTCATTGCCATACATCACTTGCCACACTATCAAGTGACTCCTTTCTGCTTTGGTGACAGAAGGTTCAAGTGGAAGATCCTCTCCAAGAAGTTCTGATTCTCCACCTTCATCACCTAGTGAATGATAAGAAGACTCAAGTTAGGCTGAACACATAAAATATAGAATGATGTGAGTCAGATGTAATGCTCGTGGTTAGTCCATGAACAAGATGCCCAAAACTTGTCTGACTTTCACTGGAGAGTAAATAGTAGAAGAAATACTAAGAGTCAGAATCCTCACCCATATTCACCCAAGCCACTGCTTGACTTCAGAAAAGGTTAATTCATTTTTCAGACTGTATTTATAAAATCCAGTTCACTATACTACGTTAAAAAGCCACCCCAACATGTCTGCATACCGATGGTCCAGACATGGGAAGCTAAGAAGGCAATTCTGTGTTCATCCAAAATGAAGAGTCTACTGTCACTTATTTTAAACTAAGAACTGAGAATAGTGTTATAAAATGCGTGAGCACAGGTACAGAGCAAACTAACTAAACCCAAATAACTCACAATTATCAATGACAGGTGTAATGTTCTCCAATTGAAGATAATTGACACAAGCATATGGAAATTAAAATAATTAGCCTGCAGCACTGCAGATGGCAGATTCACCAGCTACTGGGTTTTTCTTCCAATGATTTTCAAGTTTAGGATAGGTTACAAATTAACAGTGTATAATGGAAAAGGAGAAACAAAGAGGTTGGGGTAGCAGCCAAGATACAGGTTCTTCTGCATCACGGCTAAGTGAATGTGATCCATGGTGTCCTGATCAGACACTGGCTTCCAAGGCCCAGTCTGGGGTACACCACACTCCTCTCCATAAGACCCAGTGCAGGGCATACCATAATTCTCGATACAAGCTTGCATCAATTGTATCTGTTGTCACAGAGCAGGGTTATTTTGGCACAACCCAGTGAAAAGTTGTCTAGTGGGATGGATTCTTCAGCAGAATCCTAAAAACATACACACCACAGGACCTAAAGATATATTCCACTGATCTAACAGAATTTTGTAATGTGCCCCATGTGAATTTCAGCTGGACAAAAGAAAATATTGATACTGTTGACTAGAAACAACAGAAGAGAAAAAACCCTAAATATCTGCATTTTTCTCTGCAGGCCAAACTTTCCCTTACCCAGCCCTGTAATGGCCTTTTCACAGCAATATCAAACTAGAGAGAGGAGAACACTCAGTTCAAACTCCCATCTCTGAACTGAAACATACCCAGGTGGTTAGAAGGTAAAAAAATTAAGTTTGGCTCTTAAATTTTAAAAAATTTCAATGAAAAAAATTAACTGGCTGAGACAAAAGGCTGTCGCCATTTCTCTTCTGAGTTGTTCTGAAGATTTTACTTGTAAGAAAATTATCCTGTCTGCTAGGGTCTCTACAGCCTAAGTTTTAAGTTTAAATCATTAAAAATATGGGACTTTAGAATCAATTTCTCACTGTTAAAATATTACAGGAAATGAAAAAGGAAATGGACCCCCAAAAAAGATCAAATTTGATTTTTTACAACAGTATATTCACTATTAAAATTAGCCTATGCTAAAGACAAGTCTGTTTTTCAGGCTGGAAATAACTAGAGATACTGCCAAACCTGGTTAAGCAATTTTTGTTCTATTTTCAGGATCCACAATGGAAGGAATTTTTAGTGGAAATGGAAAAACCACATAGAGATTTTATTAACAAACTCCTCAGTACGGTTCCAACTGACATACTGCACTCCAACACAAAGTTACAAAAATCACCCCAGCCAAGTGGAGTCCCTAACAACTCCTCTCATAAAAGGGAATTCAACAATAGTCAATTATTCAAAACACTTTGAAATGACTCCATTCCTGCTGACATCCCTGGAATCAATTTCTAAAGTTCACACTAACAGCCTTCCCCTCTTAAAAGTGTCAACAAACTTTTTGCATCAGATATTGGTGACACTAATCACATTTGTCACATTGTCATTTAAATGACCCTAATTTTTTTTTATTCCTTTACAGAATTCATATCTAAAGTATTTGTTACTGATCTACAACACTATTATATTCTCTCAAACTGCCTACTGCCTTATGTCTGGGAACTTTTTGAAGCACTGAGATTTTAAGCGAGTCCAAGGGATCAGTTTATTTATAGCAAATAAGCTGGGTGCGGTGCCTCATGCCTGTAATCCCAGCACTTTGGGAGGCTGAGGCAGGTGGACTGTTTGAGGCCAGGAGTTCGAGACCAGCCTGGCCAACATGGTGAAACCCCGTCTCTACTAAAAATACAAAAATTAACCAGGCGTGGTGGCACATGCCTGAAATCCCAGCTACTCGGGAGGCTGAGGCATGAGAATTGCTTGAAACCGGGAGGTGGAGGTTGCAGTGAGCCAAGATTGTGCCACTGCACTCCAGCCTGGGTGACAGAGTGTGAGACTCTGTCTCAAAAAAGAAAAATTATAGCAAATAAATAAACATATTTGTACAGTGTCTTACAATTTACAAAGCACTACTCTTTCACGAGCATCAGTTCTCCATGTTTTCTTTGTACCTCTCTGGCCATTCCTTCTCAGATCCCTCCATAAGCTCTAATGATCTTTAAATGGAGTATGAATTCAGGGTTCTATCCTGGAACCTTTCCTTTTTCTTTCTTTTCTTTTTTTGAGATGGAGTCTCACTCTGTCACCCAGGCTGGAGTGCAGTGGTGTGATCTCGGCTCACTGCAACCTCCACCTCCCGGGTTCAAGTGATTCTCCTGCCTCAGCCTCCTGAATAGCTGGGATTACAGGTACACGGCATCACGCTCAGCTAATTTTTGTATTTTTATTAGAGACTGGGTTTAGCCACTGGAACCTTTTCTTTTAGCTCCTTGGGCGAACTCACCAACCCTCATGGCTTTTAGTACCACTCCATGCTGACAGCCCCCAAATCCCTCCCTCCTAAGATAGAGGACCTGTATATTCAGAAGCCCAGTGGAAATTTCCCACCTAAATCACCACTATGCTCTTCAAGATCAACATGATCAGCACTGGACTCCTCTTTCCGTCCCTCCAGACCTGCTTCTCCTGTTGACAGTCCTGAGCTCTATGGCCCATTCTCTCCTTCCCCACATTCTCATCATGCTTCTTATCTGTTCACACTGTTACTACCTTTCTTGGGCATTCACTTGTTCCCAACTCATTTCCCTAGGTCTAGTCTTGAACCTCCAGTCCATCCTTCACACAACTCTAATCACATTGCTCCTATAGTTCTCTTTTGCTTGAAAGATAAAGTACAATCTTCTTAATCTGGTATGTAAAGGCCTCCCATACTCCAGTCCCTCCCTCCCTTTTGACAACAAATTCATACTTTCTTCTACTCCACACTCTTGTCATTTTAAAATAGTTTTTCTTCCATTAAAATGGTTTCATATCTCTAAACCTTTGGCCAAGCTATTCTCTTACCTCGGAGTGCCAACCCCTGGTCCTCCCCACCCCATTCCCCAACCTGACCCTTTGTGCTAAGACTATGCAGTGCTGAGTCACCTCAAGCATCATTTCTTGACTTCCTTCTCTCCCTACCCTTGGAAAGAACTGACTACTCACTACCAGAGCATCAGTAACATTTTAATTTATTAACATGTCTCTATCTCTGCACTGTTCTATAATCTATTAGACGAAGGCTTTGTCTGATTTGTTTCTGTATCTCCAGTTTAAGAATGACAGGTACACAGTAGGTGCTCAATTAATGTTTGTTAGGTGAGAAAATGAACAAATGAAGTTGTTTAAGAAATATTTTTATTTCTCCATTTTGACAGAAAACCGAGGCTCTAAGAGGTTGAATGACTTGTCCAAGGCCTTCTGACCCTAAATCCTATGCTTTTCACATAAAACTTCACATTGACCACATCCTGCTATTTCTAATGCTCCTTTCAAACAAATACATTTTGGTATGAAAAGAAATACCAAGGGCCGGGTGCGGTGGCTCGGGCTTGTAATCCCAGCTGGAAGGCCGAGGCAGGCGGATCACTTGAGGTCAGGAGTTTGAGAATAGCCTGGCCAACATGGTGAAACCTTGTCTCTACTGAAAATACAGAAACTAGCCAGATGTGGTGGTGCATGTCTGTAATTCTAGCTACCTGGGGGGCTGAAGCAGGAGAATCACTTGAACCTGGAGGCAGAGATTGCAGTGAGCTGAGATCATGCCACTGCACTCCAGCCTGGGTGACAGAGTGAGACGTCATCTCAAAAAAAAAAAAAAAAGAAAGAAATACCAAAAAGAAAAAAACAAAAAACAAAAACCCACAAAATCCTTTCGTGTGTAAAGAGCTCAAAGAGAACCTCTTATAAATCATTATCAGAGTGGTTTCTTATTTACTTTGGGACAAAACCCAAGTCATAGCACACAGTGCAAACTGAGCACCCAGAACCAATGACATACCCATTCGGAAGTCGATGTAGCCCTCTCCTCCACTGATGACAAGCATAGACTTCAAGGGCGTCTGACTACCAGGCTCCTGTGCAGATGGCCCTGCTTTGTCACCCGTCAGATCCGTGCCACTACTGCTACTTTGTGGGCTGATGACTTGACCTGTTTTATACAGAAACAAAAGTGAATATTACTTATCACAGAAGGGAGGCTGTTTTGTTTTTTTTTTTTAAGTATTTTTAGAGTTAAACAAAAAGGTAAATATATTCTAATAACCAAATACTGGGGAAGCTAGAAGGCTCTGCATGATCAGAAAACATTTACATGAAGGTTTTAAGAACCCGATTTGAGGTCAGGCATGGTGGCTCACACCTTCGAGAGGCCGAAGTGGGAGAATCACTTGAGGCCAGGAGATTGGGACCAGCCTGGCAAATATAGTAAGGCCTCATCTCTACCAAAAAAGTTAGCCGGGAATGGTGGTATGCGCCTGTAATCCTGGCTTCTTGGGAGGTTGAGGCAGAAAGATCACTTGAGCCCAGGAGTTCAGTGTTGCAGTGAGCTGTGATGCGCCACTGTACTCCAGCCTAGGCAACAGAGCAAGACCTTGCTTCTAAAAAACAAACAAACAAACAAACAAACAAACAAACAAAACCCAATTTGAAAATCTAAGTAAAGCAATTTTGTAACAAAGCAGGAATAGGCCCCAAATCCAATATGAGATATATGCATGGCAAGGTGGGTCTTAGCTGCCTGCTTCAAACTACCTTTTTTTTTTTTTTTTTTTTTTTTTTGAGATGGAGTCTTGCTCTGTCGCCCAGGCTGGAGTGCAGTGGCACAATCTTGGCTCACTGCAACCTCCGCCTCCCGGGTTCAAGCGATTTACCTGCCTCAGCCTCCTGAGTGGCTGGGACTACAGGCACGTGCCACCATGCCCGGCTAACTTTTTCAGTAGAGACAGGGTTTCACCGTGTTAGCCAGGATGGTCTCAATCTCCTGACCTCATGATCTGCCTGCCTCGGCCTCCCAAAGTGCTGGGAATACAGGCATGAGCCACTGCACCTGGCCCAAATTACTTTATTTATTTATTTTTGAGACAGAGTTTCGCTCTTGTGGCCCAGGTTAGAGTGCAATGGCGCGATCTCGGCTCACTGCAACCTTCGCCTCTGGGGTTCAAACAATTCTCTTGCCTCAGCCTCCCAAGTAGTTGCGATTACAGGTGCCTGCCACAACGCCCGGCTAATTTTTGTATTTTAGTAGAGATGGGGTTTCACCAAGTTGGTCAGGCTGGTCTCAAACTCCTGACCTCAAGTGATCCACCCACCTAGGCCTCCCAAAGTGCTGGGATTACAGGCATGAGACACTGTGCCTGGTCTCTTAAAAATTTTTAATGAAGTCTTGCTATGTTTGCCCAGGCTGGTCTCAAACTCCTGGGCTCAAGTGATCCTCCTGCCTTGATTTCCAAGTTGTGGAATTACAGGTGTGAGCCACCATGCACAGCCTACCTGCTTCAAACTATTATAGTCTAAATCTTTTGATCTGAGAAGACAGTGGAAAAGGTCTCTCCCTTGAAAAGGAATGTGCTTATTTGTGTAAGAGACTGAGAAAAGTCTTCAACTTAAGCCCTATGAGTTTGCATAGTCATAATTAACATTTAAATTTATTTCAAATCTATGGCTTTCCTCTCATATTTAAGGAAAATACAGGTTATTTTTAATTTAGATTATGCAAACAAAATTACTAGTAAATGTGCTGTTTGTTCTAAAGCTTAAGTTCTAAGGTAGAATCCTTGAGTGTGAAATAATAGAAAGAGAGAAACCTTTAAATATTATTCACAACTATGAACAAATGAGCAATCTCTAAGCCAACCCTCTTAGCAAGATTTAATTGTGGGATATTTTTTTCCTTGTCAGAATCTGCTGTCCTTTGGTCAAACTACACAGACTGCGCCTCCAGGAGCTAGCTGGACAGCCATTAATGCGACACACTGTAACAAAATTAATGTATGTTGAAAGTGGATAGGATAGTCTGACGTATCCCCACAGGGATTCATTCATGCATTACTCAATTATACTTTGGAAGAAATCAAGCATGCCAGCAATGACTTCTGTTGGTAGACGAGTTAGTTCTGCCACAGAAGCAAGAGCACAGTGGTATTACTGATAAGGCCAACCAGAATGGTTTAATCTTTAGGGCCAACTGGCCTCGCAACAACCATGTTGCTAATTCCACTTTTAGATTTATACCCAACAAAAAATCCTTACACATGCACACAAGAAGGTCTGCTTCAGTATTGTTTTTAATAGTGAAAAAAGAAAGGGGAGAAGCCTAGAGGTCCATCAACAGAAGAATGAATAAAATGTAGCACTTTTATTCAGTTATAATACCAGTTAAATGAATAAACTAGATTTTTATGTATGAACATTGATAAATCTCAAAAAATGAGAAGCAAGTTGTAGAAGCATACATATAAAACACAACATTTAACATGTAAAGTCCAAAACCACAAAACAATCATACATTGTTTATAAACACATTCAAACATAGTAAAAATACAAAAACAGGGGCAAGAGGATTT
Organism: Homo sapiens; assembly: GCF_000001405.40. Classification (NCBI taxonomy): domain Eukaryota; kingdom Metazoa; phylum Chordata; class Mammalia; order Primates; family Hominidae; genus Homo; species Homo sapiens. The sequence goes on from NC_000017.11 coordinate 50,973,270, forward strand.
GCATCGACTTCAAGATAGTGGTTACCAATGGAGAGGAAAAGGAGAGGAGAATGGGATTGGAGAGGGATACAAAGGAGATTTAAAGGAAACTGTGATATTTCATTTTTTTTTAAGCAAGAGAAACACTGTTACCAGCAATCCCATTTCTAGGAAGGAAATGACTATACAAATATATAAAATGTACAAATGAGGTTTCAGAAAGCTCATTATCACTGTTGTTAAGAATAACTGAATAATTGCTTAGGGTACCATATGCCAGCCCTTGCCCCATGTACATAAAATCATTTAATCTTTGGAAGACCCTTGGGAAAATAAGTATGATGAGTAATTTGACGTGTTAGCTCGATACCCAGATATTTGGTCAAACACCAGTCTAGATATCATTGTAAGTCTTTTTTAGATGTGATTAACATTTAAAACAACAGACTTTGAGTAAAGCAGATTACACGCCACAGTGTGGGTGGGCCTCATTTAACCAGTTGAAAGCCTTAGAAGAAAAAGACTGAGGGATCCAGAGGAAAGAGAAATGTTGCCTCCAGACTGCTTTCAGATTTGGACTGCAACATCCACTCTTCCCGGGGTCTCCAGCCTGCCAGCCTGCCCTGCAGATTTCAGACCTGCTAGTCCCCACAACTGTGTGACCCAATTTCTTAACAGTAACTCTCTCTTCATACGCACATACACATGCATCCTATTGGTTCTGTTTCTCTGAAGAACCCTGACTAATATACTACATCACACAGTTAGTTGGTGGGGGAAAGTCAGATCTGAACTTCGTCTAGCTCCTAAACTTGCCTCTTATGGGAAAAAAAAATTCAAAACCTGTGTCCTGCTTACAGATGGTCAGTGACATCACTTAAGTATTGTCAATGGATAATTTGTCATTTTTCACTGGACATCATCACTTCCATCTTTTTTCTGGGTGGTGCTTTATAGCTCCCAGTAGCATTTTCATTAATTTTCATAACAAATGAAGTAGGCAGAGCAGATATTAATCACATCCACCTAGGAGTGAGGAAATGAGTCTCTGAGGTTAAGTGCCTTGCTCGAGGTTAGTGGCAGAGACACAGGGGCCAGACCCCCAGGCCTCCTAGTTCACTGCTTTTTCCTATTAAGCTGCTAAAGGTACCAGAGTGCATTCTCTCTTCCTCCATGCAGCCTTGATGATAGAAGCTTCTTTCTAGTGATTTCTCTTATTAGGTCAAGACCATTTTTGGCAATCCACGATGATAAAATAATACTACTGCTTTTCAAAAGTAAGCAAGTCTCCTAAAGAAAAATCAACAAATTTATCTTTGGGGGTGGGAGAGATATTCCAAAGTAACTTCATTCAAGTATCCCTATAGCACCTTAGTCACACCTCCATTACAGAACTTCCTTCGTATATATTGAAATTACCTGCAATTCGAGTACTTAGCCTTAGACTATTAGGTAGTGGAACCAAGAGATGACAGAAGAGAGACAATTACATGGAACATCTCAACAGAATAATCTAACATACCTGGGACTGCCACAAAGAATTTCACAGCATCCCGGTGCCCATGGAAGCAAAGCTGTGCATGTGCCATTGAACAATAGGGTATAAATGTCCCTGGAGTCACTTTATCACTGTTTTCATCACCATATACACGGATTACACTTCCAGGACGATTTCCTGGTACACCTGAGGTTTTATTTGCTGCAACAGAAAAACCAAATACCAAATATTTTCCCCTAGAAAACAGTAATGAATGTAAGAGGTTACTGGTTAATCCTTATGATATTATCTAAAAGCTACAGCCAGTTGAGATAAAACAAGGATGGCAATGCCAATTCAAGACAAAGCTGGGAAAAAAAGAGATACAGCATGCTAGTTATTTTTAAGTACCTCAGTAAATGGAGTAGGGGATTTTGCCAGTCTAGCAATAAGTAAGCTTATTTTTTAAACACATCTATTCATTTAAAAAATAATTTTAGTTAAAAAAAAAACAAATTTGAATCTTAGTTGTTTCTTGTTTTGTTTTTAATGCACATGTTAGAAAACTAACCATTATACAGTTTAAAGTAAATGGGTATATTTGCAAATAAAGTCTTTCTTTATAGTTTATCTTCTGATTTTTCTCCCTCACAGTAAGAATATTTCCCTTGAGGGGGTTGGTAAAAAGTTGTGCTTACAAGAATCCAGCCACTACAATAGAGCAGCTTTTATTGATACCAGACTGATGGTGTGCTGCGTACTGTAAAAGACCAGACTCACAAAACATCCCCATTCCATGGGCAAGTAAGTAAATGAAAGAAATATGATCGGTAACAAGAGTAAACGATGTAAATTAATGACAGCTTTAAGAGATGTTTCATGTTTATACTGGAAGGAAAACAAAGTCTGAAAGAAAGTTCAGCTGCAACAAAAGATGATAAATAGACTAAGCTGCTGAGCAGTTTGGTGGCCATGTAACAAACATTAAAAAAAAAAAAAAGACACCTGCTGCGATGCAGTGACTGCAAGTGGATAACATTTAGGAACATTCAAGAGGGTATTCTAGAGGAGTGGTAACAGCCTTACAGTGGCTATTAGAAGCCAGGAAGAAGAGTTTGGTTCAGAATCTGCACTTACCCCTCAGCCCCAGTAAACGTCCCTGGTGGAGGATTACGGCTAAAGTGAGAAAGGAGGAAAGGGGACATGGAGAGGTGCATGACAGGGAGGAGAGAATTACTGTGAGCCACCACTCTCAGCGTCTTCTATCTGGTAAACCTGGTGCTCAAAGCCCCTAACGAAAATAACAAGATCCCACTTGGCATAATACCAAGTAATACATAAAGTTCTTCCCAAGGCTTCTATTAGAATCTCTGCTGAAAAAGGAAAATCTGATTTATGGTGTTTTTTTTTTAAATAATAAAGCAATTTTAGTGAATCTGAATCAAAACACTAAGAACTCAATGTGCAGCATTTCCTAAATGCTAAAATTTCTCCTTTATTTCTCTGTGTGTGTGTGTTTTAAAAAACAAATCCTGTTCCAATAACTATGCTAAAATGAAGCTCTTACAAATAACTGAAATGAACTCTAGGGGATCCTGGAATCTCTTAGGATATAAGGAGAGGTCTAAATATGATTTATAAGTAACTGCAGAAAAGACAGGTGGGATTGAAACCTTGCTTTCTTTTAAAGGCTTCCGAAATACCTTCTAGTCTTTCTCCCTCCTCTGGCCTGAAAAAAGGTATGGTGATTTTGAAGTGTATATGTATTAATGTATTTTATAGACTTACAGTATTTGCTTTTAAACCATTCCCTGCCATGAATTTTGCAACACAAAAACATTTACTTAATGGATGATTAATGTAATGGAACATCATATGAGAAACACACGAGGTATATTTTATTCATAAAAACAATAAATCACATTCTTTTAAAATAGAAGATAGATGGAAAGGCTTGCTGAACTCCTGAGAAACTTCTTCCACAACTTTTTTTAAACCTCAAATAAGACAAATGGAATATACTAAACTATCTGCTAAGGAGATATGAAAAACTAAGATGAATGCTAGGTAGTGTTTTTGGATAATGGTATAATAAGGCTTAAGAAAAATGGACTTTAACTTTTATTTCAAAAGATGAAATAGGACTGTGATTCCTGAACTGTGAAAATGTTTTGACAACGAAAAACTTTTAATTATGAGTATTGGTCTTGATACATGAAAACTTATTTTCCTAGAATTTATAAGTTTCATTGAGTGAAGTAACTATAGCTAGATCTTTGCCATCACTGATTTTCTGAGCTAACACAGATTTGAATTTCAGACATAACTATTTCCTATAATTCTCCTATTTGTTCCATGGCAGTTATCTAAAAATATACTTACTTTCTGTCAATGGGATGGAGATAATGACACCATTTCCTGTCCCCACCCACAAACGATTACAAGACACCATAAGAGCTGTAATTCTCACAAAAGAGAAGCCCAGTTTTCCAGTACCTGTAAAGAAAGGAGGGAACACGTTATTGAGAAACTAAAGCAGACAGTGTTTTACATTCCAAGTTCCTTAGAAGTAGCAGGATTACAAAACAAAAAAAAAAGAAAGAAAGTAGTAGTAGCAGGATTGATACAACACAGAGGAAATGTGACTAGAGCTAGATGGATGTTTCCTGAAGGTTCACATCAAAGTAAGCTCATATTGGGGCTTATTGTCTATCTGACAATTCAGGGTTAATGGAAAAAGAAAAGCCTAAAAGTGGGTAACATAACATTATTAGTTAGAAGAAAAGTACACAGGAAATAGGATACATCAGGAACTGTGACACAGGATTTACTTAGGGAACTGTAAAACCAAACCAACACATAAAACAAAAAACCCCAACAGAAAACAGTGAAACTGGCAGGGCACGGTGGCTCACTCCTGTAGATCCTACAAGGTGGGATGACTGCTTGATCCCAGGAGTTTGAGACCAACCTGGGCAACAGACCTCACCTCTACAAAAAGTACAAAAATTAGCCAGGCATGGTGGCACATGCCTGTAGTCCCAGCTATGTGGGAGGCTGAGGTGGGAGGGTCACTTGAGCGCAGGAGTTTGAGGCTGCTGTGAACTGTGATCCAACCACTGCACTCCAGCCTGTGCAACGGACCAAGACTTTGTCTCTAAAAACAAACAAACCCAGATAAATCAAGTGTCCTTTGATCTTATAAGCTGAAAAAGTTCTGGTTTCCCTTAAGTTTTCTTTGCACAGATAAAAATCTTTGTAAACAAAATCTATACTTTTCCCCTCATTTATATACTTAGGTTCTAAAGCAGTTTAAACATTTTAAGTATTATACACAAATAATTTAGGGAGAACAAACGCATTTTTGTATTTCAAGTTAATTTTTACAACTGATCTTATTTTCAGTGACTTGAAAGACAAATTTATTGAGCAGGTAATACATTTAAGAAAGACAACACTAGTACTCATAAGTTCTACTTACAAGAACTGAGGGCATGATCGCTGAATCACAGTGTTAGAAGGAGGCTTAATTACCATTCAGCCTAACCTAGGAACCTTTAACCTCCAGTCAAAGTAGATCCCTGAAATTAGTTTGTGTTTGCATGTGTATATATTCTAGGGAGAAGGTACATAGCTAGAAATAAGGTTTTCTGAGGGCAGTAACTCTAAATGGTTGAAAACCACTGATCCAGTTCAATCATTTTTCATGAAAGGAATCCTTTATGACATTTCTAATAATCATTATAACACTAGGTCAGGTGCTAAAGATAGAGCAGGGAACAAGACAATGATGGTCCCTGATCTTCACGGGGCTTAGGGTCTGTAGGGGAGAGATTATAAACAAGAATCACATAAGACTGGTACGATCACAATAATGATAAGCCCATGAAGAAAAAGTATGACAGGACCTAAATGGTCTCTCCTGATTATGACAGTTAGGCTATGACCTGAAAGCTAAGTAAGTAAAAAGGGACCAAGAAGAACTTCCCAGGTAGATGATACAGCAGCACATGTGAGGACCCTGAAATGGGAAGGAGCTTGCTGAGCTGTGGGTCGGTATGAGCAAGGAGAGTGTTTGAGAACATGTAAGGTCTCCTGGTCATGTCACCTCACCTAAAGGCAACAGTGGAGGTGTGTGAAGGTAATATCTGCACCTTGGTTACTAGGCAGAGAACAGACTGGGGTGGCAACAGGGAGCCCAGTTAGGAGGCCTGGGGGTAAAAGGATAGTGGTAGAGATAAAGAAGTAACTGATTTAATACAGTTTTAGAGGCAGACTTGACAGTTCCCAGTGACAGATTAGATGTGGGAAATAAGAGAAGAGGAGTCCAAAATGATCCCAACTTTCCATCAAGAACAATAAGGGGCCAGGTGCATTGGCTCATGCCTGTAACACCAGCACTTTGGGAGGCTGAGGTCTGGGCCAATCACTTGAGCCCAGGAGTTTAAGGCCAGCCTGGGCAACACAGTGAAACCTCATTTCTACAGGAAAAAAAAAAAAAAGTAGCCAACATGATAGTGCAGGCCTGTCCAGCTACTGGGAAGGCTGAGGTGGGAGGATCACTTGAGCCCAGGAAGTCAAAGCTGCAGTGAGCCGTGATGGTGCCACTGCACTCCAGCCTAGGTGACAGAGTGAGACCCCGTCTTGAAAAAAAGAAAAAAAAAAAAAAAAAAGAGTAAGGTAGATTGAAACGTCTGACACTTTCAATGATAAAAGTTCACTACTCCTGAGATAACTTAATTCATTGGTTCTACCCAGCATTTTAGACTATTTAAAAATAAAAACAAGGACTGGGTGAGGTGGCTGTGCCTACCTACAGTCCCAGCTACTCCGGAGGCTGAGGTGAGAGGATCGCTTGAGCCCAGGAGTTCAAGGCTATAGTGTGCTATGACTGCACCTGTGCATAGCCACTGCACTCCATCCTGGGCAACAAAGCAAGACCTCATTTCAATAAACACATAGATAGATAAAATAAAACACCCTCTTTGACTGGTAAAGATAAAACGCGTTGGAAGCTTACCTAACATTTTGCTTACATAAGGCTCAATGTCCACATCCTGTAGATGTTGATAAGTGTGTGCATGATAGAGACGGAGCGTAGAATCCAAGCGAATGGAGACCCACACGCCATCCCCCACCCACGCAAGCTGTCGCACTTGGCTCTCCTTCCTGGGATGTGCATCAAAAGATTTCTAGGAGAGATTGTCCAATCACAAAGTTACTTTTGCTACATAGAATTTCATATTTAAAACTGTGCTAATTTGCACAAGTTAGCAGACTATTAAAAGACAAGCCCAAATATTATATATTAAACATGATTACTCTTATATACACAATTGTTTTCATCCTGGAATGCAAAAAATAAAGAACTAAGAACGGGATATTGGACTTCAGCACTATATAGGATATCACCTTATAACAGCAATACTAGCGCATCCACACTATGTAACAGTGCTCAACAGAAAGATTTTTTTTATTTCTTTATTTTTTATTTTTGAGACAGAGTCTTTACTCTTGTCGCCCAGGCTGGAGTGCAATGGCGCAATCTCGGCTCACTGCAACCTCCCCTTCCTGGGTTCAGGCGATTCTCCTTCCTCAGCCTCCTGAGTAGCGGGATTATAGGCGCACACCACCATGCCGGACTAATTTTTGTATTTTTAGTAGAGACAGGCTTTCATCATGTTGGCCAGGCTGGTCTCAAACTCCTGACCTCAAGTGATCTGCCCACCTCGGCCTTCCAAAGTGCTGGGATTACAAGCATGAGCCACCGCACCTGGCCTAACAGAAAGATTTTATCTCCGGATTTTGTGTTGTTGCAGAGCCACTGTGTTGAAATAAGATCACAATTATAATTAATCAGGCTGGGCGCTGGTGGCTCACACCTGTAATCCCAGCACTTTGGAAGGCCGAGGTGGGAGGATCTCTTGAACACAGGAGTTTGAGATCAGCCTGGGAAACATGGTGACATCCCAACTCTAAATACAAAAATTAGCTGGGAATAGTGGTGCATGCCTGTATTCCTAGCTACTTGGGAGGCTGAGGTGGGAGGACTATTTGAGCCCAGGAGTTTGAGGCCAGTCTGGACAACATAGCAAGATCCCGTCTCTACAAATAAACTAAAGAAAAATTAGTCAGGTATAATGGTGTGTGCCTGTGATCTCAGCTACCTGGGAGGCTGAAGCAGGAGGCTTGCTAGAGCCCAGGAGTCTGAGGCTGCAGTGAGCTATGATTGCGCCCCTGCACTCTATCCTGGGTGACAGAGTGAGACCTTGTCTCAAAACAAACAAACAAAAATACCAAAATATAATTAAACTAAAAGGAACCCACGCTGCTGTATATGTGTGTGAGGCACAGGCTGAGCATTCCCAATCCAAAAATCTGAAATCTGAAATGCTTTAAAATCTGAAAGTGTTTAAGTGCCGATATGATACCATAAGTCACGCTGAACACAGTATTTTTTTTACTGCACTAATGGTATATCATATTTTTCACTGTTATAAAGTATACAGGAAACATAAATAAATTTTATGTTTAGACTTTGGGTTCCATGCCCAAGATATTTCATTATTTATGTATATGCAAATATTCCAAAATCTGCAAAAAATCCAAAATCTGAAACACTTCTGGTCTCAAGCATTTTCAATAAGGGATATTCAACCTGTGTGTGGATGGATGGATGGATGGATGGATGGATGGATGGATGGATAGACAGCCAGATAGCTAGCTAATTAGATAGATATAAACAGATACACAGATAAAGATAGATAGATAGATAGATAGATAGATAGATAGATAGATAGATAGAAAGAAAGAAAGAAAGAATAGATAGATAGATAGAATTGATATAAAAAACAAACACCAAATGGTTGACTTTGAGACTTCTAGGGAAAGAAATGTGATTTGGGGGAGGGTGAAGGAGGGCTTTCACCTTAAAATTTCCTGTATGCTTTTTGTCCCCCTAAACAATTAGAATGCATTTATGTATTGTGACAAAAAAAAAAAAAAACCGTAAGAAAACAATGCTAGGCCGGACGCGGTGGCTCATGCCTTAACCCCAGGACTTTGGGAGGCCAAGGTGGGCGGATCACGAGGTTGGGAGTTCGAGACCAGCCTGGCCAACATGGTGAAACCCCGTCTCTACTAAAAATACAAAAAAAATTAGCTGGCTGTGGTGGCGGGAGCCTGTAATCCCAGCTACTTTGGAGGCTGAGGCAGAAGAATTGCTTGAACCTGGGAGACGAAAGTTGCAGTGAGCCAAGAACATGCCACTGCACTCCAGCCTGGGTGACAGAGCAAGACTCTGTCTCAGAAAAAAAAAAAAGAAAAAAGAAAAAAAGAAAATAATGCTAGGAGGTTAGGAGGTTTTCATTTTTACAACAAATTCCCAGTGCAATGTTATTTCTGTCTGGGACACACATGTGGATGTGCCTGGATTACACGTGGGGAGGACAGGGAGGAATCCTCTTCTCAAACAATCCTCATATAACTAAACATAAAAAGAACCATGTATTCAAACAAAAACACATACATATTTCTGGATACATACACAGACACACATTTAAACATTCACGTATGAATCCTCTTTCCTTTTTTAAAAAGCCACTTTCTACCCTCACAGTCAAAACTGGCAAGAGAGTTAAGTAACACAGAAAGCTAAGATATTCAAATACATTACTCAAGTGCCCTAAAACACACAGATCCAGAAACAATTTCTAAAGAAGCTGAAAATAATTATAGTCTAATAGTCTTCGGATAATACAAATTCAATAAATACAGAAAACATAGGCTAATAACTTGCCTCTATTTTCATGGCCTTTGGCTGCACCACATAGATTTTGTTCCTATAGCCACACCAGACTTTGTCATGTACCACAGTCATGCAACGGATGGAATGATGAGGCCGTCCAAGGTCTAAGAGGTGATAGTTTGACAAATCCCACTGCCCATCTTTAAAAAAAATAAAAGGTTATAGTAAATACATACCACCTGTTACTCAATTTCAACACAAGAAACATTTTATTTGTTGTATAATTAAATTTATTGAGGAAGCACTCAAAGTACCATGTACTAAGTATATCTTTTATTTGCAGCCTGGGTTCTTTTATTCCATAAGCTGCAAAGTTGGAAGAGACCCTCAAAGGTCATCTGCTTCAAAGTGCCACCCAGTACCTAGACCCCCTTTAAAACATGCTCACAAAAGCAGTGATGTGATGATAAATCAGTTACAAGTTATCTGTTTATCATAATATTTTTCGAATTAGAATGGACTTAAGGTTATTTTGGGAATAACGTCTCTCAGTCACGTGCATTTTGATGTATTTTCTTGGGTAGAAGTTGAGGGCAACTCATTGCTAACACTTTAGGAATTATGCATACTATATTTTCAGTGATACTAGAAATATGAAGGAGAACCAGTCATCAGAACCTCGCTTTGCTTTGTTAGCTTTTGTGAGCATACTGCCTCACAAAGCAGCCATTCTATTTTCAGACACCTTTAATTGAAAAATATTACCCACACCTAGCTAAAGTCTGTCTTTTTGTATGTAATCACCCACTCGTCTGCAGTCTTGCAGAGTGGAAACAAAAGAATAAATCCAGTACAAACTTCTTCGTTACAGCCCTATGTCTCCTCTTTTCAAAACCAAGTTATCTTTGGCATGTGCTCTGTACCTACCACAGTTTACAGACCCTTCATCCTAACTCTGTTTTGTTGATGTCCATTGAATATGCTGTCTTTATCTAGCCTAGTAGAGCAGGATTATCACCAGCCTTGTCTTTGAGGCTTAAGGCATTAAACTCATATTGAGTTTATAGTCAACCTTTAGGTAATTCTCACTCTTCAGACATGTCTCCCCATCGTGCTCTTCTGAACTCAAATGCAGGACTTTACATTGACACTTACTAAATGCATTTTACTTGTCTTATTCTGTCAATATTATTTTGAATTCAATTTACCAAAACATGCATTGTTTCATTTTTTTTCTAGGCTTTTCCACTTATTAGCTGAGTGGCCATGAAAAAGTTACCAAAATGCTCTGTGTTTCAGTTTCCTCATCTATAAAATGAGGATGACCATGGAACTTTCTTAATAATTTACTGTAAAGATTAAACATAGATAAAGGGCTGAAAAAGGTAAAATGGAGCCCTCTCACTCTTTGATGATATGGAGTCATTAACCAGCAATTTTCAGGTACCAATCAATTACAAAAGCACCTAACTGTCATCTACTCCACATTTCCCCAGCCCAGAAAGATAGGAGATTTTGGGAAAAGCTTTTCTAAAATCCAAATTCAGGGTATCTATGTTTCATAATACTTCCTAGATATACCAATCAAGTGGGTAGAAAATGATGTATCATTTTTGGTTGACACAAGTACCAAGGAGTTACGGAGGAATACATACTAAATTCCCTCAACTTAATTCATTTAAGGTAGGGTTTCTGATACCACCACCCCTCTATAGATGAAACAATGGTTTTAAAGGGGGAGAATATAAATAAGGTGACATGAAAATGATTAAATCTTACCCAATTAAAATTCTTTAAGAAAAAGTCCAAATGTTAAGTGGACACAAATTATTTTTAACACATAGGACATTAAAAAAACACCAAGTTTCTCCGAATTGCATAAGTATATGAATGAAAAACAAATGCCTCCCTATCACATTATTTAAAAGTACCAGCCGGGCACGGTGGCTCACGCCTGTAATCCCAGCACTTTGGGAAGCCAAAGCGGGCAGATCACAAAGTCAGGAGATCGAGACCATCCTGGCTAACACAGTGAAACCCTGTCTCTACTGAAAATACAAAAAAATTAGCTGGTCGTGGTGGCAGGCGCCTGTAGTCCAGCTACTCGGGAGGCTGAGGCAGGAGAGTGGTGTGAACCCGGGAGGCGGAGCTTGCAGTGAGCTGAGATTGCGCCACTGCACTCCAGCCTGGGCGACAGAGCGAGACTCTGTCTCAAAAAATAAAATAAAATAAAAGCACCATAAAATGCCCATTGTGGTAAACACATTTTCCCTAAGGTATCTGTTAATGTATACCTCCATGCACGCACTAATATATTTACTGATGTTGTGTATTGTTAGTATTTATTCTTTAAACTGAGTATCATTTCTTTAAAACATAAACCAATCTACTTAAAAATGCTTTGCAAAGCAACAAATTAGTGTCCATGTTATACACACATCACCACTCACCCACTCCTCTGTGAAAGATTGCAAGGGTGCCGTCAGCCAGGGCTACTAACACGATTCCCTTCACGTGTCTGCAAACAGGAAAGGGGAGTTCAGAACTCTCCATTCAGGAATACAGAAGGGACCACATGCTACTGAACTAGTTCAAGGCCTCACAAAGGGCCAATCTGTGATGAGTTAAGGAGCTGACACCTGAATATAAATGAACACACCACTTTCTTCACTGTGGATGTCCTGCTATGAAAAAATGTCAGCTGAACTAAATAAACAGTATGAATGGTATCTCAGTTATTTCACTTTCTGGCCCAAGGTTCTCCTCTCATCACAGACAATCAACACAAACTCTAAAGACCAGAGACATGCACCTTGAGTGGAACCAACAGAGTCAGCCCTGTAGGCTCAGAGATAAACTGTCTGATTTTTTTACAGTGAACACATAGAAAAGAACTAGTAATCAATGCCCCAATCAACATATTTACAAGCCATAAAGAATATTCTAAAATAAACATAACTTAATAGGTATTGGTTATTTCCTGCAGTGCTAAATAAATCGCAGTATGGTGAGGACTCAATCAAGCAAGTTATCCTTTCTACTTCGTTTTCTATTATACAGTTTCATTCTCACTTAACTTCTCTAGTTCCATAAAAAGGGTTAAAAAAACAAACAAATTGGATACTAATTTAGTCGTGAAACATGTATTAGCTTTCAAAGTCTTAAAATCTAGTTTATACCAAAATGCATAGTTTTAACAAGAAGAATTTCCAAAATAAAACTTACACAATACTGAGAATCGAATCTTTAAGTTTAATGGAATGGAGACATTTCCTCCACTGGGCTACAGATGAATGGACATACAAACTGTAAGAACAAAGTCAACACTGGTAAGGCATAGAGAACATCAAGACATTGCATATATCTAACAATGATCGCGAAGTTCATTCAGAAGGAAAGAAGAGTAACATACAAATTTTAGGAAAAGGTGCTGCTGCTTTTGTGCAATGGTCAGAAAAGAAAAATGAGAGTGAGGGTAGGCCTAAGGTAAAGAAATAGGCTGCTGAGCAAAGAAAAACATATGAAGACTGAAAAGCAAGAACTAGTGCAATGCACAGTCAGGTTCACACACTTAGTCCTTGGGCAAAACTCTTTTTTTGAATTGCCTTACCTCTCTACTACACTGATCTATAACTTTTGGATGACAGAGTGGCCCACATAGGGAGTGGCAAACTATGGCCTACAGGCCAGATCCAGTCTGCCACCTGTTTTAATCCAGCCTGCAAGCTAAGAATACTTTTTACATTTTTAAAAGTGTGTGTGGGGGGGAAATCAAGGGTATTTTACGACAGGGGAGATTTATATGAAATTCAAACTACAATGCCCATAATGCTCTACTGGAAGAGAGTTACACTAAGTTTGCCAACTCTTCACTTTATAGTATTGGACTCATATGAAAAAGACATACTACAGGTTGAGTAACCCTTATTTGAAATGCTTGGGATTTCTGACTTTTTCAGATTTTAGAATGTTTACATCATACATAACAGTTGAGTATTCCTAATTCAAAAATCCAAAATGCTCCAATGAGCATTACCTGCCAGCATCATAACAGTGGTCAAAGAGTTTTAAATTTTGGATTAGAGATGCTCAACAGTAATCTTGCTTAACCTTTGTAAATGCACAATTTTGTAAAACTCTCCACACAACCGGAAAGTGAACAAACCATATAATATTAGTCATCATCATCTGACTTTGCAGATTGTGATTTGTTTTACCTATCTTAGTAAAAAATTCACTAAAAGTTGGGATTGGGCCTTCCTGCAGCCAAAATGTTGGTTTAATCCCTGTTTTCCTGCCCACATTCTAGCCTACATAAATTAAATATTCTCTGTCTTTGTGCTGTTCAGGATCTTCTATTTCTGGAGCACCTCGATTTTAAAATTTTACATACCTCTTCTTCCAAGAATATTATAGAAAGGGAACATTCTGTGACAAAGAAACATATGGCTTACTATTCAGAACCAGTGCAAGTCCAGTTTATGTGGTAGTTGCAACATAACATCAAATTGTGTGTATATATAAAATTCTTTGCATTAATCCACACTTTTTGTATTTGTTTACCATATTTTACTTATCTTCTGATTTCAAAAGCAAAAGTAAAACAACATATTCTAATGTTAAAAGCATTGACACCTACCAGCCATTTTGAGCTCCAAGCCACATAGTTGGTAAAAGACTACTCATTTTCTGGGCTTCTTCTCTCACCAAGTCTTGTTCATTTGGCAGTACTGATATTTGATCTTTATATGCATCTGAGTCATTGCTGGAAAGGGAGGGCAAAAGGAAAGAAATCTGAGTATACTTAACTATCGTTATAGTTTTCAGGGACTGAATCCTTCTATATTTAAGTTTGTTCATTTGTTTATTATTTATTTATTTTTTAGAGATAGGGTATCACTCTGTCACCCAGGCTGGAGTACAGTGGCACAATCAGGGCTCACTGCAGCCTTGACCTCTCAGGCTCAAGTGATCTTTCCACTTCAGCCTCCTGAATAACAGGGACTAGAGGCACACACACTATCACACCTGGCTTCAACTTTTAGTCAAAAAAAAAAAAAGAAACCACCAAAATTCCAGAAAAGCCAAAGTCAAAAGCTTACATCACATATTTCAACAATTGTACCAGAAATAACATTAACAAACTAGGAAGCCCAAGGAGCAGAAAAGATAATAAGACATGGTAATGAAATACAGCAGTTAATATTCAGACAATTACTATGGCTGTCTCTTATTTTGGGTTTTGTCATAGTTTCTTCTCAAGTGAGAGAGAAGGGAGGGATACACACATACAAATAGTAGGGAGAAATATAAAGAATGACCTAAAATAAATTAATAAACTGAAATATGTTTAATATTCTATCACAAAACCTTTCCTTTGAATTGTCAGGGCATATTTAGTAAAAGATATATAACCAGGCTATCAAATTCAAACATGACTTATTCTTAAATTAATAATTCAGGCCAGGTGCGGTGGCTCACGCCTATAATCCCAGCACTTTGGGAGGGTGAGGTGGGTGGATTTCTTGAGGCCAGGAGTTCAAGACCAGCCTAGCCAACATGATAAAACCCCATCTCTACTAAAAATACAAAAATTAGCTGGGTGTGGCAGCACATGCCTTCAATCCCAGCTACCTGGGAGGCTGAGGCAGGAGAATCGCTTGAACCTGGAAGGCGGAGGTTGCAGTGAGCTGAGATTGCACTGCTGCACTCCAGCCTGGGTGACAGGGTGAGATTCCATCTCCAAAAAAAAAAAAGAATTAAATATTAACCCATTTATGCCGGAGGTTGCAAATTTTTTTTGTAAAAAATCAGACCTTAGCGATGACCTTGAGCAGTAGGATATGAATAACTCCCACAAGCTTAGCATTCCAATAATGGACCACTAGGCATAAATGGGTTATTAATTAATCTTTCTTACTTTATACACTAAGAATATTAAACTTTAAAAAGGATCTAGTTTAAAGAGACTCTCATCTAGAGGGGATCTAGAAAAGGCAGGAAAGAAAATAAAATAATTCACTAAATGGGCCTAGATTAACCAACCCTTTAACGGAGGAGCCTAAAACAAACAGTTTTCTTTGGTTTGTTTGTTTTCTGAGACAGAGTCTTGTTCTGTTTCCCAGGCGGCAGTGCAGTGGTGATATCATGGCCCACTGTAGCCTCCAGCTCCCAGGGCTCAAGCAATCCTCCCACCTCAGCCTCCTGAGTAGCTGGGACCATAGGTGCACGCTACCACGCCCAGCGAATCATTAAGTTTTTTGTAGAGATGAGGGTCTCACTATGTTGCTCAGGTTGGTCTTGAACTCCTGGACTCAAGCAATCCTCCTGCTCAGACTCCCAAAGTGCTGGGATTATAGGCATGAGCCACTGGAACTATCTGAGTTGTTTTTTAATAAAATATTTGCATGAAAACTAAATTCAAAAAGGTCATCCACACCCATGTGGGAAACTTGTACAATGGCAGATTTAAACAATGGCCAATTTTGCTGATAACTGGAGTGAAAATTAGAGTAGGGGTGGGATTAAAATGACAAAGAATTACTTATAGAATGGAAGACAGTAAGTACAAAAAAAAAGAAAAAAAAACAGATCAGAGGAGAAAATGAACAGAAAGATTTTGACTAATATATAGTCACACACCTGGTAAAACCATTTTGGAAAATGATGGACAGAATATATGGTGGTGGTTCCACAAGATTATACTACTATATTTCTACAGTACCTTGTGCATGTTTACATACACAAATACTTACCGTTATGTTCCAATTATCTACAGTATTCAGTACAGTAACATGCTGTACAGGTTTCTAGCCTAGGAGCAATGGGCTATACCATATGGCCTAGGTGTGTGATAAGCCATACCATCTAGATTTGTGTAAATGCACTCTATGATGTTCACACAATGATGAAATCACCTAATGACACATTTCTCAGAACATATCCCCATTGTTGACTGATGCATGATTATACTTTTATAGATAAGATTTTTTTTTTAAATTGGAAGGTGTACAGAAGAAATGGGGGGGAATATCCAGCGAGAATGATGGAGCGGGAATACATGAAATTATCACAAGAATAGGTATCTTTTAATCCACCACAGTGACACTAATTAGTGGAAATCTTTTGACTGTTTGAGATTATTTTGGTTCCTTTTATTTGTGCACTTCACCCAGTTGCCTAAGTTGATGACCCATTATTATACCTCGACTGATACACTGGGGAGAGGTCTTCTGGGATCTGAACTCCCAAAGGATCTGTAAAGACATGCTCTGTGTAGACGCCAGTTTGGGAGATGTCCACTGTGTCTTCAGCTGACCCCGCATTCCCTTCTGTAGCTTCAGTTGCTTCTTCTGCTGTTGGAACATTTTCATCAACCTCACTATTTTCTGCTTCCATTTCTACAAAGTAAATAAAACACTATTCCAAGTCTGGGCTTTTCTCCTCCAATTATTTCCCCACACAAACCCCTGTTATAGAATTCCATTCCATCTACCCACTCCTTCACACTGTACCATGAAATTAAGAATTCTTCATTCCATTTAACAGTCATTACAGCATTTTTTTTTTTTTTGAGACAGAGTCTTGCTCTGTTGCCCAGGCTGGAGTGCGGCGGCGTGATCTTGGCTCACTGCAAGCTCCACCTCCCAGGTTCACGCCATTCTCCTGCCTCAGCCTCCCGAGTAGCTGGGACTACAGGCACCCGCCACCACGCCCGGTTAATTTTTTGTACTTTTTAGTACAGACAGGGTTTCACTGTGTTAGCCAGGATGGTCTTGATCTCCTGACCTCGTGATCCACCCGCCTTGGCCTCCCAGAGTGCTGGGATTACAGGCGTGAGCCACCACGCCCGGCCTACAGTATCTTCTTTCAAGTTCTTTCAACCTTGTTACTTAAGATCTAAATTAAGTCCATAATGAGGCATCTGAGTGTAGCCTTAGACTCTATACAGATGGCAGGTAAAGAGAATGGATATACCTGGTGGTTTATCCATCACTGGAGAAGCACCATTTGTACTAGGGGAAGTGGCAGCTCCCGTCACACCTTCTGCAGAACAACCAACCACTGTGATGCCTCCTAACAGGCTGTCTGTCTCTGCTGAGCTGTTGCTTGTCATACTTCCACATAAAGATGCTTTGTCTACCTGACCAGATTCTGAAAGATCTTCTCCTGCAGGGTAGTCTGTTTCTCGTGCACCTGAAAAATAAATCTTCTTGTAACAGCAAAGTAAACTTCTATAAATAACATTTTTTTTACTAAAACAATTACAGGTTTGAAATGAGAGTTATGCAGGTGAGATGTACAGGTAGTTGAATACAGGTAGCATTAAATTTACATAAACAAATCTTCACAATATGGGAAGGTAACTTAAAAAATTAAGAAAATACTTCTATTAACACAAGTGCAAATAAACATAAAAATGTCAGAAAATAAACTTTTTTTTTTTTTTTTTTGAGACAGAGTCTTACTCTGTCGCCCAGGCTGGAGTACAGTGGCATGATTCAGCTCACTGCAACCTCCGCCTCCTTGGCTTAAGTGATTCTCCTGCCTCAGCCTCCTGAGTAGCTGGGACTACCGGTGTGAGCCACCACGCCTGGCTAATTTTTGTATTTTTGGTAGAGACAGGGTTTCGGTATGTTGGTCAGGCTGGTCTTGAACTCCTGGCCTCAAGGGATCCACCAACCTCAGACAAGTCCTAGGATTACAGGTGCGAGCCACCACGCCTAGCCAGCTTCTGTTCTTAGTGAGCTCCTCAGCAGCCACAGGTTAAAAACAATCTATTATATCTGACAACATCAGCCAAAAAAAAATTCTTTTAAATCATCAAGACTACTGCTACTACTTGAAGTATAAGCTTCTATCCATTACTGTTAAAAATTAAATGCCCCAAGTATATAGGTTGATTAAGATATTAGTAAAACATTAAAAACTAAGCATTTATAATATAAAAATATTTACAATATAAAAATAAATCTCATTTTTTAATTTAGAAAATTGTTTTATTTATATCACACTAAAAACTTTTATTGCAGTAAAAATAATATATATATAAACAAAATTTGCCACTTTAACCATTTAAAAGTGTACAATTCAGTGGCACTAATATTTACAATATTGGCATTAATATTTATAACATTGTGTAGCCATCACCATTATTTTTTTTTTTTGGCGACAGAGTTTCACTCTTGTTGCCCAGGCTGGTGTGCAATGGTACAGTCTCGGCTCACTGCAACCTCTGCCTCCCAGGTTCAAGCAATTCTCCTGCCTCAGCCTCCCAAGTAGCTGCGATTACAAGCGCCTGCCACTGCACCTGGCTAATTTTTGTATTTTTAGTAGAAACGGGGTTTTACCATGTTGGCCAGGCTGGTCTCGAACTCCTGACCTCAGGTGATCCGCCCACCTCAGCCTCCCAAAGTGTCTGGATTACAGGTGTAAGCCACCATGCCAGGTCTTTTTTTTTTTTTTTTTTTTTTTTTTTTTAAAACACAGGGTCTTACTCCCATTGCCCAGGTGGGTGTGTAGTGGTGCAATCGTAGCTCACTGCAGTCTTGACCTCCCCGACTCAAGTTATCCTCCCGCCTCATTTTTTGATTTTTTGTGGAATGAGGTCTCACTATATTGCCCAGACTGGTCTCAAACTTCTGGGCTCAAGTGATCGTCCCACCTTGGCCTCTGAAAGTGCTGGGATTATGAGTGTGAACCTCCATGGCCGGCCTATTTCTAAAGCTTTTCCATCACCTCACACAGAAACTCTATGTTTTTATGAATGTGCCTATTCTAGATATCTCATATAAGCGGAATCATATAATATTTGTCCTTTTGTGTCCGACTTATTTCCTTTGGCATAGTGTTTCCAAGGTTCATCTGTGTTATAACATGTGTCAGAACTTCTACCTAGAGGATAATGTATTGTACTCTTAAAAATTTGTTAAGAGGGCTGGGCATCCCAATACTTCGGGAGGCCAAGGCAGGCAGATCACTTGAGCCCAGGAGTTCCAGACCAGCCTGGGCAACATGGTGAAACCCTGCCTACAAAAAGTACAAACAACTTAGCCAGGTGTGGTAGTGTGCGCCTGTGGTCCCAGCTACTTGGGAGGCTGAGCTGGGAGGATCACTTGAGCCCGGAAGGTCATGGCTGCAATGAGTACAATGAGTTGTGACTGCACCACTGCAATCCAGCCTGGGCAACAGAGTGAGGCCCTGTCTCAAAAAAACAAAAACAAAAATGTGTTAAGAGGGTAGATCTCAGGCTGGGTTCAGTGGCTCATGCCTGTAATCCCAGTACTTCGGGAGGACGAAGCGGGTGGATCACCTGAGGTCAGGAGTTCAAGACTAATCTGACTGCCCGGGGTGGTGGGTCACACCTGTAATCTCAGCACTTTGGGAGACCGAGGCGGGCAGATCACGAGGTCTAGGAGTTCGAGACCAACCTGGCCAATATGGTGACACCCCATTTCTACCAAAAATACAAAAATTAGCCGGGTGTAGTGGCTCGTGCCTGTAGTCCCAGCTACTTGGGAGGCTAAGGCAAAAGAATCACTTGAACCCAGGAGGTAGAGGTTGCAGTAAGCCGAGACGGTGCCACTGCACTCCAGTGTGAGTGACAGAGTAAGACTCCATCTCAAAAAAAAAAAAAAAAAAAGACTAGCCTGACCAACATGGTAAAACCCCGTCTCTAGTAAAAATGCAAACAATTAGCCGGGCGTGGTGGCAGGTGCCTGTAATTCCAGCTACTCGGGAGGCTGAGGCAGGAGAATCACTTGAACCTGGAAGGTGGAGGTTGCAGTGAGCCGAGATCATGCCATTGCACTCCAGCCTGGGTGACAGAGTAAGACTCTGTCTCAAAAAAAAAAAAAAAAAAAAAGTAGAACTCATATTAAGTATTCCACAATAAAATATAAAAAAGAACTTCATTCCTTTTTATGGCTGAATAATATTCCAACATATGGATATATCACATACACTTCTTTAATTTTTAAACTAATGTTTTAACATCACATAATGTTTAATCCAAAACTTTAGAAGACCTTTCCTTATTAATTAATCCAAACAGTCCTCTGGCTCCCAGTTATTTTCTCATATTCCCATTGTTTTATTTTCTTCACAGTATTTTTCACTACCTGAAAATATCTTCTTTATTCAATGGTTTCCAGTTTGTTTTTTAATCTTCCCTAACTAGAACATAAGCTTCATGACAGCAAGGTGCAGAACTGCATCTTCAGCTGCTACATCAGTGCCCAGCAGGTAGGTGGATGGAGGGGAGGGCAGAGAAACGCATGACTCACTCTTACCTGGCACACTTGCAATGCACAGAACATGAGAGTTGCAAACAGTGAAACTGTCTAGGATGTTGCCAGGTTGAACAGCATCAATAATAAGAACTTTTGTAGCCGAATGAGTGCTGGTACAGATCCAAACTAGACTGGATAATTCTTCTTGATTTTTTAACTCCTTCTGCTGTTCCTGTATAGGCAAAGGAGGAAAAATGTTTAAAACAATATGTATGTACAAATATTCATAAGGTGGTGCTGTTACAGTAAAAGGCAATACTATTTCAAATTTATTTCCAGATTATTTGGAAGGGTAAAAATACAACCACTGATGTGGTTTGGCTGCGTCCCTACCCAAAACTCAACTTGAATTGTATCTCCCCGAATTCCCACATGTTGTGAGAGGGACCCAGGGGGAGGTAATTTAATCATGGGGGCCAGTCTTTCCCATGCTATTCTCGTGATAGTGAATAAGTCTCACGAGATCTGATGGGTTTATTAGGGGTTTACACTTTTGCTTCTTCCTCATTTTCTCTTGCTGCCACCATGTAAGAAGTGCCTTTCATCTCCTGTCATGATTCTGAGGCCTCCCCAGAGGTTACCTATGTAAGCCCAATTAAACCTCTTTTTTCCTTCCCAGTCTCGGGTATGTGTTTATCAGCAGTGTGAATATAGACTAATACAACCACCTATCAATATTAATTAGTAGATGAAAAACTAGCAGTTAGGCTGGCACAGTGGCTCACGTCTGTAATCCCAGCACTTTGGGAGGCTGAGGTGGGAGGACTGCTTGAGGCCAGAAGTGTGAGACTAGCCTGGTCAACACAGTGAAACCCTCGTCTCTACAAAAAATAAAATTAGCCAGGTGTGGTGGTGTGGGTGTGTAGTCCCAGCTACTTGGGTGGCTGAAGTGGACAGATCACTTGAGTCCAGGAGGTTAACACTGCAGTGAGCCATGATCATGCCACTGCACTCCAGCCTATGTGATAGAGTGAGACTCTGTCTCTAAACAGCAACACAAAACTAACAGGTAAAGCAGAACAATGATAAAATGTTCCATTAGCTTGATCACTGTAGTGATTACATACGTGTACACATGTGTCAAAACTC
This sequence comes from Homo sapiens, assembly GCF_000001405.40. Lineage (NCBI taxonomy): Eukaryota > Metazoa > Chordata > Mammalia > Primates > Hominidae > Homo > Homo sapiens. The sequence continues at coordinate 50,994,853 of NC_000017.11, forward strand.
TGACCTATACCCATTTCGAGTGCACACTTTATTGCATGTAAATTATACCTCAATATTTTAAAATTGATTTTAAAAGGGTGCTGAGGGACAGTAAGCCAGGGCATAGTAATCCCAATTAGAAGCTGGACCCAGAGGCAAATTTTGGATGAAAGAGTTAAACTCATAGTCTCATAAACCAGGTCAAATGTTAGTACACACACTTACCTTAAGTTCCTGATCTAACTTATCTAAACTACTCTGAGAGGCACTTCGCTGTTTACTGCCTTCTGTATCCAAACCAGCAACATCCTTGTAAAATACACTTGCTCCAACAACAGAACCACCATCTCTGGTCTTCCCACCAGATAAATTGACTCCAACAGCACACCACAGCTTCTCAGGTGAAAAAGAAAACAATATTAAGTCTAGAAATGTTTAGCATTTTCATGTTTTCTTAAAATAACTAATGGTTGTAAATACAGGTCTTATAACCTAATATTATAAAATGAACAATAACCTCACCATAGAAGTAATACTTATACTTTTTTGGTTTTAGAAAAAAAACTACCCAGAGTTTAGAAAACATCTCCTTTTAATTCACAATGAACTTACCTTCATTGATGTATCTTTTTCATCCAGAGGTCTGAGATAGACAGGCACAGGTAAATTTTTCATCTTATTTTCACCTTGACCATTGGTTACCTAATAATGGTGGAAGGAGGAGTGAAAAAGGCACATTAGTAAGCCTCATCAAAAGTGAACTTATTACAGATCCACTGAGACATGAGCAAGCACTGCTGTTATTTACTCCTTGAAATCAAGTTCAGGTTTTTTGTTTTTTTGTTTTTTTGAGACAGGGTCGCTCTACTGCCCAGGCTAGAGTGCAGTGGCTTGATCATGGCTCACTGCAGCCTCAATCTGTCAGGCTTAAGCGGTCCCCTCCCACCTCAGCCTCCAAGGTAGCTGGGACTACAGGCACAGGCCACCACACCCAGCTAATTTTTTAAATTTTTTGTAGAGATGAGGTCATGCTATGTTGCCTAGGCTGGTCTCAAACTCCCTGAGCTCAAGCCATCCTCCACCTTGGCCTCCCAAAGTGTTAGGATTATAGGCATGAGTCAATAACAGGCACCATGAGCCAATGACAGGCATCAGCCAATTTTGCCATTCTTATTTGAAAAACAGAAAAATCAAGTTGAGCAATTCAATAAACAGGATATAATGGGAGCTCAAAAAGAGGCTCTAATTCACACATATGTGCACACGTGCACATGCATATGTGTTTGTACATGAACATGTGAGTCTTTTGGGGTAGGAATTATGGAGTAGACAGATAAAATTCCTGAAGACCTGAACTTAATTTTAAATGAACAGTTTGAAAAGTTCCATGCCAATAATTTTTTCAACAATGATGCTGGTTTTTTAAAAAATGAAATCTTCAAATATTAAACCAGAATTGCTCTGGTTACAGCAGAGCGGGTACCTCAAACTCCATGCACTTAGCCACCCTTTATTGACTCCTCCCCCCCTCACAGACTCAGAGCATTTCATTTGAGTTCTACAGCTCTAGAAAACAGCCTGAAAACCACCACCCTCCATGCTTAAATGTGTGCCCAGTCCATGCGGCTGAGATGAGCAGGGCTGGGATGCGTACAGTGAATCCTTCATGCCCACGCACACTCAACTTGCCCTCTTCTTTCCTGCTGGATGCTCTTACCACATGTGCATATTACCTGTTTGTACTTCTGAGGCAGACTCCAGCCAAAAGCCTGCACTCTACCGTCTTCCTTCTGAACATGTGCTTTTACCTGACGATACTGCTCTCTCTTTTGTTCTCTGCGTGAGGCTAAACTAGCTTCAGTTCTAAAAGGAAAAAAGATTTTCCTAATTACATGAATACGTTTAATTACGTTTATCCCCAGTTTTATCTCTCCTCTGTCACTAAAACAGCAAAAACAACAAAAATTTACATGATTTCAAATTAGTTTATTTCAACTATAACAGCTCCTTAAAAAGTGTTATAATAGGCCGGGCACGGTGGCTCATGCCTGTAATCCCAACACTTTGGGAGGCCGAGGAGGGCAGATAGCCTGAGGTCAGGAGTTCGAGAGCAGCCTGGCCAACATGGTAAAACCCCGTCTCTGCTAAAAATACAAAAATTAGCCAGGCACGGTAGTGCGGACCTATAATCCCAGCTACTTGGGAGGCTGAGGCAGGAGAATCATTTGAACCCGGTGGAGGTTGCAGTGAGCCAAGATGGTGCCACTGCACTCCAGCCTGGGGGACAAGAGCAAAACTCCATCTCAAAAAACAAACAAACAAACAAACAAAGTGTTATACTAAAGCTGGTCTTTTTAAGTTTGTGCAGTGAATTCAGTGCCTAAGCTTTAACAGGTTACCAAGCAGCTTTGTTACATTAAATTGAATCATCAGCCACCAAATTTATATCAGGTTTCAGATGCTGGCCATATGAAAGGGGAAAATTCTTAAGTATGTTTGGCTTTTTTGTTGTTGTTGTTCATTCAACAAATATTTACTGAGAATATCCTAATGCCAGAAAACGTGCTAGAAGTGATTTAAAACTTGAGTAAATCAATATCTGCTTAGGAAGATTGATATAGGTTAGATTTTAGATCCCATTAACTTGTTTCAGAAAATAAAAATGCAAACTGATTTGGTAAACTTTGGAGTTATAAGGTAAAATATTATTAAAATGATTTTGAAAATAATTTGCCATTATTTTGGCCATTTAAATTTTCATAAGATGAGTTGCTATGTATATATACCACAGTTAACATATCTACCTATATGTCAGATACTTTACAGATAACTGTATAATTGGGTCCAATCACCTTTGAGATAGGTTATCAGATTAATTTTACAGACAGAGAAACTGGGGGCTCTGAAAGGTTAATTTGCCCAAGTGTTTGTACCTAATGAGTAGTAAAGTCAGGATGGAAAACCAAGTCCTCTGACACCAACAGAAATGTTCAAACATTTAGGATAAAGGCTCATTTACCTCTAAAGGCCATTCACATTTCTATTAATAGGTATTTATCAATGTTGTCATACCAGCAAAAATGAGGCATTTAAAAAAAAATCCTTCTCTTTTATAAAAACTGAAAAGCAATTTTCATAAAAACTTTTGACTACAAGTAATTTACTTAAAGACAGCCAAGTTACAGAAATGATTTTTTTTTTTTTTTTTTTTTTTTTTTTTAAAGATGGAATCTCACTCTGTCACCCAGGCTAGAGCAATGGCATGATCTCGGCTCACTGCAACCCCGCCTCCTGGGTTCAAGCGATTCTTCTGCCTCAGCCTCCCAAGTAGCTGTGATTACAGCCACACACCACCACGCCCAGCTAATTTTTGTATTTTTAGTAGAGATGGGGTTTCACCATATTGGCCAGACTGGTCTCGAACTCCTGACCTTGTGATCCGCCCACCTCGGTCTCCCAAAGTGCTGGGATTACAGGTGTGAGCCACCGTGCCTGGCCCAGAAATGATTTTTTTATAGATTTACCTGAATCCTTAGAGCTGATAAGAGGCCAAGAATATTCTGAACCACTAACTTAATTTAGAATATAATGATTAATTTGGAAAAGACTTACTCTTCACTAAGGAAATCAAAGGCTTTGGACTTATCCCCAGGGAGCTGAGATAAGGTGCTGCTTCTTTTCTTGACGGACGGAGTAACATGAGACGTGGGTGCATTGTACTTCAGATTAACAGGTGGTTCAGGCTTCTTAGTCGTGTTACTTGAGGAGCTGAAAAGTCGGCTGAAACTAAAAGAAGACAGTATGTCTGTGTGTCACATGTACTATGAGAAACAATCCTTGATTTTCCACAAACTTTAATGTTGAAGAAAATTTCAGAGTACTTTTACAAGGCAATGAGTTAGAAATTGGCAAAAACAGTTTTTGTAGTCATACGCTGTAGCCTTAGCAGTAACTCGTAGCCAAACTCAGACATTCAGTGAAGAGAAACTATTGCTTAGAATGGCGGGTGCCTGTTCTTTAACTAGCAATTTGTATAATGAAAGCAAGAAGCTCTTAAATAGAGGAAACTTCTCCTACTGAATAAATATATTTTGGTTTTTTTGCTAGCTCCTACTTGGTGCAAGGTAAGAGCGATTGTTAAACCGCAAGGTTATGGCTGTGTGATGTGAATGGAAGCTTAGTATGCCAGTTCTAAAAACAGCTTATTATAATCAAGTACTGGAACACATATTACCATGTTAACACACATTTTATACATTTTCTGATTAAGCTCAATTTAAACAACTACTTTCGGGTCTATTTCTTTTTTAATTGACACTTCCATTAAATAGCAGATTCACCAAAAAAGGGTAAGTTTTAATCACAGTAAACACATAGTACTTCTAGCACAAACATAACTCAAGCTCAATACATACACAATATTACTCAAACCCTACAAGCACTAAATTTCTCATCTTCACTTTGTAAAGTTTCTTACAATCACAAAACCAGCCAATCAGAAACTTATTTAATGGGGATCCAGGTCATTTTCAAGTCTCTAAATAATTCCCCATTATTTAAATTTGGCAGAGGATTGCAACAAATGCACAGTCAACATGATGCAGCTTACGATATCATATTTTTTGTCCTTGAGAAGAGCCTTACCGAGTTGGCACACTATATATTAAAAAAAAAAAAAAAGTTCAGTTTAGCTACTTAACCATTACCCCTAGTTTAAAAAAAAAAAATGAAGGAAAGAAAATGGACATAAAATCATTCTTGGAAATAAATTTTGACTGTAATTTTCTTGTCTCATGTGCTGTCTAACATCTTTGTTTTTCAATACTTACAACTGCCAAATGCTTGACCTTTTTTTTTCCTGCATGGCTGGATTTTCTCGTGATGCCCTACATTCAAAAAGAAAAGAAAAGAAACATTTATCAGTGAGGTATTCTACCTTTCTTTCTGAAGAACAAGAGACCCAAGAAGTTCATGGGATACACAGAGGGGAGTCAACAATTAAGTTCAATAAATACTGTAGTTACTTTGACCTACCATGTGTCAGTCAATCTGCTAAAGATTGACTTTAATTCTACTAAGAAAAATAAAATATCATCCCTCCCTCAAAGAGCTTAGTCTACCGACAGAGGACTGTAATATGTGCTAGACAGCCAACATGCCTGAATGATATTTAAAATTTTTTATTGAAAAGATACCCTCTAACTTTCCCTTTTATTAAAATATTGCCTTGTAAATTCCCATCTTTACATAAAAGTCTCTATCATCTATACTCGGAGCTCTCACAAAATAGCTTGAAACTTTGGCATCCTGAGGGGTCATTTTTCACAAGACTAAAACTTTTCCATCACTGGAAAGATGACCACAGCAGGGAAGAGGATAAACTGGATTGACAGGTGATTCAACAAAATTTCAGAAAATAAGATATTCCAAATTGATTTATGAGGTGGTAGGGATTCTGCCATCATAATCAGAGCTCTCTTTTCACTACTTTTTTGTTATGAACTAAATTAAAAACATTCTTTACTTCAGTGAAGTAGTTAAAAGTAAGCTACTATTTCCTTTAATTTGTTGACTACCACTTGGCTGCTAGAGTTAAAAACAGCAATGGAAAGTGAAGTCCAGTTGGGCACAGTGGCTCACACCTGTAATCCCAGCACTTTGGGAGGCCGAGGCGGGCGGATCACTTGAGGTCAAAAGTTCGAGACCAGCCTGACCAACATGGTGAAACCCTGTCTCTACTAAAAAATACAAAAATTAGCTGGGCATGGTAGCGCACACCTGGAAACCCAGCTACCAGGGAGGATGAGGCAGAACTGCTTGAACCCAGGGGGTGGAGGTTGCAGTGAGCCGAGATCACACTTCTGCACTCCAGCCTGGGCACAGAGCAAGACTCCATCACAAGACTCCATCTCAATAAATGAATGAATAAATAAATAAATAAATAAATAAATAAATAAATAAGGTCCACTTTCAGTTTTTTGAATATTTACTTATTATTTATTCGATATCCACTAAATACTGCAGTTAAGAACATACACTTTCTAGTGGGTTAGTTTCCTTGTCTAATAAATATAGATTAGAATACTGATCTTCCTTATGGGCAGTTATAAGCAATTACTATCACAGCAAATTGTAAAATGATATGTTAAAACACTTGATTCTAATATAACATTGGTAAAGGGTACATAAACTGTGAAATAAATGATGTAATCCTAAAGAAGTAAAAGTTGGCAATTAGAGAATGTGTTCATAAACTTAAAAACAACATGTCAATGCATACTATTATTGGTAAATCTGATATGACAATCCAAACTCAAAAATATGGGTAAATTAGGGGGCAGCTCATTTACAAACTTTTCAGTTCTTTCTAAATTAAAGAAACACTATTACTGAGACTACAACCATTAGATGGCAGCATTGGGTGAGATTTAAGAGCCATCTGACTGAAAGATACCAATGGAAGGGTGTACTTGGCATGAACAGTTAGAAAAGAGAGAAAGAAATCAAGCAAGAGTATTTTACAGAAAGACACTGAGTCAAAATAATTTATTTTCCTGTGTTGCATATGAAATTGTGATCTTTTCCTGACATTACTGGGTAAGTAGTATTGATTTCTATATTTGAAAAATGACCATCATTCCTAAGTAATAATAATTGCCTTTTAGAGGTCGTAGTAACATCCTCCAAGATCCCTTACTGGCCCAAAAAGCACCTCCTTTGATCACATTCTGTTGCTAATTCTGAGTGTTACTTTAAAAAGTCTCTCCTAGTAAACAGAGAAAGGGGCTTGGATCTTACAGGGCAGGACTTAAGTTCCACATGAAGGAATATTCAAACCTACAAAATAATAGTAGGAAAATAATGGAGCGCTTGTCATACAAACCGAATCATCTCTGTCCATCGAACAGCTTCCTGAAGCTCCATCAATCTCTCTTTATACTGGTTTCGCTCCATGAGAACACGGGCCATTTCTACTCTAGTAAACCGTTTCCTCTGGGCTGTGGGAATATCACTCTATAATGACAAGAAAATGACATATCATTCTGGAAGCTTATAAATGTCTTGGTGTTCATCTCAGAGTTATGCAAAATCTTTCAGTTTTTAAGCATTCCTTAATTTTTAATCTAGTAGATCATTTAAAGAAAAATGGCTTTATAAAAACAAAATCAACAAAGACTTTTTTTTAAAAAAATATATTTTTTGAGACAGGGCCTTGATCTGTTGCCCACCCTGAAGTGCAGTGGTGAAATCATAGCTCACTGCAGCCTGGAACTTCTGGGTTAAAGCAATCTGCCCACCCCAGCCTCCTGAGTAGCTTGGACTACAGGTACATGTCAACACGCCTGACTAATTTTTAAATTTTTTTGTAGAGACAGGGTCTCGTTATGTTGCCCAGGCTCATCTTGAAATACTGGACTCTAGTGGTGCTCCTGCCTCAGCTTCTCAAAGTGTTGGGACTACAGGTGTAAGCCACTGTGCCCAGCCAACAAAGAGATTTAAATAATCACTCATGACTACAAAGATAAAAGGCAGCAATTTAATTTCTGAATATATATACACAGATATTTGAACATATTATAAAGAAATCATAAAGAGTAGTGTGGGTCTGTTCTCATGGTTCTTAAAAATATATAAAAAATAAAGCTAAAAAATAAAAAGAATAGTAGGGGGCTGGACGCAGTGACTCACGCCTGTAGTCGCGGCACTTTGGGAGTCTGAGGCGGGTACAATGCTTGAGCTTAGTTTGAGACCAGCCTGGGCAACATAGTAAAACCCTGTAGCCAGGAGTGGTGGCACACACCTGTAGTCCCAGCTACTTGGGAAGCTGAGGTAGGAGGATTGCTTCAGCTGGGAGGTCAAGGCTGCAGTGAGCCATGACCATACCACTGCAGTCCAACCTGGGCAAGAGAGTGCAATCCTGTCTTTAAAAAACAAAACAACAACAACAACAAAAACAACAACAAAAACAAACAGTAGGGCCAGGCACGATGGTCCACGCCTATAATCCTAGCACTTTGGGAGTATCACTTTGAGCCCAGGAATTTGAGACCAGCCTTGGCAATGTGGTGTGAGATCCCATCTCTACAGAAAATAAAAAATTAGCCACGTATGGGGTGGCGCACAACTTTGGTCCCAGCTACTCAGGAGGCTGAAGTTAAAAAAAAAAAAAAAGCATAGAATTGCTTGAGGCCAAGAGTTCAAGACCAGCCTAGGCAACATAGTGAGACCCTGGCTCTACAAAAAATAAAATTAAATTAATAGCCAGGTGGGGTGGCATGCACCTGTAGTTCCAGCTACTTGGGAGGCGGAGGCAGGAGGATCACTTGAGCCCAGGAGTTCAAGGCTGTGGTGGGATATGATTGCCACTGTACTCCTCCAGCCTGGAGGAGTGACAGAGCAAGACTCTGTCTCTAAAAAATAGTAATAATACTAAAATAAAAATAAAGGATAGTGCAGATTTTAAACTAAAACCAAAATTGTTATCTACATAGATTTAATACACTATTGTAAGTTTCACCTAAAAATGTTGCTCTACCATTATTTTAATTCATGCTCTGTAACAATCGTCACTCAGAAAATAGTTATAAGTTAGTTCCATTTATCTCAAATTACCAAACCACATACTCACCCAAGACCAGCATTAAGGGTAAACTTATTACCTAGTTACCAAGGTACTCAACTATAAGAGTCGCTAAAATACCAACATAAATGCAAACAGATGGAGACAACTGTATTAGCCAGAATTACTCTTAGACAGAGTATGTGAATATAGAGTGAGCACAGGGGTAAGACCTCAAGGGAACATGGCTCAAGTCAACGTCCTATAGGCTTTCATTATCCACATTTTGGATCAAAGCTGAAAGGTTTGGGACATAAGAAAGACACTAAGCTTAGCCCTTAGCAGTCCTCCTCCTTTGTTGTTCTGTTATAGAAACTGGGCCTCTCCTTTCAATAAAGTTAAACAACAAATGATAAAGATCTTAAGTTTATAACACAGCAAGCCCACTAGTAGGTATGTACTCTGGAAAGGCTACTGCTCCTGCCCACCTGGAGACTTCTACTGTAATGTTTGTAACAACAGCATTGTAAAAAGCTGAGACAAACTAAATATTCCTTAACAGGAAAATAAATACATAAATTGTGACTATTCATTCAATGGGATATCATAAAGTAGTGAATATGAATGATAACTACAGCACTGTACTACACGGATGAATCTCAAAAACATGCCACTGAGGAAAAGAAGCTGGTCTCCAAGACTAAATGTAGTGTGAAACACAAAAAAGGAAAAATTAAACCATATATACATATGTGATATGATAAAATTTTTTTTTTAAGTTAAGCAAATGATAAATATAGGATAGCAGCTTTCTCTGCAGGGGAGGAACACAGAATAGTTCAATGTCTAGTAATGTTCTAATTATCAGATTGGGTGGTAGGTTCACAATGTTAATTTATTATGATTCATAACCTGCATGTCTTACTTGTTTTTGTGTGTATCATTACATAAGATACTAAAAAACAGAGACTGAAGGGGCACCAAGTGATCATTCTGTCCAAAACAACCACATATCTTTGGTCTGACCTTTGACCTGCAAACATTTGTTATAAGAATGATTATGAGGCTGGGCTGGGTGGCTCACATCTGTAATCCCAGCACTTTGGGAGGCTGACCAGGGTGGATTACCTAAAGCCAAGAATTAGAGACCAGCCTGGCCAACAAGGCAAAATCCCACCTTTACTAAGAATACAAAAAATTAGCCAAATTAGACTTGTAGTCCCAGCTCCTCGGGAGGCTGAGGCACAAGAATGGCTTGAACCTGGGAGGTGGAAGTTGTAGTGAGCTGAGATCGCAGAACTGCACTCCAGCCTCGGTGACAGACTGAGACTCTGTCTCAAAAAAAAAGACTAGGGGTATGCTAAGGATATTAGCAAGAAGCTCATATTTATTCTTCTGTACTTATGTTCACAACAATATGAACTAATTGACTAGTACTAAAGTTCTAGACTTCATCTTTTTAATACTGTTAAATAATTTTTATTATTAAGCTTTCATATTTCTAAATCAAAATTTGAAACGAAACAACAATAACAACAACCAAAAACCCCAAAATGTCCCAGTTGGTCCTCAAACTTGAACATGCAACTACAGGTAAGAGCACAGAGGCACAGAGGGAAAATGAGCACACTGCATGGAGCTAGAAAGCTCAGCATCTGGATACCATGCAGAAGCATGAGCTATCCTATTCATGACCATAAACATGTCTCCTGACTTTTAAAAATCTTTATAGTATTATATCCAAAGCTTACGTAGGAAGATCTTCCCGAAACACCAAAACATGGTAAGGTAAGAAAAAAAGTCCAAAATTGTAAACCTACATCATCGTCATCTTTTGCTTTTTGCCTTGCATCTTCAGCTTCTGCCCGAGCTCTAGTGGGGAAAAAACAAAACAAAACATGTTATTTGAATTGAGCTCATCTTTTCAAAAAAATAAGAGTAGGTCAACAATTTTAACTACCACTAAAGGATTATTTTTCTTTTCCCAAACAGGGTATTTAGCCACCCTCATTTGGTGGAGTATCATCATATCATAGCATTGTTCAGAAATAAACAGGTATTAAAGAAAGTGGGATAAAAAAATAATGTTTTAAATTTCCTTATTATCAAAACAAAGATGTTTGAACAGTCTCTAACTCTTTTTGCATCATTATAGACATAAAAAATAACAATATTTAGGCCGGGTGCAGTGGCTCACGCCTGTAATCCCGGCACTTTGGGAGGCCGAGGCAGGTGGATCACCTGAGGTCAGGAGTTCAAGACCAGCTTGGCCAACATGGCGAAACCCTGTCTCTACTAACAGTACAAAAATTAGCTGTGTGTGGTGGCAGGCACCTACAATCCCAGCTACTCAGAAGGCTGAGGCAAGAGAATCGCTTGAACTCGGGAGGCAGAGGTTGCAGTGAGCCAAGGCTTTGCCACTTCACTCCAGCCTGGGCAACAGGAGTGAGACTCCGTCTCAAAAAAACAGAAAACAAAAAACAAAAGACAATAATATTTAGATGACAGGCTAACAACTGGAGGGGCCTGCTCACAGCAGAGGCAATGGGCTGGGGCACTTTGCCCTCTCCCAGGCAGCTCTTGGCCTTCCAGGCTTGAGTGGACAGAAGGTCTCAGTCTCAGGGTTACATCTGTAACCCTTTGTGGCATAACTGGCAAAGAGTTTGGTTTAGAACAACACAGTTAAAACTTACTTCCTAAGCTCTTCCTCCAATTCTCTGTTCTTTTCCTCTAGTTTCAGTTTGGCTTGCTTCACAGCCTCCAATTCCCCTTGCAGCACATCTTTCTCACAGGTCAGTTCATCCACTTTTGCTATCAAATCATTCTTCACTATGTTCAAAGCATTTCTAAGAAACACATATTTCAAGTGCATCATTACAAATAAATATTCTTTCCATCTTTCAGCTATTCCTTTGTAGACTAAACTGTACAACCATAGACAATAATAATTTAATACTTCAAGACATTCTACCCAATGTTGTTTGTAGATAAATGCAAAAAGAACACAAAGCAACAGTCTAAGATTTTACTCATTTATCAAATGAATAAAACAAGACAGATCATCAATTACTAAAAAGTGAGAAGATTAAATTTTAAAAATAGCATTCAAAAGGTTACTATTGTTAATAATTCCTCAGAATATATTACCCAATCAATAAAGTAAAATTATTTCTTGATGTTACCTTTAATAAATAATGAGAAAACAGTTTAAACTGGAAAGTTAAGACAGTCTACGCTGAAGAAAAAACCCTGATATCCAGTTCCTTTGGGTATAGTGGGCATAGGACCTTATTATAACTGCATTCTGTCTTGGATATACACAGATGTTCCAAAGTTGCTCTGACACAGCAAACTGACAAAGGAACCCAGTCAGCTTTTCCACATGACTGGGGATCTGTCCCATTAAATGTGTCTGAGGGCTTAAGACTCCACAAATTGCACCCAAGAATGCACAGCTATGGAAGACAGCTCTGAAGAGGAAGGCTGAGTATACATGAAAATATTTGTGTGGAAATAAAAGAAACCCCAGGAGAAGAGATAAGAAAACAGACAAATGTTAAGGGAGGGAGCAAAAAAAGTGTAAAACCAGGACAAATTTAGAAGATTAAGAAAAAGGCATGGATACTTATAGAGTGAAAAGGAGATGACAATCTGTGTTTCTACAAAAAAACAGGGCAAGGGAACATATCTAACAGGGCAGTGTAGGTCCCAACATTAGGGTGTGTGTGTGTGTGTGTGTGTGTGTGTGCACACTCAGAGTTGGGGAACGAGATGGGACAGGGAGATTCCATTAGTATTATGTTAAAACGATGAAGTGTCATTGACTTGGACAAGAAGAAAATTCTTTATCTTCTGTTAAAATTTCACATATACTTACTTGGTTTCCAACAGTTGTGTATTTTCTAATATAAGATTCTCAACTTCCCGACCCATTCCTATCAAACGAAAAAAGATAAAGACTTTGAAAATAAATGCATCAATAATTATATACATTTAAAATATAAGCTATAGTCACAAGTTTTATTTTAGAAATTTTATCTGTCCTTTATTAATTTTATTTTGTCTATAATTTCATTTGATGGACCTACTTTAATAGATTATAAAATTATAAATAATTATTCATTACGAACAAGGCTAAAGATTTTGTTGGCCTATTTCTTTTTTAAATCTGAATCGGCTTGCTAGGGAATGAGGCCAATTTTTAATATCTGTTAGTCTATATTTCTCATAGATAATATTTCAAAAGGATCAAGACTTTTCTGCCAAATATTCTAATATTCCAACACTACATAGGGTAAAAAAGAACAGCTTTAATATGGATCGAAATTGTTTCTAAATCACATCTGACCTCGTAGGCTTTTGCCTAAAAATTAGACCTTATTAATAGAGAACAGGCAAAAACAAGGCTAAAGAAAGATAGAACCCCAAGGCAGATGAAACCTTACCAAAGAAATTATGGTCTTAAAGCCCATGCATTCCATGTAAAGCAAAAACAAAGAACAAGAAATGTTTTACGTAAGAAACAGCATGAAAACAGATTATTAATCTATAAAGTTTTATACATGATATGAAAAACATCTGGAATCACAATGTTATGATTTAATGCATAATGATGTGCAAAAGACAGAAATAAAGATGATTTCCTTCATTCATAAGGATGCTGATATACCTAAAAAATGCTTTACCAATTCTTTCTCACAATAAGATTAACTATAATTAGATTGAAAATCTTCAATTAACAATACAAACTTTCCTTCAAAGTGCCACCTATAAAATAATAATGTTCAGTTATCACTTGAGTGAATGTCTTTGATCGTGTTTGGCATTTTAATGACTACTGTGAGATAAGCACGTAGAGCATCCAATGCAAGATCCAATGGAGTGGTCTTTAGGGAGAAGAAAGCTATTAATTTGCTTTTCCTAAGAAACTGAAGAAATGAAATAACACACTAGGGAATATCACTCAAAAAACAAAAAATCAAAGCAAAACAAAACAAAACAAAAAAAACCCACCAGTCACTCATCTTCAAGGAATTGTGAGCTAATAATGTTGGAAAATCACATACAATGGAAGAAGTAATAATCATAACCCAAGTAAACAGGAAAGAAATCTTTCTAAAGAAAACTACATACGACAAAGGAGTTAACATGTCCCTTTATTTTAAAAAAGGTAATTTTCCAAATGATTTAAAAATTACTTAAAACAAAAACAGCCAACCTAGGAATGCTACATATTCTGTGTACCTGGACTCATATTTTGTCTATATTCTAATTTTCTCAAAGATCAGGGTACTTACACCAGAAAGAATTAAATATCAGAAATAGATTAATCATCTACCTATGTATTATCTACAAACTGAAACCAAACAAAACAAAATAAAAGTCCCAAAAAAGTTTCCAAATTCTAACTCCAAAATGATCTTCGGCAAGATATTTGCTTTAAACACTAATGCTAAATTTTTATTCCTTTGTAGATACAATGGCTGGGAATGTTAACTTTTTAACAAAGTTATAGAGACAGAAGAAATAAGAATGTAGACTGGTTGAAAACAGTTTATATAGTAACTATGTTTGCTATAAACTCTCAAGCAGTTAGATAAGCGTGGAAGCTGAAAATATATGAAAGGCAAAAAAATAGTTGAGCAGAAAAAAATGATGAGAAAGCATTAGATGAGAACAGCAGCCAAGAACACCTAGCTTAAAAAGCAGTAATATTAAAATATTCAAAATCATACACACCAGAATATTCCCCTACGTAAGCAGCCCAAGAGAAAAATGAATGAGAATCTCAATTAGATTGTTTTCAGAAAGCAAGAACTAAACTCATTTACTTTAAAATGAGAGAGAGGAAACAAAGAAATTGACAAGATGTAGAGAAACCATTAACTAAACACAATGAAGTGTAAATATTTATAAAAAGGAAAAAAATTGAAATGTGTGCTACAGGAAAAACAAATCCTATAATATAGTTTCTAAAGTTTACATTAGCCATGAAGCCAGTAGACAAGACAGATAATTCTGTAAACTGGAGGGTATACAGGACATTTTTGAAAAGGTACAAAGTCCTCAGTGGGCTTAGAAAATTCACCGTATGATCCATATATTATCCTACTTGGCTTGCACGTCTTTGGGTGCATGAATATACTGCTACTGCGTCCTCACCATCACCTAAATGTGACTCAGTCTGTCCCACTATAATATGTTGTGAATTTCCTTGTATTGTACTTCTATTGTTGGTCTTTTTGCATCAATGATACAACAGCAACAACATTTTAAAATTATCATTAAAAGATTAACTGGCAATGTACAGAGCTTACTCTTAAGGGAAAACACTACAAAAAGTCATGAGGATACCAAATGGAAACACATGATGGTGCCTTTGAGTCTGCATGAGACCCGGATGAAGTAGAAATAAAGCCTTTCCGAGATGGCAAAAATAAATAAATAAAGTTTACATTAAATGTACACATTCCCAATGAAGAGTTATCTTAATATATGGTGTATAAATTGAATATATAACCAATAGGATTATCTAAAATTTCATTTTGAAATGATCAATAACTCTTTATAAGAAAAACATAAAGTGGCCTCATTTCTATTCAAGACTTAAATGAAGCACAAACTTAGGTCTAATACATTTGAAAACTTTACTTATTAAAAACAAGCAAAATAAAAAAAAAACTGCCTGGCAGTTTTTAAAATCACAGAAGTTTCATTTGGATTTTAACACTGATTCTCAAGCTAGGTCCATAGATGAGCTTCAGAGTTATATGGTAATCCCTTGAGAAGATGCACAATTTTATCTAGTTCTACATGTGTGTTTTTCCAAAGGTACATTGCTCTCTTACAAATTCACCTGTGAAGAATTTTTAATCCCAAAAGGAGAAGAATCACCGATTTTGAGGTGAAACAAAACTGTCAGAACTATTTAGCAATCCCATTCACTCAGTTGCTATGTGCTAAATATGCAACAGTGAACAAAGACACAGTTGTCTCAGCCACATTGAGCTTATAGTCTGTCCAGGGAGACAGATAACTAAAAAATAACAGTAAAGTATGAAGAGTGGTATAATAAAATGCAGTGCCATGGGAATACATTTCAGGGAAAACTAAGCTTTAATTAGGGGATCAAGGCAGAATTCCTGGAGGATGTATCACTTAAGCAAGGCAAGAAAAGAAAAAAAAAAAAAAATATATATATATATATATACATATATGTATGTATACACACACACATTTAGGAGAGGGAACAAACAAGCCTTGGTGATTAGCTGTGAGGGAAAGTGAGAGGTGCAGGATGGAGAGCTATTCATTCACTAAAACAGTGCCTGTTGGTCCAAGAGCAGCCTTGGGGGACAGAACAATAAAGATAACAAACTGAGCTTTATACATGTCAAACGTAAAGCCCTCCAAGTCATTTTAGGGGTGTCTAGCATGCAATTAGGAAATAATAGTCTTGGGCTCTAGAAAAAGATCTGAGATGGAGGTAAAAACTTGGGAGTAATTAGCCATGAAAACCAAGAAACAATGAGAGCAAACATGATTTCTTAAACAAAGTATCAGGCCTAGGACAGGAGCGCTGATACCTGAAAGACGAGCAAAGGAAGCGGATCCTGTTAAGATGACTGAAAAGGTAAGAGTCGAGACAGGAAAGGACACAGGCAAGTTGATATCACAGAAACCCAGCAAAGAGAGTTTTAAATAAGAAAGTTGAGGGATGAGACACCAATCAAGATAAAGGACAAATTGTTGAGATTCTTTTAAATTAGTAAAATCAGAAAAAGGTTGCGCTGGCGTGATGGTGCATGCCTGTAGTCCCAGCTACTTGGGAGGCTATAGGCAAGAGGATTCCTTGAGCCTAGGAGTTCCAGGACAGCCTACACAACGTAGTGAGATCTCACCTCAAAAAAAAAAAACAGTAATTGAAGTACTGAGTCCATATATAATGATTCAAATTTGTTATCACTGAATTACACAGAAGAGAAGCCAAGGACTTTTTTTTTTTTTTTGAGACGGAGTTTTGCTTTGTCACTCAGGCTAGAGTGCAGTGGTGCAATCTTGGCTCTCCGCAACCTCCACCTCCCAGGTTCAAGCAATTCTCCTGCCTCAGCCTCCCAAGTAGCTGGGATTACAGGTGCACGCCACAATGCCCAGCTAATTTTTGTAGTTTTAGTAGAGATGGGGTTTCACCATGTTGGCCAGGCTGGTCTCGAACTCCTGACCTCAGGTGATCTGCCCACCTCGGTCTCCCAAAGAGCTGGGATTACAGGCATGAGCCACCGTGCCCGGCCAGGAACATTTTTATTTACCATCTTTGACCAAAAATATTCATAAGTAACTAAACTTACAGTAATATATTAAAATATTCTAATCTGAACTATTCTAGAGATAAATGTATCAACATCTACAAAATGGAAAAGATAGTTTGTAGTCTGTTTCTTATCTTCAAAGTGGAAAAGAAACCAAAGCATCAGGATATTACTTTTAATTGATTTAAAAGACAACAGATATTTCTAAGTACTATGGGGCTTCTAAATACTTCATAAGAAAAGAAAGTTTGGGGCCACCAACCTTAAACATTTTATCACTCATTACTGCATTATGAGGTAACACAGTGTACAAATTATATTCAGAATTACTTCATTCTTGTTAATACAAACAGCATAAAGGAATTTTGTGGGGTGATGTATATTGATTCTGGTGAATTTTACTGCACTGAATATACATTTTAAAATTCTTCTAACATTTTTTCATCTGCTCCTCAAATTTGCCAGGGAGTTAGTTTCTCAAACTAATTATGCCTTAAAAGAAACTTTTCAGGTATAATTTGATGTAAACTAAAATTAAAACATAAAATTAAATATAAAAATGGAGTATTCCTTAAGAATTAAACTTTCAGGCCAGACATGGTGGCTCATGCCTGTAATCCCAGCACTCTGGGAGGCCAAGACAGGCGAATCATGAGGTCAGGAGTTTGAGACCAGCCTGGCCAGTATAGTAAAACCCCATCTCTACTAAAAATACAAAAATTAGTCAGGCATGGTGGTATGCGCCTTTAGTCCCAGCTACTCGGGAGGCTGAGGCAGGAGAATCACTTGAACCAGGGAGGCAGAGGTTGTGGTGAGCCAAGATCGCACCACGGCACTCCAGCCTGGGCAAAAGAGTGAGACTATGTCTCAAAAAAAAAAAAGAATTACAACTTTCTTAGCCCTCCATGAGAAACGCAATTCATTCAATTTCTTCCAAAGTTTTACTTAAACTTTAATGGTGACAATCCCTTTCTGTCTAACTATATGTACTTAAAATACTTTCAATCTCTCTTACTAGATACTTTATTTATTTATTTATTTATTTATTTATTTATTTATTTTTATGAGACGGGATCTGGCTCTGTCACCCAGGCTGGAGTGCAGTGGTGCAACCCAGGCTCACTGCAACCTCTGCCTCCCGGGTTCAAGCCATCCTCACACCTCAGCCTCCCAAGCAGCTGAACTACTGGCATACTCCACCATGCCTGGCTAATTTTGATATTTTTCGCCATGTTGCCCAGGCTGGTCTCGAACTCCTGAGCTCAAGCGATCCACTTGCCTTGGCCTCCCAAAGTGTTGGGATTACAGGCGTGAGCCACTGCAACCGGCCTAGATAGACATTTAGATAGAACTTGTGTTTTCCTTCAAAAACACTTTACAATGTCAAGGACATAACTGGCAATCAATAAATTTAACATAAAATAATGCAAGCAATGTCACTCCACTCCAAAGTCATAACAATTAACAAACGAAACCTTTTGAGAACAGTGTAATCTGTACTATAATTATACCAATAGATACAAATTTTTTTAGCTTAGTATCTCCAAAGGTATATATTTTTAATTCCATATAGTTTTTAATTTCTATAGGGTCCTAAGTTATAAGGAAGGTATACCAAAACTAATTCATAGGAGCCAGAACCTTGCACTGAAAGGAACTTCAGAGATCATCTAGGGCAGGGGTTGGCAAACTCTTTCTATAAAGGGCCAGACAGTAAATATTTTAGGCTTCAGATTTCAGTTGCCTACTCAACTCTGCTGTTGGTAGGCAAAGGCAACCACAGACAATAAGTAAATGGTGGTGTCTGTGTTCCAATAAAACTTTATTTACACACGCACACAAGGGGTCAGCTGGATTTGGCCCATAAGCGGCAGTTTGCCAGATTCCTGAACTAGGGTCCAGCTCCTTCATTTTACACACAAAGAAATTAAGGTCCAAAAAGGTTAAGACACTTGGCAAAGGTCAGCAGGCAAATAGTCTAAGAGCCAAATGCAATATTCTTTTCAGACCATGTATTCTTCTAGAACACAAACTTTAAAATGATTATATTTACCATAGGGCTAAAACATAATATACTCTGAGAAAACTTAGAAAAATCAAGTGTTATAATTTCTTATTTAATTAAAGTCAACAGAATATAATGAAATTTATGTAAGCCAGGGGATAACTAGGCATCAATCCATACACACACACATACACATACACACACACACACACATACACACACACACATCACCATGTTCTTATGTGTAGTTATCTGTTTTGAAATATAGCAGGAGTTCAATAAATTGTGTTGTATGAATTCAAAACATGAATTTAAATGCAATTCAGTTTTAAGCATACCCATATGCAAAGGTGCTTTCATTTAAAACTTTCATGATCACAAAGAATATGTTCCCAATAATTACCTAAAAGGGCAATAACCCTGTATCACTGAGCAGTTGGGGACATTTTAAAGGACTTTTCAATTAAATCATTTAAAAAATCAATTTTAAAAACAGTATGATATTTCTTCAGATGAGCTATCATACCTAGTAAATCTGCTCCTTCATCCACATCTCCTATTAGGCCTGAGCCAGCTGAAGACAGTTCTTCAAAGAGAGATTCTGTATTGCGATCAAAAGCTTTGTTCTCTATGCCTTTGGTGGGAGTGCTATGCAACAAGAACAACAAAACCAAATCAACAAATGACAAAGACTTTTTTGACGCTGTAAAATGAATACAATAGGCTAAGCTACATAGGACTTTCTTACCTATAATTTACGTTTACTAGAAAATATAACTTAAAAAGATTTCTCAAAGGCTTCCTAAGAAATTCTCACTAAGCTCCATGGAAATAGCTGGTGAAGAAATTATAGAATGTTTTTGTTGTGTGATCCCAGCAAACACAAGCAATAATGGCAGCTCCTCTGCTCTATACCAGGTGCTGGTCTCAGTGCTTCCCATAGATTACCTATGTCACAAGAAGGCAATTATGTATGTAAAAGCTGGTTAGAGTAGCATTTCTCACAGTGGCAAAAACTGAAATGACCTAAATGACTGTTAACAGGGGACAGATGAGGTAAGTTATACACATACAAAATTAAAATTTTTACCTTTAAGGTTAAAAACATAAATAGAGCTTTATAAACTAAAGAAACCCATGATACAAAGGTTTTTTTTTTTAATCAAGTTGCAAAACAGTGTATATACTATATGCCCTATTTTGCAGGGGTGTATAGGGGAATGGGGAAGTGTATATGTTTGTGCCTGAATACTATTATTAATAGAAAAAACTCTGTAGACCATTTCCAGCTAAATATGGTGGAGAGAACATAGTCATTTATCACCTAATAACTCAGAAGCTCAACTAAAATGAAAGTTAAGAAATTAAAAAGGTATACACCCAAAAGGACAAAGAGAATAGAAAAAGAAACTATAGCAGATGAAATGTGAACAAAATTCTGTAAGATGGAAAACAGATGGGCAAACAGTAGAAAGTGATTCAATAGACCAGAGAAAGCTGAAACCTAAGCCACTGGGGTTTAGGGAGGAGGTCAATATGCTGCCAGAACCCCTGAAAGGCCTAGGACTTGAAGGTACCAGCAACCACAGGGAGGGCATGCAGGGAGGAACATGAAACAGAAGGACAGGATTAAAAAAACTGTACAAAAGGCGGTACAGGACCTAGACACAATCCTCCAGAACAGTGAGACCTCCCTTCTCTTGGCACAGCTCCCTAATAATGGAAGCCAAGTTTAAATGTTATAGGCAGGAAAGTGGAGAATCAGCATTATTTACTTAAGTATGAATAAAACAGCCACAGAGTACCAGATGTCTAAAGAAGGCCTCTATTATAAAAGAAAGGGCCCAAAACAAAGAGGATGTGACAGAGACACTAAGAGCAAAAAAAGACAATGCAGGCAGCAGCAACAACAAAAAAACAAAGCACTTAATTTTCTTCAGAATAAATGTTGCATTCGTAAAATAGCAAGATGGTATAAAAAGTACCAACCAATAAAAAGAATTTGGAAAAAAAAAAAGAATGAGGGTTTAAAAAAAAATCTGCCAGCAATTAGTATAAAATAAAAGAGATAGGAAAGAGGGGAGAAAATAAATTATGACAGTCACTCCAGGATGTTCAATGCATACCTAAGAGGTGTTCCAGAACGAGAGCAGAAGAAACAACAATAAGAAGAAAGAGATAAAATTTCCCAGGACTGGAAGATAGGAATGTTCAGATGAAAAGACTTACTTCATATAAGAAGATACAAAAAAGACACCTACACCAAGCACAGTATCATTAATTTTTAAAAAATCAAGAAAGTGACAATCTTAAAAGATTTCAGAAAGTATATAAAAATGAGCAAGAACTCAAATAACAACACCCTGAACTCAGCATGAAAATGAAGTAATGTCTTTGCAATTCTGATGGAAAAAAAATCTCCCAACCCATATAGTTCTTTATCTAGCCAAACTATCAAGTATGTCTTCTTAGGAAATTTGTAACATTCAAGTTCATAGTGCTCAAAAAAAAAAAATTTACTTGTCATGCACCCTTTGCCAGGAAACCTAGTAAGGATATGTTCCGTCAAAACAAAGGCATAAATCAAGAAGCAGGATGATGTGGCATCCAGGAAACAAAAGATACAACAGAGGAGAAAGGTGAAAAGAATTCCAGGGATGATAGTGAGGGCATATTCCAGAACCAGAACAAATATGACAGCAGTCTCAATTGGAGAATGGGAATAGGAGGCTGCAGGAGAGTAAGCCCTAGGAAACAGGCAGGTTTTGTGTTTGGTCATATTGGGGACTTTTACATTTATGAATTGCATAGTGTCTGCCAGTGATTTAGTAACAGGTCCACAGAAACATAAGGAAAAGAAACAAAATAACCCAAGGCTTTATTAATTTCAGAAGAACAAAAAGTTGTAAAAGAAATGAAATGGGCCGTAGCAGTGGCTCACGCCTGTAATCCCAGCACTGGGAGGCCAAGGCGGGTGGATCATGAGGTCGGGAGTTTGAGACCAGCCTGACCAACATGGTGAAACCCCGTCTCTACTAAAAATACAAAAATTAGCCAGGCATGGTGGCTCACGCCTGTAATCCCAATTAGGATGCTGAGGCAGGAGAATTGCTTGAACCTGAGAGGCAGAGGTTGCAGTGAGCCGAGATCACACCACTGCACTCCAGCCTGGGCGACAAAGCGAGACTCCGTCTCGGAGGAGGGAAAAAAATAAAAAAATAAATGAAATGTAATTATACTGTATTCTGTGGCTAAGTAGAATTACAGATTAATTTTATATAGTCATACTGATATAAATAATGAATTTAACTAACAGAATTTGAAATATATAATATTAGGAGGATGAAAGGATGGTGGTTTAGGCATTATATCCTCATCTACTACAGAAAGCCAACAGCTAGCATCACAGCCTTTTTCAACCAGGGTTCCGTATTTGATCTACAAAATACAGAAAAGGATTTAAGTGAGTATTTTTTCCATTCTCCCAAGGTAAGTACATACCTAGAATCCTATTCTAGACGCACAGGAGCATAGCTAATTCATTATATACAAGAGATGCCTTAGGGCATTAGGACTACATTTTCTCACAGAATCTCAGCTGAAAAAGGGAGGGATGAAGGAGGGGCAGGACGAACATGTTATTTTAGATACCTGAAGACAAACAGCATAAGAGAGAGCTAAGAAGTGATAGAGTTGTGCACCCTTTACCCAGAAAGCTAGTAAGGATATGCTCTGTCAAAACAAAGGCATAAATCAAGAAGCAGGGTGATGTAGGATCCAGGAAGAAGAGTGGCGACAGAATGAGAACCTGTCTGAGAGAGAGAGAGAGAGAGAGAGAGAGAGAGACAGAGGGTTCTGGATTTGAATCCCAAGTCCACCTCTTGCTAGCTTGGTAATCTGGGACAAGCTACTTTGAACAAGTTCTAAGTCTCTTTATTTATAAAATAAGGATAAAAAGATCTACCTCATAAGGTTGTAATTAGGATCAAATTATATAAAATCATGATGAAAACAATATTACTTAACATTTATTGAATGGGGCATTTTGCAATGATTTATCATATATTGATTCATTTAATCCTCACAACCATCTGAGGTATTAACACAAAGCTGTTTTATAAATGAGAAAACATACCTAAGATTCAAATCCAAGACAGGATTTGAACCCATGCAGTCTTACTCTAGGGTCTATGCTTTTAACCGCTACAGAGTACTGACTGCACAATGCTTAACAGAGATCAATAAATGGCTTGTATTTTTATAGTCATTAATTAATTAAAGGATCAACTTTATGGAAGAAATGAAAAGAAAGGCAGTAGCTCCTGTCTGACATTCTTGAGCATCAATGTATTTTGGATAATCCTGATTAAGATGATATCTAATCTCCCAGCACTTTGGGAGGCTGAGGCAGGCGGATCACTGGTGCTCAGGAGTTCAAAGTTCAAGACCAGTCTGGCCAACATGGTAAAACCCCATCTCTACTAAAAATACAAAAAGTAGCCCAGTGTGTGCCTGCAGTCCCAGCTACTTGGGAGGCTGAGGTGAGAGAATCGCTTGAACCCGGGGGAGGGGGTGGGGGTGGGAGTGGGGTGAAGGTTGCAGTGAGCTGAGATAGCACCACTGCATCCAGCCTAGGCGACAGAGCAAGACTGCATCTCAAAAAAAAAAAGATGAGATCTAACTATTTTCTTCCTACCACTAAACAGCCTTCCCATGTAAAATGATACCAAAATGAGACTAATTTCTTCCAATAATGAGATTACACTTCTCAAGATGGAAGTACATTCTCTCTTCCTGATCTGGTGGAAGGTACAAAAGTTTGTTCAAACTTTTTTGTTTTGTTTTTTAAATCACATTTATTTAGCATATGTACACATAAAAAAGAAATCACCTTCTGAACCCACCCAGCAGCAGGAAACATGCACAAACTCCAGGTAAGTGCTAGGGGGAGGGGCCCTGGACCCAAGTTAGTGTCCGGGACAATGCAATCTTGTGAGTAACAAGCCCCAGTCAGGAGGGGGCTGGACTGAAGTGTCCGGCAGGCTGGAGTACCCGGCTGCTGGCCCTAAAATAAGCATGCTCCATAGCCAACGGTGTGTTTCATGCCCTCAAAGTAGCACCGCTGCCAGCCCTGCCATGTCCACTCTGTTACTTCCTTCACTCCCGCTTCTTGGTTTTTTCAAGTTACAGAAAGTATGGGATATGTCTTGGCTGTCTTTTTTCCCCTATCTGCTATAGTTTGAATGTGTCCCCTATAAAATTCAGCTGTTGCCAATGTGATAGTATTAAGATGGGGCCTTCAAGAGGTGATTAGGCCATAAGGGCTTCTCCCTTATAAACAGGATTGGGGTCCTTATAGAATAATGAGGCTTTATCCAGTGTTCAGGGCTCACTTGTCCTTCTTCTATGTGAAGACACAGAGTTCCTCCCCTCCAGAGGATGCAGCAACAAGGCACCAACTTGAAAGCAAAGAGCAGCCCTCACCAGACACCTGACCCTGCCAGCACCTTGATCTTGGCCTTCCTAGCCTCCAGAACTGTGAGAAAATTAATTTCTGTTCTTTATAAATTGGCCAGGTGCAGTGGCTCATGCCTGTAATCTCAGCACTTTGGGAGGCCGAGGCAGGCTGATCACCTCAGGAGTTTGACACCAGCCTGGCCAACATGGCAAAACCCCGTCTCTACTAAAAATACAAAAAAAAATTAGCTAGGCATGGTGGTGGGTGCCTGTAATCCCAGCTACTCGGGAAGCTGAGGCAGGAGAATCACCTGACCCTGGGAGGCAGAGGTTGCAGTGAGCTGAGATTGCACCACTGCACTCCAGCCTGGGCTACAGAGCGAGACTCCATCTCAAAAAAATAAACAAGGCTGGGCGCAGTGGCTCACGACTGTAATCCCAGGACTTTGGGAGGCCGAGGCGGGTGGATCACCTGAGGTTGGGAGTTCGAGACCAGCCTGACCAACATGGAGAAACCCCGTCTCTACTAAAAATACAAAATAAGCCAGGCGTGGTGGCACATGTCTGTAATCCCAGCAACTAGGGAGGCTGAGGGAGGAGAATTGCTTGAACCTGGGAGGCGGAGGTTGCGGTGAGCCGAGATCGCACCATTGCACTCCAGCCTGGGCAACAAGAGCGAAACTCTGTCTCAAAAAAATAAACAAATAAATAAATATATAAATTACCCACTCTGGTATTTTGCTATAGCAGTACAAAATAGACTAAGACACCATCCTTCCTGCTCATACACCTAATTTGTGATCCTGCAAAGATAACATTTAACAAAAAATTTAAACCATGTACAGTGTCCAGTTTCAAGAATAGGAATTAGAATATAATACTAACATTTCTTCAACAAAACATCTGAATCCATTTTGTCCAGAGACTGGAGAACAGTGTTTATGGGAGTTGGGGGTGGGGGGCGCAGAATATGTCTTCATCTAACATTTATGTTACCTTGAACCTTTATATCCACTGAGATCTTTGTCCATATCCAGCTCAGGAGTAGATTCGATGATTGCTTGAACTTCTGACTTTTCTTCATTTTCAGCAGAGCCTTAAAAAAGGACATGATGAAATAAACAATACATATATTACACAGTACCCCAATATAAAAATCCTGTTGTTTTTATGGGTGTAAAGGTATCATTTGAACATTTTTTTAAAATGTGCAAGACTGGATTTTAGGAAATACAGCATTATACAATATATCACATATTCAGTTAACAGATTGTATCAAAAACTAATAAGCAACCAAAGAAAGTTTTCCCTTGTGTTTCGTGGAACACACAGTACAATGTATCCAAGGCCCTGCTTTCATTCTTATTTAAAAGATGGAATTTAAAGGAACTAAAGACAAAGACTAAACTAAGATAGGGGACAGAAAAGAACTGTCCTCCCGTCTTTTGGGTTCTGTGACCTCCTGGCCCCCAACTCCTGGCCCCAATAGTTTCTCTCCAAGACTATTTAAACATTACCTCTTTTAAGCTTATTTACAATTGAATACAATTAAGTGCAGTCTTATCTCAGTATCCATGGGGGATTGGTTCCAGAACCCACCACAATACCAAAATCCATGGATGCTCAGGTCCCTTATATAAAATGGCATTGTATTTGCATACAACTTATCAATATCCTCCCATATACTTTAAATCATCTCTAGATTACTTATAATACCTAATACAATGTAAATGCTATGTAAATAATTGTCATACTGTACTGTTTAGGGGATAATAAGAAAAAAGTATGTACATGTTTAGTGCAGGCACAGCTATCATTTTTTTTTCAAATATTTTCAATCTACAGATGCAGAACCACAGATATAGAGGGCCAACTATATCTGCCTATTTTATAAATACAAAGCAGGCAACACCCACAAAGACATATTTTCTCATACCCACATTATCCAGGTTTACTGAATACTTTCCTAGTAAGTAAAGAACTAGGGTCACTCACCAGTAGATACATTTCTAGTTTCCTGGGCTACCTGTACTTCAATGTGTTTGCTTATCTCTGATTTATTTGGCGCATCTGTAACCTTCACAAATCCTTCGTTTTCTTCCTTTAAGGGAGTATCAGTAGGAATTGTTGCCACATCTGAATTAGCTGTTGATGCTGGAGTGGTAGCTTTAGATCCGCCTTGGCTAACATCAGAAAGCTCATCCTACAAATAAAAATAATTTAAAATAAAATTTTAAATGACGAATTTACTCTAAACCACATTAAATGGGTTGAGAAATAAATCTACCAAAGAAAGTTCTATTTTTTTTTCCAAAATAAAGGCAATAAAGAGCCACTGATTACCGGTAAGTACTCTCTTTAGACCCTCTGCAAATAATCGGGAAATATTTAAGTAAACTGTATTTTTTCAAATGATATTTTTCTAAACAGAAAATTTGAAAATAAAAGAATTATTAGCAATAAAACTATACATTAATGTCAATATCATTCTTAATGGCAATTGCAATATTGTACAGTCACTTGGTAATAAAGACCTACTTTAGAACATTTAGAACACATACTCTGTAATAGCTGATCTAAAACAGAAGTAGAATAACCAAATTCTTAACCTCGGGTATCTTTGTAAAGTGTGGTATTAAAATATCCTGCATCTAAATCATTTGAAGTGCTTGAAGTGCTTGTTAAAACGCCGTGGCTCACACCTGTAATCCCAACACTTTGGGAGGCCGAGGCAGGCGGATCACGAGGTCAGGAGTTCGAGACCAGCCTGGCCAACATGGTGAAACCCCGTCTCTACTAAAAATACAAAAAGTAGCCAGGCATGGTGGCAGGCACCTATGATCCCAGCTACTTGGGAGGCTGAGGCAGGAGAATTGCTTGAACCTGGGAGGCGGAGGTTGCAGTGAGCTGAGATCACGCCACTGCACTCCCACCTCAGCAACGGAGCTAGACTCCATCTCAAAAAAAAAAAAAAAAAAAAGCGGGGAGAGGGGGCAGATTCCAGCCACGCACATGCCTGTAATCCCAGCTGAGGCGGGAGGATCCCTTGAGCCCAACAAGACCCTGTCTCTTTGAAAAAAGAGAAAAGAGTAGGGAGTAGGGAGGAGTAGACAGAGTCTAAGTCCAACTCCAGACTTAATGCACCAAACTTTGGGCAGTGAGAATAGGTCATCTATATTTTAACAAGCAATCCAGGTGAGTTACATACTCATTGAAATTTGATCACTATTATAGGATCTACAGATAGGTTTCAAGAGGTATATGCAAATTGAAATTGTATGCAAAAATTTGTGTACAATGTATTTCTCTGGGAAAAGAATCATAGCTTTTATCAGATATTCAAAGGGGTTTGCAGCTCCAAAATAATTATAAACAATTGTCCAGTGGCTATCAAAAATGAAGCAGTTCTTTTGGAGCACCCAGGTTTTAAGAAAAGAGAAACTGACAAAAAGTTTACAGCCACCACCACTAATAATAATAATAATAATAATAATAATAACAATAGGCCGGGTGCAGTGGCTCACGCCTGTAATCCCAACACTTTTGGAGGCCGAGGCAGGCGGATCACCTGAGGTCGGGAGTTCAAGACCAGCCTGACAAACATGGAGAAACCCTGTCTCTACTAAAAATACAAAAAATTAGCCGGGCATGGTGGCGCATGCCTGCAATTCCAGCTACTCGGGAGGCTGAGGCAGGAGAAACACTTGAACCCGGGAGGCAGAGGTTGCAGTGAGCTGAGATCGCATCCAGTCTGGGCAACAAGAGTGAAACTCCATCTCAAAATAATAATAATAATAATAATAATAATAATAAATCAGGGTTAGGGTAAATTAAGTGAATTTATCATTCACTAAATGTATGACCTTGGGTAAGTAATGTATTCTTTCTAAACCTTTGTTTTATCATCTGTAAAATATAGATAACAGTATCTACTTCTTAAGATTCTTATTAAGTTATTCTACATTATGGCTTAGCAATGTGTTTCACACATACTAAGAATTTAAAATATTAACTATTATTATAATAGTAACTATTTGTATAATTCTAAATACATAATTATATATTTTTATAATTTATAACTATTATAATAGTAACTATTAGTATAATTATAATACATAATTATATATTTTTATAATTTATTAATTTATAATATTTTAATTATAAATTATATATACTATATATAATTCCCTTAAGGGAGTATCAGCAGGAATTATTGCCACATCGATTTAGCTATTGATGCTGAAGTGGTAGCTTTAGATCCACCTTGGCTAACATCAGAAAGTTCAACCTACAAATAGAAGTAATTTAAAAGAAATTTTAATTGAGTAATTTATTCTAAAGTACTTTAAAAATTG
Organism: Homo sapiens; assembly: GCF_000001405.40. Lineage (NCBI taxonomy): Eukaryota > Metazoa > Chordata > Mammalia > Primates > Hominidae > Homo > Homo sapiens. The sequence goes on from NC_000017.11 coordinate 51,023,518, forward strand.
GTTAAGAAATAAATTTGCCCAGAGAAAGTCACAATTTTTTTAAAAGGCAATAAAGAGTCACCGATTATCAATAAATAATCTCTCTAGCTCCTCTGCAAATAATTGGGAAATATTTAAGTAAATCGTATTTTTCCAGGCGTACATGAAATTCTTCTTTTTTTTCTAAGACAGAGTCTCGTTCTTGTCACCCAGGCTGGAGTGCAGTGGCATAATCTCAGCTCAATGCAACCTCCACCTTCCAGGCTCAAGCGATTCTCGTGCCTCAGTCCCCTGAGCACCTATGATTACCGGCGTGCGTCACCATGCCCCACTAATTTTTTGTATTTTTGGTACAGACGGAGTTTTGCCACGCTGCCCAGGCTGGTCTCAGATGCCTGGCCTCAAGCGATCTGCTGGCCTCAGCCTCCCAAAGTGCTGGGATTACAGGCGTGAGCCATTGCGCCCAGCCGATTTTTCTAAATAGAAAATTTGAAAATACAATACGAAAGGCATTAGCAGCCAGGCTCGGTGGCTCACGCCTGAAATCCCGACATTTTGGGAGGCCCAGGCAGGCGGATCACCTGAGGTCAGGAGTTTGAGACCAGCCTGGCCAACATGGCGAAACCCGTAATCTACTAAAAACACAAAAATTAGGCATGGTGGCAGGTGCCTGTAATTCCAGCTACCCGGGAGGCAGAGGTTGCAGTGAGCTGAGATCGCACCACCGCACTCCAGCCTGGGGGATAGAGCGAGACTCTCTCCAAAAAAGGAAAAGCATTAGTGATAAAATTACACACTGATGTCAACATCATTTTAATGGCAGTTGCAATACTGTATCACTATTAATTACAGTATATTGTACATATTAATTATAATATATTGTACAATATATTTTACACAACATATAAAAATAAAATAGCATATCCATGTTAAGAGTACAATACTTTGGCCAAGCGTGGTGGCTCATGCCTGTAATCCCAGCACTTTGGGAGGACGAGGCAGGCAGATCACCTGAGGTCAAGAGTTCGAGACAAGCCTGGCCAACATGGAGAAACTCCGTCTCTAAATCAGCCGGGCGTGGCGGCACACGTCTGTAATCCCAGCTATTAGCGAGGCTGAGGCAGGAGAATCACTTGAACCCAGGAGGCAAAGGTTGCAGTAAGCTGAGATTGCACCATTGCACTCCAGTCTGGGCAAAAAGAGCAAGACTCTGTCTCAAAAAAAAAAAAAAAATTGTACAATACTTCATGTATGCCTGTAATCCCAGCTACTTCGGAGGCTGAGGCACAAGAATCGCTTGAATGGCCTGGGCAACACAGCAAGATCCCATCACATAAAACAATAATAATGTATTGTACACTTAAAATTTTTAGAGGGTAGATCTCATATTAAATGTTCTTACCACAATAAAATAAAAAAGGCTGAGGCAGGAGAATCGCTTGAACCCAGGAGGCAGAGGTTTCAGTGAGGCAAGATTGCGCCACTGCACTCCAGCTTGGGCAACAGAGCAAGACTTCATCTCAAAAAAAAAAAAAAAATTGGCCAGGTGCAGTGGCTCACGCCTGTAATCCCAGCACTTTGGAAGGCCGAGATAGGTGGATTAGTTGAGGTCAGGAGTTCCAGACCAGCTTGGCCAACATGGGGAAACCCCGTCTCTACTAAAAATACAAAAATTAGCCAGGCATGGTGGCACATGCCTGTAATCCCAGGTACTCAGGAGGCTGAGGCAGAGGAATCATTGAACCCAGGAGACGGAGGCTGCAGTGAGCCAAAATTGTGCCACCACACTCCAGTCTGGTGACAGGGTGAGACTCTGTCTCAAAAAAAAAAAAAAAAAAAAAAAAAAAAAATGCTATTTTCTTGAATTGGTAACTGGCACCCAATATAAAATATAAAAGTATCTGATAGAAACCTACTAATTCCAGCAAATTCATTTGTTTGGAGTTGAGTCAAAAAGACTGACAGTATTAATTAAAAAAAAAAAAAACTGACAGTATTTAACACCTCTGGAGCCAAAGAGATTGATAGTGAAAACAACTACAAGTCCCTCTGAGCACCATTTGCATTGTCTTTGCTTTGATGTATACTCGATTAAAAAATAAGTGGTATTTGGCTGGACACGGTCGGCTCATGCCTGTAATCCCAGCACTTTGAGAGGTTGAGGTGGGCATATCACTTGAGCCCAGGAGTTTGAGATCAGCCTGGGAAACCTGGTGAAACACTGTCTCTACTAAAAATGCCAAAAATTAGCCCAGCATGGTGGTGCACGCCTGTAGTTCCAGCTACGAGGAATGCTAAAGCATGAGAATCGCTTGAACCCAGGAGGCAGAGGCTGCAGTGAGCTCAGATTGCACCCATGTTATCATGTACATGAATTCTCATTCTTTAAAAGTTTCAAACGTAACACACATTAAAAAATATAAAATAAACAGTCTGTATTTCTGATAAACAGTGTTGATGAAAGCACTTAAAACCCATTAAGACGGCGGATTCAGAAAGCCCTAGAGAATATTGAGTTCATCTATATGAGAAAGTGATATGCCTTTGAAACTATGTCAAAAATAAATAATTTGAGGTCAATCTTGGAATTCTCATTTACCTCTTAAATATAGAGAAATTATTTCTTCTTCCTCCTTATTATTCCAGTCCCCCACTCCCCACAAAAGGCAGGTTATTTTCACCTCAGAAAAAATTGTATTTAGTAATTTAAAAGTTCACAACATATGAAGTGTGGCAAAGGCCTACTTTCCAAATTCATTTGTGGATCTGGGAGCATGAAATAAAATAACCAGGAGACAGTCTAGATATCATGGGGTGAAAAGAGAAAAAAAAAAAAAAAAAAAAAAAAATAACCAGGAGAGAGCTGAACCTAAAACAGGAAAGGGACCATGATACCTCAGCAATCCCAAGGTTTCAGGCTACAAGGAAGTGGTTAATTTAGATCTACTTAGAAGAAAATTATGTTTTAAATTTATCCTAGGCTATCCAAATAAAATGAAATTTACTTATATGTAACTTACTTCCCTTTTATACTTACCACATAAAAATATTTTACACTCTTTAAAATAGCCCAATGTGTGGGCTATATTTCTGACAACTAGATCCCAGAGATACAGCATGAGAGCTGAGAAGGGAAAAGCTCTGATTTTAGGGGTTGAGCCCTTTTCTTTTTCTTTTCTTTTTTTTTTTTTTTTTTGAGACGAAGTTTCGCTCTTGTTGCCCCAGGCTGTAGTGCAATGGCGCAATCTTGGCTCACCGCAACCTCTGCCTCCCAGGTTCAAGTGATTCTCCTGCCTCAGCCTCCCGAGTAGCTGGGATTACAGGCATGCGCCACCATGCCCAGCTAATTTTGTATTTTTAGTAGAGACGAGGTTTCTCCATGTTGGTCAGGCTGGTCTCGAACTCCTGACCTCAGGTGATCCGCCTGCCTCAGCCTCCCAAAGTGCTGGGTTTAGAGATGTGAGCCACTGCGCCCGGCCGGGAAACCATTTTTGAAAGAGGTCTTTCTTCTTGGTATCCCAGGCAGTGGTGACATAAAGCTTCTAAGATTAGCAGAAAAGCACTTAGATGGGAAATCGGACAAAGTATTTGGCCAGGGGCACAATATTCTTGCATTATACCTCACTAACTGCCTCCAACTAAAGACAGAATGAGGCTAAGCACAGTGGCTCATGTGTGTAATCACAGCCCTTTGGGAGGCCAAGACAGGTGGATCACTTGAGGTCAGAAGTTTGAGACCAGCCTGGCCAACATGGTGAAAACTCATCTCTACTAAAAATACAAAAATTAGCTGGGTGTAGTGGCATATGCCTGTAGTCCCAGCTACCTGGGCGGCTGAGGCACGAGAATCACTTGAATCCAGAAGGGGGAAGAGGTTGCAGTGAGCCAAGATCATACCACTGCGCTCCAGCCTGGACAACAGAGCAAGACCTTGTCTCAAAAAAAAAAAAAAAATCATTGACCTGTTAAAAATTAAAATATACTACTTTTGGTCAACAGTACACTCATAAGATAATACGATCATGTGCCACATCTGCATAATGACATTTTGGTCAATAATAGACAGCATACAGCATATATAGTGGTGGTCCCATAAGATTAAAATGAAGCTGAAAAATTCTTGTTGCCCAGTGATGTTGCAACTGTCATAATATCCCAGTGCAATGCCCTAGTGTGTTAACAAAACTATTGCACTGCCAGGTGTATAAAAGTATAGTACATGCAATTCTATACAGTACATAATACTTGATAATGATAAACAATTATGTCACTGGTTTATGTATTTACTAAAATTTTCATTGTTATTTTAAAGTATACTCCTCCTTCTACTTAAAAATAATAATAAAGTTAACTATAAAACAGCCTCAGGTAGGTCCTTCAGGAAGTACTCTAGAAGAAGGCACTGTCATCATAGGAGGTGATAGCTCCATGTGTGTCATTGCTCCTGAAAACTTTCCAGTGGGACAAGATGTGGAGGTGGAAGATACTGACATTGATGATCCTGACCCTGTGTAGGCCAAGGCTAATAATATGTGTGTGTCTTGGTTTTTAACAAAAAAGTTTAAAAAGCAAAAAAAAAAAAAATTTTTTTTAAATAGATAAAAGCTTATAGAATAAGGATATAAAGAAAATATTTTCATAGAGCTATACAATGTGTTTGTGTTTTAAGCTAAACATTATTACAAAAAAATCAAAAAGGTAAAAAAATTTAAAGTTTATAAAGTAAATAAGTTACAGTAAGCTAAGGTTAATTTATTATTGAAGAAAAAAATTAAATAAATGTAGTATAGTTTAAGTGGACAGCATTTTATAAAGTCTACAGTAATGTCCAGTAATGCTCTAGGCCTTCATATTCACTCACTGCTCACTCACTGACTCACCAAGAGCATTTGCAGTCCTGCAAACTCCATCCATGGTAAGTGCCCTATAGAGGTATACCATTTTAAATTTTTCATATTGTATTTTTACTGTATCTTTTCTATGTTTAGGTACACAAAATAGTTACCACTGTGTTACAACTGCCTACAATATTCAGTACATGCTGCACAGGTTGCAGCCTAAGAGCAACAGGCCATACCATATAGTTCAGGTGTGTAGTAAGCTATACTGTCTAGGTTTGGGTAAATTCACTCTATGATGTTCCTACAACAAAATCACCTAAGTACACATTTCTCAGAATGTATCTCTGTTGTTAAGCGACACATGACTATGTATGCAAACAAGGGAAAATTCTTAAGAGGTCCTAATTGAAAAGCATTTATTATGAATCATTCAACATAAAGTTCCAGGGGAGTTGCATGCTGTCATTTCACATTCAATCTGTGGCTTCTTGACACTGCAAATTCCTATTTTATATTAGACTTTACAGGTCACTTGCCAGGTTGTGCTGTTTTGGCTAATACTCTTGACTGCAAATGACCACTAGCCTATCAAATCCTATTGTCTGACATCATTAAGATATCTTTTTCAATGGCATGAGTGGTGGCAAACATGGAGACTTACGCAGTCATCAAGTCTCTTTCTAACATATTTATTTTATAGCCCCATTTTCCCCTTTAGAGCCTTTAGGGAACTGCCACATCATAGGTGTACATGTCACTAGAGAATGTTCACAAAAAGCTAGTACAAGATTTGGAAGTGCATATAAAAGAATGGCATGTCTGTGCATATTTAAATTGTGCTTTGAAAAAAAATAGATGTAACACAAATGGCCAAAAAGCATATAAAATGATGATCAACACCACTAATCACTGGAGAAATGCAAATCAAAACCACAATGAGATATCATCACCTGGCCCCCATCAGGATGACCACTATCAAGAAAAAGAGGATGTGAATACATTAGACACTTGTGCATTGTTGGTAGGATTGTAAAATGATGCAACCACTCTGGAAAACAGTATGAAAGTTCCTAAAAACATTAAAAATAGAACTACCATATCATCCAGCAATCTCACTTCTGGGTATGTATTCACAAAAGCATTATTCGTAACAGCCATAAGGTGAAACCAACCCAAATGTCCATTAACAAATAAATAAACAAAATATGGTGTACACATACAATCAAATAAATATTACTCAGCCTTAAAAAGGAAGGGAATTCTGTCACATGCTATAACATGAATGAACCTTGAGGACATTATGCTAAATGAAATAAGCCAGTCTCAAAAAGACAAACACTACATAATTCTATTTATGTGCGGTATTTAATATGTGACATCAAATTCATAGAAACATAAAGTAAAATGGTAGTTTCCGGGGCTACAGTAGTTGGAAAGGAAGTTATTATTTAATGAGTGCAGAGTTTTAGATTTGCAAGATGAAAAAGCTCTGGTGCTGTTTTACAATAATATGAATATACATAACACTATTGAACTGTATACTTACACTATTGAACTATATACTTAAAAATGGTTAAAATGGTCATTTTTTTCCTCCCTGTGGAGACCACATCAGAGGTCATAAGATGGTAATTTTTATGTGTTTTTACCACACACACAAAATAAACGTCATTACTTTCAGTTTCACTTGAGATACTGCAGTAAAAGCAATCTGGTCTTTGTGCCATTTTCTTATGGGTTTTAAATATCAGGCTAAAAGTCTATAAGCTCTTCAAAATATTTTCAGTTGTTCCATTTACCAAATGCACCATGTGCTTAGTGCTATACAGAATATATATGTCATGGATTATCTGGCATTGCAGCATAACTATTTTCTAACAGACTATAAACTATGTTTACAACTAGAGAAAATGAATTATCCCATTCAGTTCAACTTACAGACACTACATGCCAATGTAGTGTTTTCCTGAGTAGCCTAACTTCTGAAATAAGTCATATAAAGGCAAGCAACTCTGCTACCTAAGTTTGTCTCTTAGATTTGAGGGTTTTAAGCCAAATGAAAATAAAGACAAAACTACAAACAAGTAACTAGCCCCACATAGGATCCCTCACTATTAACACAAATATACTTTTATACCTACATTTCTTTCTCCCCAAGTAAAAGTAAGTCTCTAAAGCATTGGTTCTTAAAACTCTTTTGATTTACAGCTATGTGGCATAAAAGAGTTACAAAATGGTGTGTACATACATTCTTCTGGAGAGTTTCAAATAATTTGACTCCTAAGAGTCTGTGACCCAAAGGAAACACTAAAAACCTTAACTCTAGATACTCACATTTAGGTAAAATCCATCTAAGTGTAAACAGAATGGTAGCTTCAAGAGAATTCAAATTATTAAAGGAAAGGTATGAATGTCCTAACTCTGAGTATATTTCAAAGGAAGAGGATACTGTTTCACTGTTGATGCTAGAGGGCTTCCATGGACCCAGGTCAACCCCTGACCTAGCACGTAGGAGAAAGTCACAGATATCCTGTTATCCCCAGTGCCCAGCATATCAAGCCTGACATGTAGCAGGCTTTTTTTTTTTTTTTTTTTGAGATGGAGTCTCGCTGTGTTGCCCAGGCTGGAAGGCAGTGGCACCATCTTAGCTCACTGCAACCTCCACCTCCCGGGTTCAAGCAATTCTCCTGCCTCAGACTCCTAAGTACCTGGGATTACAGGTGTCTGCCACCATGCCTGGCTGATTTTTGTATTTTTAGTAGAGACAAGATTTCACCATACTGGCCATGCTGGTCTTGAACTCCTACTCCTGACCAAGTGATCCGCCTGCCTGGGCAGAGTGCTGGGATTTCAGGCATGAGCCACCACACCTGGCCTGTAGTAGGCTCTTAACAGATGTTTGATGAATAAAGCTGGATGGTGCCCTGACTGGAGATGAAGAACTCTATTAAACTAAGGAAGCAGTCCACTGTAAGATGACACACTAGGCCACATTCAGGACAAATACAAGTTACATACATTATGCCCTGAAGAAGGTATTTCTGGAAAGTATACCATTACATAGAGCTGGATAAATGCAAACAGGCTGAATTTCACAGAATTTACTTATATTTTCTTTCCTTTATTTAAAAATGCTTACTTTGGGGAAGGAATAAATTACAGATTGCAGTAAAGCCCTGACAACCACTACAGTGGAAATAATTTTCTTTTATATTTCAGTGAATTACAACAATAGTCTTCCAAGCTGAGCATCTGATGTCTTGAGAATAGCAGTTGAGGAAGTAATCAATAGTTAATCACTTTAGTATACTTTTTGCAAAATGTTAAGAAGCACCATTCTCACCTCCTGTTCTACAGCCTTCTGAGGTTCAGGACTATTGCTGACCTAGGAAGAGGGAAGATTATAAAAGAGAAAAAAATTATGTGTTTACTAGGTTTTAACACAGCTGTAACTTTGGCTTGTACTATCTCCCAAGATACAAGATTCATCTATTATCTACTGTGTTTAAAATGAGGGTTTGGAAGCTTTGTTTTATTTTGACTTAAGCTGACCTTAACACTCTAGTTTAAGTAATATCATGGTTCAGAAGCCACCACTTGGATCAGTGTCTTATACTTATCAACATGCAGCTCATTGTTTAACCTTTTTTTTCTACTTACACCACTTTATGAAATCTTCCTGATGTTTATTCCAGTCCCTTTGACTATTTAACATGCTAATAATCCAGTGCAGCATACTCAGAAATGTTTATCACACCTCCTTCTATCATTTCTGAATTAGTTAGATAACACTAATGATCAAAGGATCACCAAAATCCAAATCCTTTTTCTTATTTTTTTTGAGACACGGTCTCACTCCTGTCGTCCAGGCTGGAGTGCAGTGACACGATCACGGCTTGCTGCAGCCTCAACTTCGCAGGATTCAGGTGATTCTCCCACCTCAGCCTCCCAAGTAGCTGGGACTACAAGTGTACCCCACCATGCCTGGATAAATTTTTGTATTTTTAGTAGAGATTTGGTATCGCCTTGTTGCCCAGGCTGGTCTTGAACTCCTGGGCTCAAGTGATCCATCTTCCTTGGCCTCCCAAAGTGCTGGGATTACAGGCATGAGCCATGTGCCCAGTCCCAAATCCTTTTTCATAAAAATCTATTTATTCATATTCTTTATTTCTATCTATACATTTTCCCTCTATGAGACGGATGTGTTTCTCTTAAATACAAAGCAACAGTTTCAAATACTCTTGGTCTGGAAATTCATCAAAGTCTTTTTGAAAGGCTGCTAGCTCTCAGTTATGCCCTTAAAAATACACAGATTAGGCCGGCCGCAGTGGCACACACCTGTAATCCCAGCACTTTGGGAGGCTAAGGCAGGTGGATCACCTGAGGTCGGGAGTCCAAGGCCAGCCTGACCAACATGGAGAAACTTGTCTCTACTAAAAATACAAAACTAGCTGGGCGTTGTGGCGGGCTCCTGTAATCCCAGCTGCTCTGGAGGCTGAGGCAGGAGAATCGCTTGAACCCAGGAGGAGGAGGTTGCAGTGAGCCGAGATCACGCCATTGCACTACATCCTGGGCAACAAGAGCGAAACTCCATCTCAAAAAAAAATAAAAAATACAAAATACACAGATTAACAAGGCATGATTCACTTTGTAGGAATCAGACTGCCTCTTCTTTAACAGATGTGGTTTTTTTTTTTCCCCTAGCTTTATTGAGATATAACTGACAAATACAGCATATAGTTAAGGTGATTTTTTTAATACACATTGTGAAACAATCACCACAGTCAAGCCAATAAACATATCTAGCACGTCATACTTTTTTTGGTGGTAAGAGCACTTAATGTTTATTTATAAGATCTTTGATTCTAGATTCTCATCATCTTTAATCATTCTCTTCATCAAAAACTAGGTAAAAACTTGGGTAGCTCTCTCTATATAAAAGTAGAAAGATTGTCAAGCTATGTCATTAAATGAAAAAAAAAAAAAAAAGCAAGCAGCAGGAAAACACTTATAAACCCACTTATCTTAAAAAGATATTATATCTATGTGCACCTGTAAAGAAAAAGGCCAAGGATACATCAACTATTTACAATGACTGGGGGAAAAAATGAAATTTAGGGTTGAAGAAACTTCCCATTCCTACTCCACATTCTTCAGTATTACTAAAAATTGTGAAACTGAATTAATATAATTTTTTAGACACAGGATCTTGCGATATTGCCCAGGCTGAAGTGCCGTGGCTATTCACAGGTACCATTACAGTGAACTGCAACCTGGAATTCGTGGCTTCAAGCAGTCTTCTCACCTCAGCCTCCTGAGTAGTAAAATAACTTTTTAAAAGAAATTATAAAGGCCTCTTTTAGAAAATATTTGGACCTCTGAGCACCTTAACAACATTTCTAGTACATGGCATTGTGCCTAACACAGTGAGCATCAATAAATTTTTTTGAGTGAAAAAGGTAATTTTTTCAGTAGAAAATGTTAAACAACTTCTCCTATTCTAAAAGTCTGTTTAAACAGTAAATGTAAGTATTAATAAATACCTATGTGCCAATTACCTCAGATGAAGTCACATTTAAAATACAAGCTTTAAACACCGCCATTTTGAAAGTGCTGCTTATTTACATCTTTATCAGTTTCTATTCTCAACATACATAATAGGCATCTTGGTCAACATACAACACAATAGAATCTTTACCCTTTTTTTCCTTCCAAACCCTAACAGTCACCTATAGGTGGTTCCTAAAGTTATCACATGAAGATATATGTGAGGAAAAAAGCTTATAAGCAAAAATTGAGTTTATAGAACAAATTCCTTATCCACTGTCATAAACAAAACAATATGAAATATTACAACACATAATCCATTTTTTTCTTAAAACTCTACTTTTATTTTACCCTAGTAGGCACACTAATACAAAATTCTATAAAGGAGGTATAAACTAATGGAAAAACCCAAACCAGAAGTAAATGAATGAATAATGCCTAGATCTTGGTTCCTAAATACACTTCTCCCAAAAAATGTGCCAGAGCTCCTTTGAGAAGTAGTCCAATTTTTAAGAGTGGGGCAGGGAAAATACAACAGCTTAGAGCATCTTATGGTGCCAATAAGGAAGAAAGCATTCAAAAAAGGATGGGGTATGTCAAAAGAGCACAGGAGCCAACCTGAAAGAGCTCTCAATGTCCAAAGCTAGAAAAATTTGAGAAACCAAAGAAATGATAGGTTCGCATAGCCCACAGAATAATATATGTATATATCCCTTGAATTCAAACTGGACTGGAGGGAAGGAGGGAAGAAGACAACTCTCCCTGATAGAAGAATTCCAATTAATAAATGTAGAATGAAGAAAATAGAAAATAACTATTAGCAATATTTTACTAATAATTGTTGTAGGCAAAATCCACTGTGGATGCTAAAATCAGTGAATGAAAGTTTGAGCAGAAACAGGGTATCTGCACAGTCTCAAAGTATATCCACACCAAGATACTAGATTCTGTTATATTCTCGCCAAAAATACATAACCTCAATCTAATAATGAGAAATCAGAGAAGCCCAAAGGGAGAGACATTCTACAAAACAACTAACCAGTACTCTTCAAAAGTCTCAAGGTCATGAAAGACAAGACAAGACTGAGGAACTGTTACACACTGGGAACACTGGCGAGACATAATGTACAAAGGCAATGTGGAAGCCAGGTGTGCTGGTTCATGCCTATAATCCCTGCACTTTGGCAGACTGAGACAGGAGGATTACCTGAGGCCAGGAGTTTGAGACCAACCTGGGCAACATAGTGAGGCCCTGTCTGTAATAAAAATTTTTTTTAAAAAAGCAATATGGGATCCTGGGCTGGATTCTGGAAGGGAAAAAGGATATTAGTGGAAAAACTGGTAAAACTCGAATACAGGTTTACCTAACAGTATTGTACCAAAGTTAATTTCATAGCTTTGATGATTGTATTATGGTTAGTTAACATCAGGGGATGCTGCGTGAAGGGTATATGGAACTCTGCACTATTTTTGCAACTTTTCTGTAAGTCTAAAATTACTTCAAAAAAGTTATTTAAAACTGCGAACTTTAACTTTTTAAATTACATATGCATTTTATAATAGGAATTGCAAATAACAATAGATATGATTCAACTACTATAGAGATTAAAGCTTGTAGAAACTAAAGAAATAGGAACAATTTCAGAACTTAACCACAAATGGAGGAGGATGGAAAATTCTCTCAACAAGAATGCTGGCTCTGTTTAGACATTTCCTGTTCTGCATGCTAAGCACATCCCCTGAAGAATGCAGCACACATTGACTGGCTTTACATACCAAACTCTGCTAACAAGAGCTTCTCACAGCAGTTTACTAAAGTATCACAAGTCATGTGATTTTATGAGAACTCTCTAAAATTTTCACAAGTAGGTGTCTATCCAATTGGTTTAGTTAGTTAAAATTGCTTTTCTCAGATCTAAAGGTCACATTCTACTAATAATCAACAACCAAGGATGCTCTTCAAAGAAAAAAATACTTTTTTGGAGTACATATGTATACACATGCATACATGTGTGTGCATGTTCTATGCCAGCCATATAATTTTCATGATGCTTTCTAGGCCTTGGATGGTTATTTACCACAGTATTATTTGTAACAGCAAAAGACTAGGAAAAATGAAGCTGTCTCAGCAACGAAGGAGATCTGAATTGCAGCTGGGATATGTGATCCCTTCCCCTCTGCCCTTCTTCTAAGATTCTGATACATCAATTATCTTTCTTCACTCCCTTGTCTTCAATTTTTCTCTCTATTGAACCCTTCTTGTAAGCATAGCAACAACCCAGTCTCTCCCATTCTATACTTTTCCCTCTGCTCTGCCAATCTCCACCTCAAGTTATCCTTTTTCTCTCCTCCCACCACAATCACCATTTTGAGTAGTCTACACATGTTATTTCCTCTTTTTATGATTTACAGTTACTCCTGTTACTGGCCCTACAACTTAAACTGCTCAAATCTACACCTATAAATTTACAAATTCAGTCCTCATTCTACTTGACTTCCCCACACCAGCTGACCCTGCTGACATCTTCTTCCATTCTAAAACTCCCTTTGTGCCTCGACTTTCAGCGCTCAAGTCTCTTACGGTCTCTCTTCTCTGCCACTACAGCCCTCCACTAATGCCCTTCTTTTCCCATGCATCTTCTTTCTTCTCCACTCCAGCCCCCTCTCCCCCTACCACACACAGATGCTGCCTTCCTCATCTGCTCAGGCTCTGACACTCTATACCTGGGACCTCTCCTTGGGGAGGCTCTCATCATCCTGTTTAGGGTCTTGTACCCCCAAGCCTGGCTGCCATCCTGCAGGGATGTCCTTAATGTTGCTGGGGCCCTGACTCTCTACACCAGGCTACCCCATATGGATTACCCTTGTAACTTTGCTTAGGTTATGATAACAACCCCACCCCTGCTCCTAAGCACCATGGAAAGCCTTACCTTCCTCTGCCCTGCCTGGTGGCTTTAGAACTAAATTGTGCAGAAAGGAAAGAGAAAGGGAAGATGAAGCAATACTATACCACCTTAATAATTACGCTTTATAGTAAATCTTAATACCTGGTAGAGCAAGTTCTTATACTTACTGTTCTTCAGGACTGTCTTGGTTATACTTGGCCTTTTGTTTTCCAATTCCTTCATTTGTAGCTTCTTTGTGAATATAATTCAGTAAGATTAACTGTCTCACCTTAACATTTTGTCCATTCTCAGTCTTAGCCCATGACTATTACTATTATTATTCATTATTTTTCTTGAGACAAGGACTTTGTCACCCAGGCTGCAGTGCAGTGGCATGATCATGGCTCACTATAGCCTCAGCCTCCCAGGCTCAAGTTGATCCTCCTGCCTGTGCCTCCTGAGTAGCAGTGACTAGAGGCGCACACCACCATGCCCAGCTGATTTTTAAATATTTTGTAGAGACAGAGTCGCTTGACACTAGAGGAATAAATTTTAAAAATACATAAAAAATAGGCCGGGCGCGGTGGCTCAAGCCTGTAGTCCCAGGACTTTGGGAGGCTGAGGCAGGTGGATCACTTGAGGTCAAGAGCCTGGCCAACATGGCAAAACCTCGTCTCTACTAAAAACACAAAAATTAGCCAGGCACGGTGGTGGACGTCTGTAATCCCAGCTACTTGGAAGGCTGAGGCAGGAGAATCACTTGAACCTGGGAGGTGGAGGTTGCAGTGAGCCGAGATTGCACCATTGCACTCCAGCCTGGGGGACAAAGCTAGACTCCATCTCAAATAAAAAAAAAAAATTATATATATAAATAAAATAAGTAAATATATGTGTTTTATATATATATATATATATAGTGTGTGTGTGTGTGTGTGTGTGTGTGTGTGTGTGTATAAACATTTTTTTAAAAAAAGGAAAAAGAGACGGAGTCCCACTACGTTGCCCAGGCTGGTTTTGAACTCCTGGACTCAAGTGATCCTCCTGCCTTGGCCTCCCAAAGTACTCAGACTACAAGCACGAGCCACCTGTCCAGCCTATAGCACTTTTATAATATGCTCTTTAACGCAACAGCTTTGATAATTTAATATAAGGAGTTTCTTTTTATCAATTTCACTAGAAGTCCCCCGGTACGAAATTCCTGTTAATGAAGCAATACAAAACTCCTCTGCTTTCTTCTTGAACTGATCTCCAAACTCGATTTGAGGACAATCAACAGGGTGTTAGTCTCTAGGGCGTTAGTGAGACTACATGTAAACTGTGGTATTTGCACTGGCCTTGAATTAGGGTATTTTTACTAGTGGTAATCTAGGCAAGGTAAAGCATATGTATGTGAGGAAACTATAAAGAAAAGCAATTAGATGCAGAGGTCTAGAGTCCAGGGAAGAGATATGAGTTGTAGATTCAAATTTGTGAGCACTGATGCATAGATGGCATTTACAGACATGGAATTTGATCTACCCAGATTAAGTAAAAAGAAGGGCTGACGAGTACCCCAACATTTAGAGGTCCAAAAGCAGAAGAGAAACCAGCAATGGAGAAGGAATGGTGAAGAAAATCAGTGTGTGTTTGCCATGGGGAATCCTGGAAGAAAACTGAAGGAAGTATTTCAAGAAGCTGAATATATTGAAATATATAAATGCTACTAAAAGGTAAGATGAGGACTGAGAATTTTCCATTATATTTGGAACGATGGATTCTTTTGGCACCCTTGACAGAAGGCATGTTGGTGCAGTAGGTAGGACTGAAAGTCTGAGTGTGATGAAGAGAAAACCACCACTTAAACATGCTGAAGTGCTTCCCCACTTCAGGGCCTTCACAATTGCCATCTCATCTTCCTCAACACGTACTCCTCCAGACCTTTCCATGCACCTGCACATCCCCATGTCAGGATGAAAGTCATCTTCCAGAGGCTTTCTCTCATACCCTAAAATGAGTACCCATCCTTACTAATTACTCTTTAGCTTACCTTGCTTTAACAATACTTGAAGTTCTATTATTTCATTTATTTGTTTACTTGTTTGTCGATCTCCATGAGATTGTGATAAATCAAGAATATGTACAAATATTTCTTTTTAAGAACTTGTACATTTTTCTAGGTGCATCATTCCTAGAAAATCTATTAGATTATTTACAACCTCACTCACCACAGGTCTCTCACAGTGAGAAATTTGTAATACACCAACAAAGAAGGCCCATAACTTTACAATCACTGGCAAATCCCCTTATCTGCTGCTATTCTGCCACAAAGTTTTCTGTCGTTCTCTCACAGGAAATTTTCACCTTAACCTTACTTCACAGAAAAATTGTGGTAGTAACACTAACATTAATTATAAATTTACACCTTCCATTTTTTCATAATGAAGTCAAAACATGCCCTAAGATGGCTAGGTCATCCTCAATCTCAGGGGAAATGATATTTTAAATTAGAGTCTAGTCCAATTCCTGTTATACACAGAAACCAAAATGACAGGGCATGTGACATACCTGTGGCATAGCCCACAAGTGAATCCTAAACCCCTGACTTCCAGCCCTGGTAAAGTAGAAAGTTATCTAGTGAACGACAAGGGCTTAGGTGAAAAATAAAATACTGTACATCCCAACTAGTAACATGATTTACAAACTAGACTTTTGCCATTTTGTAAGCACCACCCCATTCCTGGAAATCCTTATTCATTGAGTCTTTATCTCATTCGGTGGCTCCAGTTCCAGACCAAGTAGAGAGAGACAGGGTTTTGTTTTAGAAACTCTCTGGTGAGTACCTGCCTTATACTAAGGCAAGTCCTCCTCTAGGGAGGACACGAGAAACTCCTCTGCTTAAGTCTATACTAATAATTTGTTAATCGGTTTATAAGTTGTCAATAAAGTTCTGGCATAGCCTATCAGTGGAGTAAAAAATAAAGAGAATTATAATAATCTCTTAAGGCGCACTTTTGGGTAGTATTAAAATATAGTTACCATATGGGATACTTTTTTTTGTACTAAAAGTATCCCTCCTACTTTTGTTTTGGGAAAGCACACACAGCAAGTAGGCAATTGAGAGATGAGTGTTTTGGAAAATCTATTAAACCTGCAGGAAGGCTAAAAGACCCATTGTGGTACAGAAGTAAAGAAAGAGAGAGTTGCAGCCAGGCGCAGTGGCTCACGCCTGTAATTCCAGCACTTTGGGAGGCTGAGGCGGGTGGATCACCTGAGGTCAGGAGTTCGAGGTCAGCCTGACCAACATGGTGAAACTCTGTCTCTATTAAAAATACAAAAATTAGCCAGGTGTGGTGGTGGGTGCTGTAATCCCAGCTACTTGGGAAGCTGAGACAGGAGAATTGCTTGAACCCAGGAGGAGGATGCAGTGAGCCAAGGTTGAAATGAGCTGAGATCTCACCACTGCACTCCAGCCTGAGCGACACAGCAAGACTCTGTCTCAAAAAAAAAAAAAAAAAAGTGAGAGCGAGCGAGTTGCCCAGTAACATCACTGTGGGCTAATACTGAGCACTATTAGCTTCTAACAAATTGGGGCAAGAAGGGAGAAAAGGTAAGGTAACCCCTATTGTTAAAAATGATTTTCAGTGGGAGAAAAGCTATCAAATATTTATCAACTGCTTACTGTTTTGAGCACATTTCAAAGGTCAATAGAATGATTCTGAATGCCTCTACATTCTAGAGTTGAGAGAAAGACCACTTATATTGTCCCCAAAGATTCCTTCTAACATCTAAAACAAATCATTCACTCAACAAACATGTTCTGAGTACCTATAATGTGCTAGGCACTTTTCCAAGTGCTGGGGGATACAGCAGTAAATAAACCTCATAGAATTTATGTTCTTAGGGAAGAGTCTAGAGGCAACTAAATACAGTAAATGACAGTATTTTAGAAGCATTGTTAAGAGCTATCTTTACATGCTTAGACCATGATAAGTATTATGGAGAAAAATAAAGCAGGAAAAGGAAATAAGATACATGTAACTCATTTCTACTCATTGCAGGTGGCCTGTTTCATGATGAGTTGATTTTATAAGGTAACAAAAGATCTTTTATAATCAATATGATGAATATTTCATTTTAAAAGATACAGAACTTCAAATATTCTTAAAAGTTAATTATTAGCTTATATCCACTCAGCATATATTATTGTTTATATTTATCACTTATTTGATGACAAGTTCTTGGTCAAGAACATATCTATAATTAATTTACACCACGCCTTTTTAGCTAAACATAATGCATTTTTGTAGACTGCTCTATGAAGCGGTTTTAAAGAAGGAACAGTGTGTTTGTTTTGTTTTGTTTTTCTGTAAGTGAAACCCTACTAAATTGGAAAGCCTCTAACATGAACCAAGACTTTCTGGTAATAGCGATTTTCAATTCTAATATAATTAGGTTCACTAGTTACCCTACTCTAAACTCATATAGCCTAAATCAAATAGAAATTAATTTTTGTCATTAGTATACTAATCAAGATGATATAATGCTTCACTTTTTTTCCTATATAATTTGAAATAAAATAGTAAAAAACACACTCTTTGGTAAGAGCTCATTTCCAATTTAAAAAACCAATTTTACAAACTAAATGTATACAAACAATTACATTTTACTATACTGTGGTCGTCTAGCACTTCAATTAGGATAAGAAAGTTTATGAAATATAAACTGACACAATTTCAGCAGCATAAAGCTTACCTTCAGGCTGGTATGAGAACGTGGTTGACTTAATTCCTGAAATTTCCATTGCTCAGATCCAGGGGTCTCTCCTCCTTTCTGAGCATCAGGTGTAAGCAATCCATCTCCAGCAGGTAATGGGAAAATTCCTAATGATATAGGGCGTTCTTTTCTATTTGAAGAGGGGAGAAAAAATTCGGCATTCATTTATTTTGACTTTTTATTTGCCATGACTATAAGTAATAAGCCTGGACTGCCACTGTTTTACAACCATCACTCAAAAATGACACTGTCTGCCCATCTGAATAAAACAGACTTACCAAAGAGGAAGGACAGTCTCAGTTTAGTTAGCCTCAGGAAATTAGCCTCAAGAAATCAACTAAGAAAAGTGGTAAGAAGGGTTAAGGAAATCTTAAAAGTTACTGACGAGTTCCTTGCCCAAGAAGCAGTCAGTGGTCTAGTGTGGTCTGGAGAAGAGCTGCTGCTGGGTTTTTAACCATACGTAGCTTAGCCCTAGGGAACTTGCAACCTCCTTCTTTGGAAGTGAATCCAACCCATTTCTTCCCAAATCCTCTCGCTAATCCCTGGATGTTTACTGAAGCTTCTTCAGGGTATGACTTTCCTGCCTAGAGGAAAATCAATATATTATCTAAATCAGGGCTACCTATTAAATGATGAAAAGAACTCAAAATATCTTTCTCCCCACCACCCAAGTAAGAAAGCTCTGTTTTTCTACAGAACCACTATATGAGTTCCTTTCAAGCACAGTACATATGAGAAAACCATTGTCGGTTTTTTCCAAATAAGAAGGTCAAATAATTCTATAAAAGATTACTGAATTTCCAATGCTTTGTGAGAAGTTTCAATGAACAAGAGTTACAATTTTAATACTAACAGAATTTCAACGAGAAACACATCCTTTGTTGATGCACACAAGATTCCAAATCGAAGAGCTTTTAGAGGGTGGAAACAAGCCTACTAACGGGTCATCCTGGGTCATTAACTCAAAAGTGTAGAAACTAGAAAGAAATGATACACTAAAGGTTTGGTGCCTCCTGGAATTCCTACCTCTACTGGTAAGAATGTAAGTTAGAATAAAAACAATGAGCTCATTAATTAAAGTGGGAAAATTTCAGTTTTGCTAAGTAAGTCTTTAATTCTGTAGTTCATTTTTATTCCAAGAAACTTCAGCCACTTTTGAAATGTGTCTTCACTTAATACAAAGGGTGTGTTCTTCCATTCCTAACAATCTAAAAGGACTAGTAAAACTATCCCAATGCCTTCTTAAAAATGAGGTGAAGCAAAGGGGTTGAGAGACTACATTTAGTCAAAGTTGTATGCACAAGGAAATAAAATTTAAAAACAGAACTTTGATTTAGGGGGAAAATTCAAAAGCAGGAAGGCAGTACAATAAGAGGGTAGTTTTTGTTTGTTTGTGTCTTGCTGTGTTGCCCAGACTGAAGTACAGTGGGACGATCTCGGCTCACTGCAAGCTCTGCCTCCCAGGTTCAAGCAATTCTCCTGCCTCAGCCTCCCAAGTAGCTGGGATTACAGGCATTACCACCACGTCTGGCTAATTTTTGTATTTGTAGTAGAGACAAGGTTTCACCATGTTGGCCAGGCTGGTCTTGAACTCCTGACCTCACATGATCTGCCTGCTTCGGCCTCCCAAAGTGCTAGGATTACAGGTGTGAGCCACCACACCTGGCCAAGAGGGTAAATTTTAACACCAAATCTAAGTTTGCGACTATGAGCTGCCGGGACAACCAAATGACAAAAATTAAAGTGACTAGTCAGCTACCATGTTTACACCAGTTATTCCCAAATGCTGTTCAGCAACAAAGTTTTTATAATAAGTCCATGAAAAAAGAGGCGTTATTTATTATTTCCTTAGTGCATAGATAATATAGTACCTATTGTACACATACACATTCCCATATACTATAGAACCCTGTTCTTTCTTGAAAATGACTGACCCTTATTTTAAATTACATCTTTTCTTCTTCTTTGATTTTAAAATGCCCTTTCTTTCATTAAATGATGGTGACAGTGATAAGTAGCTAGATTTCCTTTTCATATTCATTCTGGACAAAATAAAAAGTTGTCAATCTGATGTTTTCCCCCCATATTTTGTGAACCGAAAATCCAAGGGGACTAAGAGCTACTAGCTGACTTTTATTTATTTTCTAACATACCTTAATGAGTTAAGCAAAAGGTGACTGGGAATTTAATGACTGAATATAATGGAAAGCTCTCTAACTCAAAATGCAAAGACAACCAGGAAGATGATATACAGACTTCATAAGACTCCCTCACACTAATAGAAATCAAAATATAAGCCATTCATTTTCACACATAACAAATATTGAAAAAGTTTAAAACTATTGGGGGAGGGAGTCTTCTATGAATCCAAATTTTACTTTCCAAAAAGTAAACAAAATCAGTTGACAAAATCTACAATCAACAGTCAACAAAATCTACAACCCAAATTGCAAATAGAATTCCCACCTTTTTAATTTGCTTGTATCAATCATTCAGAAACTACTCTACAGGGAGGGGAGATCTCTTCAGAGACTGACAGCTATCTGTCAAGTGGGTCAATGATGCTCTAGGTTACAATGTTCCAACTCTGAAAAAATAATTACTACATACTCCTCCCCTTACTTTACTTACAAATTACATACAGTTGGGGTAAGGGAGAGAAGGACGCATAATTAGGCAAGTTCATGAGAATCCTACTTTTGAAAAGAAACCCTGAAAGGTAAACATTAGTCCAGTACTATGTTGGCATGCATTAAATGCTTCAAACTCACAGAAGAAGGAAAAAAATGAGATACACGTGGAAAACTATCAAGTGGCAGATTTATACCTGCAGACCAAAACATCTGCTATTACTTGTCTAGAAAACGAAGCTATCAACAACTATCAGAATTCTTTTTTCTTAATTGCCCTACTTCCATATATCCATTTTTGAGTTGGTTATTAAATGTTAGCTTATGTATATAAATAATTTTACAACTACATTTTTGGAACAGCTTTTTGGCTATATTCACATTTGATACAACTAATTAGTAAAATCTGCTTTATATATAAAGGCAGATAAAAGAAAAAGTACATTTGTTGAACACTCACCACGTGGTGGGTACTGAGCTAGATGACTTATTTACATTATCGCATTTAATCCTTATCAAGAAACAGGGATTATTTTTCCAATTTTTCAGAGTAGGAAAAGTGATGCTCAGAGATTTTAGGCACTAGTAATTGGCAGAGTTTCGATTCAAAGCCAGTACTGTTCAATTCCAAGCCCTTTGCTTTCCTTGGAACTTCCTACTTGGAACTACCAACTTTTTGACAATTTAATCTTAATATCAAAGACTTTGATATCTTTATTTAATCAGATCA
The DNA here is from genome assembly GCF_000001405.40 of Homo sapiens. NCBI lineage: Eukaryota > Metazoa > Chordata > Mammalia > Primates > Hominidae > Homo > Homo sapiens. Next base: position 51,044,882 of record NC_000017.11, read on the forward strand.
GTAGCAATTTTTGTGGTAAAGAACTTTAAAATTTTAATTATAAGGTATTTTAGCTGTAGCTAAAACAATTTCTGCTAAAAATGGACACATATAAGTAACTGAAAATTATTTACTCAAGTAATTTACCATATATCTTACAACTATAATTAAATACAAAATAATAAAATCACTTGATTTTTAAAACCACCCAACGGGGTAAGTCCCATCAGGAGAGAAAACTCAGGCAGAGAGATTAAGCAACTTGCCAAAGCTCCTACGGCCACGTGCAATAGAGCATTTGCACCCAGGCAGTTCAATTCCAAAGCCTTGTTGTACCCACTTGCAGGCGCCGCACAGCAGCTCACGGCACTGCCCTCTCAAATGAAGCCTAAACCCAAGACATCCCCTTAACATTAGTCTTATATTAATATTCTACATATTCTTAAGTTCAGTTGCTTTTAATTTCTTCAAAGCCTAAATATACAGATACACGTACACAAATATTTTATGTACTAATATATATACAAGTAGTAAGATTATTCCCAATTTTTATAAATCAGGAAAGAAAATAAAAGACCAAGTATCTAGTTTTAAGTCATTGATGAAATTTAATTTCTGGGCTTTCAACTAATATTAAACTTGAACTGACCTATGAATAAAAAGAAACACATTAAGGGAAGTTACTACTTTAATTCTTCTTAATTTATCTAAATCTACAATTAGGGTTTAAATATTTTATAAACATTTAAATAATAAATAAAAACTATATACTATGAACTTTCATTTAAAACCATGCACAAAGCAGAAATCTGAACAAATCAGAGACTGCTAGTCTGACGGTTTAGAAAACAAAAGAAACCACAACCTTAAGCCTCTAAAATACAGAAGATGGCTCTTACAGGGTGTAAGTAGAGTGAGCAACAGTAAAGCTACAGAGATTAATGACTACCCCCACAAGCAGGCATGGATATTTGTCACCCAAGACTACAAAGAAAAGAAAGGGCAACATCTGACAAAACAATAGTGAATAGGCTTTGTAAAGCTTTCACAACTTTGATGTGTAAATAATGGGGAAAAAGGCATTCCTTAACCTAAAAGTCTTAAATTTTTTCACTTTAAAACATATTTTGTTTTAGGAGGAAAATATTTAAATTGTCAGTTCCCATGAGCTATTATCAAAAATTACAAAAATGATACCTGAAACTCTATCATTCAAAGGATAATTAAAACAAAATAAGCTTACGGCCTGTATCTAACTGACTGCAAGTCCAAGCATAAAAGATATTTGTCCCTAAATGCTCAGAAGCTAAATGCAGAGGTTGTATAAACTTGGAGCCGGTGCTCTACTCTTGCTCTTCTTTTACTTTGAACATTCTGCTTAAAACAAGACCACACTGACCTTGTACTTGTGTGTAAGTACAATATGAAAATCCTTTTCTTTAGTTAGTGGTTTCCAAACATAAAGCTATAATCCTAACTGATGGTCTATAAATTACTATAAATTAGAATCAAAAATCCTAGCTTCAGGCCATTTTCCATTGTTTCAATCTGCAACAGAAATTGTTACAAAGCAGACCCGTTGAGCTAAAAATTTAATAAAAACCAGCTAAGCAGGGGCTTCTAAGAGAGATGGGAGTACCTGAGTATCCTTGGTAGGTTCTGCGTCAGAGCTGGCACACCGGTAGAAATAGAAAAGTGCACAAGCAGCAAAACAGAGAGAGATACTAAGATAGCAGAATTAATGACCACCGCCCCGCCAACAAAGCCAAACACAAACAGCAGCATGCATCCAGGACTCATGGCGCTGTGCTGGCATGGTGAAACACCCGAACCAAGGAGGCCTACACGGGGGCCAAAGGGGTATCTTTGTAGTGAGGATCTGTCATTCAGCTTGCTGCCACAAAAACAATGCCATCAGCAGCAGCTTTCCACTCCATCCTGCAGCAGCTCCCAAGCGATGACGTCATTCCGTTCTCCCCACCTCATAACCATAGAGCTGCTGCTCCTAGCATTTATGCAGCAACCCCAAGCGACAGCCAGCCTATTAACTATTTTCCCCTCCACTAAGAGTCCTGGCTTAGCTCATTGGCTACAATGCCTGAAGATCTACATAATTTATTCACACTCCTACACCAAACAGATGGCTAGCTAACCCTTTCAAACATGCCTCTCTGTAACAAAAAGGACTTCAAACCAATTACACGGGAGAAATAAAATATTTCAGCATTCCCATAAATTACAAAATTTTAAACCTAGTATAATCTCCATCAAGTATCAGAAAACAATCTAAATACTCAATGTGCTGCTTATATGGATGGCTCATAATTTATCTTTTTAATGGTAAAAACCGTTTCTACTTTTCTGTGCTATTCTCTCCTGCAGCATTCCAACCACAGTGGAGAGCTTTTTGAATCAGCCTAACTATTGTTCCAGGATTAAAGAACAGAGAAAAACAGAAACAAACATATTATTTATTTTACTTTTTCTCAAGGCAAAATATATAACAAAGCTTACCTAATTCTACTATGAGCTGTGGATTCTAGTTGATCACTCCCTGAGAGCTGATGAAGTTTTGTTCTTTCTAAATGTTCCATATAATTATGGATCATCTATTTTAAAGAAAGAAAAAATACACAATATTTAAGGCTAATACCTGGAATAAAATCATAGTGTTATAACAAGGAAAACATTTTGGTACAATTTTCTTATCTATCAGACTACTCGATTCCAAGTAAGAGAATATTAAGGAATGAAAAAAATTTTAAGGGAAAGTAATATGCAAATGCTTACATTTAAGGATGCTGGTGTCCACAAAAGTAGCTAATATCTTGCTTAGGATGGCAAAAAAAAAAAAAAAACCCACTTTTTTTACAATATGTGATGCTATTAAAATAATATTGATATAAAGAACACAAATTAGTAAACAGACACTGGGAAAGAAGTCATAAAAGACCATTGGTTAAAAATAATAGATGGCATTTGAGAAAGCCATTCACTAAAATGAGACACAACAAAGAAATTAATGTGAAACTTCTGAAGAAACCATATCCTTATGTGCTGATCTCTTCCATTTTAAAAGGAATTAACAGAATAAAGATCACTTTCAATTTAATTAATTTAATACCAAGAAAAGTTTCTTCTTTCGGTATATTTAGTTGAAAGAATGTTAAAATACTTTCTCCTTTGACTGTTACTGGTATCATTACTTGGTATAATCATCTATTATAACAGCAGCAAATTAATACAAATGTAAAAAATTAGAATACTTTTTGAGTCTTAGATAAGGAATCATATGACAGACAAGCTGAATAAGAAAGTAAAAACTTCAAGAATATAAAGTACATAAACTGCCAAGAACTTCTAATGTCCTATTTGATTCTTGATAATATATAGTTTCACTTTTAAAAAGCCTAAATTTGGAATTAAGACATAAAATCAAAAGGCCTTTGCTAGAGATACTAACATGATATGAATAAGAAAAAAATGAATTTTAAAAAACAAGAAATAGTGTGTTAGTATTTAAAGGGTGTAAATATTAAGAGGCAAGCAAAGGTTGATGTCTTTCTTGGGAATATTACTTGAATTCTTTTTTTTTTTAATGTCCCTTCTCACCATTCCTAAGGAATATTACTTGAATTCTTAACGCTGTACATAGAATAGCTTTGGAAGTCACTAAACTTTAGCTGTATTAAGATGCATTTCAATCTCTTTATAACTTAAAATATGCACTGTAGCATATTAAGTAACAAAATAAAATTTTTAAAAAGTTTAAATTCACTTTACAAAGCTTGCTTTTGTTGTAGAAATTTTATTTGGCATGTACAAATATTAGGAAATGTAAGTTAATTTTAAGATGTTATTTATCATCAAATAAACAAAAAGCTGAACTCTGATGCATGAAATAAAACAAATTAACCAGACTGTTCCTCAATGAAGACTAGTCCAAACAACAAATGTTATCCACAAAGAATGAAAACAGAATCACATGAATATAGTATCTTAAAATTTTTTAATTGACATACTTTTTATTTTAAATTTATAGATTTTACCACCATTTACACAACAGTTTTGGAGAAATACACCTTTCATCTATCAGCAAGTCAGAAATAATGAGCTTCCTTGTGTCAGGAAGAATTTTCAGGAACAAAAATCAAACTGAAACTAATATAACAAAGTGACTGTCAGGCTTAATCAATCTCAATTTAAATTTTCAAAAGGTTTTAGAAGGCCTAAATTAAGGCTTTGCAGTGGCTCACGCCTGTAATCCCAGCACTTTGGGAGGTAGGAGGTTTGCTTGAGGCCAGGAATTTGAGATCAGCCTGGGCAACACAGCAAGACACCAGCTCTAGAAAAAAAAATACAACAACTAGCAGGCACTCGCCTATAGTCCCTACTGCTCAGGAGGCAGAAGTGGGAGAACTGCTTGGACCCAGAAGTTCAAGGCTGCTGTGAGCTATGATCATGCCACTGCACTCCAGCCTGGGCAACAGAATGAGACCCCTCAAAAAAAAAAACCACTTTAAAAATAAAAGAGGTCAGGTGCAGTAGCTAATGCCTGTAATCCCAGCACTTTGGGAGGCTGAGGTGGGAGGACTGCTTGAGCCCAGGAGTTTGAGACCAACCTGAGCAACACAGGGAGACCCTGTCTCTACAAAAAAATTTTTAAAAATTAGCTGGGTATTTTGGGATGCGCCTGTAGTACCAGCTACTTGGGAGGCTGAGGTGGGAAGATCGTTTGAGCCAGGGAGATCAAAACTGCAGTGAACCATGAGTCTCACTCTGTCGCCCAGGCTGGAGTACAGTGGCGCGATCTCGGCTTATTGCAATCTCTGCCTCCCACATTCAAGCGATTCTGCCTCCCAAGTAGCTGGGTACTACAGGTGCCCGCCACCACACCCAGCTAATTTCTGTATTTTTAGTAGAGACGGGGTTTCACCATGTTGGCCAGGCTGGTCTCAAACTCCTGACCTCAAGTGATCCACCCGCCTTGGCCTCCCAAAGTGTTGGGATTACAGGTGTGAGCCACGGCGCCCAGCCGTGAATTCTTATATACACTGGATAGTAAAGTAATTGTATGTATGGGATTGATTTGTTCAAATGGAGGACCTAAGTTTCCTTAAGCATTCAGATGAAGAAAACAAACTCACCCCAGATTGCTGTATAGTAATCTATGAACTCAATATAGAAAAAGAATGACAAGCAAAATGCAAAAATAGTTCTCCCCCAATAGCCATTCTACAGACTGATTCTCTATTATCTTATTCTAAACTTTCTTTTAATGACTAGTCCAATGTAATTACAGATATAGTATTCTGACATTCCAAAATTATCTATATAATGAAATCAATTCTAACTCAACCAAACTAGCACTTTAAAGGAAAGAACTGACAACCAAAAATGACTGAGGGGGAAAAGAAAAGAGAGAACAATAACAACAAAATGGCAGCTATTATTTATTGAGCACCAATTATAAGTCAGTCAGTGCAGTTACAGCCATTTTTTCTCCATTTAATCCTCACCATATCATGATTTCATAGGTAAACTCCAAGTTGATTGTCTGGTCAATGACTAACTTTTCAAGTTGTCACTAGCTTTGGGGCCAGAACTCTGGCCTGCCTGACTCAGTCATCTGAGTTATTAAGAATTACAGGACTCAGGCCGCCTTTGTACTTAATTCTCTGAGCAGGCAATGAGCCCATTGTCCTTTCTTCCTCATACCCACAAGAAAATCCCATACCCTAAAGCATTTCCTGATGTCTGGAATAAAATGATATGCACTATAGTCTATAAACACACAAAAAAGAACAAAAATTATACATAACAATTTAAATATTAATAAGGCCTCACAGTATCACTCAGGTTAAAAAAAAAAAAAGTGAGTGGGAGGGAGCACCAGTGTTGTTAGACAGAAAAGAGAAGTGAGAAAGTAAAATAGGACACGCTTCAGATAATCTATTCTTGGGTCCACCAGGTCCATTGCTTCTGGTCTCAGAACTGCAATTCTCAATTTTCTCAGGTATGCATATTAATTCACACATTCAGGAGTCAATTCAGCAATAAACAACTGAAGAGAGAGAGAAAAAGAGAGGAAGGAAGAAAGGAAAGAACGAAGGGAGGGAGGAAAGGGAAGGAAGGAAAGAAAGAAAAGAAAGGAAGAAAGAGAATTTAAAAATAAAAAAAAAACAAAAAGAAAAAGAAAGAAGGGAGGGAGGGAGGGAAAAGAAAAATGTCTAGTGGAACTAAAGGTGTAGTGTGTTTTTTTGTTTTGTGACGGAGGCTTGCTCTGTCACCCAGGCTGGAGTGCAGTGGCACAATCTCAGCTCACTGCAACCTCCACCTCCTGGTTCAAGCGATTCTCCTGACTCAGCCTCCCAGGTAGCTGGGATTACAGGTGCCTGCCACCATGCCTGGCTAATTTTTGTATTTTTAGTAGAAATGGAGTTTCACCATGTTGGCCAGGCTGGTCTTAAACTCCTGACCTCAGATAATCCCCCCACCTCGGCTCCCAAAGTGCTGGGATAACAGGCGTGAGCCACTGCACTCGGCCAAGGTGTTAGTGTTATTAAAAGTTCAGGGAGACTGGGTGCTGTGGCTCACACATGTAATCCCAGCACTTCGGAAGGCCGGGACGGGCAGATCACTTGAGGCCAGGAGTTTAAGACCAGCCTGGACAACATGGTGAAACCCAGTCTCTACTAAAAATACAAAAAGTAGCCGAGCGTGGTGGCATGTGCCTATAGTCCCAGCTATTCAGGAGGCTGAGGTGGGAGAATCACATGAACCCTGGAGGCGGAGGTTGCAGTGGGCCGAGATCACGCCACTGCACTCCAGCCTGGGCAACACAACGAGACTCCCTCTTAAAAAAAAATCAGGCAATAGAATCTGACAAACCTGGCTTCAAATCTAGTCACTAACTAGCCTAGAATTTGGGGCAAATCATTTTATAGACTCTTTCTAAACCTCAATCTGTAAAATGGGAATGGATGAGAATTTGGTCAAAGGATAAAATGAGAATGCATTCAAACACTCCCTGATGTGAGACTCTCCCAAGATTCCAAAGGGCTAAAGTTTTTGGTGATTAGCATACACATGTGGGCCCGAGTGCTTCAAAATTGTCCTTTATATTTCTTCCACTGCCCTCTTTAAGGCATGTCTTTTAAGCAAATTCAGTAATGTATACAAAAATTTGATTTAAGAATAGTTGACTATTTAAATTTAAGAATAGTTATTCTTAAATCAAATTTTAAAAAGCCACGGTAGGTTTCCCTTAAGCAACAATGAATGTGTTTCATAAAAGTGCTAAACAACTATTAAAAGACATTATCTTCTTTGGAAATAATAGTGAAAAGGTTAAGGTTAAACCCCTTCAGGCTTCCTTTCCCTGAATGTTTTCAGAGTTTATGTTTTAAGGGCGCCTAGTTCTTTGGCTTTAGATAGCTATTTATAATTGCTAATTGAATGACATCTCTAGAACAGATGTATAAACAGAAAAAATTGTGGGCTAGAGCAGAACAGACCCACATTTCAAAGCAGCCCTATATATGTTACATAAACCTTCCTTCCTTGAGGCAAAACAAAATATAGGGAGCCTATCAGGTCAGAGGATAGAAGCTGCTCATAACTGAGGGAGGAGATCTATGAAAAGAGCTTTTGGGCGGCGTGGGAAATCTGCCTTGGTTACTGGACAGACCTAGCTCTCTGACTTGGTAATTAAAATTTTTCCTGAGATCTTTTTTTCTTCCTAGACTATCTTTTCCTCAAGGAATAGAAATAGACAAAAAAAAAAAAGTATATGTTTTCATTTAAAATTAGTATGTCAGGCTTCTTTATAGAAGCGTATCTTCACCTTTATTAAATATATGGAAAAAATATGAAATTTCACTTTACCGTTATTTTTAAAGAATGTATATATTTTAGGCCAGGCATGGTAGCTCACGCCTGTAATCCCAGCTCTTTGGGAGGCCAAGGTGGGTGGATGACTTGAGGTCAGGAGTTCGAGATCAGGCTGGCCAACATGGTGAAATCCCATCTCTATGAAAAATGCAAAAATTAGCCGAGCGTGGTGGTGCACTCCTGTAATCCCAGCTACTTGGGAGGCTGAGGTGGGAGAATTACTTGAACCTGGGAGGCAGAGGCTGCAGTGAGCCAAGATCACTCCAGCCTGGCGACAGAGCAAGACCCCATCTCAAAAAACAAAAAAAAGTATGTATTTTATATTTTATACTTTAATATAGCATAATTTAATAATTTTCAATTATTAAAAAAGATTAGAGCTTCATTTTAAAAACAAAAACGTTGTTTATTATTTATCACTATCAATTACTTCCCCCAAATATATTTATAATATATTTATAAAATTATAAATTATAAATTTATCAATTATAATGGATACAGTGGCTCACACCTATAATCCCAGCACTTTGGGAGGCCAAGGTAGGAGATCACTTGAGCCCAGGAGTTCCAGACCAGCCTGGGCAACATAGTGAGACCTTATCTCTACAAAAAATAAAAATGAAATAAACATTTTAAAAATTGGCGTGCACTGGCCAGGAGCGGTGGCTCACGCCTGTAATCCCAGCACTTTGGTAGGCCAAGGCAGATGGATCACGAGGTCAGAAGTTTGAGACCAGCCTGACCAACACGGGAAAACCCCACCTCTACTAAAAATACAAAAATTAGCCAGGCGTGGTGGCACACTCCAGTAATCCCAGCTACTCAGGAGGCTGAGGCAGGAGAATCGCTTGAACCCAGGAGGCGGAGGTTGCAGTGAGCTGAGATCAAGCCACTGCACTCCAGCCTGGGTGACAGAACGAGACTCCATCACACACAAAAAAAAAAATTGGCATGCACGTGTGTGGTCCCAGCTACTTGGGAAGCTGATGTGGGAGGACTGCTTGAGCCCGGGAGGTTGAGGCTGCAGTGCGCTATGACTGCGCCACTGCACTCCAGCCTGGGAAACAGAGTGAGACCCTAATTAAAAAAAAAAAAAAAAAAGTATATATATATATATATATATATATATATATATATATATATATAAAACATATATGTATTTATAATTATCAGCTTTAATAAGTACTACTTAAGCAAACAGTACATAGAGTACATTGTTTAGGCACTGAGATGAATGATGTGAAAATCAGTAACAGGCCTTTTAGCAACCTTAATATCTTAATATCCACCAAATGCCATTAAATCTTAATATCCACTAAAATTAAACCTTAATGGCTAACAAATGTCATTAAAATGTGAGGGCTTTTTTTTTTTTTTTTTTTTTTTGGAGACAGGGTCTGTTGCCCAGGCTGGAGTGTAGTGGCACAATATTGGCTCACTGTATCCCCTACCTCCTGGGCTCAAGTGATCCTCCCACTTCAGCCTCCTGAATAGCTGGGACTAAAGGTGCAGGCCACCATGCCTGGCTATTTTTGTATATATTTTTTTTGGTAGAGTCGGGGTTTCACCATGTTGCCCAGGCTGGTCTCAAACTCCTGGGCTTAAGTGATCCGCTCACCTTGGCCTCCCAAAGTGCTAGGATTACAGGCATGAGCCACTGCTCCCAGCCAAAATGTGGGTTTTTTTGGCTTTTTTTTTTTTGAGACGGAGTCTCGCTCTCTTGCCCAGGCTGGAGTGCAGTGGCGTGATCTCGGCTCACTGCAAGCTCCGCCTCCTGGGTTCACACCATTCTCCTGCCTCAGCCTCCCGAGTAGCTGGGACTATAGGCTCCCTCCATGATGCCTGGCTAATTTTTCGTATTTTTAGTAGAGACGGGGTTTCACCGTGTTAGCCAGGATGGCCTCAATCTCCTCACCTCATGATCCACCCACCTCGGCCTCCCAAAGTGCTGGGATTACAGGTGTGAGCCACCGCACCTGGCCAAATGTGGGTATTTTTTACCACTGAAAAAGCTGCTGTATAACCTGCTCCTGTCTTCCCTGAGCTCTATGGTTCAAGCCCTTCATGGACCATCCTTTCCATCTGCTACTGGATATCAATTCTGTGATACTTCATGCTTTGGGTATGGTTATTAAGCTAAGATTGTAATAATCAAATCTCACGTGTCAAGGCTAACAGGGAAAAATTCTACACCCTACCCCAAGAAAGTGCTAACCACATTATTCAAATGCAATGTGTGGTGGGGTTTTCTGTTCCTTAAAAGCAATGGCTAGTATTAAAACATTTTTTTAAATAAATAAATAAACAGCAACGTCCAGGCACACTGGCTCACACGTGTAATGCCAGCACTTTGGGAGGCCGAGGTGGGTGGATTGCCTGAGGTGAGGAGCTCAAGACCAGCCTGGCCAACGTGGAGAAACCTTGTCTCTACTATATTAAAAATACAAAAGTTAGCCGGGTATGGTGGCACACACCTGTAATCCCAGTTACTTGGGAGGCTGAGGGAGGAGAATCGCTTGAACCCAGGAGATGGAGGTTGCAGTGAGCCGAGATTGCGCCACTGCACTACAGCTTGGGCAACAGAGCAAGACTCTCTCTCTCACACACACACACACACAAGCAACAACAGAATATAGCTACAATATAATAATGTAAATACAATCTTTGTAGCATTAATATGCTTACTGTATACAGAATACAATCTGTGTGGATATTCTCCAAAACATGATTTTAAATTGTTTTATGATTATAGATTATAAAGGTTTTTATACTCTTCTAAAGAAAAACAACAACATAGTTTCTACCAGACGCAGGATAAGAGATCACACAAACTAGGGAGAAAAAAAAACAAACAAAAAAACGGGCTAAGACTGGAACCATATGTATCATGGGAAATATAGGACTAGCAAGGGGAAAGAGAGAGGAATTATTTTTTTCATGTAACAAATATTGTATAAAACTATAAAAATTATATTTATCTGGGTATGTGAAACCCAGACTGACCATGACATACAAAAATAATTTTCACATTAAGATAACAGAAACAAAAGCAACATGAAAGGCTGACAGGGAATCATAAAAAGGTTAAAAAACCCTCAAGTACATTTTCTAATTTCCTTTGAGGAGACTGTGCTGAAACTGTTAATTTAAAATACTGAAAACTCATGCAAAAAACCTACTTTTGAGTTATTTTAACACATTATAATTTGTGCTTATATTATTTGTTATGAGCTTAATGCAAATAAGTCCTTTACAATGGATAATAGATGTAGAGACCCTTTACCAATAACTTACCAATCCATAATTTCCAAACTCATAAAAAAACAAATCAGTTCTCTCATCTAAGCATCACAGAAACTTCATTATGTGCACATAGGTTTTTGCTTAGCCAGCCAAGGAGAGAAGTACTATAGCTGCCTTAAATAACTAAATTATTCTGTAGCATACTAATTCACCCCATGAAAAGCTAATTCCAAGAAAAGTTGACATTTGGTAACTAGGTAAATGCCACATGAAATTTAATGTTTTCTTGAAAGAATCCCCAAGAATTATTCTTTTTTAAAAAATTCTGATTTTCAAAGAAAAATTAAGACATATTTTCTAAGGTTCATTTCTTTGTCTCAATAATAGCATGGTAATGAAAAACCTAGAAACCCACCTCAGTGTGTCTTTGATGTAATGCATTATATTCCTTCTTCAGTTCTGCTTCTCTTTCTTCAAGTCTGCTAACTGAAATTAAGATACATACACTTGATCAAAACAAAATAAGAAATTTACTTGAAAAAGTACATGTTAGACTCAGAATGGGCTATCCATAATCCTTAGCAACTTTCAGACTCAGTGTTCCATATGCAAGTCTTCACAAAGCAGTGACCTCATTTCATTATCCTTAATAATGAAAACTTTCAGACGAGCGGAATACCTTAGATTGGTTCTCTAATATTCCTATATTTATCAGGTCATCCCCCTAAACAGTTTTTTTTTTAACATGATACAGAATTAACTCTTTCAAAAACACAAATCACCTCATCAAAGTTTTAAACTGGGATTAGGGCCCAAATAATGTATTTCCAACACTACTCAAGCTCTTTAGCACTGGCAGTTTGTGAAAGTTGATTGTTTATAAGTACTTTTTCTGCTTCAGGTCTCCTCAATTTCAGGGACTCATCTTCTTTTATTTAGCTCCCTCTGCTGATGGGTTTTGTGAGTGGCACTGACTTGAGGTAGTGCTCACAGAGTACAACTTCAGGATATTTAAAAAAAAAAAGTTTTATTAATAGATCCTGAGATACAGAATGTCAGGACAGGATTCCACAGGAAAGAATAACTGATAGCAAAGAGGAATGATTCAGGGAGGAGGTGGTGTCCACACAGAACCACAAAGGAAGAAATTACAGTACTCAAGACAGATGGTAATGAGAGCATTCCTGACACTGTTACCACAGAGAAGGGAACACAAAACCATGCCTGTGGTGAGGCAGAGGGTGGTGGTGAGGCAGAGGGGAGACTGGCCAGACTGGAGGAGCCCATACTTGGCTAAGGAGCAGTGGGAGACAGTCTGGGGAGAAATAAAGCTGGTGCTAGAGGAGTTTATCAGGGTACTCATTTAGTCTGTTGGAAAGCCTTAGCATAGTTGAAAATGTTCCCTGGGTTTAAGGGTCAGCTGGCCGCAAACAGGCAAGGCTGTGTGTAATCTACAACTGGTGACTGTGGAGGACAGCTGTAGAAGGAACTAGTATGAACTAATATTCTGACAGCAGATAAATGAATGTTTTATATGCCTCCTAGTATTAACACACCAGACACCAAACAAAACATACCTTGTGCTGCCCAGAAAATTCATTTTGGGTTTGTGTACCTTTACTTGCCATAATTTGTTTAAATATCTTGAAAATATGTGATTAGGAAAACTGTAGCTGTCTTTGTTTTGATTTGTTTCTAATTCAAGCTTATGTGTCGCTGGCTCATTACATTTGCACCAGAGAGCAAACACACACTACAGTACCCACGGAGCACATTTTATCATGCCACACAAGTGTTGAATACATCTGCTGCTCATCTTATCCTGTGGCTGAAAGCGATAATAAGCAAATTTATTATGCAGATGTGTTGTGATAAAATAATAGATGCTAAAACCACAAATTAATTTTTAATAAAATTTAATTCTATGATTTTTATTTAAAAACAGGAAATCCAAGCAAATTATGGATATTTAATAATTTCAAAATAAACATTTTCTACTACTTGTCATTTAAACTGATTAAAAGCTTAAAGGAATTCTGAGACTACTGGACAAACCATATCTATTTTCAATTGTTCATCTTTTTGAATCATTATTTTCTTGATAATGTGCAACAAAAACAAAAATTGGATGCTGAGGCTGAAATAAAATCCAACTATCATTCATAATCCTCAATTTCAAATTTGTGCTCAATAGTAGAGCCTTATTATTCTTGTCAGCTGATATAAATTCATAAATAAATTTGTATCACCAACACCACCACTACTAATAGCAGCCAACAACATCAAGTGCTTACTATGTACCATACAGTCCTAAGAACTGCATATAAACTAACTTATTTGAGCCTAACATTAACCTTACGATGAAAGTATTATTATTACATCCATGGTAGAGATGAGGAAACTGAAGCAAATAGGAGCTAAGTAACTTGCCCAAAGTCACACAGATAGAAAATGGCAAAGCAAGGATTCCTATCAGAATCTGGCTCCAGAATCTGTGTTCTTAATTACCATGCTATACTGCTTCTCAGCAAATACTCATTTTAATCTGTTTTGTATATTGGAGTTTACTTTAAGATATCACTTTGGGCAGAGGGGAGTATGCTTCAAACAAAAAACTCCTCTGTTCTTACAGAAACAACCCATTCACAGATACTTTGATACAAAGGGCATCAAACTGCCAAGCAAAATGTGTACCCAAGTCAGGGAGATGCACATTAAAACCAAAATGCAACACCACCATGCTTCTGAATGGCTACAGTGAAAAACACAACACACCAAGTGCCAGTATGGATGTGGAACTACTGGAACTTTCATAAACTGTGGTGTATGGTTTCATACACCGTAACTTGGTATGCCCAATTTAAGAACTGTTTGGCAAGATTTAGTTAAGTTTCGAATGTTTGCCAACCCTATCACAAAACAATGTCATTGCTAGAAAGCCTATATATATGTCCACCCAAAGGTATTTAAAACAATGTTCAAAGAAGCACAATCTGAAAACAATCCAACTGTCCATCAAGAGTAGAATGGATAAATATTCATGTACTGGAATACTGTACAACGTGAATAAACAAATTATTGCCACACACAACATCATGGACCAATAGCACAAATATGATATTGAAGGAAAGAAGCAGAAACAAAAGAATACAAAATTCAAAGACATAACACAAAACTAATCTGAAATGTTACAAGTCAGGATAGTAGTTACCTCTGGGGAGGAGTCAGTGATCTGATGTATTTATGCCTGTATAGCCCCAGCCCACCTCAGTTCAAACACGATGTGCATCCATTCACACAGGCACTTTCCTCTGCTTGAATACTCATTCTTCCTTATGTTATCCTACAATGGCTATGAGTTCAACATGTAGAATGGGATTTAAACAAACTATTCAGAACCATAACAAACAAGCTTTATTGCTCTGACTGTAGCATTCTCAGGGAGAGAACAAAAATGTTACCGAATAGACTGGATAAAGAAAATTTGGTGGGTCACGCCTGTAATCCCAGCACTTTGAGAGCCGAGGTGGGCGGATCACAAGGTCAGAAGTTCGAGAACAGCCTGGCCAACATGGTGAAACCCCATCTCTACTAAAAATACAAAAACTAGCTGGGCGTGGTGGTGCATGCCTATAATTCCAGCTACTTGGGAGGCTGAGGCAGGAGAATCGCTTGAACCCAGGAGGCAGAGGTTGCAGTGAGGCAGAGGTTGCAGTGAGACAAGATTGCGCCACTGCAACTCCAGCCTGGCGACAGAGTGTGACTCCATCTCAAAAAACAAACAAACAAACAAACAAACAAACCAAAAACCAGAATCTCACCACTTTTACCACCTTCATCACTCTCACTTTGACCCAAGACATCATCTCTTGCTTAGGTTATTACAATAATAATCCTAGTCTCCTGACTAGTTTCTCTACTTAGTCTTTGTTCCCTACATTCTCAAAATAGAGATGGAATCAAACAGTGACTAACCGCTCAAAACTTCAAAGCTTCCGATCTCATTTTTAAAAGGAAAAAAAAATTCTTACAATGGTCTGTAAGACTTTTCTGGATCTGATTGTCAAGTCACAACACTCTTTGCTTCCCATCCCCACAGAGAACTCTTATCTCCTGACCTATTATGGACTGAATTGTGCTCCCTCACCCCCCAAATTCATAGGTTGAAGCTCTACCTCCCAATATGACTGCATTTGGGGGATAGGGCCTTTAAGAAGATAATTAAGGGCCGGGCGAGGTGGCTCACACCTGTAATCCCAGCACTTTGGGAGGCCGAGGCAGGTGGATTACCTGGGCAAGAGTTCGAGACCAGCCTGGCCAACATGGTGAAACCCTGTTTCTACTAAAAATACAAAAATTAGCCAGGCGTCATGGCAAATAGCAGTAATCCCAGCTACTCGGGAGGCTGAGGCAGGAGGATCGCTTGAATCTGGGAGATGGAGGTTGCCGTGAGCTGAGACTGTACCACTGCACTCCAGCCTCGGTGACAGAGCGGGACTTTGTCTTTTTAAAAAAAAAAAAAAAAAAAAAAGGCAGAAGAAGGTAGGTAATTAAGGTTGAATGAGGTCATTAAGGTGGGGCCCTGATCCAACAGGGCTGGTATCCTTATAACAGCAAGAGATAGGCAAAAGGCCATATTAGGACACAGAGGTAAAGCAGCCACCTGCAAGCCAAGGAGAAAGGCCTCAGGAGAAACCAAATCTGCTTGTACCATGGATCTCAGATTTCCAGCCTCCAGACTGTGAGAAATAAATTTCTGCTATTGAAGCCACCCAGTCTGTAATATTTTGTTATGGCGGCCCTAGCTGACTTATACCATTAAGCAAACCTCAGAGAAAAGGGTTTTTTTTGTTTTTTTTTTTTTTCCTTGAGACAGAGTCTCACTCTGTCCCCAGGCTGGAGTGCAATGGTGCGATCTCAGCTCACTGCAACCTCCACCTCCCTGGTTGAAGCGATTCTCCTGCCTCAGCCTCCCTGAGTAGCTGGGACTATAGGCGTGCACCACCACATCCAGCTAATTTTTGTATTTTTAGTAGAGATGGGGTTTCACCATGTTGGTCAGGATGGTCTCGATCTCCTGACCTCGTGATCCACCCACCTCGGCCTCCCAAAGTGCTAGGATTACAGGCGTAAGCCACCGCGCCCCACCGAGAGAAGCTTTTATATAAGATGTTTGTCAACTGACTTGGTCAGAGAGCTGGGTTTATACCTTACAGAACAAAACATTATAATGCCACAAAACAAAGTCAGGTCCTGACTGATTTTATGCCAGTTTCCTAATCAATTTGTTTGCATTGCTTTGTGTCAAATGTACACCACTTAATAGTGAGATTAGGCCAGGAGCGGTGGCTCAAACTTGTAATCCCAGCACTGTGGGAGGCCAAGGCGGGCTGATCACCTGAGGTCAGCAGTTCGAGACCAGCCTGGCCAACATGGTGAAACCCCTCTACTAATACTACAAAAATTAGCTGGGCATGGTGGTGCACGCCTGTAATCCTAGCTACTCAGAAGGCTGAGGCAGGAGAATCACTTTAACCTGGGAGGTGGAGGTTGCAGTGAGGTGAGATCACAACATTGCACTCTAGTCTGGGCAACAAGAGCGAAAGCTCTGTCTCCAAAAAAAAAAAAAAAAAAAAAAAAAGGCTTGTGGGAAGGAGACATATAACAGAATATACCATTAATTTTGGGAGATTTCCAATATTTATCTAAATGAATATGACCATTGTTCACATAAGCTTAGGTTCATCCATAAAAATTCCTTAAAGTTCTAGTAATCATTTTGTTCTCCTTAAGCATTTTGAATTATTTCTATCATTAATTCCTTCAGCCTCCATTCACAGCTTTCTAACCCATCAGGGTTACTTTTTGCTAAATTTACTTCCATTTGGCAACACAGTCTTACTTTCACCTCAGAAATAACATTTGATAAACTATCAATCCATTCTCTAACCATCTCTTTCAAAAGGTGAAATGGTTATATTTACTAATCTCATATAAATAATATACATACATATCTATATTTTTTTATTTAATAGCAACCATTTATCACAGAAAAAGGGCATTTAGCACATGCAAACTACCTGGAGTTACAGATGACTTGTCCCTTTTAATTTTTAATAGACTTTATTTTTAGAGCCGTTTTAGGGTCACAGCAAAATTGAATGAAAGTACAGAGAATTTCCATGTATTTGCAGCCCCCTACACACGCAACCTCCCCTACCATCAACATCCAGAATCAGAGTGGTATACCTTTTACAATCGATGAACCTACACTGACACATGCTTATCACCCAAAATATATCAATTACATTAGGGTACACTCGTGGTGTTGTATACTCTACAGCTTTTGACAAAAATATGACATGTGACCACCATTATAGTATCAAACAAAATAAGTTCACTGCCTTAAAAATCCTGTGCTCCACCTATTCATCCCTCCCTACCATCTCCCAAACCTTGGCAATCAATGATCTTTTTACTGTCTCCATAGTTTTGCCTTTTCCAGAATGTCACATAGTGGGAATCATATAGTACCTAGCCTTTTCAGATTGGCTTCTTTCACTTAGTAATATGCATTTGAGGTTACTCCATATCTTTTTTTTGTTTGTTTTTGAGACAGAGTCTTGCTCTTTCACCCAGGCTGGAGTGTAGTGGCATGATCTCAGCTCACTGCAACCTCCGCCTGCCAGGTTCGAGCAATTCTCGTGCCTCAGCCTTCTGAGTAGCTGGGACTACAGGCACCCACCACCATGCCTGGCTAATTTTTGTATTTTAGTAGACACAGGGTTTCGCCATGTTGGCCAGGCTGGTCTCGAACTCCTGACCTCAGGAGATCCACCTGCCTCCGCCTCTCAAAGTGCTGGGATTACAGGCGTGAGCCACCACACACAACCTACTCCACGTCTTTTCCTGGACAAACAGTTTATTTCTTTTTAGCACTGACTAATATTCCATTGTCTAGATTACCATAGTTTATGCCTGTTATTTTCATAAGAGCTAAAGGTCTTAAAATTACAGGTCTCAAACTTTTACTATCTCTTTCACACACAAAATTTCATGTTTTTAATGCACAAAAAGTGGTATTTTAAGATATTTTCAACTTACTGTTACATATTAGAAACTTGTATGCTGGCCGGGCACAGTGGCTCACGCCTGTAATCCCAGTACTTTGGGAAGCCGAGGCAGGCGTATCACCTGAGGTCAGGAGTTCAAGACCAGCCTGGCCAACATGGCGAAACCCCATCTCTACAAAAAATACAAAAAAATTTAGCTGGGCGTGGTGGTGCATGCCTGTAATCTCAGCTACTTGGGAGGCTGAGGCAGGAGGATCGTTTGAACCTGGGAGGTGGAGGTTGCAGTGAGCCAAGACTGTGCCACCGCACTCCAGCCTGGGCCACAGGGCGAGACTACATCTCAAAAAAAAAAAAAAAAATTGTATGCTGACCACGTCTATCTTTTCGCTAAGTTTTTGATACAAAATAAATCATAAAGTATACTTAAATTAACCTCTGTCTCAGCTTTTCATATAAATGTATTTTGTCTGTAACCTGTTAAATAACAGGAAAAATACTGAATTT
The DNA here is from genome assembly GCF_000001405.40 of Homo sapiens. Taxonomy (NCBI): domain Eukaryota; kingdom Metazoa; phylum Chordata; class Mammalia; order Primates; family Hominidae; genus Homo; species Homo sapiens. The sequence goes on from NC_000017.11 coordinate 51,063,574, forward strand.
TGCAACATCTAAAATAAAAGCAGGCCAGGGCCAGTTGTAGTGGCTCACACCTGTAATCCCAGCACTTTGGGAGACCAAGGTGGGTGGATCACCTGAGGTCAGGAGTTGGAGACCAGCCTGGCCAACATGGTGAAATCTCTTCTCTACTAAAAACAAAAATTAGCCAGGTGTGGTGGCACATGCCTGTAATCCCAGCTACTTGGGAGGCTGAGGCAGGAGAACTGCTTGAACCTGGGAGGTGGAGGTTGCAGTGAGCCAAGATCGTGCCACTGCACTCCAGCCTGGGCAACAGAGCCAGACTCCATCTCAAAAATAAATAAATAAATAAGTAAGTAAGTAAGTAAGTAAAAAATAATAATAAAATGGAATTTTAAAAAAATAAAATAAAAGCAGACAAAAAATAAAAGGGTTAAAATATCTACATAAATTAGACGTTAAGTATTATCCTCTAGCATAAGTATCATATCCACTTCCATCTTCCTCTCCACTCCAGTAGAGGAGTAAATGAGAGCCTGTTCACCTCAGTCTACTTACTTAAGGCCCTTAACTAATTCATTTATCTTTCCCATTAAAATTAAACAGAAGGTTTATCATTCTGCTTAGTTATATTCAGATGTGTCACTGATAGCTAATTATACAAATAAAACAAGATGACTAATATACTACCTACTCCTAGTAGGCAACCACAGCATTGTAAAGATGGTTCAAACATTAAGTTATCTACTTACCCATTTATGAGGAACTAAACAAGTCAAGATGCCAAGAGGAAACCCAAGGAATATCTTCCCAAAGTGGTTGTTCATTATACTCAGCTCTTCAAAACTGTATTACTACAGACTTTCAGATAGCAAAGTTAGAGTTTTGGTTGTTTCTAGCTCTAGCAGGATATATAGGCAATTGAAATGGGGGTGGAGGGTATCCCATAAAACAATATTATCCGGTTATGAAAAGGAAGGAAGTACTGACACATGCTACAACATGAATGAACCTTTATGCTAGGTGAAAGAAGCCAGTCACAAAAGACCATATATTGTATGATCCTATTATTATGAAATGTCCAGAACAGGCAAATCTATAGAGACAAAAATTAGATTAGTGGTTTTCAGGGACAAGGGGAAGCAGAAAAGCAGAAGTAAGTGTAACAGGTATGAGGGGGTGGTTCTTCTTGGGGTGATAAAAATGTTCTGGAATTAGTGGTGGCGATTGTACAACCTTGAAAATTGTACTAAAAACCGCTGAATTGTACACTTCAAAATGGTGAATTTTGGCCGGGTGCGGTGGCTCAGGCCTGTAATCCCAGCACTTTGGGAGGCCAAGGCGGACAGATCATCTGAGATCAGGAGTTTGAGACCAGCCTGGCCAACATGATGAAACCCCGTCTCTACTAAAAATACAAAAAATTAGCTGGGCATGGTGGCAGGTGCCTGTAATCCTAGCTACTCAGGAGGCTGAGGCAGGAAAATTGCTTGAATCTGGGAGGCGAAGGTTGCAGTGAGTTGAGATCGCACCATTGCACTCCAGCCTGGGCAACTAGAACAAAATTCCATCTCAAAAAATATATATATAAATACATAAAATAAAATGGTGGATTTTATGATATGTGAATTAGATTTCAATTTTTAATTTTATTTTATTTTTAAATAGAGACAGGGTCTCGCTATTTTGCCCAGGCTGGTTATGAACTCCTGGGCTCAAGCAATCCTCCCGCCTCAGCCTCCCAAATTCCTGGAATTATAGGCACGAGCCACCAGGCCCAGCCTGGATTTCAATTTTAAACAGAGTCATTTGAAACCTATCCCTTAACACAAGTATGAGCAAATTATGTCTTAATTTAATAACCTGTTTTTTAAAGAAAAAGTCAAATGGTAAGGGATCAAAAAGAAAATCTCAACATTTATGTTATAAGAGAAGGACATTTCATTAAAATGTCCTTCTCTTCTCTTCCTCAGATAATTCACAGTAGAAAGAATAGGCAGATGGTTGCTAAGCCTTAGGCAGAATCATTCCTTTGCCTCAACACTTGGGCAAAATAACATACTAATGGCCCCCACTAAGGCTGTTAAGCTGAGGCAAAGACTGGCCAGATGTTAACCAAAACAGTTTCCTCTTTTGCTTGGGCAAATAGCTAGGCTATCCACCCCAGCCCCTGCAGGTAGCCTCTGACTGACTTATAGCCACTGAAGTAGTAGTAAAAGTGATGTGTGCTACTCCTAGGCCTGGTCCAGTAAAAACCCTCCACACACGATGCTCCATGCCCTTTACCCTTCCTCCAACTTAATGCAGGTAAGACAAACTTAGAAGCTATAAAGGGGGAAATGCCCATGTCTCCGCAAAAGCCACCCACTTATCTGAAACATCCACTTTTTAAACTTTACGTAAGCAAGAAATAACATTTGAGTCATTAATATATAATTTTTGTGGCTAGTTCGTTATAGCAACTACAGTTAGCTTAACATATATCAGCTTATAAACATGTACTAAAATCCTCTTAAAAGTTAGCATTCCAAATTATCAAAGGTATGTTACCCCATTACGCTTTTTTTTTTTCTTGAGACAGGGTCTTGTTCTGTTTCCCAGGCTGGAGTGCAATGGCACAATCACAGCTCACTACAGCCTTGACTTCCTGGGCTCAAGCAATCCTCCAGGCTCAAGTGATCCTCCCAAGCAGTTGGCACTACAGGCGTGTGCCACCAGGCCAAGATAATTTTTTGATTTTTTGTAGAGACAAGGTCTCACTATGTTGCCCAGGCTGGTCTCGATCTCCTGGTCTCAAGCACTCCTCCCGCCTCAGCTTTCCAAAATACTGAGATTACAGGTGTGAGCCATTGCCTCCAGTCCCCATTATGTTTTAAAAATAGTTTACTTCGGCTACTTGGGAGGCTGAGACAGGAGAATTGCTTGAACCCAGGAGACAGAGGCTGCAGTGAGCCAAGATCATGCCATTGCACTCCAGGCTGGGCGACAGAGTGAGACTCTGTCTCAAAAAAAAAAAAGAAAAAAAAAAAAAAGACCATGGCTCACGCCTGTAATCCCAGCACTTTGGGAGGCCAAGGTGGGCAGATCACGAGGTCAGGAGATCGAGACCATCCTGGTCAACATGGTGAAACCCCGAGATCAAGACCATCCTGGCCAACATGGTGAAACCCCGTCTCTACTAAAATACAAAAAATTAGCCAGGCATGGTGGCACACTCCTGTAGTCCCAGCTACTAGGGAGGCTGAGGCAGGGGAATCGCTTGAACCTGGGAGGTGGGGGCTGCAGTGAGCCGAGATTACACCACTGCGCTCTAGCCTGGCGACAGAGCAAGAGTCCATCTCAAAAAAAAAAAGGATAGTTTACGTCTGTTATTATAAATGATTTTCTGAATGTTTTTCTGGTGGTATATTCTCTCCTGCCTAACACCCACAGCAAGAACCTGAACAGAAACTGTTTTATGACTTTGTGTATTTCATGTTTTCTTTACATATACTGTGATCCTAAATTTTATTATTATCTTTGTAGGTACTTACAATATAAATCATGTAACATAAAGATCATATATAATTGATCATATAATACATAGAAAATATTAGAAAATATACACACATACACCAAGATCAAATAATACAAATTCAGAACCTTTCTTTTCTGAAAATACTTACAATAACTCAGTACAACAACATATCCAATGAACTCAGCTTACTCAAGGCCTAAGTCCCATAAGATGGTATAAACACTTTTGAGAAGTCATTTTAAAGTGTGGAAGAGCCATCTCTTTAAAGTCCTGAATGCCACTAAGGAATCAGTTAAAGGGAAAAGAAAAGGAAGTAGAAGGGAAGGGGAAAGCAGGAAAGAAAAGCCCACCTGGCAAGGACTATAGACATCCTCGAAAGCCTCAAGTACCATGAAGTTAACCTATACCTATATTGTTGCATTCCATTTGAAGTGTATTAAAAGGTCATTTCTTGTTTAATAGTTATCACATAAACCTAAACTTCAAAACGATCTCAGGGAAAATTCTAAAACCTTGTCATTTTACTCATCAAAACTAGCTCCAAGCCGAGATTAACTGGAAATAAACAAGATTCTGTTCATCCTATCCCAAAACAACTGATAAGTAACTGCCATTTTTAAAATTGCTAATTTTCTGGGGAGTAAAAAAAAAAAGGCAAATCATGTTATCTAAAAAGAAAAAAAAGGTGAGGGGGCAAGAAAAAAGAACAATCAAAAGACAAATCCAAAATTTCCCCTTTAGAATAATGATGGAGATACTTCAGCCTCATTTTGAGCGCTCTTTCTATCCGTCTTTCCAAAAAGCAAGAGGATAAGATTAAGGCAGGAAGAGCCACCTGCTCTGCCGGCTCAAAATCAGAGCTTACCTCCTGAGATTGATGGCCTTTGCCAAGTTTGGAACACCTTCCATCTCTGTTGTCTTCTGCCCCATCAGACTGCTGATAGGCCTACGGGGGGAAGAAAGAGAAACAGACCTGCTAGAATGCCATATCCAACTCATTATTTGCCTTCTCAAAAGGAATCATCAGTTTTTACTGTTCCTGGAAGGCAGATAGTCCAACTGTTGCTGGGCCTCAGAAGATTGACATGTGGTCTTTCAGAAACTTCTCCTTGAACAATTTAGCATCAGAAGTCCCAACAGGTAAGCAAGGCTGACTTAAGAGCAAAGAAATCTCAGACAACCACATCAAAACAGTAATAACAACCTCTCCTCACCAACTAAGTCCTTTACCATGTCTCTCAACTTCAAAAAATTTTCAGATATTATATGTTATTAATCAATGACACAATGTGAAATTATACATATTTTAAAGCTATCATGAATCAATGATCATATTCTCAAAACAGAGTAGGATAACTTCAAAGAATCCCAGCGGTAGAAACTTCTAGTGATCTGACAGTTCCCTGTCTTGAAGATGTTACTTAAGCCATCCACAACAAAGCTGATGATTCTCCTACCTAAAGTCTCTACGTAGGGACAGTCCACGCTTAACCTCTGCACATATTCCTGTGTATCACCCTCATGGCCAAGAAATACTTCCTCATGACCAACCAAAGCCAAAAAATTCATTTTCTCTCACTTAATCTTCCAAAATAACAGACAAACAGCTTGCTACACTCCTTATCCATCCCTTTATATGTTTGAAAGAATAATCAAATTATTCGTATTTTCCCTGTTCTCTAAGCAAATCACCAGAAATCCTTTAACTTTTACTCATAAACTTAATTTTCTGATACCTTTAGTTCTAGATATTAATTATAAATTACAACTTTAAGCTTCTCAATAGACAACACTAGACTCAAAAATGAAAGAGCCCAAATACAGATAATAAAACATAAAACAGCTAAAGACCACAAGTATTACCTAATGAAGCAGAAGTAATGTTAGTGTTTGCAAAAACTATCTTGTGCCTAATTTTCTACTTTCCCACTCATATGTAGGCTCTAAATAAGAAACAGCTGATATATATTGTTTATTAAATATATAGATATTCTTAGTATTGCAAAGAACTAGATTCTGATTAAACAGACTAAAAGTAGCTTTCTAAATAATTAACTTGTCATTCTTTTAAAACCAAAAGATATAATTCAAACTCCTAAAGCTGCCTCATTAAAAAAACTTTCAACAAAAACACATATCATCATTAAAATATATATATATAAATCTTCGTAATCTACTTTTATCATTCTTAAAATTATGTAGAAGGAATTGCCTATTGACATAGAACTAAAGTGGAAAAAGTGTCCTATTACAGTATTATTTAATTTTTTCAAAATACTAACATTCATTGCTAATCACAAAGCACAGTAAAGGATCTGATAAAGTTTTGTACAAGCCTGAATGTATTTTTTTAGGTGATTTGAAAAACAGCGACAGAAAATATTTAGGCTCTCTCAAATATTAACTTTGATATGAAATGATACTTGGCAACTTTAAAATGGTTTATGTGCTGTGAAAATTCTTAATTTATCAATCACCTTGTGTTGAAGGTCTGTTTTAAGCCTTATTTAATTCCTTTAAATAAATTTAATTAATTAAATAAAATTTAAACATTCCTTTAAAATAAAAATTATGTTATTGTTTATGTTAATATCTCCCCCAACTTTCTATCTAGTGGAGTGCTTATTCTTATGACCAAGAAATAAGAAGTGTTTTCCTTCTAATAATAATGTTTCAAAGTGAAGGCTTGCAGGTATTTTACTAGACTAAGATCCTGACACAAGATGTAAAAAGCAAAGGAATGTTACATGGGGGACAAAAAAGGTAGAAAGGTCAAAGTATAAGGATCTAACACATTTGACTTCAGTGCCAACAACATTTTTCCATTTAATTCAAAAAGACGAATTTTCATTTAAAGGAAGGAAGGGCGGAATTAAAGAAGAGTCTAAATATAACAGCTTAAAATCACAGCCACGGGTGCAGTGGCATGCACCTGAGGTGGGCTCCCTCACGGGAGGGCTGAGGTGGGAGGATCACTTAAACACAGGAATTAGACCCTCATCTCTTAAAAAAAAAAACAAAAAAAAAACCTGTACTCCCCAAAAAACATAGCCACCAAATTAAGAAGTACTCACTAAAAAAAAAATATCACTGTCATCTAAATCTTTTCATCTTCTCCACAAAAGGCAATGGCTCTATACTCAGGGAAGAATAAGTTGTAAATCCAAGGAGCCTGAGGGCAACAGAAGCTTCCTAAGAGAGAATCAAATAATAAATGATTCTATATCAGCTCTGTGTGCTAATATGCTGTAAATAATGCTTCAAATTCATAAGTTATGACAAGCAAAATGGAATTTACTACTAACCCTTACTTCTCCAATTCTATTGACATTAGAAATGGCCAAACTATTATATGCCAAAAAGCACTAAAATTCTTTGACCTACTTCCTTAAATATATTCTAAGAAAACTACCAATAGAAGGGAAAACTTGTAGATGTAAAAAAATATTTACTGCAATATGATTCAGTATACCAGAAAAAATGACCAACCAACCAACAGAAGTTTTTGGTTTTTTTATTTTAAATTTCTTACATTTATTTTACCCTGATTCACCTCTTCATTCCACAAAGGATTTGAGACAGTTTACAATAGAGCATAATATATTAATTATACATGTATAAAACGTGGATCAAGAAAAAAAACAATTTAAATATGCCAACCAGGTAAGGTTCAAACTAGTTGTTATGGTTGCATTTCAACGTTTGTTCTGTTTCTGGGCTGCCATGGTAAAAAACACAGTGGCCATTAAATAATTCTCATTAGAGGAAAAAATAAAGCATAGTCCTCAGGGAAAACAAAAATTGTTAATAGATGGCATAGCTTCTGGATGGTGGATTTATGTGGACATAAAAATAATAATGAAGATTATACAACAAGGAAAAATACTTATGATAATGTTAAGGAAAAGATACAAAATTAAATATACATCCTAACCACAATGATATAAAAATATAATATATATGGGAAAAAGACTAGTAGGCCATACGCATAATCTTCCCCTTCCTCCCCCCACTAAACTATGATTTCTTTAACCACAAGGACCATATCATACTCTTGTGTACCACAACCATACCTAGGCAGAATGCTAGGCATACTGGACCAGTTTAATATTTTCAACTGTATTAAAATATCTATACTTGCTTGACTCAAATTTTAGATATTTGGCTTACAAGATAGAAATACACAACATACAACAGAGACAATAAATATAAAAAGTACTTTCTGACAAAGACCTATTACTGCCACACTATGAATGGCAAAGTTGATTACACTCCTTACACACTTGAAAAGCACCAAGGCTTTCTCAATTCACAACTTCCTTATTCCACACAATATCGATTACAGACTCTTCCTTAAGGTTCATAAGATATTAACAGGACGTATTATTGCTGCTCCAGATAAGGAATAATATACAGCATTTTAAAAAATCCTTTATTCATGTTGGAAAAAGTAAAAAAAATTTCTTATATTCATTTAGATTTTGAAAAGTAATCAGAAATCTCCAAAATCAAACATGACCAAAAATTGTTAAAAAACATATTATAGACTCAACTTTTCAACATTGTTAAATCATGCAACATGATAGATTCCATACTATCAAAAGCTGTAAAGTGTGTCTTTTAATTCAGTTCCTATTTCTTTACTTTTTCTTGCTTCTCAAATAGCAAATAACTTTAACCAAAATTTCCCCTTTTAACAAAGGAAGTAGTCTTTAGAGCAGAACTTGAATTTTTATTGTGGCTATTTTTTAAAAGGGATGTGTGCTCCTAAAATATGTTCATGAGAATTGACAAACTCAGTCTTTTAAAATTAAAGACACTAATACACTGTATAAACATGAAAACTAGAAAAGGCATCCAGCACTCAAACAAATGGCACTCAACAAAAAAATTGCATCCACCTCTCCTCCCACTACAGGTACTGCGAACAGTCATCTCAGTGCCCCTAAATAAATGTTTATTTTAAATTAAATGTTGGGTTACATTTACTTTGTCACAAAATTCATATTTTCTTTTTTTGTTTTAGACTGAGTCTTGCTTTATTGCCCAGGCTGGAGTACAGTGGCGTGATCTTGGCTCAATGCAACCTCCGCCTCCCAGGTTAAAGCAATTCTCCTGCCTCAGCCTTCCAAGTAGGTGGGATTACAGGCATGCGCCACCACACCTGGCTAATTTTTGTATTTTTAGTAGAGACGGAGTTTCACCCTTTTGGCCAGGCTGGTCTTGAACTCCTGACCTGAGGTGATACGCCTGCCTCGGCCTCCCAAAGTGCTGGGATTACAGGCGTGAGCCACCGCGCCTGGTCTCATATTTTATTTAAAAAACAAAAAATCAGGCTAGGTATGGTGGTTCATGCCTGTAATCCCAGCACTTTGGGAGGCCAAGGTGAGCGTATCACCTGAGGTCAGGAGTTCAAGACCAGCCTGGCCAAAAGGGTGAAACTCCATCTCTACTAAAAATACAAAAATTAGCCAGGTGTGGTGGCACGCACCTGAAGTCCCAGCTACTCAAGAGGCTGAGGCAGAAAGAATCTCTTGAACCTGGGAGGCGGAAGTTGCAGTGAGCCGAGATCGCGCCACTGCACTCCAACCTGGGCAACAGAGCGAGACTCTGTCTCAAAAAATAAAATAAAATCAGTCACATTAAGATTAGATAGCCCAGATCATCTGTTTTCTATTATACAAAACAAGAATTAATGAACTCCTGACATAACATTTATTTCAATTTGTTTTCATCTTTTAAAAAGCACTCATTCCCAATCTTGGTTTTCCAATAGTATAGGGAACTAATGATACTTAAAGATTACTTCCTACATCACCTTTTTAAAAAATAAGAAGTTTTTAGGCTGTGTACAGTGGCTAATGCCTGTAATTCTAACATGAGAGAGATCAAAGCAAGCAGATTGTTGAGCCTAGGAGTTTGAGACCAGCCTAGGCAACATGGCAAAACCCTGGCTCTACAAAAAATACAAAACTTCAGCCGGGCGCGGTGGCTCATGCCTGTAATCCCAGCGCTTTGGGAGGCAGAGGTGGGCGGATCACCAGAGGTCGGGAGTTTGAGGCCAGCCTGGCTAACACGGTGAAACCCCATCTCTACTGAAAAAATGCAAAAATTTTCCGGGCGTGGTGGTGGGCGCCTGTAGTCCCAGCTACTCGGGAGGCTGAGGCAGGAGAATGGCGTGAACCCAGGAGGCGGAGCTTGCAGTGAGCCGAGATCACGCCACTGCACTCCAGCCTGGGCAACAGAGCAAGACTCCGTCTCAAAAAAAAAACAATTAGCCACGTGTGGTGGCATGTGCTTGTAGTCCCAGCTACTCGGAGCAGAGGTGAGAGTACTGCTTGAGCCTGGGAGGTTGAGGCTACAGTGAGCCATGATCACACCACTGCATTCCAGCCTGGGCAATAGAGCTGGAATGTCTCAAAAAAATTAAGAAATAAGTAATTTTTAAAATTAAAAATAAGAAGCTTTGATTCATATTGCAGATTTAAAAAAAAACAAAAAACAAAAACCTAAGGTGGTAAAGTGAAAAAACAGTCAAATAATTTCCCCCCAGAAAAAGTGGGGGAATGTTTAAGTGTGGTAAAATAAAAACTCTGAAGAAAATTTAAGATACACTTAGAATTCATATTACACCAGTTAAGGCTTAGAAAAAAACAAAAGGAAGAGAAAGGAAAACAATTCACTAGAAAAGAGAAAAAGACTCCAATTTCAGGAGAAGGGAGTAAGTTCCAAAGCATTAATAAAAGATGACTCAGGCCGGGCACGGTGGCTCACGCCTGTAATCCCAACACTTTGGGAGGCCGAGGTGGGCGGACCACAAGGTCAGGAGTTCGAGACCAGCCTGGCCAATATGGTGAAACCCCATCTCTACTAAAAATACAAAAATTAGGCCGGGCGTGGTGGCTCACGCCTGTAATCCCAGCACTTTGGGAGGCCGAGGCAGGTGGATAACAAGGTCAGGAGATCGAGACCATCATGGCTAACACGGTGAAACCCCGTCTCTACTAAAAATACAAAAAATAAGCCGGGCGTGGTGGCGGGCGCCTGTAGTCCCAGCTACTCGGGAGGCTGAGGCAGGAGAATGGCGTGAACCCGGGAGGCAGAGCTTGCAGTGAGCCGAGATCACACCACTGCAGTCCAGACTGGGCGACAGAGCGAGACTCCGTCTCAAAAAAATAAAAACAAAACAAAACAAAAAAAACACAAAAATTAGCCAAGCATGGTGGTGCACGCCTGTAATCCCAGCTACTCGGGAGGCTGAGGCAGGAGAATTGCTTGAACCCAGGAGGCAGAGTGAACCGAGATGGTGCTACTGCACTCCAGTCTGGGTGACAGAGCAAGGGTCCAGCTCAAAAAATAACTCAGTTCATAGAAAAAAGATTTCGTGTTATCAACTTCGTGCATCTGAACGGTCAATTTTGATTAACCACAGTTTGTAAGTTCCTTAATTGTTCTTTATACAGCAAGCTTTATTTCAGAAAGGAACAGCAGACTCCCAGGGGAGAAATTCTTTGGAGGATAATATATTCATAACAAAAATAAAGTTTTTAGATCAAATTAAGCTCAAGACCATATCTAATACTTGATGAAGAATTTCTTCCTCCTTTCCCTAGAGTATTGTCAATTATTTTTAAATGATCTCATTTTTATAAAGTCTTTGAATTAAAATGGAAAACATAATTAATGCTTTTGGAGAGAGGAATGAGAAGATGGATACCACAGAATATGACAATTCCAAAAAAGGTATGACTCTCTGGACTGGATAACAAATCTGGGACAATGAAAAAAAAATTGACATACTCAAACAGTCCCCTAAATTGATCACTTCCCTTAATTAAGAAACCACTAGGCCAGGCACAGTGGTTCATGCCTGTAATCCCAGCACTTTGGGAGGCTGAGGCAGGTGGATCAACTGAGGTCAGGAGTTCAAGACCAGCCTGGCCAACATAGTGAAACCCCATCTCTACAAATATACAAAAATTAGCCAGGCATAATGACGGGTGCCTGTAATCCCAGCTACTCGGGAGGCTGAGGCAGGAAAATCGCTTGAACCTGGGAGGCGGAGGTTGCAGTGAACCAATATCATGCCATTGCATTCCAGCCTGGGCAACAGAGCCAGACTCCATCTCAAAAAAAAAAAAAAAAAAAAAAAAAAGAAGAAGAAGAAGAAAAGAAACCACTATATTTTGTTTACATTTATTAGAAAGGAATAGGAAACAGATTTTTTAAATTTAGTAATAAAAGGGCTAATGTATGTGAAATAATTAGTAATTCATTCCACTTAGATACTTTTGGGAAAAAAAGAAGCAGTATCTTCTGCTTCTTTTTTGAGTGTGAGACATTTTAAAGGTACTTTGATATCAAAAATGCAATTTCAAGTATAAGGTAATTCTTCCTCTAATCACAGAAGCCAATTACTTAATGCACAAAAGGATGTTAGACAAGGAATTCTTTTCCAAGTCAAAAAAGGAATTCTGGTCGAGCGCAGTGGCTTACACCTGTAATCCCAGCATTTGGGGGGCCAAGGTGCAAGGATCACTTGAGACCAGGAGTTCGAGACCAGCTTGAACAACATAACAAGACCCCATCTCTACAAAAAGTTTTAAAATTAGCCAGGTATGGTGGCTCATGCCTGTAGTTCCAGCTATTTGGGAGGCTAAGGTGGGAGGATCACTTGAGCCTGGGAGTTCAAGGATACAGTGAGCTATGATCGTGTCACTGTACTCCAGCCTGGGACACAGAGCCAGACTCGGTCTCTGAGAAAAAAAGAAAAAGATCCAGCACTTCAGGAGGCCGAGGCATGTGGATCACGAGGTCAGGAGATTGAGACCATCCTGGCTAACACAGTGAAGCCCTGTCTCTACTAAAAATACAAAAAATTAGCTGGGGGTGATGGCAGGCACCTGTAATCCCAGCTACTAGGAAGGCTGAGGCAGGAGAATCACTTGAATCCAGGAGGCAGAGGTTGCAGTGAGCCAAGATCGCGCCACTGCACTCCAGCCTGGGTGACAAAGCAAGACTCCATCTCAAAAAAAAGGAAAAGAAAAAAGAAAAAGAAAAAAAATTTTTTTCAGGCTGGGCAAGGTGGCTCATGCCTGTAATGCCAGCACTTTGGGAGGCCGAGGCGGGCGGACTGCTTTGAGCTCAGGAGTTCAAGACCAGCCTGGGCAACATGGCGAAACCCTGTCTCTACAAAAAATACAAAAATTAGCCAGGCATGGTGGCTTGTGACTGTAGTCTCAGTTACTCAGGAGGCTGAGGCTAGAGGATCGATTGAGCCCAGGAAGCACAAGTCGCAGTGAACAGCGATCCTGCCACTGCACACGTTAGACAGAGTGAGATCCGGTTTCAATAAATAATAATTTCTTATTGAAAACTTGGTACCCAGGCTGGGCGCAGTGGCTCACACCTGTAATCCCAGTACTTTGGGAGGCCGAGGCAGGCGGATCACCTGAGGTTGGGAGTTCGAGACAAGCCTGGCCAACATGGTGAAACTCCATCTCTACTAAAAATACAAAAATTAGCTAGGCATGGTGGTGCATGCCTGTAGTCCCAGCTACTTGGGAGGCTGAGGCAGGAGAATCACTTGACCCCAGGGGGCGGAGGTTGCAGTGAGCCGAGCTCACACCACTGCACTCCAGCCTGGGCGATAGAACAAGACTCCGTCTTAAAAAAAAAAAAGACAGAAAGAAAACTTTGTGTACCCTGCAGATATCAACAAGAAAACTTAATACGTAAAACAATGAAAGGTAGGCTGAGTCTGTCAACTGTGTCTTTAGTGTTTGGTTCTAAAAGATTATATAATCCCTTCATGCTAGGCATAGTGGCTCATGTCTGAAATCCCAGCACTTTGAAGCCCAGAAGTGCGAGACCAGCCTGGGCAACATAATGAGATCTTGTCTCTATCTATCTATCTTATCTAGCTATCTAGCTATCTAGCTAGCTAGCTAGCTATCTAGCTATCTATCTAGCTATCTAGCTATCTAGCTAGCTATCTAGCTAGCTATCTAGCTATCTAGCTAGCTATCTATCTAGCTAGCTATCTAGCTATCTAGCTAGCTATCTATCTATTTCTTTGAGACAGTTTCACTCTTGTTGCCCAGGCCAAGTGTAGTGGTGTGATCTCGGCTCACTGCAACCTCCACCTCCCGGGGTCAAGCGATTCTCCTGTCTCAGCCTCCCGAGGAGCTGAGATTACAGGCAAGTGCCACCATGTCCGGCTAATTTTGTATTTTCAGTAGAGACGGGGTTCTCCATGTTGGTCAGGCTGGTCTCAAACTCCTGACCTCAGGTGATTCGCCCGCCTCGACCTCCCAAAGTGCTGGGATTACAGGTGTGACCCACCGTGCCTGGCCTTGTCTCTATTTAAAAAAAAGTACAATCAAATTAGGATTTAAACATTACCTCCAATAGTTAAATTTTCTTTCTTGAACAGAAAAGGTTCAACTCTTGAAATGTACCAAAAGCTTGCAATTGCCACAAGACCATTTCTCCAGATGAATAGTATTCATAGTAATGTGACTACAGTACTATATCTATTAGTGGATGCCCTGTGGAGTCCATCATGCAGTCCTCCGAGATTTCAAATTTTTTTATTCTTTTGAGACAGGGTCTCACTCTCTTACCCAGCCTGGAGTGTAGTGGTGCAATCTCAGCTCACTGCAACCTCCACCTCCCAAGCTCAAGTGATCCTCCCACCTCAGCCTCCCAAATAGCTAGGACTACGGGTGCGCACCATCATACCCAGCTAATTTTTGTATTTTTGGTAGAGACGGGGTTTCACCATGTTGCCCAGGCTGGTCTCGAAACCCTGAGTTCAAGCAATCTGCACGCCTCGGCAGCCTCCCAAAGTGCTGGGATTACAAGTGTGAATCACCGCGTCTGGCCTCGTTTTCTTAATTTTTTTATCATAAAGACAGGATCTCGCTATCTTGCTCAGGCTGGTCTCAAACTCCAAGGCTCAAGCAATCCTCCCACCTTCACCTCCCAAAGTGTTGGGATTACAGCCATGAGCCATCATACCCAGCAAACCTCAAATTTCTATGGTAGAAATCATAGAAGTCACTCAATGTATTCAATGGTAACAAAGGTATCCAACAACTCTGGGTATCCACAAGGCTAAAAACACAAAGCATGACACACGGCTCATTTTCTCTCGCTCAAGTTGGCTTCTGTTACCAAACATCCATTGGCCCTCTTCTAGGACATCTGCTTAATAGCCACTTGAGTTCTCCTTGAATTCTAGAATGCTTGAACTCCAGATTTCCAGTGGTTTTAATTTAGCTCTATTCCGTCTTTCCAGAGTACTAGAGAGAACAGTCAGTTCTCACACACGCCCCAAGAGTGCTGGCGAAGGCATTCCATCATGAATGGCTGTACCTTTATAGCTGGTGTCACTATGTAGCCTTCATGAGTAATGTGGATAGAGTAGCTGCCTGGCCATCCTTTGCTCCCTAGGATTCTGAAAGTTTACAATGCTGGGAGAAAAGCAGAGAATTGTCTGCCTACCTATATCAGACATGAAAATAGGCCATAAAGTTTCTCACCTTTTTTTTTTTCTAATTTTGACTTAATTAGGTCTGTTTTTATTAGCCAAAGGGGAAAATCATCCTTGAGGTTTGAAACAATAATTTTAAAAACCAAGAAAATATGAAATTATATTAAAAATAAAATGATTCTGAAAAATGAAGTTCTATTCCCCCCAAATGGCCCCATTTTTCCATTAAAAAAAGGAGCAAAAAAGAGGATTCAGTACTTTTTTTTCTCCAGTATCTAATTACATGCTTAGGTAATTTTTAAATACATACTTCAAAGCTGTAAGTTTACCTTACATTTTTACATTTCAAAGCAAAACAGAAAAAATGGAGCTTTGTGTACTTGATCAAAAATAGAGGAAATGATCCACACATACACACACACTTGCATAATGGTTAAAGCATAATGTTAACTACAAACAAAGGCTGAGATCTAAATTGAAGTGAGTCTGATCGATATATCTGGTTTAGTCAGTTCTGCACACATGGGTACCATGTGAAAATGTGAATAAAAAAGAACTAACCCTAGGTCCTAGGTCTCACTCTTGAGTCTGGGATGACAATTCCAAGTTTGTATTTAGAACCTTAGTCGAATTTCAGGATGAGTCATTGCACCATTAGAGCCAATTCCTTTTTTTTTTTTTCTGGGGGGTGGGGGGACACAGTTTCATTCTGTTGCTCAAGCTGGAGTGCAGTGGCACCATCTTGGCTCACTGCAGCCTCTGCCTCCCGGATTCAAATGGTTCTCGTGCCTCAGCCTCCTAAGTAGCTGGGATTACAGTCATGCACAACCATGCTCAGCTAATTTTTGTATTTTTAGTAGAGACGAGGTTTCACCATGTTGACCAGGCTGGTCTTGAACTCCTGAACCCAAGTGATCCTCCTACCTCGGCCTCCCAAAGTGCTGGGATTACAGGCGTGAGCCACCACGTCTGGCCAAGCCCAATCTTTAGTGTACTTATGAGAAGAAATGTTTTACTTACTCTGGTCAGCATAGTTTTTCGCTTTCAGCTCAAGTTGTCTTGTTTGAGATTCTAAAGATTCCACTCGGGTCTGTAAGTCCTTTTTTTCCTGTTCTTGAGAGTCTTCAAATTCAATGAATTTCTAATAAAGAAGAACAATATAAATTTAATCAGAGAAATTAAACTTTACATTTTCAACTCCTGTTATTTCTTGGAATCAATAATCACAATTAGGTATTAACTACTTAGATCTCAGAATTATGACCTTGGGTTGATTTTTAGTTTTTCTATAAAAATTAAGTTTAAAAAACTCCCAAATATAGAAGAAAAAAATAACAAAATAATTGTTTCCACTTCATGTTATAGGCATTCCATATGATATACATATCTTACTACAAATATATAAACCCTTTTGTATACTTGCATATGCATCTTGACTTCCAGACAACTTAAAAATCTATAACATGTACAATAGAGAACAAAAGAATGATGGAATAATCAATAAATATTTGTTAAATGGTTGTGTGATTAATAGTCATAGATTCACCTGAACCATGGAGTTTAAATTCCTAAGAAAAGGACATGTCCTAGGAATAACTCCACCACTCAAATCTAACTTACCAAACCTGTTCTCATCAAGGATAGTAACACTAAGTGCAATCATTAAATCTCAGTCTTCATCTTGATTGTTGTATCAGCAACATCTGACAAGTGATCCGCTCTCCTTAAAACTTTTTTTTTTTTTTTTTAATTTGGCTACCAGGATGTTTTCTTGTTTGCTGCTCGTTCTTGGTCTTCTTTGGTAGTACCTCCTTTTCTCCCCAACTTCTTAACATTGGCATGCTCCGTCCTTGGACACATCTTCTCTTCCTTGTTTACACTTATTCCCTAGTGATCGCGTCCAGTTTCATGGCGTTAAGTACGAACTATATGCTGACAACTTCTGAATTTCTATCTCTAGCCCAGACCTGAATTCCAGATTTGTATGTCCAACTGCCTACTAGAAAACTTCAATTGGATGTTTAAAAAGCATCTTAAGGCTGGGTGTGGTGGCTCACGCCTGTAATCCTAGCACTTTGCGAGGCTGAGGAGAGCAGATCACAAGGTCAGGAGTTCAAGACCAACCTGGCCAACATGCTGAAACCCTGTCTCCACTAAAAATACAAAAATTAGCTGGGCATGGTGGCACGTTCCTGTAATCCCAGCCACTTGGGAGGCTAAGGAAGGAGAGTTGCTTGAACCGGGACCCGGGAGGTGGAAGTTGCAGTGAGCCGAGATCGCACCACTGCACTCCAGCCTGGGCTACAGAGCAAGACTCTATCTCAAAAAAAAAAAAAAAAAAAAAAAAAAGCATCTTAAATTCTTAAATTTAGCATGTGAAAACTTGCTCCTCTCCTGGTCTTCTCTAGCTCATTAAATTACTGTGGTCAGTTACTCAGGACCAAAACTCTGGAGTCAGCTTTGACTCTTCTGTTTCTCTAGTACCTCACATATCCAATCCATCAGCAAATCTACCTTCAGATCTGACCGCTTTTCATCATTTCCACCACCATCCTGGTGTGTGCCACAATCATCTAATGCCTGGATTACTGCAACAGTGAAAGTCTCCTAATTAGTCTTCTTACTTCCACCCTAATCCTCTACAATATATTCTAGAGGATCTAGGAGGATTCTTTAAAAAGTCAGCCAGCCAGCCTGTCCAACATGGTGAAATTCGGTCTCTACTAAAAACACAAAAATTAGCTGGGCGTGGTGGCAGGCTCCTGTAATCCCAGTTACTGAGGAGGCTGAGGCAGGAGAATCGCTTGAACCCAGGAGACGGAGGTTACAGTAAGCTGAGATCACGCCACTAAACTCCAGCCTGGGCGACAGAACAAGACCCCCTCTCAAAAAAAAGCAGGCCAGGAGCAGTGACTCATGCCTGTAATCCCAGCACTTTGGGAGGCTGAGGCGAGCAGATCACCTGAGGTCAGGAGTTCGAGACCAGCCTGACCAACATGGAGAAACCCCGTCTCTACTAAAAATATAAAATTAGCTGGGTCTGGGGCGCATGCCTGTAATCCCAGCTATTTGGGAGGCTGAGGCAGGAGAATTGCTTGAACTCGGGAGGCAGAGGTTGCGGTGAGCTGAGATCACGCCATTGCACTCCAGCCTGAGCAACAAGAGCAAACCTCTGTCTCAAAAAAAAAAAAAGTAAAAACAATTTATCCTCTGCTTAAAACGCTCTAGTGGTTTAAATTCTTTACCATAGCCTCTAAGGATCTACACAACATGCTTCCACCATTCTCTTACTTCTTTGACATCATCCCCTACTTCTCTTCCTACCCTCTTCTCCTTCCCATTCTCTGATTCAAGCATCCATGCAGTTCCTCAAACACTTCAAGCCTCAGCACTTGCTTCCTACTACCTAGAATTCTCTTCTTCCAGATATCCAAACAGCTTGCTCTCTACTTACTTCCTTCACATCTTTGTTCAAATCTCACCTTCTTGGTGAAGGCTTCTTTGGCCAACCTATTTAAAACTGTGATACCAGGCCAGGCATGGTGGCTCACGCCTGTAATCCTAGCACTTTGGGAGGCCAAGACAGGTGGATCACTTAAGGTCAGGAGTTTGAGACCAGCCTGGCCAACATGGTGAAACCCCATCTCTACTAAATACAAAAATTAGCCAGGCATGGTGGTGCACGCCTGTAATCCCAGCTACTCGGGAGGCTGAGGCAGGAGAATTGCTTGAACCCAGGAGATGGAGGTTGCAGTCAGCCTAGATTGTGCCACTGCAGTGCATTCTGGCCTGGGCAACAGAGCAAGACTGTCTCAAAAAAAAAAAAAAAAAAAAAAAAAAACCTGTGATACCTACTCCCTATCTCTCCTCCCTGTTTATTTTCTTTAGAGTACTTAACCTCATCCAACATGCTATTTTAGTAATTAATGTTACTTATTACTTGTCTGTCCTCACTAGAATGTGGGTTCCATGAAGTCAGGGATTTTTGTTTTGTTCACTGCTGTATACCCAGTACAAAGAATGATGATAGCAGCACATAGCAGGTTCTCAAATATTTGTTAAACAAATGAATAAATGAAGAAAATTTTCCAAGTTAAAAAAACTGAAACCCTTATAGAAAAATTTATAATTCACAAAAAACTTAGGTATCACTACAATATATCCTAGTTTTAACATGAAATTGTCAGTCTATTACCTATATTAACTGTCCTCAAACTTTTCAATCACTGCAGAGGACATGGGTTTTTGTTTTTGTTTTTTTGTCTACACACATTACGTTCCTTTGGGGAACTTTCTCTCTCCAGTTTCATGCTAAGTATATTCAGTCCATGTAATTTGATTGGTGATGACCCCAACTCCCTAGGGGTGGGCACATGATTTGAACCAAACTGAGATGTCCTCTCTGGGACATCTGCCAGTTCTTAAACTCTAAAAACCTAGCAGGCCTAGGCTGCAGACTGACATCTTTTTCCAGCATAGAGAAGAGCAGGCCTGAGACTAAAGCCAATATAGAGAAAAAGAGCAAAGGGGAGAAAAACTTTAATTAAAGATACTATTTGTACCCAGGATTCCTGGAGCCAGAATTTTCCCAGTGTGTTTTGTTCTTTTCAGTTACAAAATCCAATAAATTCCTTTTTTA
This sequence comes from Homo sapiens, assembly GCF_000001405.40. NCBI lineage: Eukaryota > Metazoa > Chordata > Mammalia > Primates > Hominidae > Homo > Homo sapiens. Next base: position 51,083,203 of record NC_000017.11, read on the forward strand.
CATAAGCTTGAGTTGGTTTTTCTTTTTTCTTTTTTTTTTTTTTCTTTTTTGAGACTGAGTTTCGCTGTGTCCCCCAGGCTGGAGTGCGCTGGTACCATCTCAGCTCACTGTAACCTCTGGCTCCCGAGTTCAAGTGATTCTCCTGCCTCAGCTTCCCGCACAGCTGGGATTACAGGTGCCTGCCACCGCACCCGGCTAATTTTTGTATATTTTTGGTAGAGACGGGGTTTCACCATGTTGGCCGGGCCAGTCTCGAACTCCTGACCTCAAGTGATCCACCCACCTCGGCCTCCCAAAGTGCTGGAATTACAAGCGTGAGCCACCACACACAGCCTCTTTATTTTATTTATTTATTTATTTATTTATTTATTTATTTATTTAAGATGTAGGTCTCACTATGTTGTCAGGCTGGTCTACAACTGCTGAACTGCTGGCCTCAGACTCCTGGGCTCAAGCAACCCTCCTGCCTCAGCCTCCAGAGTAGCTGGAACTACATGTGTGAGCCACCATGTTTAACTTTCCTGATCTTTGAAGCCTGAAAACTACAAACCCTATAACATTGGTTCTTAATCATTAGGGGGTCCAAAGACCAATTTGGAAATTTGATCCATCTATGAACCATATTTCCCCAGAAAAAACGCCCCCGCCCATGTCAAATGCCACCTATTTTTCTCAGAGGGCTTAGAGACACTGTAGTTCCTTCCACAAACCCCAAGTTTAGCACCTCTTCGCTATACTTTTCTATGAAAACATTTCATATTTGTGGGACTTCTGGGGAAATCAAGTCACTGTTTATTTTTCAGAATATTCAAGATGACCATATATAGGAAAAGTAAAGGTTACAGTAAATATAGGAAAAGAGGCAAACTAATAAATCATTCATTCATTCAAGAAACATCTACTGACTACTTACTATGTACCAGGCACAGGGAACATGACTATGAGTATCCAACTAGCCCTGCCTTCCAAGTGTTCATTGGCTAGAACTGAATGCAAGCAGATGATGTAAGGTTACGTTAAATAGAAAAGCAGAAACTATGAAGTCTGAGTAAGTTATTTCAACATTTTGCCTTGATATATAAGCAAAGACTAAGAATTAATAGGAAAATGTAATTATTTTTTGGCCTGCTTTGAAAATGATGCTCCCTTGGCTAACTTAACTACTATATCTGGGAAAGTAACCAAAAAAAAAATTTTTTTTTTGGAGATGGAGTCTTGCTCTGTCACCCAGGCTGGAGTGCAGTGGTGCCATCTCAGCTAACTGCAACCTCCATCTCCTGGCTTCAAGCAATACTCCTGCCTCCAAGCAATACTCCTGCCTCAGCCTCTGCGTAGCTGGGACTACAGGCATGGGCTACCACGCCCAGCTAATTTTTTTGTATTTTTAGTAGAGACGGGGTTTCACCATGTTGGCCAGGATGGTCTCGAACTCCTGACCTCAAGCGATCTGCCTGTCTTGGCCTCCCAAAGTGCTGGGATTACAGGTGTGAGTCACTGCACCCAGTCCAGAAATTCTTATATTAGGCACCTCTTGTGTTACGGATAAAATGCTGTTTTAAAGAACATACAGCATTATGTTTACCAAGTAACACTTAAGATGCTGTGCTATCAAACTGCTAACAAAAAATTTTACCACTATTTTGCTTTTTATTTATTTATTTTTTTTGAGATGGAGTCTGGCTCTGTTGCCCAGGCTGGAGTGCAGTGGCATGATCTTGGCTCACTGCAGCCTCCACCTCCCAGGTTCAAGCAATTCTCGTGTCTCAGCCTCCCGAGTAGCTAGGATTACAGGCATGAGCCACCATGCCTGGCTAATTTTGGTATTTTTAATAGAGATGTGGTTTCACCTTGTTGGCAAGGCTGGTCTCCAACTCCTGACCTCAGGTGAACCCAGCACTTTGGGAGGCCGAGCTGGGATTACAGGCGTAAGCCACCGCACCCAGCCCAGAAATTCTTATCTTAGGCACCTTTTGTGCTATGGATAAAATACTATTTTAAAAAACATATAGCATTATGAAGATGCTGTGCTACTAAACTGCTACCAAAAATTTTTACCACTATTTTGCTTATTTACAACTCCTTTCTGCCTAATAGGAGACACCTAATAAGGGACACACAGTTTCACATCTGCTTTGTTGCTTAGCGACCAAGTTCAGCTTCAGAAGATGGATACCACAGAATACGACAATTCCAAAAAGACCTACCTTTGTGGAATGATTCAAGCTTCAGAATTTTTCACGTTTTATTATGACTACTGAGGCTTTTTATCTATATCACTTTAAATAAATATGGCAGAGAGAAAAGAGATTTTTTTTTAAGTGATGTGACAGGTCTTGGATTGGCAAGGCTATTATCTCCAAAGAGAAATCTCGTTTCTTTAGTTTCCTTTCACAGGAAAGTACGAGCAATAATAAAAATATTTCAAAGCAAATACATACTTTGAGTCATTTCCTTCAAACAAATTAAAACAGATAAACTTAGAGATTACAAAATGGAATGTTGTCTTTCACAAACGTGTGCACATTTTCTCCTTTCTTGTTCTAAGTAGATCTTAAACTTCTTGGAATCATAAACTCTTTTGAGTATATTGTGAAAACAGATCTTATACCCAGAAAGATAAATAGGTGAAACTCAAAGCTATATACATTTATCAGTGCATCTTCAAGTTCTAAAAGAAATCAAGGAGGATTTTTCCCCATTTATAAACACTATTGAGGTTGATTTTGTAAAAATAATTTTTTATCCTCTTGGAAATCATTTTTTTTTTTTTTTTTTTTTTTTTGAGACAGAGAGTCTCACTCTGTCGCCCAGGCTGGAGTGCAGTGGTGCAATCTCAGCTCACTGCAACCTCCACCTCTTGGGTTCAAGCAGTTCTCGTGCTTCAGCCTCTGGAGTAGCTGAATCACCATAGCTGAATCAGGCATGCATCACCATACTCAGCTAATTTTTGTATTTTTGGTAGAGACAGGGTTTCAGTATGTTGGCTGGGCTGGTCTCAAACTCCTGACCTCAGGTGATCTGCCTGCGTCGGCCTCCCAAAGCGCTGGGATTACAGGTGTGAGCCACCACACCCGGCTGAAAATCCCAATTTTAAATGTGTATTAAGTCTTGGTTTGGAAACGTACAGCTGCCATCCTCATTTAAAATGCTAATCACAGCCATGTGCAGTGGCTCATTCCTGTAATCCTAGCACTTTGGGAGGCCGAGGTGGGCAGACTGCCAGAGCTTAGGAATCTGAGACCAGCCTGAGCAACATGGTGAGACCCCATCTCTACTGAAAACACGATAAAAAAAAAAAAAATTAGCCAGGCATGGTGGCATGCACCTGTAGTCATAGCTACTCGGGAGGCTGAGGCACAAGAATCGCTTGAACCCAGGAGGTGGAGGCTGTAATGAGCCGACATCCCACCACTTCACTCCTGCCTGGGCAATGGAGCAAGACTCTGTCTCCAAAAATTACAGGCTCATGCCTATAATCCCAGCACTTTGGGAGGCCAAGGTGGGTGGTCAGGAGTTCAAGACCAGCCTAGCCAAGATGGTGAAACTCAGTCTCTACTAAAAACACAAAAGTTAGCTGGGCGTGGTGGCAGGTGTGTGTAATCCCAGCTACTTGGGAGGCTGAGGTAGGAAAATTGCTTGAACCCAGGCGGCAGAAGTTGTAGTGAGCTGAGATGGTGCCACTGCACTCCAGCCTGGGTGACAGAGTGAGACTCCGTCTCAAAAAATAAATAAAATAATAAAATAAAAAATAAAATGCTAATCACTAATATGCAACAAAAATAAAAGTTCCTCAGTTCTGATAAGACATCCCTAATAGCTTACACAGGGCACTGAAAGCTGAGTAGGATAAATGTAATACTAACTTTCAAAGAATAATCAAGAATCAAGAAAAAGTAACAAGTGACTGGAAGTTTCTAAATTGCTATCCAAGAAAAATATCCATCAAATAGTCTAGTTTTGGGCCACTGTTTTGAGAAATATCCCTGACAATATAGGTAACCTCATAAACAGAAGTTGCTGTAGGGTAGAATAGCTCAGAAAGCAGAACACTCATAATTACAAAAATACTTCAGAAATGGCATAGCTCTATATAGCAATTAGCAATCATGTGAAAGTGGGAAACATTGATATAAGAATTTATGAATGAGAAAACAGGAATAGAAACAGAGACGGTGTCATGAAATTCAAACAGATGCCAAAATACAGCTCTTGGCAGAAAAAGGTTTGGATTCGTGGTCCTAGTAAGAGTCCTCTTTTTTCCTGGATGAAGGCTGGAGGTATAGCATAAGGGAAGTAATGAGAATAGTTTCTTTGTCTCTATACCTAACCTTTTCATACTATCAACAAAATACTTGGGCAATGAGTGGCATGGGTTACACTAAAAAGAAAGTTCTCAGGGCTTTCTGCTTCCCTTCTACATTCAGAGATCTTAGTTGGGCTGGTAGCACATGAGTTCTGCTGAACCTCATTACTAGGTTTGTATAGTACAAGCATGGCTGACCTTCTTTATTGTTTAATTTAATTTTTAATTTTCATTTACTTATTTTTTAGAGATGAGGTGTTGTTCTGTCATCCAGGCTGGAAGTGAAGTGGTACAATCATGGCTCACTGCAGCCTCGACTTCCTGGGCTCAAGCGATCCTCCCACCTCAGCCTTCTGAGTAGCTGGGACTACAGGCATGTGCCACTATACCCAGCTAAATTTTTTTTATTTCTTATTTTTAGTAGAGACAAGGTCTCACCATGTTGCCCAGCCTGGTCTCGAATTCCTGAGCTCAAGCGATCCTCCTGCCTCAGCCTCCCAAAGTGCTGGGATTATAGGCATGAGCGACCATGCCTGGCCCTGACCCTCTTTTTAAAGTCTTCTTGATTTACTTCAAAGAAACATGTCTGCCTTCTACTTCTATAATTTCCACTTAACACACTAACTGAGATAACAAAAATAGGAAACATCCCAGTCCGTCACTCTGTAGTCAAAGAAAAACTTGTCATAGTTAAGAGACTAGGAAAAAGCTGTTGTAATAGTTAAGCCACACACCTATTCACAATGCCTATTCTCCAAATGCTAGGCAGTTAGGCAGCATGATGATATTTACTACAAACTAGGTAATGTCATTCATAGGACTTATTCTTAGATAAAATAACATGTTAAATATAAAACTAAAACTCTTTGCCCACCCATCCAATAGGAGTACTCACTGTATGAGAGCCATCAAAGACGTATCATAAACATTTACAGTGTAACACGCTAAGTGCTATAATGAAAGCAGAGAGGAAGAAGTGACTAAATCTGCTTTAAAAAAGGGAAGTCAAGGCTGGACACAGTGGCTCACACCTGTAATCTCAGTACTTTGGGAGGCCAAGGTGGGCAGATCACGAGATCAGGAGATCGAGACCAACCTGGCTAACACGGTGAAACCTCGTCTCTACTAAAAATACAAAAAAAATTAGGCGGACTTGGTGGCGGGCGCCTGTAGTCCCAGCTACTCAGGAGGCTGAGGTAGGAGAATGGCATGAACTTGGTCGGCAGAGCTTGCAGTGAGCCGAGATCGTGCCACTGCACTCCAGCCTGGGCAACACAGTGAGACTCCGTCTCAAAAAAAAAAATGGGAGGTGGGCACAGTTGCTCACGCCTGTAATCCCAGCACTTTGGGAGGCCGAGGCAGGTGGGTCATGTGGTCAAGAGATGGAGACCACTCTGGCCAACATGGTGCAACCCCGCATCTACTAAAAATACTAAAATTAGCCAGGCGAGGTGGCACCCGCCTGTAGTCCCAGCTACTCGGAAGGCTGAGGCAGGAGAATCACTTGAACCTGGTAGGCAGGGGTTGCGGTGAGCGAGATTGCGCCACTGCACTCCAGCTTGAGCAACAGAGGGAGATTCTGTCTCAAAAACAAAACAAAACAAAACACACACACACAAAAAAAAAACAGAAGTTGGGCCAGGCACGGTGGCTCATGCCTGTAATCCTAGCACTTTGGGAGGCCGAGGCAGGTGGACCACCTGAGGTCAGGAGTTCGAGACCAGCCTAGCCAACATGGTAAAGCCCTGTCTCTACTAAAAATACAAAAATTAGCTGAGCCTGGTGGTGGGCACCTGTAATCCCAGCTACTTGGAAGGCTGAGGCAGGAGAATCACTTGAACCCAAGAGGTAGAGGTTGCACTGAGGTGAGACTGTGCCATTGCACTCCAGCCTGGGCAACAAGAGTGAAACTCTGTCTCAAAAAAACAAAAAAACAAACAAACAAAAAAGAAGTCGACAGGTGCACCGAAATCTCGGAAATCACCACTAAAGAACTTATCCATGTAACCAAAAACTACCTGTTCCCCAAAAAATATTGAAATAAAATTATATATATATAATTATAATATATATGTGTATATCTACTTATTATATGTATATATATACACTTTATTTTATATATATATATATATATATATATATATATATATATATATATACACATACACACACACACTTTCTTTTTTTTGATATGGAGTCTCGCTCTGTGACCCAGGCTGGAGTGCAGTGGCATGATCTTGGCTCCCTGCAACCTCTGCCTACCAGATTCAAGCAATTCTCCCTGCCTCAGCCTCACGAGTGGCTGGGATTACAGGCACCCACCACCATGCCCAGCTAATTTTTTGTATTTTTAGTAGAGACAAGGTTTCACCATGTTGGCCAGGCTGGTCTCGAACTCCTGACCTCAGGTGATCCACCTGCCTTAGCCTCCCAAAGTGCTGGATTACAGGCGTGAGCCACCGTGCCCGGCCATATATACTATTTTTTTAAAAAAGAGAGAAGTCATTTTAGCTTACTCTAAAAGGAATGGTTTGCCTAAAACCTTTACTGAGATAAAGACATTCCAGGCAGAGGTCACAGCACATGCAAACGTCTAAAGATCATGGCATGCCCAGGTAACTACAATTCACCATTAAATTTTGAGTCGATGTAAAGGTAAACTATAAACTAAAGAATAAGTTGAGAATCTCTCTGATTCACAAAGCGAGTAAAAAAGACAAGTAAGATTCCACTTGGCCAGGTGCGGTGGCTCAAGCCTGTAATCCCAGCATTTTTGGGAGGCCGAGGCAAGCAGATCATGAGGTCAGGAATTCAAGACCAGCCTGGCCAACATGGCAAAACCCCATCTCTACTAAAAATACAAAAATTAGCCAGGTGTGGTGGCAGATGCCTGTAATCCCAGGTACTGGGGAGGCTGAGACAGGAGAATTGCTTGAACCTGGGAGGCAGAGGTTGCAGTGAGCCGAGTCCAGCCTGGGCAACAGAGCAAGACTCCATCTCAAAAAAAAAGATTACATTCATCCATCTTTTCAAAACACAACTTGAGCCCCTATTGTTTTAAATATTCCAAGGTACTGGGAAATGTAGTAAGTTACAAGAGAGCCCTATGTTCTATTGATTGAAATTTAACAGAAGATGAAAGGTCTTAATCATGGGTAATTACATTTTATAAAAAAGATCGATTTACAAAAGATCTTGCATAATTCAACAGTCACCTAATTGAGGTTAAGGCTGATAAGAGATGGCTGATATTTCTGTTACTGCCTAGGTAATACCAACATAGGATAACAGCACAACATTGGTTTACAGCTCAGTCAGGCTTTCATATAACATGATTTCTGAAGACTTTCTGAAATGAGAAGGTAACATTTCAAACTCTGAATATGAAATGAAACTTTTAAAAATCACATAGTTCAAGTCTGCATATAATGTAACCACACTGAAATTACATATGTGAACAAGAAAAAGCACAGGCCAGGCACGGTGGCTCATGCTTGTATAATCCCAGCACTTTGGGAGGCCAAGGAGGGCTCATCACTCAAGCTCAGGAGTTCGACACCAGCCTGGGCAATATGACTCTGTCTCCACGAAACCCTGTCTCCACGAAAAATATGAAAATTAGCCTGGTGTAGTGGTGTGCATCTGTAGTCCCAGCTACTCAAAGGCTGAGGTGGGAGGGGATCACCAAGCCCAGGAGGCAGAGGTTGCAGTGAGCTGAGAGTGAGCCACTGCACTCCAGCCTGAGCGACGGATCAAGACCCTGTATACAAAAAAAAAAAAAAAAAAGGAAATGAATGCTCATAAAAAGTCTAGGATAGTCATTAATGATTTAATGTGACTTAATTGCTTGCCAGTGGCATGACTTTATAAGTTGGTCACCCTCTACTACGCTTGGCAAACCTTAGAATAACCACGATAGGGTTAGGCCAACAGCAAAATCGTGGCAGGAGAAGCGCAGCAGTTTTTTTTGTTTGTTTTTCTGTTTTTTTGTTGTTGTTGTTGTTGTTTGCATATTATAAAACCACATTAGCCCTGGAAATTCCAGAGAGTCCCCTCAGCACAAGCATTTGTCAGATCACTCAGGTATGTTGGTATGAAACGCACATACTCCTCCCCTTTTCTGTTTTTCTCACACACATACCCACTTTTTTTTAAGGACTAGGGGGATTAAGGGCCTGTGAATGAGCTTTTTCAGCAGGTATAATAACACATCTTCACTAAATACCCCTCTTCCCTTTCAATAACTAATAGGCCAGCAACAACATTAAAGTGACTTCAGACAACTCTCCTGGGAGCAACTAGACACCGTTAAAAAAAAAAAAATCAGTGGACAATACAGACTTATGTCAGGATCTAAAAAGAGTAAGCTTTGTGATGAAGCAAAATGCTTTTAAGTCCAGATGGCTTATAGGGACTGTTTCGCCCCACTGTTCTGGGGAAAAACAAATGAATACTTTGAAAAGACAAGCTCCCAAAGTTAAAAAAAAAAAAAAAAAAAATTCCCTAAAGGTTGTTGCTTGTTGGAGTAAAGATGCAGAAGAAAAAAGAAAGAAAAGAAAAAGAATAGCCATTTAAATACTTTGACTATAGTACTTGTCTAAAAAATAGTATCAAATAAAGGGCTGGCTTATTAAGTGTCCATCAAGATATTATATTAATTAGTTAAATGTAATTGTTTTTAAATGTAATTTCTTTTAAGAAATAAGACAGGATTGAAGACCATATTAAATAACACTCAAGGGATATAATCCCTTCCAAGTCCAAAATGTGGAAAATTTTTTAACACAAATGATTTGGTTTCTTCTACAATAAATGTCAAGTGGGGAAAAAAAGAAAAAAAGAACCATTATATAAAGAGGAACTTGAGACATATTGAACCAAGTATAAATGTATAGACTCTCTTGTTTAGATACTGATTGAAAACAACCAACTACAAAACTACATTTAAGAGACAATTAGGGAAATATGAACACTTATTAAGTATTAAATATTATTAAAGAGTAATTGTTTATAAGTTTTAGATGTGTTAATGGTGTTGTGGTTATATTTGTTAAACAGCCCTATCTCCTAAAGATACAATGATATAGTCTTTGGTCTGCCTTAATATTATGGTGAAAAATTGGTTTGGCCAGGCACAGTGGCTCACGCCTGTAATCTCAGTGCTTTGGGAGGCAAAGGTGGGAAGATCACTTGAGGCCGAGAGTTTGAGAACAGCCTGGGGAACATAGAGAGACCCTTGTCTCTACAAAAAAAAAAAAAAAAGAAAAAAAGAAAAAGAAAAATTTAGCTGGACGTGGTGGCAGACACCTGTAGTTCTAGCTACTCAGGAAGCTAAACTGGGAGGATTGCTTTAGCCCAGGAGTTCTAAGCTGCAGTGAGCTATGATCACACCACTGCACGCCTGCCTGGGCTACAGAGCAAGCAAATGTCTCTTAAAAAATTTTTTTTTCTAAAGAAAAAATATTGGCATTTTGTTGGTAACTGCTGAAGTTGAATGATGGGTATATGGGAGTTCAAATATATTCTACTATTCTCGGTAATCATCAATGTTTAGATATTTCTGTAAAAAAAAAAAAAAAAAAAAGTTGGCCAGGCATAGTGGCTCATGCTTGTAATCCCAGCACTTTGGGAGGCTGAGGTGGACAGATTGCTTGAGCTCAGGAGTTCGAGACAAGCCTAGGCAAAATAGCAAAACCCTCTTTTTAAAAAAAACAAAAAAATGAAAATAAATTATTGGAATAAAAGTATCAGTGGTGTTTAATATGAAAAAAGTTTGTCCTGCCATTAAAAAGCAAATATGCAGAAAGGGGCATGTACAAAGACATTCATTGAAGGGCTATTTGTAACAGTTCACAACTGGAAGATAACTTAAATGTCTATCAACAGACAGTGGATAAGAAAATTATAATAGATCTGGCCAGGCATGGTGGCTCACGCCTGTAATCCCTGCACTTTGGGAGGCTGAGGCGGGTGGATCACAAAGTCAGGAGATCGAGACCGTCCTGGCTAACATGGTGAAACCCCGTCTCTACTAAAAAAATCAGCCAGGCGTGGTGGCGGGTGCCTCTAGTCCCTGCTACTCGGGAGGCTGAGGCAGGAGAATGGCGTGAACCCAGGAGATGGAGCTCACAGTGAGCCGAGATTGCGCCACTGCACTCCAGCCTGGGCGACAGAGCAAGACTCCGTCTCAAAAAAAAAAAAAAAAAAAAAGAAAATTATAACAGATCCATACTATGGAAAGTATGTAATAGAAAACTGGTGTGGTGTGTGAGGGTGGGACTGAAAACAGGAGGGTTGAGTGGAAGTCTAAAATCACTAGTTAGTAATATCCCTAGTAGGTAGACAGTCCCACACCAGACTGGCCAGGTGGCCTTCCTTGCTCACCCACACAGGAAATAAGAGGTTTGTTTTCTCAATAAACTCAACCAGAAATTTTAGACTAGGAACACTCTAGGCACAGCCAGGCAGGTGCCAAATGACAAGTGGAATTACATGAAGGTCTAAAGTCTACGTACTAAACAGTAATAGGGCCTCCTTCCTGCCTTCATCCAGGTTGCAATAATGTAAATATCTAGGCTTACCTACCACTCCACCAGCCACACCTCAAAGAGACTATCCTTCTCTGGAAAAACTCAAGTGTCTCTACGAAAGGACCATGGGATATTGAAATCTGGGTTGCCAAGAGGCAGTAAACTGTATCCAGGCACACAAAGCTTCCAACCCTCCTTTTTTAGTGTCTCACTTTTAAAACATGAAGGATAATTAAGAATTATAAGGCACTTTAAGTTCTAGCCTGAAAGAGAGAAACCAAAACTATAAGAAATAAAAATGGGACTCTGACAAAACAGACAAAGCAGGGAACAAATGAAAACTATAATTAATATACTCAGAGACCAAAGAAAAGTCATTGCTCCCATGGAACCAGAATAGTATGCTATTTTTAAAAGTAGTGAGGAGGGAAACAAAACAGGAAAGAGCACTTGGAAATTATTAAAGTATGAATTGACGAATCCAGCACTTTTTGTCTTTCTTATATACAAACTATACCTTAGGGTAACCAAACAGTTGATGAGGGGAAGTTTCCTTTACAAGAAAATTTAGCTGATAAATGTTGAAGGAATAACTGGATTGAAATAGCACCATTTCCCAACCCCTAATGATATAATAAGGAATATCCAGTTTTCCAGGTTGTCTCATATATGTTTTTACACTCAAGATCCAAACAAGGTTCATACATTACATTTGGATAATATATCTCTTAAGTCTCTTTTAAACTCTGGATTCCCCAAGTAATGATCCTTTTCACCTAAGTGATGATCCTATAATGGAATACTATAAAACCATTAAAAATATATAGCTATGTACTTCCAGACATAGTTTGTGCCAGTTATCAGTGAATGAAACTGAATAGGCAATTCACAGAGAAGTAGAATCACCAGTAAATGTAAAACATGCTCAAGCACACTACTGATCTGACAAAAGCAAATTAAAATAAGAAGTGGTGGCCAGGCTGGGCGCGGTGGCTGACGCCTGTAATCCCAGCACTTCGGGAGGCCGAGGTGCATGGATCACGAGGTCAGGAGATCGAGACCATCCTGGCTAACACTGTGAAACCCCGTCTCTACTAAAAATACAAAAAAAATTAGCCGGGCGTGGTGGCGGGCACCTGTAGTCCCAGCTACCGGGAGGCTGAGGCAGGAGAATGGCAGGAACCCAGGAGATGGAGCTTGCAATGAGCCGAGAACTCGCCACTGCACTCCAGCCTGGGGGACAGAGTGAGACTCCATCTTTAAAAAAAAAAAAAAAAAAAAAAAAAAGTGGCAGCCAGGCACGGTGGCTCACGCCTGTAATCCCAGCACTTTGGGAGACTGAAGGGGCAGATCATGAGGTCAGGAGTTCAAGACCAGCCTGACCAACATGGTGAAACCCCGTCTCACTTGATCTTAGCCAAAGGCTGAGAAATGATGAAACCCCTTCTCTACTGAAAATACAAAAATGAGCCAGGCATGGTGGTGCGCACCTGTAGTTCCAGCTACTCGGGAGGCTGAGGCAGAAGAATCACTTGAACCTGGGAGGTGGAGGCTGCAGTGAGCCGAGATCATGCCACTGCACTCCAGCCTGGGCGACAGAGTGAGAATCCATCTCCAAAAAAAGAAAAAAATGTGTATATATATATATAGTGATATATATATAGTGATATATATAGTGATATATACATATAGTGATATATACATATAGTGATATATATATAGTGATATACATATAGTGATATATATAGTGATATACGTATAGTGATATATAGTGAGATATATATAGGGAGAGATATAGAGATATATAGTGATATATATAGTGATATATATATAGTGATGTGATATATATAGTGATATATACAGTGATATATATAGTGATATATATATAGTGATATATATAGTGATATAGTTATATATATAGTGATATATATATATAGTGATATATATATATATAGTGATATATATATAGTGATATATATATATAGTGATATATATATATAGTGATATATATATATAGTGATATATATATATATATAAAGTGGTTTCACACCTGTAATCCCAGAACTTTGGGAGGCTGAGGTGGGTGGATCATTTGAGGTTAGGAGTTCGAGACCGGCCTTGTCAACATGGTAAAACCCTGACTCTACTAAAAACACAAAAATCAGCCAGACATGGAGGAGGCATGCACTTGTAGTCCCAGCTACTTGGGAGGCTGAGGCAGCAGAATTGCTTGAACCCAGGAGGCGGAGGTTGCAGTGAGCCAAGACTGCTCCACTGCACTCCAGCCTGGGTGACAGAGTGAGACTCTGTCTCAAAAAAAAACAAAAAAAAGAAAGAAAGAAAGAAGTGGTTTCAACCACATCAGACAGGCAACAGAAACCAAAAAGTCTGATAGTGCAGGAAGTGTTGGCAAAGATACAAGAAAATAAGAAGTCTTTTATACTACTGATAGGAATATAAATCACTGCACTCCTTTGACAAGCAATGTTACCTTATCTAGTTAATTTTACAAATACATATCCTAAAACCTGGCATCCTATTTCTAAAATATATACTTTGAGAAGATCTTACATATGCACCGAATGTTACTACAACAACATTTGTAATATATAATGTGGTAATGAAGAATGGATAGTGGTATATTCATGTCATCGATGGAATACACAGCAGTTAAAAGGAAAGAATTAGATGCATATGTATATCAACATGGACAGATCAACAGGTAAAAAAAAATAAAATGCAAGATTATATAAGAATGTAACAGTGTGATATCGTGAAATACGTATTTGGTCTCTGACCCAGTTTCCTAACATATAATTCCTAAAATATAATTCCTAAAATCCTTAGAATCTCCAGAGAGATGTCTTTTTGTATGTTAATGGGTAGATTCATGGCTGGCAGCCCCTACATAGCTTAAGGATGGGAGCTGGTCATTGGAAAGACCAAAAGCATAATTAGAGGGTTAGGACTTTCAGCCCACCCCACACAACCTCCCAGGAGGGGAAAGGGGCTGAAGGTGAAGTTGATCACCAATGACCAATGGTTTCATACCTACGTAGTGACGCCTCCATAAAAACTCAAAAGAACAAGGTTGAGAGATCTTCCAGATAGCTGAACACATGGAGGTTCCTGCAGGGTGACATGTACAGGGAGGGCATGGAAGCTCTGCACCACTACCCCCATACCCTGCTTTACGCATCTTTTCATCTACATCCTTTGTAACAGTAAACATAACTGTTTCCCCAGGTTCTGCAAACCATTCAGCAAGTCAACTGAACCTGAGGAGGGGGTTGTGGGAACCCCAGTTTATAGCCAGTTGAGACTGTACTGGACACAGAGGATTCATCAAAAATAAAAGACAGTAGCTGGGCAAGGTGGCACATGACTGTAATCCCAGTGATTCGGAGGCTGAGGCAGGAAGACAGCTTGCACCCAGGAATTCAAGATCAGCCTGGGCAACACAGCAAGACCTTCATCTCATAAAGAAAAAAAATTATGGTATCTACATTATATACACACACACACATATACATATATATGTACATATATATACATGGCAGGTTGGTCAGAAGCACAGGTAAAATAACCTGAGGCTTGAGATTGGCATAAGTGTTGTCGGTAGTCTTGGGGACTGAGACCTCAAACTGTGGGATGTGACACTATCTCAAGTAGACAGTGTCAGTATTAAGTTAGATGACACCTAGCTGGTGCCTGATGCAGAACTGATTGCTTGCTGGTAGGGAAAAACACTCCCATATTTTTTTATTTGTTTGCTTTTTAAGATAGGGTCTCACTCTGTTGCCTGGGTTGGAGTGCAGGTGACACGATCCCAGCTCACTGCAACCTTGACCTTCAGGGCTCACTGCAACCTCGACCTTCAGGGCTCAAGCAATCCTCCTGCCTCAGCCTTCCAAGTAGTTGGGACTACAGGCACATGCCACCATGCTCAGCTAATTTTTGTATTTTTCTGTAGAGACAGGGTTTCATCATGTTGCTCAGGCTGGTTTCAAACTCCTGGGCTCAAGCAATCCACCTGCCTCAGCCTCCCAAAGCACTGGGATTATAGGCATGAGCCACTGCACCTGCCCTACCCCACATATTTGGTCACAGAAGTCTTCTGTGTTATGTGTGTTTTTTTTTTCAGGTCTGAGAATGTGCCAGTGTTGTAACAAGGTTCAAGGGTGGCATATCTCACACACCTGCATGAACACCCAATCACCATGCTCATGAACTACAAATACAGCGGGCTGATTGTTTTTGGTGTGAGAGCAGAAGACAGACAGTTCGTGGTTTTTTTTTTCCACTCTTAAGCAATGGTTTCTGAATTAGAGGGAAGGGTGAGACAGTTATAATCACAAACACCCTGAGTGATTTTTTTTTCCAAACACACAGGCCCTGCCTAGCAGCACTTCTTCCAACCAGTCTCACAAGCCTGTGGGGGTAAATGGGTTTTTACTTATTTATTTATTTATTTGAGACGGAGTTTCGCTCTTGTTGCCCAGGTTGGAGTGCAGTGGTGTGATCTCGGCTCACTGCAACGTCTGCCTCCAGGGTTCAACCGATTCTCCTAACTCAGCCTCCCCAGTAGCTGAGATTACAGGCATCTGCCACCACGCCAGACTAATTTTCTGTATTTTTAGTAGAGACGGGGTTTCTCTGTGTTGTCAGGCTGGTCTGAACTTCTGACCTCAGGTGATCCGCCCCCCTCGGCCTCCCAAAGTGCTGGGACTATAGGCATGAGCCACTGTGCCCAGCCGGATGGGTTTAAAGAATTGGTTACTTTGGGCCGGGCACAGTGGCTCACGCCAGTAATCCCAGCAATTTGGGAGGCCAAGGCGGGCGGATCACAAGGTCAGGAGATCAAGACCATCCTGGCCAATATGCTGAAACCCGGTCTCTACTAAAAATACAAAAATTAGCCGAGTGTGGCGGCGCTTGCCTGTGGTCCCATCTACTGGGGAGGCTGAGGCAGAAGAACTGCTTGAACCCAGGAGGCAGAGGCTGCAGTGAGCTGAGATAGTGCCACTGCACTCCAGGCTGGGTGACAGAGCGAGACTCCGTCTCAAAAAAAAAAAAAAAAAAAAGAATATGATGTACCATTACTACAGTGAAAATTGGCCAGGCGTGGTGGCTCACGCCTGTAATCCCAACACTTTGAGAGACCGAGGTGGGCAGATCACCTGAGGTCAGCAGTTTGAGACCAGCCTGACCAACGTGGAGAAACCCCGTCTCCAATAAAAATACAAAATCAGCCAGGCGTGGTGGCGCATTCCTATAATCCCAGCTACTTGGGAGGCTGAGGCAGGAGAATCGCTTGAACCCAGGAGGCGGAGGTTGCAGTGAGCCGAGATAGCGCCATTGCACTCCAGCCTGGGCAATAAGAGCAAAACTCTGTCTCAAAAAAAAAAAAAAAAAAGGAAAAAAAATACAGTGAAATAGTAGTATGTTCAAAGTAACTTGTGACGTCATCTCAGCATGCAAAAAGTTTCAGATTTTGAAGCATTTCAGATTTCACATTTTCAGACTAGGAATGCTCTACCTGTGTTATGATGTTTGCTACATCAGCCAAGTGATGCCTTACTAACTTTGTTACACAGTTATGTGCTTCTGTAGGTATATGGCCAACATCTTACATTTCTGACTTTAATTTACAGATCTTCAATCCTGACACTGTGGTTTTTGCTTCAACACTTGACTCTGTTATGAAAATATTCTTCTATTACTAAAAAAAAAAAAAAAAAAAAAAAAAAAAAACTAGAAATTGTTATCTTAAAAAAGACCCAGCCAGGCGCAGTGGCTCACGCCTGTAATCCCAGCACTTTGGGAGGCCGAGACAGGTGGATCACCTGAAGTCAGGACTTCGAGACCAGCCTGGCCAAAAAGACAAAACCTTGTCTCTACCAAAAATAAAAAAATTAGCCAGGCATTGTGGAAGGCACCTGTAACTCCAGCTACTCAGGAGCCTGAGGCAAGACAATCACTTGAACCTGGGAGGCGGGAGTTGCAATGGACCGAGATTGTGCCACTGCACTCCAGCCTGAGCAACAGAGTGAGACTCTGTCTCCAAAAAAATAAAAATAAAATAAGGGTAAATAAGCACTTTGCACTTAAATGTTTCTTCAGTAAGCCAAGATAACAAACTTTAATGCTTGAGACATTTAATTTGGCTGCTGAGAATTCTGTTTAATTCCTGGCCCTTGGCTAGGTTAAGGATGGTTAAAACTGAGCCAATTATGGACTGAATTCCTATCCCAAGATAAAAGTATTTTTTAAAGAGTTAAAACTAGGGTCAGGCACAGTGGCTCACACCTATAATCCCAGCACTTTGGGAGGCCAAGGTGGGCAGACTGCTTGAGCCCAGAAGTTTCAGACCAGCCTGGGCAACATGGTGAGATCCTGTCTCTACAAAAATTACAAAAATTAACTGGACATGGTGGTGTCTGGCTTGATGCCTATAATACTTGTGACAGTACCTACAGTACCTGCTACTTGGGAGGCTGAGGTGGAAGGATCACATGAGACTGAAGTCAAGGCTGCAGTGAGCCATAATCGTGCCACTGCACTCCAGTCTAGGACAGAGAGACCCTGCCTTCAAAAAAAAATGGCCAGGTGCAGTGGCTCACATCTGTAATCTGGTACTTTGGGACGCCAAGGCGGGAGGATCAACTGAGGTTGGGAGTTCCAGACCAGCCTGACTAACATGGAGAAACCCCCTCTCTACTAAAAATACAAAATTAGCCAGGCATGGTGGTGCATGCCTGTAATCCCAGCTACTTGGGAGGCTGAGGCAAGAGAATCGCTTGAACCTGGCGGGGCAGAGGTTGCGGTGAGCCAAGATTGCGCCATTGTACTCCAGCCTGGGCAATAAGAGCAAAACTCCGTCTAAAAAAAAAAAAGTTAAAACTAAACAAAGCCAAAAATGAGTGTGTAATTTCTGCCAAATGTGTCCAAATTACATCAAACAAGTTCAAATGGACTATTTTCACAGAGAAACCATAGGCAATCGTCTTTTTAAAAGTGACCCTTATGGGGCTGGGCATGGTGGCTCATGCCTGTAATCCTAGCATTCAGGGAGGCCAAGGCAGGTGGATCACGAGGTCAAGAGATCAAGACCATCCTGGCCAACTTGGTGAAACACCGTCTCTACTAAAAATACAAAAATTAGCTGGGCTTGGTGGCGCACACCTGTAGTCCCAGCTACTTGGGAGGCTGAGGCAGGAGAATTGCTCAAACCCAGGAGGCAGAGGTTACAGTGAGCCGAGATCGCACTACTGCACTCCAGCCTGAGTGACACTGTGAGATTCTGTCTCAAAAAAAAAAAAAAAAAAAAAAAAAATTACCTTTCTGGTTTGATGCTACACTTTGAAAAAACTGCTTAACCTTTAAAAAGGTATTTGTTTTGCCATCATCTGATGCCTGGCAAAAAATAAAAATAGAAAACAAACAAACAAAAAAGGTATTTGTTTCTGACAGGTAGCAGTAACAAAATGTGGCTAGGCTAGAACAGGTAACTGAAAGAAAATTCAAAATTGAGGAGTACATAATTAAAACTAGAAATTTGATTTATACCATAATAGTCCTTTTTTTTTTGAGGGGGACAGGGGAGGGATGGAGTTTCACTATTGTTGCCCAGGCTGGAGTGCAATGGTGCAACCTCAGCTCACTGCAATCTCCACCTCCCAGGTTCAAGCAATTCTCCTGTCTCAGCCTCCGGAGTAGCTGGGATTATAGGCACCCGCCACCATGCCTGGCTAATTTTTTGTATTTTTAGTAGAGACGGGGTTTCACCATGTTGGCCAGACTGTTCTCAAACTCCTGACCTCAGGTGATCTGCCCTCCTTGGCCTCCCAAAGTGCTGGGATTATAGGCATAAGCCACCGCGCCTGGCCTATACCATAATAGTCTAGCACAGGCTTTTAACCAACATGGATTTCCACGCCCCCAAAAATAATTGTTTATTTTTCTTTAGAACAAATGTTTTCTTCAGAAATAAATGTTGTTTTACTCACCATTTTATCTGTTACTCTAAGGTACTGCTGAATCCTGA
The DNA here is from genome assembly GCF_000001405.40 of Homo sapiens. Taxonomy (NCBI): domain Eukaryota; kingdom Metazoa; phylum Chordata; class Mammalia; order Primates; family Hominidae; genus Homo; species Homo sapiens. Next base: position 51,102,083 of record NC_000017.11, read on the forward strand.
TTAGAAAGGTCTAACATGGGCCATGCACAGTGGCTCACATTTGTAATCCTAGCATTTTGGGAGGCCAAGGTGGGCGAACTGCCTGAGCTCAGGAATTTGATACCAGGCTGAGCAACATGGTGAAACCCCGTCTCTAAAATACAAAAAACATAAAATACTAAAATACAAAAAATTAGCCAGGCATGGTGGCACACGCCTGTAGTCCCAGCTACTTGGAAGGCTGAGGCACGAGAATCGCTTGAACCTAAAGGCCAGAGGTTACAGTGAGCCAAGATCATGACTCTTCACTCCAGCCTGGGTGACAGTGTGAGACTCTGTCTGCAAAAAAAAAAAAAAGAAAAGAAAAAAATAGAAATGTCTAACATAAGAGAAGAAACGAAGAGTTAAAATTAAGTTTTGGCACTTAATCTTCATTTGTATGGAAATTTTTTTTTTTTGAGGTGGAGTCTCGCTCTGTCACCCAAGGCTGCAGTGCAGTGGCATGATCTTCATTCACTGCAACCTCCACCTCCTGGGTTCAAGCGATTCTCCTGCCTCAGCCTCCCCAGTAGCTGAGATTACAGGTGTGCACCACCACACCTGGCTAATTTTTTGTATTTTTAGTAGAGATGGGGTTTTACCATGTTGGCCAGGCTGGTCTCGAACCCCTGACCTCAAATAATCTGCCCAACTCGGCCTCCCAAAGTGCTGAGATTACAGGCATGAGCCACTGCACCTGGCATTATTAATATTATCACTGTTATTTTTAGAGATGGGGTCTCGCTATGTTGCCCAGCTGGCCTTGAATCCTGGGCTCAATCTCTTGAGTAGCTGGGACTTCAGGCGTGTGTTGCTATACCCGGCTTGAATTCCTACAATACTTCTGAAAGTAATTCCAATGATCTTAACATTTAGATTTTTTAAATGCATAAATATTTACAGAATAGTAAGTATAAGGCAATGTAGGTAAAGTGTCTGAAATAAGTCTGAAATAATTATACCCAGGAGAAGTCATGGTTTTTCTGTATATGCAAAAGTGAAAGGACTTATTGAAAAACTTTTTGGAAGTTTTAGCATAACTTGGCACCAGAAGTAGGAACGATAATTTGAATGCACAAAGAGAACTTTAAATGGTTAGTCTTAGCAATTTGACCTTTAGCATATCCATCCATCCAACCAACAAATTTCTGTTAATTATCTACTGCATCCTAGTTGGTGGGAGAATAAAAGCAATAGGTTAGTTTGACACAGCGCTGAAAGTGCTACAAGAGGGCAAGAGGACTGTAAGCTGTGGAAGGATATAAAATGTGCCCAAACCACAGTCGGGTGTTAAGGCTTTCCAGAATTGAAACCTGAAAGATAAATAAAATAAGGCAACAGAAAAGAAGAGAAAGTGAGTGCCAAGCAAAGGGACAGCTTTTAGGAAGGCCTGGAGAGAGGATACTTTTTACAAACCAAATTCAAAATGTTCACTGTGGCTCAAAAAGAAACAGATGAGACTGACAAGATTGGGGCAGCCAGATCACAAGGTCTTGTATGTTAGGAACTTAAGTCATTTTCAAGAGCTTTAGAAAGAGCAACTGGCCAGGCACGGTGCCTCACATCTGTATTCTCAGCATTTTGAGAAGCTGAAGTGAGAGGACCACTTGAGCCCAGGAATTTGAGAAAAAGCCACTAAGGGCTTGTGGAATGATCTGATCAGATTTCCATTTTGGAGAGATGGGCGGTTTATAGGTTGGCCATACTGGAAGCAGAAAAATCAGTTATGGACTAGTTTCAGTTGTCCATTCATCTATTCAGAAAAATTTCCCTGGCACTTTCAACGTGCTAGCTACTGGGATATAGTGGTGAATGACAAACTTCCAGGTCTATGGAGTTTGCATTCAGGGTGAGCGATATTGGTGTCCTGTACCACAGTAGTATAAATGGATTTAGAAAGTAATGAGATTCCAGCAATATTTAAAAGTTGAAAACAAAAGAAAGCAGCAATGGGAATGAGGAAGAGTTAGGGATGGTAACCTGATTTCTGGCCAGGTAGATGGTGGTATCCTTCATGAAGATAGGGAAGAAAAGAGAACCAGGTTTGGGAAATAAGTTCAGTTTTGGACACGCTGGGAGATATTCACACCCAATAAACAATCATAAGATGAATCTGAAACTCCAGAGAGAGATCTGGCCTTAAAGTAGGCTATCAGTTCCATGAGAGAAGGACCTTGTCTGTTTTACTCACCACTGTATGCCCAATGAGCACAGTATCATGCACATAGTTGGCACTCAATGAAAGTATCTGTAAGGCCAGGCGTGGTGGCTTACACCTGTAATTCTAGCACTTTGGGAGTCCAAGGTGGACGGATCACCCAAGGTCGCGAGATCAAGACCAGTCTGACCAACATGAAGAAACACCATCTCTACTAAAACTACAAAATTAGCCAGGTGTGGTGGCGCTTGCCTGTAATCCCAGCTACTCCAGAGGCTGAGACAGGAGAATCGCTTGAACCCGGGAGGTGGAGGTGATGGCGAGGCGAGTTCACACCATTGCACTCCAGCCTGGGTAACAAGAGCAAAACGCCATCTCAAAAATAAATAAATAGGCCGGGTGCGGTGGCTCACGCCTGTAATCCCAGCACTTTGGAAGGCCGAGGCGGGCGGATCACGAGGTCAGGAGATCGAGACCATCCTGGCTAACACGGTGAAACCCCGTCTCTACTAAAAATACAAAAAATTAGCCGGGCGTGGTAGCGGGCGCCTGTAGTCCCAGCTACTCGGGAGGCTGAGGCAGGAGAATGGCGTGAACCTGGGAGGCGGAGCTTGCAGTGAGCCGAGATCGCGCCACTGCACTCCAGCCTGGGCGACAGAGCGAGACTCCGTCTCAAAAAAAAAAAAAATTAGCTGGGTGTGGTGGCAGGCGCCTGTAGTCCCAGCTACTCGGGAGGCTGAGGCAGGAGAATGGTGTGAACTGGGGAGGCAGAGCTTGCAGTGAGCCGAGATCACGCCACTGCACTCCAGCCTAGGCGACTGAGCGAGACTCTGTCTCAAAAATAAATAGATAAATAAATAAATAAATAAATAAAATCTGTTAGATGAGTAGGTTAAACATTTTGTAATAATCAACAAATGGTAAATTGAACCCCTGGGAATAGAAATTCTTAGAAAGAAAGCCCAGGAGCACAACATTCATCTGAGTAAGAAGAATCCACAGAATGGTCACGTAGGTAAGAGGAAAGCCAAGGAATTTCAAAGTCAAACAAACTAAATGTAATGTTTCTCAAAGGAAGAAGTAGCCAAAAAACACTGCTGAGACATCAAGTATGAGAAGGAATAAGATAGAAAACAAGACAGGCATTTATGAGAGCTAACTTTTCTGAATGTTCAAGAATAATGAGTAGGAGACACTCTGAATATGTATCTAAAGTTTCAGATCTAAATAATTATCTTATGAGATGAAATGAATTATTTGCTGAAAGAGCAGCTTAACCTTTTCTTCTTCCCTTTTCTTCCCCAGTAGCTTGAAAAAACACTTAAAGCTTGGCCGGGCGCAGTGGCTCAAGCCTGTAATCCCAGCACTTTGGGAGGCGAGGTGGGCAGATCACGAGGTCAGGAGATCGAGGCCATCCTGGCTAACACAGTGAAACCTCGTCTCTACTAAAAATACAAAAAAATTAGCTGGGCATGGTGGCGGGCGCCTGTAGTCCCAGCTACTCAGGAGGCTGAGGCAGGAGAATGGCGTGAACCCGGGAGATGGAGCTTGCAGTGAGCCGAGATTGCGCCACTGCACTCCAGCCTGGGCGACAGAGCAGGCTGTCTCAAAAAAAAAGAGAAAAAGAAAAAACACTTAAAGCTTAACCTTTATTAACTTGTTTGTTCCATCTAAAGTGCCTACCTCTTCACTGCTGCTTGCTTGGTTAAAAAAAATAAAATTATGGCCAGGCGCAGTGGTTCATGTCTGTAATACCAGCACTTTGGGAAGCAGAGGCAGGAGGATCACTTGAGGCCAGGAGTTCAAGTGCCCATCCTGGGCAACACAGCAAGACCCCCATCTCTACACACACACACACACACACACACACACACACACACACACACACACACACACTAGCTGGGCATGATGGCATACACCTGTAGTCCTAGCTACTCAGGAGGTTGAGGCAAAAGAATCACTTGAACCCAGGAATTCGAGGCTGCAGTGAGCTATGATCACTCCACTGCACACCAGCCTGGGTGACAGAGCAAGACCGTGTCTCAAAATAAATAGATAAAATAAAATTTAAAAAAATTTTTAAGTAAAATAAAGTACCTGCCACTCTAGTCTTTATCCCATCACATCTATCACAATCTGTAATTAACTGGTTTGCTTATTGTTTATTGCAATGTAAACTCCAAGACAAGATAGGCTACCTTCCTTGTCTGTTTCATTAGTGGCTACATCCCCAGGGCTTAGAACAGTGCCTTGTTCTGCCAGGCGCGGTGGCTCATGCCTGTAATCCCAGCACTTTGGGAGGCCAAGGGAGGTGGGTCACTCAAGGTCAGGAATTCAAGACCAGCCTGGCCAACATGGTGAAACCCTGTCTCTACCAAAAATACAAAAATTAGCCAGGTGTGGTGGCAGGTGCCTGTAATCCCAGCTGCTCAGGAAGCTAGGGTGGGAAAATCACTTGAACCTGGGAGGCGGAGGTTGCAGTGATCCAAGATCAAGCCACTGCACTCCAGTCTGGGCAATAGAGCAAGACTCTGTCTTAATTTTTAAAAATAAAAATAAAAAAGTCCGGGTGCAGTGGCTCACGCCTGTAATCCTAGCACTTTGGGAGGCTGAAGTGTGCAGATCACAAGGTCAGGAGTTCAAGACCAGCCTGGCTAATATGGTGAAACCCCGTCTCTACTAAAAATACAAAAATTAGCCAAGCATGGCGGTGCACGCCTGTAGTCCCAGCTACTTGGAAGGCTGAGGCAGAAGAATCGCTTGAACCCGGGAGGCGGAGGTTGCAGCGAGCCAAGATCCCGCCACTGCACTCTAGCCTGGGCAAGAGCGAGTGCTCCATCTCAAAAAAAAAAAAAAAAGAAAAAGAACAGAGCCTGGCTCAATAAATATTTGTTCTTTCTAAGCATCTATGTTTCTGTTTATCTTTCCACCTACTTGGGGGAATGGGATAAGGTAGAACTAGAGAATCATAAAGTTCCTGTCCAGCTCTTTAAAAGAAACTGCAGGAAGGCCGGATGCAGTGGCTCACACCTGCAATCCCAGCACCTTGGGAGGCCAAGGCGGCAGATCATTTGAGGCCAGGAGTTTGAGACCAGCCTGGGCAACATAGTCTGACCCCCATCCCTACCAAAAAAAATTAATTAATTTAATTAAAACTGCAGGAAGAACAAGAGAAAACACACTTTAAAGGGCAATAATAGTCAGACACGGTGGCTCACGCCTGTAATCCCAGCACTTTGGGAGGCCAAGGTGGGCAGATCACAAGGTTAGGAGTTTGAGACCAGCCTGGCCAATATGGTAAAACCCCATCTCTACTAAAACTACAAAAATTAGCTGGGCATGGTGGCACGCGCCTATACTCTCAGCTACTCGGGAGGCTGAGGCAGGAGAATTGCTTGAACCCGGGAGGTGGAGGTTGCAGTGAGCCGAGATCATGCCATTGCACTCCAGCCTGGGCGACAGCAAGACTCCATCAAAAAAAAGGTTAAAAAAAAAAAAAAGGCAATAATAGATGTTGCATGTGGCTCACAACTATAATCTCAGTTACTTGGGAGGCTAAGGTAGGGGGATAGCTTGAGCCCAGGAGGTTGAGGCTACAGTGAGCTCTGATTGCAACACTGCTCTCCAGCCTGGGCAATAGCATGAGACACTGTCTCAAAAAAAAAAAGGGAGGGGGGCAGTAATAGAATCCAGAATCATAAAAATTCCAGGCCTATACCCCAGAGGAAATCTTATCAGCAGGTAAAAGAATTTCTCAGGCTCTATAACCCTGGCAGAGTAGGTAAACAAGTCAGAAACAAGATATCCTGGAAATACATGATTTAAGAAAAAAAAAAAAAAAAGATGGCCATGGGGCGGTGGCTGGTGCTGGTTATCCCAGCATTTTGGGAGGCTGAGGCAGGCAGGTCACCTGAGGTTGCAAGTTCAAGACCAGCATGGTCAACATGGCAAAACCCCGTCTCTACTAAAAATACAAAAATTAGCTGGGTGTGGTGGCAGGCACCTGTAGTCCCAGCTACTCAGAAGGCTGAGGCACAAGAATCACTTGAACCCAGGAGGCAGAGGTTGTGGTGAGATGAAATTGCACCACTACACTCCAGCCTAGGTGACAAAGCGAAAGACTGTCTCAAAAAAAAAAAAAAAAAATAGTTACTAGCAAAAATATTAAATATAGGGTCATTTTCTGTATTTCTATATCTCAAAGTTTCAAAAAGGGGAAAAATAATTTGTTTTCTTTTTGAGACAGGGTCTTGCTCTGTCACCCAGAGCAAGTGGTGCTGTGTGCCAGAGTGCAGTGGCACAATCAGGGGTCATTGCAACCTCAACCTCCTGGGCTCAAGGGATCCTCCCACCTCAGCGTCTCAAGTAGCTGGAGCCACAGGTGCATACCACCACACTCGGCTAATTTTTCTATTTTTTGTAAAGATACGGTCTCACTATGTTGCCCAGGCTGTTCTGGAACTCTGGGGCTCAAGCTATCCTCCTTCCTTGGCCTCCCAAACTGCTAAGATTATAAGCATGAGCCACTGTGCCTGGTCCATAATAGTTTTTATGTGATAATTTTATTTATTTATTTTTATTTTTTTTTGAGACAAAAGTTTCGCTCTTGTTGCCCAGGCTGGAGTGCAATGGCATGATCTCAGCTCACTGCAACCTCCACCTCCCGGGTTCACATGATTCTCCTGCCTCAGCCTCCTGGGTTCAAGCGATTCTCCTGCCTCAGCCTCCTGAGTAGCTGGGATTACAGACGTGCACCACCAAGCCCAGCTACTTTTATATTTTTAGTAGAGACAGGGTTTCTCCATGTTGGTCAGGCTGGTCTCGAACTCCTGACCTCAGGTGATCCGCCCGCCTCAGACTCCCCAAGTGCTAAGATTACAGGCATGAGCCACCACGCCTGGCCAATGTGCTAATTTTAAAACAAAATTAGCCAATTTTAATTCCGTTTTATATATTTCACATTTAAATTTCTTTTTCTTTTTCTTTTTTCTTTTTTGAGATGGAGTCTTGCTCTGTCGCCTAGGCTGGAGTGCCGTGGCACGATCTCAGCTCACCACAACCTCCACCTCCCAGGTTCAAGTGATTCTCTTGCTTCAGCCTCCGGAGTAGCTGGGATTACAGGCACACACCACCATGCCCAGCTAATTTTTGTATTTTTAGTAGAGACGGGGTTTCACCATGTTGGTCAGGCTGGTCTCGAACTCTTGACCTCGTGATCTGCCCACCTCGGCCTTCCAAAGTGCTGGGATTACAGGCGTGAGCCACTGCGTCCGGCCTCAAATTTAAATTTCTTATAGAAAAGTAACTAAAATGCAAACACTTCCTCCCAGATGAGTTTCATTAATTCATTATAAACATATTAAGAAGCTAGTTAGCTATATAATAACTGACACATACTGTGCTCTTAAAAATTAATTCAAATTAATATTAGATGATATTACAAAGGTTCTTTTTTTTCTTTTCTTTTCTTTTTGACAGAGTCTCACTGTGTTGCCCAGGCTGGAGCACAGTGGCATGAACACATCTTACCTCAGCCTTGACTTCCTAGGCTGGTGCGATCCTCCTGCCTCGGCCCCCCAAGTAGCTGGGACTATAGGCACACACCACCACACCACGCTAATTTTTATATTTTTTGTAGAGACAAGGTTTTGCTATGTTACCCAGGCTGATCTTCAACTCATGAGCTCAAGTGTTCCGCCCACCTCAGCCTCCCAAAGTGCTGGGATTACAGGCATTAGCTACTACACTCGGCCTTGGAAATGTTCTCAAACGTAAATAATATGGTGGTTATATGGCAGAATATTCTCATTTTTTAGGAGATAAATATGTTAAGTACTGAGAGGCAAAGTATCATAATGTCTGTAATTTAAATATGTTAAGTACTGAGGGGCAAAGTATGTCTGCAATTTAAAATGGTTCAGCAATTAAATATGTGTATGTGTGTATATGTGTATCCACACCCACACATCCACATATACAGACAGATAAATAAAACAACAACTACTGAATCTATATAGTGGGTATACAAATGACAAATGTACTTTCCATTTTTCTATATGTTTGAAAGTTTACCTAATAAAAAGCTGGGAGGGGTGGTGGTGGATTTACTGAAAAAGTTTACTAACCTTACAAAAAAAAAAAAAAAACCCTAGCTGGACGTGGTGGCTCACGCTTGTAATCCCAGCACTTTGGGAGGCCGAGGCAGGCAGATCACTTGAGCTCACAAATTCGAGACCAGCCTGGGCAACATGGTGAAACCCGTCTTTACAAAATATCAAAAATTAGCTGGGCGTGGTGGTGTACACCTGTAGTCCCATCTACTTGGGAGGCTGAGACGGAAGGATGGCTTGAGCCCAAGAGGCAACAGTTGCAGTGAGCCAAGATCGCACCACTGCACTCCAACCTGGGCCAGACCTTGTCTCGAAAAAAATAACATAAAATAAAATTCTATACCCTCAACTTGGTACTTCTCTATTACATTAATATATAAATTCCCATGGTTCACCTCACACATTTTTGGGTGTGCCTATTATGCCAAACTACTGAATGCTGTAATTCTTAAGAAAATAAAACACAGTATGGCCGGGTGGGTGGCTCATGCCTGTAATCCCACCACTTTGGGAGGCCGAGGCGGGCAGATCACGAGGTCAGATTGAGACCATCCTGGCTAACGCAGTGAAACCCCATCTCTACTAAAAATACAAAAAATTAGCCGGGTGTGGTGGCGGGCGCCTGTAGTCCCAGCTACACGGGAGGCTGAGGCAGGAGAATCGCTTGAATCCAGGAGGCGGAGGTTGCAGTGAGCCGAGATCCCGCCACTGCACTCCAGCCAGGGTGACAGAGCAAGACTCCGTCTCAAAAAAAAAAAGAAAAGAAAACACAGTGCTATGTTCAAAGCAATAATCAAATATCACTGGTCAAGATTTCAAAGTAAAAAACAGAACTTATATATACCCATTTCCAAATAACAGCTTTTTAAATATATATAACATTACATACATTATTAAACTGGTCTATGCAGATATTTCTGACCACAACCTAATAACTTATTTAGATAACAGCTGTATTCATTGAGTGCAGAGCAGAGCAAAATAACTTGGGTAGGTTCTAACATCAGTTCTCCTGAGAAGCAAAGTTCAGTACAACATAAGTAAGCAGCATGTAGTTAAAGGTAAGGTAAAGATTTCAAGAAGCAGGAATCCTGTACTCTCTCAAGCACAGAACTGGATGTGTGACCTATGGCACACACTTCAGCAATCCAGTGAATAGTCAATCTACTAATCTACCCTCTGAACCAGTTTGGTACTATACCCAGTTTGGTGTCCTCTTTTGTGATTTTTTTTTGTTTTGTTTTTTCTTTTGAAGACACAGTCTCACTCTGTAGCTCAGGCTGGAGTTCAATGGCAAGATATTGGCTCACTACAACCTCCGCCTCCCAGGTACAAGTGATTTTCCTTCCTCTGCCTCCGGAGTAGCTTGGATTACAGGCGTCCGCCACCATGCCCAGTTAATTTTTGTATTTTTAGTAGAGACGGGGTTTCACCATGTTGGTCAGGGCTGGTCTTGAACTCCTGACCTCAGGCAATCCACCACCTCGGCCTCCCAAAGTGCTGAAATTACAGGCATGAGCCACCATGCGTAGCGTTCTTTTGTGATTTTTAACTAAATAAAAATATGAGTGTCACTACAGCAGGGACACATAATGGTATCTCATTTAGATATTCACATTCAGAAATCTCAAATTTAAAAAAAGATGTCTTAATCCAGAGCTAGTCTTTGTCTTTAAAAAAAAATGTCTTAGGAGCTTAAGTAATAATTAACTAACAAATTATTATTTCATAAAGCAACAACCATACCCCTTCCCATCCCACTCCCGCCAGAAAACAAACATAGATTGTTCATTTCAGAAAGTGTCTGAATGACTAGGTGCAGGGGCATATCTCTATCTACTCTGGCTAGGGGCAGTGTGAACATTATTCGAATCGTTAACCATGGCCAGGTGTGGTGGCTCACACCTACAATCCCAACACTTTGGGAGGCTGAGGTAAGAAAATGTCTTGAGGCCAGGAGTTCAAGACAAGCCTGGGCAACACAGTGTGACCCCATCTCTACAAAAAAAAAAAAAAAAAAAAGGCCAGGCGCAGTGGCTCACACCTGTAATCCTAGCACTTTGGGAGGCTGGGGCAGGCAGATGACTTGAGGTCGAGATCAAGACCATCCTGGCCAACATGGTGAAACCCCATCTCCACTAAAAATACAAAAATTAGCTGGGTGTGATGGCGCGCGCCTGTAGTCCCAGCTACTCAGGAGGCTGAAGCAAGAGAATCGCTTGAACCCAGGTGGTGGAGGTTGCAGCAAGCCAAGACACTCCACTGCACTCCAGACTGGCGACAGAGCCAGACTCTGTCTCAACAAAAAAAAAAAAAAAAAAAAAAAAAAAACTTTGGCAGGATCCACAAGGCAGGAGGATCCACTTGAGCCCAGGAGTTCCAGACCAGACTGGGCAACATAGTGAGTTCAGCTTGCATAACATAACGAGACCCTGTTTCTACAAAAAAAATTAAAAATTAGCCAGGCATGGTGGCGCATGCCTGTAGTCACAGCTGCTCAGAGGCTGAGGAAGTGGGATCTACTTGAGCCCTGGAGGTCAAGGCTGCTGTGGGCCATGATTGCACAACTGCACTCCAGCCTGAACCTCATCTCTAAAAAAAAGAAAAAAAAAAAAACCCAACCAAAGGAAAAAAAAATCACAAAAACAAACAGTTCAGAAAAAAAAAATGGTATTTTTAAAAATATGAAAAAATGTTGGCCGCTGCCGGGCGTGGTGGCTCACACCCATAATCCCAGCACTTTGGGAGGCCGAGGCCGGCGGATCACCTGAGGTTGGGAGTTCGAGACCAGCCTGACCAACATGGAGAAACCCCATCTTTACTACAAATACAAAATTAGCTGGCCATGGTGGCACATGCCTGTAATCCCAGCTACTCAGGAGGCTGAGGCAGGAGAATCCTTTGTATCTGGGAGGCGGAGGTTGCAGTGAGCTGAGATCGCACCATTGCGCTCCAGCCTGGGCAACAAGTGTGAAATGCCATATCAAAAAAAAAAAAAAAAAAGAAAGAAAAGAAAAAGCAAATAGGTTGGCCGGGCACAGTGTCTCACACCTGTAATCCCAGCACTTTGGGAGGCCAAGGCAGGTGGATCACCTGAGGTTAGGAGTTCAATACCAGCCTGGACAACATGGTAAAACCCCATCTCTATTAAAAATACAAAAGTTAGCGAGGTGTGGTTGTGAGCACCTGTAGTCCCAGCTACTCAGGAGGATGAGGCAGGAGAACTGCTTGAACCCGGGAGGCAGAGGTTGCAGTGAGCCAAGATCGCGCTACTGCACTCCAGCATGGGTGGCAAAGCAAGACCCCATCTCAAAAAAAAAAAAAACAACAACAACAAAAGAAAATAGGTTGGGTGCAGTGGCTCACACCTGTAATCACAGCACTTTGGGAGGCTGAGGTGCGAGGAATGTCTGAGCCCAAATATTCAAGATCAGCCTGGGCAACATGGGAAACCCATTTCTACAAAAAATACAAAAATTAGCCAGGCATGGCGGCATGATCCTGTAGTCCCAGCTATTCCGGAAGTTGAGATGGGAGGATCGCTTGAACCCAGGAGGCAGAGGTTGCAGTCAGCCGGGATTACACCACTGCACTCTGGCCTGGGCAACAGAGTGAGATCTCGTCTCAATCAATCAATCAAAAGATCTATAAAAATATTAAAATATGTGTTTTTTAGGCCAGGTGCGGTGGCTCACGCTTGTAATCCCAGCACTTTGGGAGGCCGAGGCAGGGGGATCACCTGAGGTCAAGAGTTTGAGACCAGCCTGGACAACATGGTGAAACCCCTTCTCTATTAAAACTACAAAAATTAGCCGGGCGTGCTGGCGCGTGCCTGTAATCCCAAACTACTAGGGAGGCTGAGGCAGGAGAATTGCTTGAACCTGGAAGGTGGGAGTTACAGTGATCTGAGATCGCACCACTGCACTCCAGCCTGGGCGACAGCACAAGACTCTGTCTCAAAAATAAATTTTTTAAAAAATGGGCCAGGCATGGTGGCTCATGCCTGTAATCCCAACACTTTGGCAGGCCAAGGTAGGCAGATAACAAGGTCAGGAGTTCAAGACCAGCCTGGCTAACATGGTGAAACCCCATCTCTACTAAAAATACAAAAAGTAGCTGGGCATGGTGGCTCATGCCTATAATCCCAGCTACTCAGAAGGCTGAGACAGAAGAACTGCTTGAATCCAGAAGGCAGAGGTTGCAGTAAGCCAAGATCGTGCCTCTGCACCCCAGCCTGGGCAACAGAGCGTGAAACTCAGTCTCAAAAATAAATAAAATTAAAAAATAAAATATCAAGTGTGGGCCAAGTGTGGTGGCTCACGCCTGTAATCCCAGCACTTTGGGAGGTTGAGGCAGATGAATCACTTGAGGTCAGGAGTTTTACACCACCCTGGCCAACATGGTGAAACCCTGTCTCTACTGAAAATACAAAAATTAGCCGGGTGTAGTGGTGCACACCTGTAATCCCAGCTACTCAGGCAGCTGAGGCAGGAGAATTGCTTGAACCTGGGAGGCAGAGGTTGCAATGAGCTGGGATAGTGCCACTGCACTCCAGCCTGGGTGACAGAGTGAGACTCTGTCTCAAAAAAAAAAAAAATTATGAATGAATGAGAACACTAAAACAAGAACAATGAATGTCAATACCTATTTTCCTGCCCATGAGTCTTACGGGTCCCATGTTCATACACTTCCAAAGACAAGAAGTGTCAAAAGTCTCCATTTAAACAAAAATCATTTTGTTACTGCTTTAAGTGCTGATTCCATGGGAACAAGTTAGAAAATTCTCAGTAGTGTCTCTCACCTCTGCATTCAGTCATCCTATTGTTTTGTTTTTTGGTAAGAAACAGGGTCTTGCCCTGTTGTCAAGGCTGGAGTGCCGTGGCCATGATAACTCACTGCAGTCTCAAACTCCTGGGCTTAAGTGATCCTCCTGCCTTAGCCTCCTGAGTAGCTAGGACTACAGGCTCACACCATCACACCCAACTAATTTTTTTTATGGTTTTTGGGGAAGAGGGGTCTCACTACGTTGCCCAGGCTTGAACTCATCCTTTTTTTTTTTTTTTTAAAGCAAAAGGCCACAAAAAAGCAGACACAAAATCACATAATCCATTCCCAGTAAAGATATTCTCTCTTCAGTCCATTCTCTGCATGTATGAGTCTATCTCAAAAAGGAGGGAAGGAGCCAGGCGCGGTGGTTCACAGTGGCAATCCCAGCACTTTAGGAGGCCAAGGCGGGCGGATCACCTGAGGTCAGGAGTTCAAGACCAGCCTGACCAACATGCAGAAACCCCAACTCCACTAAAAATACAAAATTAGCCAGGCGTGGTGGCGCATGCCTGTAATCCCAGCTACTTGAGAGGCTGAGGCAGGAGAACTGTTTGAACCCAGGAGGCGAAGGTTGCAGTGAGCCGAGATGGCACCATTGCACTCTAGCCTGGGCAACAAGAGAAACTCCATCTCAAAAAAAAAGAAAAGAAAAGAAAAGAAAAGAAAAAGAAAAGGAAGGAAGACAATGCCTCTTCGTTTTTATGTGTAATCTCCCTCTACTGAATGATGCTAAATGAGCTCTCACTTTGAGAATAACAGTGATAACATAAAAGACCCACAGAATCACTAAGAACTAAATTCCTAAAGGTTCTTTAAACTCGTATGTCTACTTTTCAGAAGTTTCTTTTTTTTTTCTTTTTTCTTTTTTGAGAGGTAGTCTCACTCTACTGCCCAGGCTGGAGTACAGAGGCACGATCCCAGCTCACTGCAACCTCCATCTCCCGGGTTCAAGCAATTCTTCTGCATCAGCCTCCCCAGTAGCTGGGATTACAGGCACCCACCACCACACCCAGATAATTTTTGTATTTTTAGTACAGACAGGGTTTCATCATGTTGGCGAGGCTGGTCCCACACTCCTGACCTCAAGTGATCCATCTGCCTCGGCCTCCCAAAGTGCTGGGACTATAGATGTGAGCCACCACACCTGGCCCTTTTTTAAAAGTTACAGCAAATCATGCCTGTTTTAAAAGAATCAGAAGTTGCAGAAAAACCCTAACATACCCAGTTATAACCTCTCTCTCCAGATCATTTTGTATCCAGATTTTTATTTTAAAAAATCACTGGGCTGGGGCACAGTGGCTCACCCCTGTAAGTCCCAACACTTTGGCAGGATCCACAAGGCAGGAGGATCACTTGAGCCCAGGAGTTCCAGACCAGACTGGGCAACACAGTGAGACCTTGTCTCTGTAAAAAATTTAATTAGCCCAGTGTGGTAACGCATGTCTGTGGTCCTAGCTACTCAGGAGGCTGAGGCAAGAGGATCACTTGAGCCCAAGAGATTGAGGCTGCAGTGAACTGTGACTGTGCCACTACACCCCAGCCTAGGCGATTGAGACTCTGTCTCCAAAAAGAATTTAAATTTAAAAGTCACTGATTTTAAAATAAATTATTCAATAGGTTCACAGGGCTTATTCTGGATAGAGTCAACAGGATGTTCTGGCTGAAAAAGTGAAATTGAAACAGAGTAGAAAGTGAGGAGCTAGCTATGTAAAATTCTAAGGAGAGCATTCTAGAGCATGGGCAAAGGCATCAGACGGGTCTTGGTTAAAGAATGGAGAGGTGTGTCACAGGCAGCCCAAAGGAGAGAGTGATGGGCGATAAGATGACAGATTTCTTGATTAGCATCTGAAACCGGTCCAAATCTATCTAAAATTAGCCCTTCTTTAGGTTGTTTTTAAAGAATCCCTAAAACAGCAGACTAGCTCCACACTAGAAATTCAAATAAAAGCAAAGGAAAAAGTCAGAAGGTATTCAAAATATGTCCTATCAATATAAAGATTAAATTTTTGATGCCTTGCTGAGAATTCCTGCAAGCAAGAGATCATAGCACCTCACACATTCCTAAAACATTCTATCTACATACCCACCTAAGTTTCCACAGAGGTGCTCAGAATTTACTTTACTCTCTCTGGTGATGGATAATTTCCATGCTTTCAAATCACTTTTGCTGTAAATACC
The DNA here is from genome assembly GCF_000001405.40 of Homo sapiens. NCBI lineage: Eukaryota > Metazoa > Chordata > Mammalia > Primates > Hominidae > Homo > Homo sapiens. Next base: position 51,117,374 of record NC_000017.11, read on the forward strand.
CTGAGGCACTTACTTTGGTATAAAAGACTCTTGGTCTCCGCATTAAAGACACAAACAGGCCGGCACGGTGGCTCATGCCTGTAATCCCAGCACTTTGGGAGGCTGAGGCGGGCAGATCACGAGGTCAGGAGATTGAGACTATCCTGGCTAAAATGGTGAAACCCCGTCTCTACCAAAAATACAAAAAAATTAGCCAGGCGTGGTGGCACGTGCTTGTAATCCCAGCTACTCAAGAGGCTGAGGCAGAATCGCTTGAACCCGGGAGGCGGAGGCTGCAGTGAGTCAAGATTGTGCCACTGCACTCCAGCCTGGGTGACAGAGCAAGACTCCGTCTCAAAAAAAAAAAAAAAAAAAAAAAAGGCGCAAACAAAGCACTCACAGAAAACTAAACACAGAATTCACTCTACATATTGGCCAAAGGGAGACAATTTCTGGATACTGAGCAACACACAATTTATGATCTTATGTGAAAACTGATGGCCGGGTGTGGTGGCTCACATCTGTAATCCCAGTACTTTGGGAGGCTGAGGCGAGTGGATTGCCTGAGCTCAGGAGTTCAAGACCAGCCTGGGCAACAAGGTGAAACCCCGTCTCTACTAAAATACAAAATATATATACATATTAGCTGGGCGGGGTGGCACGTGCCTATAGTCCCAGCTACTCGGGCGGCTGAGGCAGAAGAATTGCTTGAACCCGGGAGGCAGTGAGCCGAGATCGTGCCACTGCACTCCAGCCTGGCGACAGAGAGAGACTCTGTCTCAAAAAAAAAAAAAAAGAGAAAAGAAAACTGATAACAAGGTGTGTTTATGTTTGTGGCCTGGGAGTGGGCTCATTTAGCATTTCATAAATGTTCTCTGTTCTCAGGTCATGACCCTTTGCCCAATGGTTTCACTATGGAGAATTTACAGATGTAACTGAAAAAATATAAACTACAAATAAATTCATTGGATAACCTATTTTTTTTAGAGTCATTTACTCAAGAAATTAATAGGGAACCCAGAGTCTAGCAGTCGGGCAATTTTGTTTTCTGATTCTGCAACCTGTGGCAGATGGTTTTCTTGGCACGTGTGACCCTGGCATTTTGCCCATATTTACACGGACTGACAGGAGTTTAAGGCTGGAGGGAGCATTTATTTTACGTGAGGTAAAAGGTCATGTCAGGCTTGCTTGTCACCTGTGTGTACATGTGGTTAATTCCCAGTCACTTCCATGTATATCCACACACTGGCAAGGGGCTATATGAGCATGAAGCAGCAAGTAGCACTTGACCTCTGTTCTATAAAGAGTGCTAACAAACAAGCGGAAATTGTGATCCTATCATTATTTGGTTTTTCATCCCTTCCTTCCCTATATGAAAGGAAAAGCTCTTGAAATAGTCCATTCTGGCGGGGTGCGGTGGCTCATGCCTGTAATCCCAGCACTGGGATGGTCAGCCCGAGGCCAAAGTGGGCAGATCACTTGAGGCCAGGAGTTCAAGACCATCCTAGGCACCATGGAGAAATCCTGTCTCTACAAAAAACAAAAATGAGCGGGGAGTGTTGTCCTAGCTCCTTAGGAAGCTGAGGCACAAGAATCGCTTGAACCCGGCAGGCAGAGGTTGCAGTGAGCCAAGATCACTCCACTGCACTTCACCCTGGGCGACAGAGTGAGACTACGTCTCAAAAAAAAAAAAAAAAAAAGGCAATTTTGTTTGGCAAATTCAATAGCATTCCTTTGAGAAAATTGGATCCCACAATCAGAACTAAAAATCATCACTACAGTCAAGCTTTTAAAAAAGGAAAAAGAACTATTTAACCAGATGCAAAGGTATACGTGACAAAATAAAACAAAAATTTAATGGTGTTACTATTCAGTGTCAGGAAATGAGCTACAAACCTCACATCCTAAAAACTCTTCAAGTCTTTTTGAAAAATACTATGTCATTCCTTCAATAATTAGTTATTTCGCCTCCTTTGATCACCATGTATTTAAGCAGGTGTGCTAGGTGCTTGAGAAACAAAAATAGGACACATCACCTGCCTTTGATAAGGTCCACAGAAATAACGCCAACGCAGGCTGAAAGCTAAACTCCTTGTCAGTCTCAAGAAGCCAAGGACCTATCACTTGCACCCTAGAACTCCAAAAGGTTCACAGAGTCGAGGTGAGGGCGCCCAGGTCACTGCTCGGGTGCTAGAGTTAACAGGTGGCCAAATGCACGTATAAACAGCAGTCTAAGAAGGAAACTCAGACGGAAAAAGTGTTGCCAACTGTCACCTACATCTTCCCAACCCCGCCCCCCAATCCTTTTTATAAATAAACGGAGGGTTTTTGAAGGGAACTGTCCAAGGTTACAACCTGATACGGAGGAATGCTTTGGTTTGGGATACCAACGAAATTGTTTATATATTTATTGAGTACTGCCACACAACATCTAAAAGTTGACAAAGTGTCAACCAAGGCACATAGAACATAAAATAAGACGTCTTTCTCAACAAGATTAAAACGTCAAGAAGAAACTGACCGAAAGAGGGAGATCTCTAACTTCCCAAAGCAAGGCAACCCCCTGGAAAGGTACTGGAACTAGCGGAAGTTACATATCCAGGGCAGAAGTGTCCCCCTCCCCAAGGGTAAAACTTTGAACCGCCATCTGACTATCCCACGGTGGTCGGAAACTTCCCTCAACAAGAAGCAACCAGACACCCAACAATCTCCGCCCTTGGCCAACCCCAGGTGTCCTCAGGCCAGGCTGCCGCTTCCTCCCCGGGCCCTGCCTCCTCCATCTCGCTCCCTTCCCAGGACACTCAGTAGCCGGCCTCGGCTTCCAACGCCGGCCTGGCTCCCGGGGTACCTGGAGGCCGCCGGGATCGGTCCCAGGGGGCATCGGCCTCAGGCCCGCCCTCCAGGAGGCCCGTCGCGCCTCTAGTCCCCGACCGGGCCGCGACCCCGCCCCGGCCGCCCCCGGAGACGGATCCCGCGGCCCCCGCCCTGCCGCCGGCCTCACCTCCTCAGCGTGCTTGCGCAGCGCCTTCTCCCGCTCGTACTGGGTGATGAGCTGCTCGTTGTCGTCCCGCAGCAGCTCCAGCTCCACCTGGTGCTCCTGGTCCTGCGCGAACACCGAGTCCAGGTTCTCCAGCACAGCCACCACCAGCGGCATCAGCTCTTTGACCACCTCCTCGTCATAGCGCCCGATAAGCCGCTCGAACTCGCGGTAGATGGAGCCGGCCAGGCCGGACACCCGCTCCGACATCACGGCCCCGGAGCCGCCGGGCTCCTCCTGATACACCACACCGTCCTCCAGCTCCATGGTGGCAAGCGGACGGGCGGGCGGCCCGGGGCGTCGCCGGCAGAGGGGCGGCACCTGCCCGCACGGGACGGACCCGACTCGGGCTGGGACGGGTACTAGGGCTGGAGCCCGGGCCGGGGCTGGGGCTGGGCCCGGCGGGGTGGGGGCCGGGGCCGGAGGAGGGGAGGGGTGGCGTAGGCGCTCTCACCCCAACCGCCGCTGCACCAACTGCCGGGGCGGCCCGGCCGCGCGCGCCACACGTCATCCGCGGGGCGGGGCCGGCGCCGCGTCGGCCCGATGGGCGGGGCGCCGCGGGAGGCCAGGCGCGGCCGGGGGCGGGGCCAAGCGTCTTCGGGCGCTGGCGGAGGAAGCCATGGCGTCAACACCCGGCGCCGCGAAGACGGTGCGGGCGCCAATGGGAAAGACTGCGGTCGGCGGGTGGGGAGAAGTATCCATCCACAGCGGGATTCGCGGGGCGGGTCCCAGGGGAAAGGGAGGGGTTCGGGAAGAGTGACGAGTTAACTTAGCTGGCATTTCTATGGCTTTTTAAAGCTCACAAAGCACCTACTCACTTCATCCCCACAACAGGCGTAAAGAGGTAGATATTTGGACCTCGTTTCACAGACAAAGAAACTAGGCCCAGGAAAGTGGCGTTGCTCTCAAGGTCACGCAGCTACAACGGGAAACGGGCTGAGCCGGGACTCAAACCAATTACCCAGATTGAGAATTCCGGGCTCCGAAAAAAACTGGAAACAGAAAGGGAGGGAAAAAAAACCATAACCAGGGTCTGCCCAAGTGGAAAGGTGGTCTCGAATAGAATAGAACTGTTTTGTGCTATGGAAGAGCAAGGGTGAGATGAGGGGAAATGGGAGTGACTGCTAATAGGTATGGGATTTCGTTTTGGGATAATAAAAATGTTCTAAAAAATGTATTATAGTGATGAATACACAACTCTAAATATGCTAAAAGACATTCAACTTTACACGTTAAGTGAGTGAATCATATGGCGTGTGAATTATATCTCAAGTTATTAAAAAATAAACAGGAAGGGTGATAGCATTCTGGAGAAGGGTGAAACTGGAACGTTACATGTGGCACTTTCCCACATAGTGTGTCTGCTACTTCTGGCCAACTTGGGACGGGGACATTTCCAGGCTCCAGCCACCCTCCTCTCCTCAAGTCTTGAAGTGGGGCGGAAAGGGTAAGTGGGAGGTTGGGGAACAGAGGAGGTAAGGGGTGGAGTCACTGGAGTGAATAAGTCCCATGACAAGTGAGGTTTCTGCCGCCTGGGAGAGTGTCACGTGTGGGGAATGACACAACGCCCACGCCTAGAGCGGGCTGAGTCAAGGATCCCGGTGTGCTCATCTAACGTCCGCAAATGGGACGGAAGACACTCTCAAAAGTCCCTTCTCTGTGTCTCAGGTGACTCAGCTCTCCGTCCCGACTCGTTTAAGAAAAGGGGGAGGAAAGGCAGGATAAACATAGGTTTAAGGGGAGAATTGGCCACCCACCGGGATCATAACTACCCTTAGCTTGGGGTTTACAAGTTTAAGTACTTCCCACCAAGTATGAAGTAGTCCCCTAAAGTTTCCTACGCATGACCCACCTGGAGACCCATAAAAACAATATGAAGGTTGGGCAAGAGTAAACCTATAAATTTGGAAGGACAAAGATGAAAATACTAAGTCTTATGAAGTGCCAGATGGGACTGAATTTGCGGCCTGTGTTTTTTCCCGTTCTCACCCTCACCCCACATTCACCCTTATGTCATTTAGATATTTGGGTAGTAGGAATGCCGACCAGCTGGTTGGCTGTGAGCCGCAAATGCCCTTTCTCTTCTTAACCTTTCATATTTGAAAACTAGAAAAAGTCTTGATCTGAATCTCTCCTCTTTTATTTTCTCTTCCTGAGGGCTGTCACTCACCTGGTCTACCTATATGCATGCCTCTCTTTTCCTGGGGGATCAGAAGAGCCAAAAAACATAGGGCAAGGCTTTACTTTTTCTTTCCACAATATTATCATACACATCAAAAAATTTAAAGAAAAAAGTATCAGCCGGGCGTGGTGACTCATGCCTGTAACCCAGCACTTTGGGAGGCCGAGGCGGGTGGATCACAAGGTCAGGAGTTCAAGACCAGCCTGAACAATATGGTGAAACCCCATTTCTACTAAAAAGTACAAAAATTAGTCGGGCATGGTGGTGCACACCTATAATCCCAGCTACTCAAGAGGCTGAGGCAGGAGAATAGCTTGAACCTGGGAGGCGGAGGTTGCAGTGAGCAGAGATCACACCATTGCACTCCAGCCTGGGCGACAGAGTGAGACTCCATCTCAAAAAAAAAAAGAAAAAAGAAAAAAGTATCGATTTTTCAAGTACGAGATTTTAATTGTCATTCCTAATAAGTATACTTCTTTAGGTATACGTTCAACATAGAAAGATACACACTTATGTCTTGATTTTAAGCTTCTGCCAGTTATCAGAGATAACATTTAGTTAAAATAAAATTCAGCTAAATAACCATCAGCTGATGAATGGATAAAATGTGACATAGGTATACAATGGACTATTATTTGGCAATAAAAAGAAAGTCGTTGGAGGGGAGGGGAGTAGGCGTGGTGGCTCGCGCCTGTAATCTCAGCACTTGCAAGAGGATGGCTTGTGCCATGAGTTGGAGACCAGCCTGGGCAACATAGTGAGACCTTCATCCCTGACAAAAAAAAAAAAAAAAATTTTTTTTGGCCAGGCACGGTGGCTTACACCTGTACTCCCAGCACTTTGGGAGGTCGAGGCGGGCGGATCACCTGAGGTCAGAGGTCAGATGTTCAAGATCAGCCTGACCAATATGGAGAAACCCTGTATCTACTAAAAATACAAAATTAGCCGGGCGTGGTGGCCCGCACCTGTATTCTTAGCTACTCAGGAGGCTGAGGCAGGAGAATCGCTTGAACCTGGGAGGCGGAGGTTGTGGTGAGCCAAGATCGAGCCATTGCACTCCAGCCTGGGCAACAAGAGCAAAACTCCGTCTCCAAAAAAAAAAAAAAAGAATAGAAAAGAAAACAAAAATTTTAAGTACATGCCATGACATAGCTGAATCTTTTTTTTTTTTTTGAGATGGAATTTCGCTCTTGTTGCCTAAGCTGGAGTGCAATGGTGCAACCTCAGCTCACCGAAACCTCCGCCTCCCAAGTTCAAGCGATTCTCCTGCCTCAGCCTCCCGAGTAGCTGGGATTACAGGTGTGCGCCACCACACCCGGCTAATTTTTTGTATTTTTAGTAGAAACAGGGTTTCACTACGTTAGCCAGGCTGATCTCAAACTCCTGACCTCAGGTGATCCACCCACCTTGGCCTCCCAAAGTGCTGGGATTACAGGCGTGAGCCACCATGCCCAGAGATACAGCTGAATCTTGAAAAAGCTAAGTGAAAGAAGTCAGTCACAAAGGACCACATATTGTACAATTCCATTCGTATGAAATGTGAATTTAGTGATTGGCTAGGTCTCAGGGGCATGAGAGGGTGAGATGAGGGGAAATGGGAGTGCCTGCTAATAGGTATGGGGTTTCTTTTTAGGATAATGAAAATGTTCTAAAAATTGATTATAATGGTGAATACACAACTCTGAAAATATGCTAAAAGACATTCAACTTTACACATTAAATGAGTGAATCATATGGTATGTGAATTATATCTCAAGCTATTAAAAAAATATATGAAGTAAAAGTTATGGCTGGTGGGGCGTGGTGGCTCATGCCTGTAATCCCAGCACTTTGGAAGGCCAAGGCGAGCAGATCACTTGAGGTCAGGAGTTCGAGACCAGCTGGCCAACATGGTGAAACCCCATCTCTACTAAAAATACAAAAATTAGCCGGGCATGGTGGCGTGCACCTGTAATCCCAGCTACTCGGGAGGCTGAGGCAGGAGAATCGCTTGAACTGGGAGGCAGAGGTTGTAGTGAGCTGAGATCATGCCATTGCACTCCAGCCTGGGCGATAGACCGAGACTCCATCTCAAATAAATACATAAATAAATAAAATTTATGGCTATAATGATTTTTATAGTAGACCCAATGAAAGCACATCACTCAGTATGATTGAGGTGAAAGAAACTGGTGTTGAAATTAGGAACCTTGTATTCTAGTATGGACTGGTCATTTTGAACAACTTAGGCCATAAACAAAAGAGCAAGTAGTTACTGATTACCCACTTAGTGACAGTCACAAGGATAAGGGCTGTAAACTTCAGCTTATTCATCCGTATGATGAAGGGGTTTGTTAGAAAATCTGTCCCAGCACTTTGGGAGGCTGAGGTGGGAGGATCAGTTGAGGGTAGGAGTTTGAGAGAAGCCTGGGCAACATAGCCAGAGCATTTCTGAAAATAAAAATAAAAAATAAAGCCCAGGTTGTGCTGATGCAGGCCTGTAGTCCCAGCTACTACTTGGGGAGCTAAGCTATAAGGATCACTGGAGCCCAGGAGGTTGAGGCTGCAATGAGCTGTGATGGCACAACTGCACTCCAGCCTGGGCAACAGAGCAATACCACAACTCCATAAAGAAAGAAAGAAAGAGGAAGAGAGTGAGAGAAAAAAAAAAGAAAGAAAGGGAAAGAGGGAAAGAGAAAGAAAGAAAGAAAAAAAGAGAAAGAAAAAAAGAAAGAAAGAAAGAAAGAAAAAAGAAAAATCTGTAAAGGCATTTTTTCGTTGTTTTGTTTTTTGAGATGAAGTCTCTCTCTTGTCCTCCAGGCTGGAGTGCAATGGCATGATCTTGGCTCACTGCAACCTCTGCCTCCCAGGTTCAAGTGATTCTCCTGCCTTGGCCTCCCGAGTAGCTGGGATTACAGGCGCCTGCCACCATGCCCGGCTAATTTTTATATTTTTAGTAGAGACAGGTTTTCACTTTGTTGTCCAGGCTGGTCTCAAACTCCTGATCTCAGGTGACCTGCCCACCTCGGCATCCCAGAGTGCTGGGATTACAGGCGTGAGTCACCATACCTAGCTCCCCCCCGCCCCCGCCTTTTTTTTTTTTTTTTTTGAGATGGAGTCTCACTCTGTCGCCAGGCTGGAGTGCAGTGGTGCGATCTCAGCTCACTGCAACCTCTGCCTCCCAGGTTCAAACGATTCTCCTGCCTCAGCCTCCCAAGTAGCTGGGATTGCAGATATGTGCCACCACGCCCAGCTAATTTTTGTATTTTTAGTATAGATGGGGTTTCACCATGTTACAGGCCAGAATGGTCTCGATCTCCTGACCTCGTGATCCACTGACCTGGACCTCCCAAAGTGCTGGAATTACAGGCATGAGCCACCGCGCCTGGCCTGTAAAGGGTTTTTGCAGTTCTAAAATCCTATGATTCTCTTGTATAATAGGTTGTAATGACAGACAGGAGACAGGGTCTTGATATTGAGTCCCGTTAGTGAACTCCTTCTTATGTAGGCAGTACTACTACCTCCTATATTCAATTGGCTGGATAGATTCCCAACTTCCACCCCTGACCCACAATGAGAGTATCATTAACTAAGAGTTGTTAAGGAAAAATAGGTCATCTTGTGGACTTTAGAGTAAAGTGTTTACTTTTGATTCCTACAGGGAAGGAAATTCCATTTCAAGAGATTCCTTGGCCTTGCAAAAATAGTGAGGACAGTCACGGGGGCAGCAGAGGGGAGCAGTTAATGAGAGCAGGAAGGGAGGAGTTTCTTCCTAAGCATAATAACTATAATCACTGGAAGGCTGAAATTACTAGTCCTGTTGTTTGTCCAGCCTTCTGGAACATATATAGTTATTTCTATGTGAATCAATTTCTCTAGTTTCACAAATGACATTTTCCCACCTGCAAGGAGAGAGTCACTGAAAAAGGAAGAGAAGATGGGGTTCCCCGGGCACAAGGCCCTCTGGTCATGGCAGTGTGAAATGATAAGTAATTCATCACTGGGTACAAACTAACATATGTTTGGTGAGGCAGTCTAGCTATGGAATTCCAGGCTCAGAATGAAAAGCACCAGGGTATTTTTCTGAGTCCTCAGTTTTTCCTTTGAAAGCCTTTTTTTTTTGAGACGGAGTCTCGCTCTGTCACCCAGGCTGGAGTGCAGTGGCGCAATCTCAGCTCACTGCAACCTCTGCCTTCCTGGTTCAAGCAATTCCCCTGCCTCAGCCTCCCGAGTAGCTGGGACTACAGGTGCACGCCACCACACCCAGCTAATTTTTTTTGTATTTTTACTAGAGATGGGGTTTCACCATGTTGGCCAGACTCATCACAAACTCCTGACCTCAGGCAATCTGCCCCCCTTGGCCTCTTAAAGTGTTGGGATTACAGGCGTGAGCCACTGCCCTCAGTTTTTTTTTTTTTTTTTTTTTTTTTTTTGAGACAGTCTCACTCTGTCACCCAGGCTGGAGTGCAGTGGCAAGATCTCAGCTCAGTGCAAGCTCCACCTCCCAGGTTCAGGCGATTCTCATGCCTTAGCCTCCTGAGTAGCTGGGATTACAGGTGCATGCCACCACACCCAGCTAATTTTTATATTTTTAGTAGACACAGGGTTCTGTCATGTTGGCCAGGCTGGTCTCGAACTCCAAGCCTCAAGTGATCCACTGGCCTCGGCCTCCCAAAGTGCTGGGATTACAGGCGTGATCCACCATGCCTGGCCAAAGCCTTTCTTTTTTTTTTTTTTTTTAAGAGACAGGGTCTCACTCTGTCACTGAAGCTGGAGCACAGTGGCACGATCGCTGCTCACTGCAGCCTTGACCTCCCAGGCTCAAGGGATCTTTCCACCTCAGCCTACTAACTACAAATACGCCACCACCCCGGCTAATTTATTTTTTTACTTTTTATCGAGACAAGGTCTGGCTCTGTTGCTCTGGCTGGTCTCAAACTCCTGGGCTCAAGTGATCCTCCCACCTCAGCCTCCCAAAGTGCTGGGATTACAGGAGTGAGCCACTATGTCTGTCCTTGAAAGCCTTTTTAATGTGCCAAAACAAGATGGGTAAATGTATCCAGGTTGAAGTTAGAAGGCCTCTAGACAATAACTATTCTGTTTTACTCCCTGTTCCCCAAGAGCTTTGGATTCACTGGAATTGCCTCTAAGAAGAGGCTGTACACATGGTTGAAGCAGGAATCCCAGTATTGAGGCTGTTTTTGATGGGGCCAAGGAATGTCGGTCATATTTGTGTGCAGGTCTATTTTCTCTCTCCACTTTTTCTGACTTGGGCTGAGTGGATGAAGAGGAGGCCCACCACCACCTCTCAGTATACTTTGTACACATAGAGTTGCATTCATCTGGGAATAAAAGACATATTTTCAAAACAGTAGGTTTGATACAGGACAGGCAAGCTCCCAAATTGGGGCTTAGCCAGGGAGGGTTGTTGGCTTCCTCCAGGAAAGAATTCAAGAGCAAGCTGGTGGTATTAAACAGCAACTTGTATTGAAGTGGCAGTGTATAGCAGCAGCAGAGGTACTGTTCCTAGCGAGCAGGGATACCCCATAGTCGGTGTGCCCAGAATAGCATCTCAGAGGCAGTTCTGCACTCATATTTTTACCCACTTATAATCACATGCAAAATAGGGGGCAGTTTATGCAGACATTTCTAGGAAAAGGGTTGTAACTTCTGGGTTGTTGGGTCATTGCCATGGAAATGGGTGGTAACTTCTGGGTGTTGCCATGGCAATGGTAAACTGACAGGGCACGCTGGTGGGTGTGTCTTATAGAAAACTGCTTCTGCCTTGGGGCTTTTTTAAGCTAGTCCTCAGTTTGGTCCAGTGTCCAACCTCTGCCTCTGGAGTCCAGTCCCTGCCTCCTACCTCAGGTTGCTTGGGTTTTTCCCTCCCAATTATACAAGAAATGCATACTCACTATAGAAAATTTGCTAAATATGAGCCAGGCACGGTGGCTCACGCCTGTAATCCCAGCACTTTGGGAGGCTGAGGCAGGCGGATCACGAAGTCAAGAACTCAAGACCATCCTGGCCAACATGGTGAAACCCTGTCTCTATTAGAAATACAAAAATTAGCTGGGGATGGTGGCGCACGCCCATAGTCCCAGCTACTCAGAAGGCTGAGGCAGGAGAATTGCTTGAATCTGGGAGGCAGAGGTTGCAGTGAGCCAAGATCGCACCACTGCATTCCAGCCTGGCGACAGAGCAAGACTCCGTCTCAAAAAAAAAAAAAAGAGAGAGAGAAGAAAATTTGCTAAATATGGCCAGGCGCGGTGGCTCACACCTGTAATCCCAGCATTTTGGGAGGCTGAGGCGGGAGGATCACGAGGTCAGGTCAAGACCAGCCTGTCCAACATGGTGAAACCCCGTCTCTACTAAAAATACAAAAATGAGCTGGGCATGGTGGCAGGCACCTGTAATCCCTGCTACTCGGGAGGCGGAGGCAGGGGAATTGCTTGAACCCGGGAGGCAGAGGTTGCAGTGAGCTGAAACCACGCCACTGCATTCCAGTCTGGGCAACAGAGCAAGACTCCATCTCAAAAAAAAAAAAAAAAGAAGAAGAAGAAAATTTGCTAAATATAGGCCGGCCGTGGTAGCTCATGCCTGTGATCCCAGCACTTTGGAAGGCCAAGGTGAGTGGATCATTTGAGGCCAGGAGTTCAAGACCAGCCTGACCAACATGGTGAAACCCAGTATCTACTAGAAGTACAAAAAAATAGCTGGGCATGGTGGCAGACACCTGTGATCTCAGCTACTCAGGAAGCTGAGGCAGGAGAATCACTTGAACCCAGGAGGCAGAGGTTGCGGTGAGCTAAGATCGTGCCACTGCACTCCAGCCTGGGTGACAGAGCGAGACTCTGCCTCAAAAAAAGAAAAAGTATGGGAGTGGAATATGGCTTCTGTTACTTGATCAAGGTGGATAAAGATTTATGGAGACTTTGGATTCATATAGTGACCTTTGCTCTCTGTCTTCTGGTCTCAAAACAATGTTCCTTGTTTTCTTGGTCTCTGAATATCCAACTGGCCTTGAGAGTTGTAGCTGTGAGCTACTAGAACTCAGAATCCATTCTTTTCGCATTGTTCCCTGTATAACTTGGCCACCTTTGACTCTAATGCTACCCAAGTCATCTCTGAAGTGTGGCTGTGATGGTAGCCTTCACTGCAACCCTTTCCTCAGAGCCACCTGCTGTCTACCACCCACCCTACCCCAGCATCCAGGCTAGGGTGGGGAAAGATAAACCTCTGAGCCTTCCATGGCCTGATCCCACAGCACAGCCAGTTTGATACGCTTGTTTTTTAGATTGGTATGGGGTGGTCTTCAGGGCAGCATCTTTCTGAACCCCAAATGAGAAGAGGGTAGGGCCCTCAGGATTACTTTCCATTATCCAGCCCATCTCCTACTCTCTGGGATGAAACCTGGACTTCCAAAAATGTGGGCACATATCTGACAGTTTTATTCTCTTCATTCCTGTTGTCTTTTTTTTTTGAGTTGGAGTTTTGCTCTGTTGCCAAGCTGGAGTGCAGTGGCACAATCTCAGCTCACTGCAACCTCTGCCTCCGCCTCCTGGGTTCAAGTGATTCTCCTGCCTCAGACTCCCAAGTAGCTGGGACTACAGGTGCCCGCCACCACACCCAGTTAATTTTTTGTATTTTTGGTAGAGATGGGGTTTCACCATGTTGGCCAGGATGGTCTCGATCTCTTGGCCTCATGATCCACCTGCCTCAGCCTCTCAAAGTGCTGGGATTACAGGCGTGAGCCACTGCGCCTAGCCCGTTCCTGTTTTTTTGCTTCCGTCTCGCCAATCTTCCAGACTAAAAAGTGAGACCAGTTGTGGTGGCTTATGCCTATAGTTTCAGCATTTGGGAAGCTGAGGTGGGAGGATTGCTTGAGGCCTGGCATTTGAGGTTGCAGTGAGCTATGATTGTGCCACTGCACTTTATCCTGGGTGACAGAACAAGACCCTCTCTCAAAAACAAACAAACCACAACAACAAAGCTGTGGTTGGTGCTAGTCTTGGTGCATATGTTTAAGCTGATCTTACTTAGATCTTTCTGTTTGCATTCAATCTCTGTCTGTCTAGTCTTCATAGATGCCTCCCCATCCTCTATGCTAATGTGTATTTTTTTTTTTTTCCCGAGATGGAGCCTTGCTCTGTCACCCAGGCTGGAGTGCAGTGGCTCAATCTTGGCTCGCTGCAACCTCCGCTTCCCAGGTTCAAGCAATTTTCTCCCCTCAGCCTCCCAAGTAGCTGGGATTACAGGTGGCTGCCACCACACCCTGCTAATTTTTGTATTTTTAGTAGAGACGGGGTTTCACCATATTGGCCAGGCGGGTCTCGAACTCCTGACCTTGGAATCCACGCCCCCGCCACCCGCCCCCCATCAGCCTCCCAAAGTGCTGGGATTACAGGTGTGAGCCACCGTGCCTGGCCCCTCTATGCTAATATTAATATAATGGCAATGGTTTGGGTATGAGAAACATTTGACAAATCTAATGAACAGAACTTGGTAGTTTTAGAGGGTGATAGAGAGGGGACTCACAGATTTCTGGTTTGAGTAAATGGGTAAATGGTGGTCCCAGCAATCAAAATAGCTAATTCAGGAAGGAAAGCAGCTTTTGAAAATAAAACAGTGAATTCATTTTGGACTCCTTTGGTTTGAGATACTTCTGGATTGAATCTCAAAAAATAATGGTGGCTGTACAAATCTTTTAAAGTCATTAATTTATAAATGTAGTAAAGTCTTATTTGTAAATAATACTCCTAGGAAGAATTATTTTGTGAAACACATCATCCAACATTTACCCTTTTTATTTTTATTTTTTTGAGACGGGATCTCACTCTGTCATCTAGGCTAACTCCAGTGCACTCCCAGTGGCACTATCATACCTTATTGCAAACTTGAACTCCTGGCCTCAATTGATCCTCCTGCCTTAGCCTCCCAAAGTGCTGGAATTACAGGTGTGAACCACCATAGCTGGCCCAATATTTACCCATGATATATATTTTTTGTATTTTTTTGTAGACACGGGGGTCTCATCATGTTGCCCAGGCTGGTCTCAAACTCCTGGGCTTAAGTGATCTGCCTGCCTCGGCCTCTCAAAGGAGATAGGCTGGGCGCAGTAGTTCACACCTGCTGGGACTACAGGTGTGAGCCACTGCACCTGGCCTACCCTTTATATTTTCTTTAGTCAACTGTTTCTACCAAATAGCTATTTGAAATATCCTCCCCTAAGGGAATGCAAATTTTGCTGGGTAAGGGAAAGAAACCTGAGCTAATTTTGGGATTTATATCACTACTTCTTAGGAAAGCAAATTTGGGGAGAAAAATGAAGATTAAGAAAGAACTTGGGGCCGGGCGCAGTGGCTCACGCCTGTAATCCAGCACTTTGGGAGGCCAAGGCGGACGGATTGCCTGAGGTCAGGAGTTGGAGACTCAGCCTGGCCAACATAATGAAACCCTGTCTCTACTAAAAATACAAAAATTAGCCAGGTGTGGTGGCACGTGCCTGTAGTCCCAGATACTCAGGAGGCTGAGGTGGGAGAATTTCTTGAACCCAGGAGGCGGAGGTTGCAGTGAGCTGAGACCACGCCATTGCACTCCAGCCTGGGTGACAGAATGAGACTCCGTCAGAAAGGAAAGGGAAAGGGAAAGCGAAAGGGGAGGGAGAGGGAGGGAAAGAAAGAAAGAAAGAACTTTAGTGTTTTTCTTCCCAACCTTTCCTCCCATTTTATTGCTGAGGAAATTAGGGCCTAAAGGGTTAAAGGCTTTGAGCAGCAAGCAAAATGAGGGCACTGGCCCTGGGGAGAGGAGAGTGGAAAAAGGAGGTTCAAGAAGGTGAGAAATAATCCCCAAAAGCTGAATAGAAAAACTACCCTAAAACAAAACCCTAGGATGAGTCCTGTTCCAATAAGACTTTACTACCTTAAACGAATACCAGGAACTTGTCCCCAAGTTGCCCCATCACCAGGGGGATGACCAACTGTTCCAAAGAAACCATGTATATGAAATCACTTTGCAAGCTGCAAAGTCCAGTTACCAGTGTTGCTAACATCAACCATTATTCCTCAAAAACATAAAAAACCCAGGTCTAGGCTGGGCACGGTGGCTCACGCCTGTAATCCCAGCACTTTGGGAGGGCGAGGTAGGTGGGTCACCCGAGGTCAGGAGTTTGAGACCAGCCTGACCAACATGGCGAAGCCCTGTCTCTACTAAAAATACAAAAATGAGCTGGGCGTAGTGGCACACACCTGTAATCACAGCTACTTGGGAGCCTGAGGCAGGAGAATCGCTTGAATCCAGGAGGTGGAGGTTGCAGTGAGCCAAGATCATGCCACTGCACTCCAGCCTGTGTAATGGAGCGAGACTCCGTCTAAAAAAAAACAAATAGAAAACAAAACAAAAAAATCCCAGGTCTAAGGACAAGTTCAATCCACAAGCAGAGAACAGGATATGAACAAACTGGAACACAATAACATGCTGTGGAATATATGTTCTATTTAAGGTCTACAGCTTATCTGAAATACAACAGAAAAAGAGGGGCTGGTTGGGAACAAGGGGTGGTGTCTGGTCAGAAAGGAAATAATCCATAGATCCCCTGTGACCTTTGTCACTTTTTTCCTCCACATATTCATGTATGAAAATGACTCAGCCCTAACACCCTGTGGTTTATTTTTAGTAGGGGCAACAGAGCCAGTTGAAAACCTAAGCATAGTAACTATTGCCCATCAACAGCCTCACACATCAGAAGCAGGGAACAAATATTTATTCATTTCAACTAATATGTGTGACTCAAGGGGCACAAGAGAGTCTGCCCCTTTCAAGATATATATTTGCTCTTTCTTTCTTTCTGCCACAGTATTGGAACCTCCCAATGGGAGAATGACTCCTTTGGACTTGAAATTTCAGTATGAGGAGACCCGTAGCCAGCAGTGAGTGGAGTCCATTTCACTCATTTTATAACTGAGGAATCATCCACAGTCACATGTAAGTTTGTGGCTATGTTGGACTCTCAGCCCAGTGCCTCATTGTATCTCCATTGTTCCACATTCCTTAGTCAAAAGCTAAATAATAGCACATGTTTGACACGAGACCATAGTTCCAGAAGAAGAGGACATATTCAGGGCTGATATCCCATTATAATGTAAGTTAAATGTTGAATATAAGGAGATAACATTCTGTTGTTCACTATGAAATTAGTAGACATCAAGACCCATAGGGATATATTCTTTTTTTTGTTTTGAGACAGAGTTTCGCTCTTGTTGCCCAGGCTAGAGTGCAATGGCGTGATCTCGGCTCACTGCAACCTCCACCTCCTGGGTTCAAGCAATTCTTCTGCTTCAGCCTCCCAAGTAGCTGGATTATAGGCATATGCCACCACACTCAGCTAATTTTGTATTTTTAGTAGAGATGGGGTTTCACCACGTTGGTCAGGCTGGTCTCGAACTCCTGACCTCAGGTGATCTGCCAGTCTCGGCCTCGCAAATTGCTGGGACTACAGCCATGAGCCACCGCACCCCGCCTCTTTTTTTCTTTTTTTTTCAGATGGAGTCTTGCTCTGTCATCCAGGCTAGAATGCAGTGGCACGATCTCGGCTCACTGCAACCTCTGCTTGTGTTCAAGCAATTCTCCTGCCTCAGCCTCCCGAGTAGCTGGGATTACAGGTGTGTGCCACCACACCCAGCTAATTGTATTTTTAATAGAGACAGGGTTTCACTATGTTGGCCAGGCTGGTCTTGAACTCCTGACCTCAGGTGATCCATCCCCCCCTTGGCCTCCCAAAGTACTGGGATTACAGGTGTGAGCCACCATGCCCAGCCCCAGAGGGATGTATTCTTTACTGTTTTGTTAAAATTCAAAATCTTCATCAAGCATCAGCAACAAACAAGAACAACTGAGAGTGCAAGGATCTGGGGTTAGCTGCGGAGTCTGAACTGTGCTTCTGCCACTTACTAGCTGTGAAGTTACTCTTTTATTTTTATTTTTATTTTGAGACAGAGTCTTGCTCTATCGCCCAGGCTGGAGTGCAGTGGCATGATCTTGACTCACTGCAAACTCCGCCTTCCGGGTTCACGCCATTCTCCTGCCTCAGCCTCCTGAGAGCTGGGACTACAGGCGCCCACCACCACGCCTGGCTAATTTTTTTGTATTTTTAGTAGAGACGGGGTTTCACTGTGTTAGCCAGGATGGTCTCGATCTCCTGATCTCGTGATCCGCCCACCTCGGCCTCCCAAAGTGCTGGGATTACAGGCGTGAGCCATCGTGCCTGGCCTGAAGTTACTCTTTCTACCTGTTTTCTGACCTGTAAAATGAGGTTGAGAAAAACAGTACCTATCTCATAGGGTTTTTGTGAAGGTTAAATGAGATAATATACACACAGCACTTAGAATAGTGCCTGGCATATAAATATTCAATAAATGTGATGTGATTTCGCTCTGTGTCCCCACCCAAATCTCATTTTATAGCTCCCATAATTCCCACGTGTTTTAGGGGGAACCTGGCGGGAGATAATTGAATCACAGGGGCAGGTCTTTCCCATGCTGTTTTCATGATAGTGAATAAGTCTCATGAGATCTAATGGTTTTAAAAAATGGAGTTTTTGCCTGGTGCGGTGGCTCATGTCTGTAATCCCAGCACTTTGGGAGGCCAAGGTGGGCGGATCACCTGAGGTCAGGAGTTCGAGACCAGCCTGGCCAACCTGGTGAAACCCTGTCTCTACTAAAAATACAAAAATTAGCTGGGCATGGTTGCAGGCACCTGTAATCCCAGCTACTTGGGAGGCTGAGGCAGGAGAATCGCTTGAACCTGGGAGGTGGAGGTTGCAGTGAGACAACATCGCGCCATTACACTCCAGCCTGGGCAACAAGAGCGAGACTTCATTCCAAAAAAATAAAACGGAGTTTTCAGCCAGGCTCAGTGGCTCACGCCTGTAATCCCAGCACTTTGGGACGCTGAGGCAGGTGGATCACCTGAGGTCAGGAGTTCAAGACTAGCCTGGCCAATCTGGTGAAACTCTGTCTCTACTAAAAATACATTTTGTATTTTTAGTAGCTATAGTCCCAGCTACTTCGGAGGCTGAGGCAGGAGAATCGCTTGAACTCAGGAGGTGGAGGTTGCAGTGAGCCAAGATCACGCCACTGCACTCCAGCCTGGGTGACAGAGTGAGACTCAAGTCTCAAAAACAAAACAAAACAAAACAAAACGGAGTTTCCCTGCACAAGCTCTCTCTTCTCTTGTCTGCTGCCATGTAAGATGTGCTTTTCACCTTCTGCCATGATTATGAGGCCTCCTCAGCCACGTGGAACTGTGTCAGCATTGTGAAAATGGACTAATACAAAATGTAAGCTATGATCTTCCCAGGCTTGTCTTGAACTCCTGAGCTCAAGCAAGCCTTCCTCCTCAGCCTCCTGAGTAGCTGAGACGTGCCATCAAGCCCAGCTAATTTTTTCATTTTTTCTGTAGAGACGGGATCTCATTATGTTGCCCAGGCTGGCTGGAACTGCTGACCTCAAGTGATCCTCCTGCCTTGGCCTGTAATCCCAAAGTGCTAGGATTACAGGTGTGAGCCACCATGCCTGGCCTGCATGTTACTGTTTCAAAAGCACACTCAGCATATCTGTAGCAGGCTTTCCAGTCTCTTAGAAGGATGCCATATTTGCTTTTTAAGTGTTAATGCCAGCTGACTTTTATCCCTTGAAAACTACAGTAGCCAGGTATTTTTGAGGAAAGTGTCCTTGTTGGAGAGGGGACTTGAAGTCTTGAGATAAGAAGAAAGTTTGAAGTCATTGGACACGATCATGCTATTGAAGAGCAGCCTGTGACATTAGTGAGCTGTCTTCAAATAGCGTGTCATATAGAGAGACAGCTAGAGGGAGGATGATAACCAAAGCTTTCAAGACATGCATTTTTTCTCAATGTAAGAACTTTAGGCTGGGCGCAGTGGCTTATGCCTGTAATCCCAGCACGTTGGGAGGCTGAGGCAGGCAGATCACTTGAGGTCAGGAATTTGAGACCAGCTTGGTCAATATGGTGAAACCCCATCTCTACTACAAATACAAAAATTAGCTAGGCGTGGTGGCACGGGCCTGTTGTCCCAGCTACTTGGGAGGCTGAGGCAGGAGAATGGCTTAAACCCGGGAGGCAGAGGTTGCAATGAGCCGAGATCCCGCCACTACACTCCAGTCTGGATGACAGAGCGAGACTCGTCTCAAACAAACAAACAAACAAACAACAAAAAAAAACATGCCGGATGCGGTGGCTCACACCTGTAATCCCAGCACTTTGGGAGGCCAAGGTGGGCCGATCATGAGGTCAGGAGTTCAAGACCAGCCTGACCAACGTGGTGAAACCCCATCTCTACTAAAAATACAAAAATTAGCCAGGCGTGGTGGTGCACGCCTGTAATCCCAGCTACTCAGGAGGCTGAGGCAGGAGAATCGCTTGAACCTGAGAAGTGGTGGTTGCAGTGGGTGAGATCACGCCACTGGCACTCCAGCCTGGGCGACAGAGCAAGACTCTGTCTCAAAAAAAATAAAATAAAAAATAAAAGAACTTAAAAAATATCAGTGGGAGTTGTCCAAAAATGGTTAGGGGGATCTTGGGAAATAGTGGAGTCTCCACCACTGCAGTTTTCACACCTGACTTGGACAGCATATGGCAGGGATGTGGTCAAGAGAAACAAAACATGGGAGTTGGAATAGGTAAGGATTTTGTTTGTTTGTTTTGTTGTTGTTGTTGAGATGGAGTTTTGCTGTTGTTGCCCAGGCTGGAGTGCAATGGCGCCATCTCGGCTCACTGCAACCTGCACTCCCTGGGTTCAAGCGATCCTCCTGCCTCAGCCTCCCGAGTAGCTGGGATTACAGGTGCGCACCTCCATGCCCAAGTAATTTTGTATTTTTAGTAGAGACGGGATTTCACCATGTTGGCCAGACTGGTCTTGAACTCCTGACCTCAGGTAATCTGCCCACCTCGGCCTCCCAAAGTGCTGGGATTACAGGCATGAGCCACCGTGCCCAGCTGGAATAGGTGCGTTTTAAGATCCTGTTCACCAGATCTTAAAATGTTTAGGTCGGCAAAATTTGCTTTTGAAGCCAACTATTTCCCTCTTCTACTCCTTTTTCTAATTCTGATATTCTACCCCCATGGCCTCCATTCCCCAAGACCTAAGGATTGCTTGTTCCATGAGTTACCCAAAGTCTCAAATGCAGTACTTCCCACCAACCTATCAGCTACCCCTCCCCTGCTTTTCTGTACCCAACTTTTAGTGTACAGATTCCAATCGGTTGTTAAAGAAAAAAAAAATGGCTCCCTTAACTAATTCTTACTATGACATAAACGACTAACACTTTATGTGTTCTCTTCTCAGGGATACACACCGTTTAAAGGAATTGCTCATTTGCTAGTTGTATGTTTGATATAATTACAAACATATAAAAATCAAGACTGGAAAGAAGTATGCAAACAATGACAGTTTTTAGGTTGGGAGAATTAATTTTTCTTTCTTTTGAGTTTCTTGGCCAGGAATGGTAGCTCATGGCTGTAATCCCAGCACTTTGGGAGGCCAAGGTGGGTGGATCACCTGAGGTTGGGAGTTTGAGACCAGCCTGACCAACATGGAGTAACCCCATCTCTACTAAAAATACAAAATTAGCTGGGTGTGGTGGCGCATGCCTGTAATCCCAGCTACTTGGGTGGCTGAGGCAGGAGAATTGCTTGAACCAGGGAGGCGGAGGTTGCAGTGAGGCGAGATTGGGCCATTGCCCTCCAGCCTGGGCAACAAAAGCAAAACTCTGTCTCAAAAAAAAAAAAAAAAAGAAGTTTCCTTAAATCAGGAGTGTCCAATCTTTTGGCTTCCCTGGGCTACATTAAAAGAAGAATTGTCTTGGGCCACACATCAAATACACTGACACTGACCAGGTGCGGTGGCTCACACCTATAATCCCAGCACTTTGGGAGGTCGAGGAAGGCAGATCATTTGAGGTCAGGAGTTTGAGGCCAGCCTGGCCAATATGGCAAAACCCTGTCTCTACTAAAAAGAAAATACAAAAATTTGCTGGGTGCTGTGGCATCTGCCTATAGTCCCAGCTACTGGGGAGGCTGAGGCATGAGAATTGCTTGAGCCTGGGAGGTGGAAATTGTAGGGAGCCAAGATTGCATCACTGCACTCCAGGCTGGGAGACAGTGAGACTGTCTCAAAAAAACAAAAGAAAACACTAATGATAGCTGATGAGCTAAAAAAAAAAAATCACAAAAAACCTCACAATGTTTTAAGAAAGTTTACGAATTTCTGTTAGGCTGCATTCAAAGTTGCCCTGGGCTGTGGGTTGGACAAACTTGCTTAAAGTATGTTTAATCTTATAGTGTGTTTAATTAAAAACAAAAGCACAACATTAATAATCATTTGGACTAGTGTATAAACTGTGGAAGAGGAAGGCCCTTTTCTGCCAGAGTTATGTGGCCTTTTCCCTTTATGTCTGACCTGTATTAAACTGTCTAAGGCAGCCTGGGCGACATAGTGAGAACTTGTCTCTACTAAAAATTTTTAAAAAATAATAATAAAATAAAATTAGCCAAGTGTGGTGGCCTGCGCCTGTAGTCATAGCTACTTGAGAGGCTAAGATAGGAGGATCACTTGAGCCTGGGAGGTCAAGGCTGCAGTGAGCCATGATTGCACCACTGCCCTCCAGCCTGGGAGACAGTATGAGATCCTGTTACAAAATAATAATAATAAACTGTCCTAGGGAGATAGCACACCAGGAATGACTCTTGGACCTGGCTTCCAGAGGATTTGTTCAAACCTGCTTTTATCCCTTCAGTGTTTCTTCCATCTCTCTTTCTTCACCCTACTTCACAGAAAGAGTGTTTCTTGCTCTTAGTAACCAATTGGCTGGGAGCAATGGCTCATGCCTGTAATCCTGGGACTTTGGGAGGCCAAGGTGGGAGGATCATTTCAGGCCAGGAGTTCAACACCAGCCTGGGTAACATAGTGAGATCCCATCTCTATATAAAACCATTTTTTTTTTTTGGCTGGACCAGGTGGCTCATGCCTGTAATCCCAGCACTTTGGGAGGCCAAGGTTGGCAGATCACTTGAGGTTAGGAGTTCAAGACAACCCTGGCCATCATGGAGAAACCCCGTCTCTACTAAAAATACAAAAGTTAGGCAGGCGGGTTGGTGGGTGCCTGTAATCCCAGCTACTTGGAAGGCTGAGGCAGGTGAATCGCTTGAACCTGGGAGCCGGAGTTTGCAGTGAGCAGAGATCGCACCATTGCACTCCAGCCTGGGCAATAAGAGTGAAACTCCATCTCAAAAAAAAAAAATTTTTTTTTCAAAAGCTCCAACTATAGAAAATTCAGGAGTCTTTTCAGACCACTGTCAGCTAGGTAACTCCTGATAAATGACAAGTTTCAAAGTTAGGCATGGAGAAGAGGGAGAAAATATTTCAACTGTAAGGCATGTAAGTTAAAGAGCTGTGACAGTCATCTGGCAGGTTAAAACACTCCAAAGAACAAGAATTGGATTAAGCTATAATTAGTGCATTTAGAGGTAGAAGGTTAAAGCCCAAAGTACAAGTGTATGGTCAGGGACTAGACTGGGAAAGGAAGAGATAAGATCATAGTGTTTCAGAAACAGATCAGAAAGCTGAGAAAAGGGAAAAAAAAATAGAAAAAAAAAGATTGCAGTGTGTTTGGCGGGGCACAATGGCTCCCATGGTGTAATCCCAGCACTTTGGGAGGCCAAGGAGGGTGGATCACTTGAGGCCAGGAGTTTAAGACCAGTGTGGCCAACATGTCAAAACCCCATCTCTACTAAAAATACAAAAATTGCTGGGCATGGTGGTTCACACCTGTAATCCCAAACACTAGGGAGGCTGAGGCAGGAGAATCGCTTGAACCTGGGAGGCAGAGGTTGTAGTGAGCCGAGTTCACACCACTGCACTCCAGCCTGGGTGACAGAGTGAGACTCTGTCTTTAAAAAAAAAAAGAAAAGAAAAAATAGTCCAGGCACGGTGGCTCACACCTGTAATCCCAGCACTTTGGGAGGCCAAGGCGGGTGAATCACCTGAGGTCAGGAGTTCGAGACCAGCCTGGCCAAGATGGCGAAACCCCGTCTCTACTACAAATACAAAAATAAAAAAATCCTCCCGGGCATGGTGGCACTTGCCTGTAATCCCAGCTACTGGGGGTGCTGAGGCAGGAGAATCGATTGAACCTGGGAGGCAGAGGGAGGATTGCTTGAACCTGGGAGGCAGAGGTTTCAGTGAGCCAAGATCGTGCCACTGCACTCCAGCCTAGGCGACAGAGCGAGACTCCATCTCAAAAACAACAACAATAAAAAAAAATAATAAAGATTGCAATGTCTGATATATTTGTTTTGTTGGTGTTTTTTTTGTTTTGTTTTGTTTGTTATGTTTTTGAGACAGAGTCTTGCTCTGTCACCCAGGCTGGAGTGCAGTGGCGTGATCTCAGCTCACTGCAACATCCACCTCCCAGGTTCAAGCGATCCTCCTGCCTTAGTCTCCTGAGTAGCTGGGATTACAGGTGTGCACCACCACGCCCAGCAATTTTTGTATTTTTATTTTTATTTTATTTATTTACTTATTATTTATTTATTTATTTATTTTTGAGATGGAGTCTTGCTCTATCACAAGGCTGGAGTGCAGTGGCATGATCTCAGCTCACTGCAACCTCTGCCTCCCAGGTTCAAGCGACTGCCCTGCCTCAGCCTCCCAAGCAGCTGGGATTACAGGCATGTGCCACCACACCCAGCTAATTTTTTGTACTTTAGTAGAGACGGGGTTTCACCATGTTGGCCAAGATGGTCTAGATCTCCTGACCTCGTGAACCGCCCGCCTCAACCTCCCAAAGTGCTGAGATTTCAGGCGTGAGCCAGCGCACCCGGCCTATTTTATTATTTTTATTATTTTTGAGACAGAGTTTTGCTCTGTTGCCCAGGCTGGAGTGCAATGGCTCTATCTTGGCTCACTGCAACTTCCACCTCCCGGGTTCAAGCGATTCCCTTGCTTCAGCCTCCCGAGTAGCTGGGACTACAGGCGCATGCCACCATGCCCAGCTAAATTTTGTATTTTTAGTAGAAATGGGGTTTCACTGTGTTGGCCAGGCTGGTCTCGAACTCCTGACCTCGTCATCCACCCGCCTTGGCCTCCCAAAGTGCTGGGATTACAGGTGTGAGCCACCGTGCCCAACCAATTTTTGTAGTTTTAGTAGAGAAAGGGTTTCACCATGTAGGTCAGGCTGGTCTCAAACTCCGGACCTCAGGTGATCCACCTGCCTTGGCCTCCCAAAGAGCTGGGATTACAGGCGCTAACCACGGTGCCCGGCCAGTGTGTGATATATTAGTGAGAAAAAGGCAAAGACATCTCTGGCTCACAGAAAGCCAAGTGTTCCCGCATATTTCCTAAATCCTTTAGCTTTAGGCAGAGCCATTTGACTAGTTTGGTCAATGGGCTGGAAGTGATAGGTGTCACCTCTAGGCCAAACCAACCATTTAATAGGTATTGTGTGATCCTCCAGCTTTCTTTACTCCGCGGTGATACACTTAGGCCTTGTACTGAGATGGCAGAGCTACATTTTGGAAAGGTTCTTAGAGTCGCTGCAGAGGTCAGGTAACTGAAGAGATGCTGGCCCTTGATTTTAGGTGAATGAGAAAGTTTGGTTCTGTTAAACCACTGAGACATGGGATGTCTCGTTGCAGCATAACCTCGTTGCGGCATAACCTGGCGTATCCTGATAAATACAAAAAGGCACTTCAACAATAGTATTGTAGCCGGGCTTGCAGTGGTTTACACTTGTAATCCCAACATTTTGGGAGGCTTAGGCGGGCGGATTGCTTGAGGCCATGAGTTCAAGACCAGCGTGGGCAACATGGTGTAACCCTGTCTCTACTAAAAATACAAAAAATTAGCCGGGCATGGTGGTGCATGCCTGTAATCCCAGCTACTCAGGAGGCTGATGTATGAGAAACGCTTGAACCTGGGAGGCGTAGAATGCAGTGAGCTGAGATTGCGGCACCGCACTCCAACCTGGGCAACACAGCGATATTTCATCTGAAAAAACAAAAACAAAAACAAAAATAGTATTCTAGAGATTATAGATTACATGATATTCAGCTCCAAACTAGACAGGCTGAAGGGACGAAGAAGACCTGGAGCCAGTCAAGAATCACCATTGGTAAAGACAAAATATATAGGGCCTCTGTCAAAGACTCCCAATAGGGTCTAGGGTCAAACCACATGAAAGCAAGAAGATTAATGCTAAATCACTACCCTGAATGTTGAGCCTCTTCATCTACATAATCCTTTCCCCCAGAGAGGTTTAGCCTAAAAGACTGTACCAGGGTCAAAGTAAGTGGAGAGACTGTTACAGGAAAAGAGCCTGTGGTTTTGCTAAAGGCTTTATTGTACCTAGTCTCAGAACATGGAAACAAGAAGAAGGTTATAGGAGAATATAAAAATAAGTGGAGAGATGGTCAAGGAGCTTAAGGAGAAAAGGTCGATGGTATTAGAATCATTGTTGATAAGAGCAGAAAATGAAAGGCTTTCAAAGCAAGGTAGTATAGTTCAATAGAAGGAAAAACATGACTGATATAATTTGGTTTGGATTGTGACCATTAAGGTTTCATCATACCAGGAAAGTCTATGATTTCTGAGGACATCATAGCCTATGGTACACAGTATGGTGGTTAAGAATGTGAGCTCTGAGCCGGGTGCGGTGGCTCAAGCCTGTAATCCCAGCACTTTGGGAGGCCAAGGCAGGCAGATCGCCTGAAGTTGGGAGTTCGAGACCAGCCTGACCAACATAGAGAAACCCCGTCTCTACTAAGAATACAAAATTTGCCGAGTGTGGTGGCGGGCGCCTGTAATCCCAGCTACTCGGGAGGCTGAGGCAGGAGATCACTTGAACCTGGGAGGCGGAGGTTGCAGAGAGCCGAGATCTCGCCATTGCACTCCAGCCTGGGCAACAAGAGTGAAACTCGGCCAAAAAAAAAAAAAAAAAAAAAAGAATGTGAACTCTGGGCTGGGCCTGGTGGCTCATGCCTGTATTCCCAACAGGTTGGGAGGCTGAGGCAGGAGGATTGCTTTAGCTCAGGAGTGTGGGACCAACATAGTGAGAACCCATCTCTACAAAAAACAAAACCAAACCATTAGCTGGGTATGGTGGCACACACCTGTGGTCCCAGGTACTTGAGTGGCTAAGGTGAGAGGATTCTTTGATCCCAGGAGCTCAAGGCTGCAGTGAACCAAAATTGCACCACTGCACTCCGGCCTGGGTGACAGATCAAGATCCTATCTAAAAAATAAAAAAAAGAATGTGACCTCTGGAGCAAGAGTAAGATGGGTTCATAACCAGGCTCTGCCACTTATTAGTTTTGTGGCCTTGGGCAGGTTATTTAACCTTCCGGTGCTCAGTTTTCCCATCTGTAAAACAGAAATAAGAATAGTGCCTGCCCCTCATGCCTGTAATCTCAGCACTTTGGGAGGCCGAGGCAGGCAGATCACAAGGTCAGGAGATCGAGAGCATCCTGGCTAACATGGTGAAACCCTGTCTCTACTAAAAATACAAAAAAATGAGCCGGGTGTGGTAGGAGGCGCCTATAGTCCCAGCTACTCAGGAGGCTGAGGCAGGAGAATGGTGTGAACCCGGGAGGCCACACCTTTCATTTTCTGCTCTTATCAACAATGATTCTAATACCATCGACCTTTCTCCTTAAGCTCCTTGACCATCTCTCCACTTATTTTTATATTCTCCTATAACCTTCTTCTTGTTTCCATGTTCTGAGATTAGGTACAATAAAGCCTTTAGCAAAACCACAGGCTCTTTGCCTGTAACAGTCTCTCCACTTACTTTGACCCTGGTACAGTCTTTTAGGCTAAACTGCCGGAAAGACAGTGAGCCGAGATCGCGCCAAAAAAAAAAAAAAAAAGAATAGTGCCTGCCTCATATGGTTGTAGAACCAGACTATGTGAGTAGTCCCTCATGACTACCTTCCCCAATCAGCAAATAATGCACATTTCCCTAAAAACTCTCTTCCTCCCTCCCTCAGGAATCAGGGCCTCAGAAGCATTGAGGAGGTAGTTTACCTATGCATATTCCAGAGCAAGAAGCAGACAGATGACCTATGTGTGGGTTTTGTAAAGCACAGGCAATTACCCTCACCAAATGATCCTGCTGTTTGATTTGTTGGTTGACTCTGGAGTCAAAGGTGGGAGGGCTCGTACTTCATTCTTGATTATAAGCAGTGAAGATTCCCTGGGGGCTCATTCTCAATTGGTGTTATGAATGTTCTCTCTTTGCCCTGCATCCCAAGATGTTTTTCTCTTCTCACACACAGGCATAATGCATTAGTTGTTCTGATTCCTTAAATCATTAATAACAGGGAGTCATGTCCTGAATCAATTCCATTCTTTGTACAGTATTAGAGCTAGCCGTCTTGTTGGTCTCAAGTTGCATTTAAAAACAATTATGTTGGCCGGGTGTAGTGGCTCACACTTGTAATTCTAGCACTTTGGCAGGCTGAGGCAGGAAGATCCCTTGAGTCCAGGAGTTCGAGACCAGCCTGGGCAACAGGGAGACCCTGTCTCTATGTAATAATAAAAAAAAACAAAAAACAATTATGTTATTTCCTTGTCTCTCCTTTATTTGCACCCCATCTCACTGAATGGTAGTGAGACCCAAGAATAAAGCCTTGTGCATCATGATGCAGCACACACATGGTTAAGGGCCTGGGTTCTGGCACTGTGCAGACTGGGCTGGGCATGGTGACTCATGCCTGTAATCCCAGCACTTTAGGAGGCTGAGGCAGGCGAATCATGAGGTCAGGAGTTCGAGACCAGCCTGGCCAACATGGTGAGACCCCGACTCTATTAAAAATACAAAAAATGGCTGGGCACAGTGGCTCACGCCTGTAATCCCAGCACTTTGGGAGGCCGAGGCAGGCGGATCACAAGGTCAGGAGATTGAGACCATCCTGGTTAACATGGTGAAACCCCGTCTCTACTAAAAATATAAAAAATTAGCCGGGCGTGGCGGCGGGCACCTGTAGTCCCAGCTACTCCGGAGGCTGAGGCAGGAGAATGGCGTCAACCCGGGAGGTGGAGCTTGCAGTGAGCTGAGATCACGCCACTGCACTCCAGCCTGGGTGACAGAGTGAGACTCCGTCTCAAAAAAAAAAAAAAAGAAAAAAAATACAAAAAATTAGCTGGGCATAGAGGTGAGCACCTGTGCTCCTAGCTACTCAGAAGGCTGAGGCAGGAGAATCGCTTGAACCCAGGAGGCAGAGGTTGCAGGGAGCCGAGGTCGCGCTACTACACTCCAGCCTGAGTGACAGAGTGAGACTCCCTCTCAAAACAAAACAAAACAAAACAAAACAAAAAAATTGGCTGGGCATGGTGGCTCACGCCTGTAATCCCAGCACTTTGGGAAGCCGAGGCGGACGGATCACTTGAGGTCAGGAGATGGATACCAGCCTGGTCAACATGGTGAAACCTTGTCTCTACTAAAAATACAAAAATTAGCCAGGCTTGGTGGTGTGCGCCTATAATCCCTGCTACTCGGGAGGCTGAGGCAGGAGAATTGCTTGAACCTGGGAGGCAGAGGTTGCAGTGAGCCAAAATCATGCCACTGGACTCTATCCTGGGTGACACAGAGGGACTGTCTCACAAAAAAAAAAAAAAAAAAAAAAAAAATCAGCCTGGCTTGGTAGTGTGTGTACCTGTAGTCCCAGCTACTAGAGAGACTGAGGTGGGAGGATCGTTTGAGTCTGGGAGGTCAGGGCTGTAGTGAGCCGAGATTGCGCCACTGCACTCCAACCTCAGCAACAGAGAGAGAGACACTGTGTGCGCAAAACACACACACACACACACACACACACACACACACACAACCCTGGTTCTACCTCTTTGAGCTCTCTGCACTTGAGCAAGTTACTCTGTCTCCATGAGTCTGCTTCCTCACATAAAAAAAATGAGGGTAATTGTTGTGTTTACTCACAGAGTAGTTGTGCAGTTTAAACAAATTAATTCAGGCAAGGTACTTTGTGCCTGGCACAGAGCAATCTTTCAATCACTGTTGGCTATTATCAATTTTTGTGTAACAAATGAATGGTAATTATCACCCCTTCTAAATACTTTTTAGACCTATAGATCACCTTTATGCAGAAAATTCCCACTTCTCTCCTCAAGGATAACATCTCTTCTGAACCCCAGATAAATGTCTTCCATTGATTACTGCACACTTTCTCTCTGTATCATCCTCCATCATTCACATTACATCAAACTCAGTCTTCTGACTGGCTCCTTTGGTCTTCCCTATTTCTCTTAATGCTATTTTTGTTTATAGCTTTTTAGAGGTAATTTTGTCACTCAAAACTATTTAAAAAAACCCTGAACAAACAGTTGACATTTATTATTTACTGTGTGCCAGACACCATGTTAAATCTTTATTGGATTACTTATATATAATTCTCACAACAATTTTTTGATGCAGGGGCTATTACTACCTCCATTTAGCAACTCTAGCAACTCTAGAAACTGATGCTTACAGATAGTTAAATGACTTGTCGAAGGTCATGTAACTATTCATAATAAGTGACTCAGCCAAGAGTTACACCCACATGTTTTGAAAACAGACCCATGCTCTTAAGCACTATCATGGTTATGCTGTAGTTTCTCTCTATTGCTTGTTTTTGTTTGTTTGTTCGTTTTGCTTTTTTGAGTCAGAGTCTTGCTCTGTTGCCCAGGCTGGAGTGCAGTGGTGTGATCTCGGCTCACTGCAACCTCTGTCTCCCAGGTTCAAGCAATTCTTGGCCTCAGCCTCATGAGTAGCTGGGATTACAGGTGCCCACCACCACGCCCAGCTATTTTTTGTATTTTTAGTAGAGACGGGGTTTCACCATGTTGGCCAGGCTGATCTCAAACTCCTGACCTCAAGTGATCTTCCCGCCTTGGCCTCCTAAGTGCTGGGATTACAGGTGTGAGCCACCATGACCAGCCCTAATTATTGATTATGTCAACAACTTCCTATTAGGTTTCTTTGCTTCCAGCCTCTCCCTGTCCAATTTATCCCCCAGACTGTAGCTAGATTCTCCATGGTCTAAAACATAGCCTCCCCATATACCACTGTAATCTTTTTTCTTTCTTTTTTCCATTAATTTTTTTTTTTGTATTTTTTGTAGACATGGGGTTTAACCATGTTGCCCAGGCTGGTCTGGAATTCCAGAGCTCAGGCAATCCGCCCTCCTTGGCCTCCCAAAGTGCTGGGGATTACAGGTATGAGTCACTGCCCCAGTATAATCTTAAATAAATGGGTCATTTCTTTTAGTCTGTTTCTCTGTAAAGTGAGCTAATTTTTGTATTTTTAGTAGAGATGGGGTTTCCCCATTTTGGTCAGACTGATCTTGAGCTCCTGACCTCGTGCTCTGCCTGCCTTGGCCTCCCAAAGTACTGGGATTACAGGCGTGAGCCACTGCGCCCAGCCTTCAATAGTTTTATTAAGTCCTAGAATGTTAAGATGTTTCTCATGTCACTGTCCTATTTCCAGACTTTAATGGCTTCCCATTAACCACAGTTCAGGGTCTATACTTCTTAGCATTCAAAGATTGTCACTCTGGTGGTTTTACCCCTTCCGAACCATAGGATTCTGATTCCCTGTGTGATCTCCTTATGAATACAGCCATGCCTTTTCCCCATCTCTTTAATTTTAATTTTTTTTTTTTGACATGGAGTCTTGTTCTGTCACCCAGGCTGGAGAGCAGTGGCGCGATCTTGGCTCACTGCAAGCTCCGTCTCCCGGGTTCATGCCGTTCTCCTGCCTCAGCCTCCTGAGTAGCTGGGACTACAGGCACCCGCCACGACGCCCGGCTACTTTTTGTATTTTTTTTAGTAGAGACGGGTTTCACCGTGTTAGCTAGGTTGGTCTCGATCTCCTGACCTTGTGATCCACCCACCTTGGCCTCTCAAAGTGCTGGGATTACAGGCGTGAACCACCTGGCCCGGCCCCATTTTAATATTTTTTTGGGACGGGTCTTGTTCTGTCACCCAGGCTGGAGTGCGATGGTGCGATCATGGCTCACTGCAGCCTCGAAATCCTGGGCTCAACTGATCCTCACGCTTCAGCCTCCTCTGAGCAGCTTGGCCTACAGGCATGTGCCACCATGCCCAGCTAATTAAAAACATTTTCTTTCTCTTTTTGGAGTGGCAGTATTGTTACCAGAAAGGGGTCCTGATCCAGATCCCAAGAGAGGGTTCTTTGGCCTCGTGCAAGAAATAATTTGAGGCAGGAAAAAAAAAATTCAAGGTGAATCCATAAAGTGGAAGCAAGTTTATTAAGAAAGTAAAGGACTAGGCCGGGTGCCATGCCTCATGCCTGTAATCCCAGCACTTTGGGAGGCTGAGGTGGGTGGATCACGAGGTCAGGACATCGAGACCATCCTGGCTAATATGGTGAAACCCCATCTCTACTAAAAACACAAAAATTAGCTGGGCGTGGTGGCGGGTGCCTGTAATGCCAGCTACTCGGGAGGCTGAGGCAGAGAACTGCTTGAACCTGGAAGGTAGAGGTTGCAGTGAGCCGAGATCCCGCCACTGCACTCCAGCCTGGCAACAAAGGGAGACTCCGTCTGAAAAAAAAAAAAAAAAAAAAAGTAAAGGAATAAAAGAATGTCTACTCTACAGGCAGAGGGGTTATTTCTTGATTATATGCTAAACAAGGGTGGATTGTTTGTGAGTTTTCTGGGAAAGGGATGGGCAATTTCCCCTCTCCCCCAGTTGAGTGCTCCTCCCCTTTGTAGACCATATAGGGTAACTTCTGGTTGTTTCCATGGCATCTGTAAACTGTCATGGTGCTGATGGGAGTGTCTTTTAGCATGTGAATCCATTATAGTTAGCATATAATGAGCAGTGAGGGTGACCAGAGGTCACTTTTGTTGCCATCTTGGTTTTGGTGGGATTTGACCGGCTTCTTTACCACTGTTTGATCACCAAGGTCTTTGTAATCTGTGTCTCATGTTGATCTTTTTTTTTTTTTTTGAGGCGGAGGTTTGTTCTGTTGCTCAGGCTGGAGTGCAGTGGTGCGATCTCAGCTCGCTGCAACCTCTACCTTCTGGGTTCAAACAATTCTGCCTCAGCCTCCCAAGTACCTGGGACTACAGGCGCGCGCCACCACGCCGGGCTAATTTTTGTATTTTTAGTAGAGACAGAGTTTCACCACGTTGGCCAGGCTGGTCTCGAACTCCTGATCTCAGGTAATCCACCCACCTCAGCCTCCCAAAGTGCTGGGATTACAGGCATGAGCCACCGTGCCCAGCCCTTGTGTCGATCTTCTATCTCATCCTGTGACTAAGAATGGCTAGCCTCCTGGGAATGCAGCCCAGTAGGTCTAAGCCTCTTTTTACCCAGCCCCTATTTAAGATGGAGTTGCTCTGGTTCGAAAGCCTCTGACAGTATCTTATTATACTGTGTAGGCTGGTCTTGAGCTCCTGGCTTCAAGAGATCCTCTTGCCTCAGCCTCCCAAAGTGGTGGGATTACAGGTGAGAGCCACCATACCTGGCCCTTTCCCTCATCTCTAATTCCTGGCAACCACTAAACTAGTCTATCCTCTATGTCTATACTTTTGTTATTAATATTTCACAAATGTTAAATGCAATAATACAATAGATAACTTTTTATGTTTGGCTTTTCTTCAGTCAGCATAATTCCCTTGAAATCTATCCAAGGGAATTATGTATATTGCATGTATTAATAGTTTGTTATTTTTTTCTATTGTTGAGTAGCATTCCACAGTATGGATGTAGCATAGTTTGTTTAACCATTCACATGATGAAAGACATTTGGGTTGTTTCCAGTTTTTGGTTATTACAAATAAAGCTGCAATGAACATTTGCGCACAGGTTTTTGTGTGAACAGAGCATAAGTTTTCATTCCTGTTGGATAAACGCCCAACAGTGCAATGGCTGGGTCATATGGTAAGCACATGTTTAGTTTTTTAAGAAACTATCGGCCGGGCGCGGTGGCTCACGCCTGTAATCCCAGCACTTTGGGAGGCCGAGACGGGCGGATCACGAGGTCAGGAGATCGAGACCATCCTGGCTAACACGGTGAAACCCCGTCTCTACTAAAAATACAAAAATTAGCCGGGCATGGTAGCGCGCCCCTGTAGTCCCAGCTACACGGGAGGCTGAGGCAGGAGAATGGCGTGAACCCGGGAGGCGGAGCTTGCAGTGAGTCGAGATCGCGCCACTGCACTCCAGCCTGGGCGACAGAGCGAAACTCCGTCTCAAAAAAAAAAAAAAAAAAAAAAAAAGAAACTATCAAACTTTTTCAGAGTGGCTGTACAATTTTATATTCCTACCAGTAATGTGGATCCAGTTTCTATACCTCCTTAATAGCGTTTGGTGTATCACTACTTTCATTTTAGCATTCTGATAGGCATGTAGTAATATCCGATTTTGGTTTTAGTTTGAATTTCCCTGGTGGCTAATGATGTTGAACATCTTTTCATGTGCTTTCTTGCCTCTGTATATCCTGTTCAATGAAATGTCTATTCATGTCTTTTGCCCATTTTCTAATTGGATTTTTTTAACCTGTTGAGCGTTCAGAGTTCTTCAAATATTCAAACCTTCAAATGAAGAGAAGGCCTTTATCTGATATGTGGTTTGGAAATATTTCCTTCCACTCTAGCTTGTTTTTTCGTCCTCTTCAAAAGGTCTTTCACAGGACAAAGGTTTTAAATTTCTTTTCTGCAGGGCACAGTGGCTCACGCCTATAATCCCAGCACTCTGTGAGGCCAAGGTGGGCGGATCACCTGAGGTCAGGAGTTTGAGACCAGCCTGGCCAACATGGTGAAACCCCGTCTCTACTAAAAATACAAAAATTAGCCGGGCGTGGTGGTGCACGCCTGTAGTCCCAGCTACTCGGGAGGCTGAGGCAGGAGAATCACTTGAACGTGGGAGGCAGAGGTTGCAGTGAGCTGAGATCCGCCAAGGCACTCCAGCCTGGGTGACAGAGCAAGACTGCATCTCAATAAATAAATAAACAAATAAATAAATAAAGGCCGAGCACGGTGGCTCATGCCTGTAATCCCTGCACTTTGGTAGGCCGAGGCAGATGGAACACTTGAGGTCAGGAGTTCGATACCAGCCTGGCCAGCATAGTGAAAACCCGTCTCTACTAAAAATACAAAAATTAGGGCCAGGCGCGGTGGCTCATGCCTGTAATCTCAGCACTTTGGGAGGCTGAGGCGGGCGGATCACGAGGTCAAGAGTTTGAGACCAACCTGGCCAACATGGTGAAACCCCGTCTCTCCTAAAAATACAAAAAGTAGCCGGGTGTGGTGGTGGGCACCTGTAATCCCAGCTGCTCGGGAGGCTGGGGCAGGAGATTCGCTTGAACCCGGGAGGCGGAGGTTGCAGTGAGCCGAGATCGCACCACTGCACTCCACCCTGGGCGACCTGGCAAGGCTCCGTCTCAAAAAAAAAAAAAAAAAAAGAAAAAGAAAATACCGGGCGTGGTGGCAGACGCCTGTAGTCCCAGCTACGCGGGAAGCTGAGTCACGAGAATCGCTTGAACCCGGATGGCGGAGTTTGCAATGAACCGACATCGTGCAACTGCGCTCCGGCCTGGGCGCCAAAGCGATACTCGGTCTCAAAAAGAAAAAAAAGAAAACAGGAGAATAATGAAATTTTACTTATTTATTTTATTTATTTTTTATTTTTTTGAGACCGAGTCTCGCTCTGTCACCCAGGCTGGAGTGCCCTGGCGCAATCTCGGCTCACTGCAACCTCTGCCTCCCGGGTTCAAGCGATTCTCCTGCCTCAGCCTCCCGAGTAGCTGGGACTACAGGCGCCTGCAACCACGCCCGGCTCATTTTTGTATGTTTAGTAGAGACGGGGTTTCACTATGTTGCCCGGGCTGGTCTCGAATTCCTGAGCTCAAGTGATCCTCCCGCCGCTGCTTTCCAGCGTGCTGGGATTACAGGCGTGAGCCACCGCGCTCGGCCAAAAGTTTTAAATTTCAGTAAGTTCCAATTTATCAACTTTTTCCCTGTATAGATTGGTCTTTTGGTGTCGTCTAAAAACTATTTGCCTGGCCCTAGGTCCTGAGGATTTTTTTTAACTTTTTTTTTCCCCATAAGTGATTTATTGTTTTACATTTAAATCTATGATTCATTTTGAGTAAATTTTGTATAAGGTGAGAGGTTTAGGTTGAGGTTCTTTGGGTCTATATTCGTCCAATTGCTCCAGCATCATTTGTTGAAACGGCTCCTGATTCCATTTTTGTACCTTTCCCCCGTTCATTTCCCCTTAGAGCAGTGGGAATGTTTTTTTGTTAGTGATGATGTCATGCCTTGTGCAAAATCTGTATTAGCATCTCACAACATAAGATTTGGCTCTATTCTAACGGCATTTTCCACCACTCGATGTCCACCGTAATACTTGGCTCTCGAAGAATCACTGGGCTGGCTCCCTCACTTCATGCAGGTCTATTCTATTATCACTTACTCAGAGATTTCTCTGGCCTTTTCTTCACAGCACTTACAAAATGCGATCTATTACATATTAATTTGCTTATTTGCTTCTTGTTTTCCTATACTCCCATCCCTCCCAGAAGCTCCAAGAGAGCATACTGTTTTATCCCTAGGGCCTAGAATAATGCGTCCACGTAGTAGGTACTCAAAATTTTTTGCTTGACAGGCTAGAAAAGGTGAATAAACACAAAGCGGGAGCGAAAAGTCTACTTCTAGGTCAGGCACTCTTTGGACTTCACGCAACGTGTGAGCGCCACCTCTCGGGAAGCCAATTTGCTCGCGAACGAAGGAAGTGAGTCAGAGAACCCGGGGGTGGAGAGAAGAAAGCAAGCAGCTAACCGGAAAGGTCTGAAAAAGCTAGCGCCGGAAGTTAAACTGCAGAAAGTTGTTCCCTAGAATGACTGCCTACTCCCAAGAGGAAGCGTGGGCGAGCGGTGTTCTGCAAAATGGGCTCTCCGGCAGCGGATCTGCGCAGAAGCGTTCCGTGCGTGCAAGTGCTGCGAACCACGTGGGTCCCGGGCGCGTTTCGGGTGCTGGCGGCTGCAGCCGGAGTTCAAACCTAAGCAGCTGGAAGGGTAAGAGGTGTTCGGGATCCTGAGAGGAAAAAGAAAGGAGTGTAGTCGCGGGAGTGGGTTAGGTGAGGAGTTAGTGAAGAGATGAGTTCAGCTCTAAGAGGCGGCGAGGAGGATCGGATGGGAGGAGGGGCAGGGAGCGCCTGTGGACAAGTGCAGACCGGTCGGCGCACGTCCCACGCCACGTGGACTCGCCTTTGTCGGTGGCCGCCTTTCTCGTCAGGCCGCGACGACAGGGCTGTGCCTTATTTGTGTCTGTCGAGAGCAGTGCCGGGCACGGAGTTGGCGCTCTGTAAGTGCTTGCTGAATAAATGACGGGTGTGTGTGTCATTCATTCAGCAAGCACTGAGTGCTTACTGTTGTGTCACCGGGACCGATGTGGAGGGACATTTTTAGGGTGTATTTCTGGCGCTTTAGTCCTGTTTTCTCCTGGACAATTTATGCTTGCCCCGCACCCCATCGTGCGATTCTCCGCAGTCTTTGGGCTTTGTCTCTCTCTCTTTTTTTTTTTTTGGAAGTTGCAGAATGGTGATAAATGATTTTCTTTGCTCCTATTGACTGCTAGGCCCTGTGGCTAGGTACCATAGAGTCTCTACACAGGACTAAGTCAGCCTGGTGTGCAGGGGAGGCAGACACACAAACAGAAAATTGGACTACAGTGCTAAGATGCTGTAAGAAGAGGTTAACTAAAGGACAGGAAGATGGGGCCAAGAGATGGTGCTACTGTCTACTTTAGGGATCGTCTTTCAAGGCGAGGGGCCTCCTATCTCAAGCTGTGATACAGGGTAGGTCATGAGCGCAGTCTTCTGTAAAATGAGGGATCTGGACGGAATAGTTACTCTCTAGGCTTCCTTTCAGTATGATGTCCCGTATCAGATATTCCTAATGTCTGTAGTTCTCCCACACCCCACCGTTTATTGGCTAGTCAAAATATTCTTTGCATTGTAAAGTGTAGCATAACATTACAAGAATGGATTAATGGGTTGGGAATGCTGGGTTTTGGCCTTCATTCTGGTGCTGTGGTCCTGTTTCCTCATTTGTAAAATGAAGGGGGTTGTAAAGATATATTCTCTAAAACCCCTAATGCTATGGCTGTGGCATTAAGTCAAACTATTATTTCTTACTGCTTTGTACCGGACATCACTTTCACATTAGTAAAACTTTTCATCAGTGTAGTTTCTCCCAAGCTTGATTATTGAGAAAGATAGTGCCTTGTTTTTAACATCCTGTATCCTAGTTCCACCGCAGTGTTTGGTACACAGTAGATGTTTAAAAGAAGCTTATTAAATCAAATGGTGGCCAGGCTCATGGGGCTCACGCCTTTAATCCCAGCACTTTGGGAGGCTGAGGTGGGCAGATTACTTGAGGTCAGGAGTTGGAGACCAGCCTGGCCAACATGGTGAAACCCCATCTCTAGTAAAAAAAAATACAGAAATTAGCTGGGTGTGGTGGCACGCACCTGTAGTCCCAGCTATTTAGGAGGTTGAGGTAGGAGAATTGCTTGCCTGGGAAGTGGAGGTTGCAGTGAGCCAAGGTCGCACCACTGCACTCCATCCTGGGCGAAAGAGCAAGACTCCATACCAAAAAAAAAAAAAAAAATCAAATGGGGCTGGGTGTGGTGGCTCATGGCCATAATCCCAGCACTTTGGTAGGCTGAGGTGGGCAGATCACTTGAGGACAAGAGTTCGAGACCAGCGTGGGCAACATAGCGAAACCCCATCTCTAAAAAAACCCCACAAAAACCAAAACAAATGAAAATAAAATAAATCAAATGGGATAGAAATTATAGTCCTTGCTTTTGGATCCTTTCCCACATTGACATATTAGTTCATAGATCAGGGGACTGGGGAGGAATTGGGTTTTTACCAGAGGGAGACCTGGAGCTGACCTGACAGATTTAAACCAGCTTTATGGGATAATCCGCTTGAGACGGATGACGCTGTAGGCAAGTGATTCACTGCTGTTTCATTCCTCTACCTGCCTATCCCCAGAACCATGGCCAACTGTGAGCGTACCTTCATTGCGATCAAACCAGATGGGGTCCAGCGGGGTCTTGTGGGAGAGATTATCAAGCGTTTTGAGCAGAAAGGATTCCGCCTTGTTGGTCTGAAATTCATGCAAGTAAGTGGACTTCATTGTTCCCATTTTGATTCCTTCATAGTATAGGAGAACACTGTGATTAACCTGTTTCTCCCCGTCTTTCTTATTTAAAGTTCTCCACGGTAGAGTGAACACAAGTGTCTTGAGACCTGGAAACTCCTCAGTGCCCTAGCGTTTGGCTACATCTTGGAACAAACCAAGTTATTTAGGATTTTCCAAAATAGTCTCTGTAATAGGAGGTGCATTGCTACGGGAAAAGCAGTGCAGAGTTCCACATATGACTGCATCTCTGTAATTTCTGACTGAGAGCTGAGCATGTTTGAGTTCTTGGTCTTGAGCTTCCTGAGCAGATAATTTTAGAGAGATTTTTTTCCCCCTTTGAGACAGGTTGTTTTTTAGCAAGAAAGTCTTTCCATCATCAATTACTAGACACTAATAAATGCTTATTGTTTAGCATATATTAGGTATCATAGGAGCTGGTGGAGGAAAACTATGGTTTTGGTTTTGGGGAGGTTCTTCAGAAACAGCAGAGAGCAGATGTACCTGCAAGCTACTTACAAAGCAATCTTTTGATAAATGCAAAGGATTGATTGACCAATAACCCTTCTTCAAACAAATTCTAGAGATAATCCAAATTCTCGGCTGGGTGAGGCATAGTGGCTCATACCTGTAATCCCAGCACTTTGGGAAGCCAAGGCAGGCTGGTCACTTGAGGTCAGGAGTTCAAGACCAGCCTGGCCAACATTGTGAAACCCCGTCTCTACTAAAAATACAAAAATTAGCTGGGCATCAGGGTGGGTGCCTGTAATCCCAGCTATTCGGCAGGCTGAGACATAAGAATTGCTTGAACCAGCCAGGTGCGGTGGCTCATACCTGTAATCCTAGCATTTTGGGAGGCTGAGGCGGGCGGATCACCTGAGGTCAGGAGTTCGAGACAGCCTGACCAATATGATGAAACCCCGTCTCTACTAAAAATACAAAAATTAGCCAGGCGTGGTGGCATGCGCCTGTAATCCCAGCTACTCGGGAGGCTGAGACAGGAGAATCGCTTGAACTGGGGAGGTGGAGGTTGCAGTGACCGAGATCGCATCATTGCACTCCAGCCTGTGCAACAAGAGCAAAACTCCATCTCCAAAAAAAAAAAAAAAAAAGAATTGCTTTTGAACCCAGGAGGCGGAGGTTTCAGTGAGCCGATATTGCACCACACTGCAGCCTGGGCAACAGAGGGAGGGAGACTCTGTCTCAAAAAAAAAAAAAGAATTCCAATTCTCAAATCAAATAGGGGATAGTATGTTTTCTAAAAGGGAATCAATTTTGGACCCTTCTAGTGCATTTTAAAATTTAGTTTGACTTGCAATTTACTTCCTATGTGATATTTTAGAAAAACTGCTTTAGGGCTGGCACAGTGACTCGCCTGTCATCCCAGCACTTTGGGAGGCTCCGTCTCCAAAAAAAAAGAAAAAAAAGAAAAGAAAAACTGCTTTAATGTAAAAGAGGGTAGACTGATGTTCATGCTGAGAGGAGAATATGGTGTCCAAGGTCAAGGAGCTGGCATCTAATGAAGGTTTTCTTGCTGTATCATCCCATGACAGAATGGAATAGCAAGAGAGTGCAAGAGTGAGAGAGAGCAAGAGGGGGCTGATGTTGATTTTATAACAAACCCACTCCTGAGATAAGACATTAATCTGTTCATGAGGGTGAAGCCCTCATGACCTAAACACCTCCCATTAGGCCTCACCTCCCAACATTGTTGCATCGAGGATTAAATTTCCAACATACGAACTTTGGGGGACACATTCAGATCACAGCAGAAGGTAACATGAGATGGATGTGTTGTTGATCAGGCATTTACCATATGCTGGGCACATATGTTTTCTGATTTAGTCTTCATGCCAGCCTTGAGAAGTACTTACTCCTGTTCTCGTGGTTGTTAGTGATGAGCAACCTAAGGCTTGGAGAGGTTCAGTGATGTGCCTGATAGCATACAGTGATGCCACTGGAATTTTAACTTGAGTCTCTCTGACCCCTGAGTGCAGATACTTTCTCCTTTACATTGAATTTCCTATTAAGGATATATGGGTTTGGTGAAGAATGGACGGAAGGATAGCTGCCATGACTCTAAAGGGGCATTTAAATCTGGTGTGGAGGCAGGAAGCAAGGGAGAACTTGAGGTTCCCAACCCCCAAGCCCTTAAAAAAAGCCCGTGATCTGTTTTGCAGACTAAAGATAATCAGTTAGGGCCTGGCGTGGTGGCTCACACCTGTAATCCCAGCATTTTGGGAGGTCAAGGTGGGTGGATCATCTGAGGTCAGGAGATGGAGACCAGCCTGGCCAACGTGGTGAAACCCCGTCTCTACTAAAAATACAAAATTTAGCTGGGTGTGATGGCGCATGCCTGTAGTCCCAGCTACCAGGGAGGCTGAGGCGAGAGGATGGCTTGAACTCGGGAGGTGGAGGTTGCAGTGAGCGGAGATCGAGCCACTGCACTCCAGCCTGGGTAACAGAGCAAGACCCTGTCTCAAAAAAAGATAATTAGCCGGGTGTAGTGGTGCACACCTGTAGTCCTAGCTACTGAGAATCTGAGGCAAGAGGATTGCTTGAGCCTGGGAGTTTGAGGCCGCAGTGAGCTATGATCATGCCATTGCACTCCAGCCTGGGTGACAGAAAGACCCTGTCTCAAAACAAACAACAAAACCAACAAAAAGATAATTGGAACCAATTAATAGAATTAAAAAAGTATTCTGATAAGGGAAGGTCACCTCAGGGTCTGTTAGACTTCCACAACAAAAGTCTTCCATTTGGATAGGAAAGGACAGGGCGAGGGTTGGATCCCTACCACGGAGTGATTATATGGCCATGTAATTTTACTTTGGCAAGTGATGATAACTGGTGGCTGAATGATGGGGCTTCTGGGCAGCCAGTCTCCACATCTGTGTGTGTCTCTGATGTGTGTGATATGCGTCATACAGTGCAGTACCACAGAGCTGGAAAAACCATGGGACCCTGTTAGATTTTAACAAGCGTATATGCAGTACAAGAGAGAACACAGCCAAACTGAGTTGAAACTGCTAAGCAGATGGTTTGTTCTCTAGCTAACTTGATTCGTTCCCACATATTAGCCTTGCAGTATGAGAGGTTCTAATTCATTTTTCAGCAAAATTATTTATTACTAGATGTCATGCACTTTTGGGTGATTTGCAGATACCTTTGGTAATCACATGGTCATCACTGCTGGGCTTTTATCCTCTGAATAAACGTGAAGCATCCCTGGGTAATGGCCTGGTTTAGTTTGCTGCTCATTAAATGCCAAGACTTGCTTCCTGGTGTCCTTCTAACATTTTATTTGGGGTTTGCTCTGGGAATGGAAATTTATTGTATTGTTGATTTTCCTGTCTAAAATGAGATAGTTGAGGGCCAGGCATGGTGGGTCACGCCTGTAAGCCCAGCACTTTGGGAGGCGGAGGCTGGAGGATCACTTGAGTCCAGGAGTTTGAGACCAGCCTGGGCAACATAGTGAGACCCTATCTCTACAAATAATTTTTTAAAATTAGCCAGGTATGGCTGGGCGCGGTGGCTTACGCCCGTAGTCCCGGCCCTTTGGGAGGCCAAGGCAGGCAGATCACCTGCGGTCACCTGAGACCAGCCTGGCCAACATGGCGAAACCCTGTTTCTACTAAAAATACAAAAATTGGCCAGGCATGATGGCCGCCACCTGTAATCCCAGCTACTTGGGAGGCTGAGGCAGGAGAATCACTTGAACCCAGGAGGTGGAGGTTGCAGTAAGTCAGGATCACGCCACTGCACTCCAGCCTGGGTGACAGAGGGAGACTCTGTCTCAAAATAAATAAATAAATAAATAAAATTAGCCAAGTCTGGTAGTGTGTGTCTACAGTCCTACCTACTCGGGAGTCTGAGGCAGGAGGATCACTTGAGCCCAGGAGTTTGATTTTTTTTTAAATGAGATAGCTGGATTTAATTTTAATGTTCTGTGGTTTTATTATCAGTCAGTGCCAATAGGGAGACAACTGATATAAAATTGGAGAAGTACATTTAGTCCTGTCACTGCTCCCTTCCAGTGTGGAGAATGAATTGGGTTATAACAGAATCAGTGAGCCCAACCGCTCATGTTTTACATAGCAGGGTGGATGAGGGGAAATTAAATGGATTATATGTCCTTAGATGGTTTGGGGGTTATTCTCATTCTCTGTCCTGTTGAATAGGCTTCCGAAGATCTTCTCAAGGAACACTACGTTGACCTGAAGGACCGTCCATTCTTTGCCGGCCTGGTGAAATACATGCACTCAGGGCCGGTAGTTGCCATGGTGAGTGTGCCTGTGTGGGATACTCCAAGTATGCATTGCTTGTCATCTGTGCTAGGCTCTCTTCTAGA
Source organism: Homo sapiens (assembly GCF_000001405.40). Classification (NCBI taxonomy): domain Eukaryota; kingdom Metazoa; phylum Chordata; class Mammalia; order Primates; family Hominidae; genus Homo; species Homo sapiens. The sequence continues at coordinate 51,160,150 of NC_000017.11, forward strand.
CACTGGGGATACAGCCATGAATGAGACCAAATAGATACCTGTTTTCATATACCAGCTAATGGTTAGTGATAGGCTTCAGAAATGAAATATGCCCAGAAATGAATAGGAGTAGCAAATGATCACTTTAGATTGGGTGATCAAAGAACGCAATTTTTAAGCTGTGATCTGAATGACAAGAAGCAGCGATCTGAATGACAAGAAGCAGCCAGCCATGTACAGAATCACAGTGAAAAACATTTCCAGCCAAGCAAACAGCATGTGCAAAGGTCCCAGGGTGGGAATGAGCTTGGCTTTTTGAAGTACGGGAGGAGAGTTGAAATGCCCGAAGCCTGATGGGTGGGAGGGAAGTTGGGAGGTGAAGAGTTCAGAGGCATGGGCAGGGGCCTTCTCTCTTAGGGGTGTGTTGACCATATACTTCCTGAGTGCTGGGAAGCTATGGGACACTTCACACTTGGCATTTCTTTTTTTTTTTTTTTTTGAGACGGAGTCTTGCTCTGTTGCCCAGGCTGGAGTGCAGTGGTGCCATCTCGTCTCACCGCAAGCTCCACCTCCCGGGTTCACGCCATTCTCCTGCCTTAGCCTCCTGAGTAGCTGGGACTACAGGCGCCCGCCACCACGCCCAGCTAATCTTTTCGTATTTTTAGTAGAGACAGGGTTTCACCATGTTAGCCAGGATGGTCTCGATCTCCTGACCTCGTGATCCACTCCCCTCAGCCTCCCAAAGGGCTGGGATTACAGGCGTGAGCCACTGCGCCCTGCCCACACTTGGCATTTTAAGGAGGCTGCTCTGGTTGCTGTATGGAGAATACATTGTAGAAAGGCAAGCATGAGGGCAGGGAGATCAGGATCCTCAGTGCTGGAATAAGTGGATATACTCTATAAACATTTGTTCAGTGAATGAATATAATCTTAAGGGGCCTTTTTATTTTTCCTTTTTTGAATTAATAGTTGCCAGATTTTCTGCTGTGATTGGTTTTCTTCTTTGACCATATCTTCTTCTGTCCTTGGAGGTCTGGGAGGGGCTGAATGTGGTGAAGACGGGCCGAGTCATGCTCGGGGAGACCAACCCTGCAGACTCCAAGCCTGGGACCATCCGTGGAGACTTCTGCATACAAGTTGGCAGGTGAGATTTTGGTATTTTTCCCCCTTTTCCAAAATCTGATTTAGTTGCCACAAGGATTTGGGTTTCCGAGGCTGGAGGTAGACATGATACCATATGCAGGTTGATTTTATCGGAGTTTATTGTTTTCCTCCCTCTTAAGTTGGCGTTTGGCTTTGGTTGTTAACATCACTTAGTCGTACCTCTGTTACACGAAGTGTAGAACCTGGTACAACACACTTTGCTGGCCAGTCTTTCCTGAAGGCTCTCACTGTTTGCACCAGCGTGGCCGGGAGGGCTGGATGTGGGGAGGGCATTTTTCAGCCTTAAGTGAATGGCCATTGTAGGCTTTTTCTTTTAACATGGTCTAATGTCCATGGAGCTTCAGCTTTTATGCTGCTGTGGCTGTAGATTTCTGGCAATGGGCGCATTTTAATCCTTCTGGTCTTGGTCATGTGACTATCTCTTTCTCCACCCAGGAACATTATACATGGCAGTGATTCTGTGGAGAGTGCAGAGAAGGAGATCGGCTTGTGGTTTCACCCTGAGGAACTGGTAGATTACACGAGCTGTGCTCAGAACTGGATCTATGAATGACAGGAGGGCAGACCACATTGCTTTTCACATCCATTTCCCCTCCTTCCCATGGGCAGAGGACCAGGCTGTAGGAAATCTAGTTATTTACAGGAACTTCATCATAATTTGGAGGGAAGCTCTTGGAGCTGTGAGTTCTCCCTGTACAGTGTTACCATCCCCGACCATCTGATTAAAATGCTTCCTCCCAGCATAGGATTCATTGAGTTGGTTACTTCATATTGTTGCATTGCTTTTTTTTCCTTCTTTTCATGTACACTGAATAACCTGACCTAATAGAGAGTGTAAATACTATAAAAATGATTTATTTTGAGGTCTCACATACACACAGGCATTCTTTGCCTGCCCTTCTTAACCCCCGCATCCCTTCCACTCTTGGCACTGAGCTATTCAACAGGCATCTATGGAGCATGTGCTACGTGGCCAAGACTGGACTAGGTGCAGAGGATTCATCAGAAATGAAAGAAAACATGAGGGCTGGGTGTGCTGGCTTGTGCTTGTGATACCAGCTACTTGGGAGGCTGAGATGGGAGACCAGCCTGGGTAACATAGCAAGACCCTGTCTCACTAAAAAAAAAAAAAGAAAAATTAGGCTGGGTACGATGGCTCATGCCTTTAATCCCAGCTATTCAGGAGGCTGAGGAGGAGAATCGCTAGAGGCCAGAAGTTCAAGTCCAGGGTGGGCAACATAGCAAGACGCTGTCTTTACAAAAAAAAAAAAAAAAAATTAGCTCTGGTGCTGTGCACCTCTAGTCCTAGCTATTGGGAAGGCATAGGCAGGAGGATTGTGCCCAGGAGTCCAAGGCTGCAGTGAACCATGATCATGCTACTGTCCTTCAGCCTGGGTGACAGAGTGAGACATCTCTTAAATAAAAACATATCCATCCTGTTCTTGAGAAGCTCTTGGGGATTCAGTGAATGGGGGAGTGTGGGAAGTTGTAATTCCTCCAAAAATCAGAAAAGCTAGGTAGATAGTAAGCCTGAGTCCCTGGGATGGCCTCAAATGAAGCAGGAGGTCTTGTAAGTAGCTTTGATTTGTTAGGTATTGATTTGGTTGCTTTAATGGAGACAAGATAGAAATGTACTTCTCTTTCATTTGAAAGTTCAAGTGTGGTCAGTTGCAGTGGCTCATGCCTATAATCCCAGCACTTTGGGAGGCCAAGGCAAGAGGATTGCTTGAGCCCAGGAGTTTGAGACCAGCCTGGGGAACAGAGTGAGACCTCATCTCTGCCAAACATTAAAAATTAGTCGGGTGTGGTGGCACATTCCTGTAGTCCTAGCTACTCAGGAGGCTGAGGTAGGAGGATTGCTTGAGCCCCGGAGGTTGGAGCAGTGAGCTGTGATCCCGCCTCTGCACTTCAGCCCGGGTGACAGAGTGAGACCTGTCTTCAAAAAAGAAAAAGCCCTAGCTGCTCAGTAGGGGTGGTGATAGTGGTAAGGCTCTGATCTTTAAGGTGGTCTACACACACCTGGTTCCTTCTAATCAGTCCTACTTGGATTACCACCCCATGTCCCTTCCTGCAAGTTGGGAAGGAAAGTGGAAGAAGTAACCCTTTTAAAGACACAACTCTGAATTACAACCTTCACTTCCTCTCACATCCCACTGGCTAGAACTTAGTCATATGGCTGCATCTAGCTGAAAGAGAAATTAGAATTTTTTTTTTTGCTTTTGAGATAGGGTCTTGCTCTGTCGCCTAGGATGGAGTGCAGTGGTGTGATGACAGCAGCTCACTGCAGCCTCGACCTCTCTGGGCCCAAGTGATCTCCTATCTTAGCCTCCTGAGTAACTGGGGCTACAGGCACGTGCCACCACGCCCAACTAATTTTTGTATTTTCTGTAGAGATGGGGTTTCATCATGTTTCCCAGGCTGGTCTCCAACTGCTGGGCTCAAGCGATCTGCCTGCCTGGGCCTCCCAAAGTGCTGAGATTATAGGCGTGAGCCACTGCGCCCACCCTGAGGGTTTTTCTTTTTTCTTTTTCCTTTTTTTTTTGAGACAAAGTCTCGCTCTTGTCGCCCAGGCTGGAGTATAATGGTGCGATCTCGGCTAACTGCAACCTCCGCCTCCCGGGTTCAAGCGATTCTCCTGTCTCAGCCTCCTGAGTAGCTGGGATTACAGGTGTGTGCCACCACTCCCGGCTATTTTTTGTATTTTTAGTAGAGACAGGTTTTCACCATGTTGGCCAGGCTGGTCTCGAACTTCTCACCTCAGATGATCCACCTGCCTCAGGCTCCCAAAGTGCTGGGATTACAGGTGTGAGCCACTGCGACTGGCCACCTGAGGGTTTTTCTTATCTTTCCTTTTCATCTGGCTTCGGTAGAGGCAATAGAGGGGAAGAGACTTCTCAGGATGGGGGAGAAGAGGGTAGTTGGGGTGGGCTGCCTTTACAGACAGATGATGGCGAGATGAATTTTTTTTTTTAATTTAGTTTTTTTTTTTTTTTTTTTTTTTGAGACAGAGTCTTGCTCTGTCACCCAGGCGGGAATGCAGTGGTGCAATCTCGGCTCACTGCAAGCTCTGCCTCCCGGGTTCACGCCATTCTCCTGCCTCAGCCTCCTGAGTAGCTGGGACTACAGGTGCCCGCCACCATGCCCAGCTAATTTTTTTGTATTTTTAGTAGACATTGGGTTTCACTGTGTTAGCCAGGATGGTCTCGATCTCCTGACCTCGTGATCTGCCTGCCTTGGCCTCCCAAAGTGCTGGGATTACAGGTGTGAGCCACCGCACCTGGCCCCCTTTTTTTTTTTTTTTAATTTTTGAGATGGAATCTCAATCTGTTGCCCAGGCTGGAGTGCAGTGGCACGATCTCAGCTCACTGCAACCTCTGCTTCCGGGGTTCAAGCGATTCTCCTGCCTCAGCCTCCTGAGTAGCTGGGATTACAGGCATGCGCCACTACGCCCGGCTAATTTTTGTATTTTTCTTGGGGACGGGGTTTCACCACGTTGGTCAGGCTTGTCTCGAACTCCTGACCTCGTGATCCACCCGCCTCGGCCTCTCAAAGTGCTGGGATTACAGGCGTGAGCTACCGCATCCAGCCTGAATTTCTATTAATACTTTTACACAAAGCGTGGCCTGTTTGTTTTGGGGCGTGAGATGAGCATACCAGGACTTGGGGGAATGAACATGTGTGTAGTGAAGCTGGAGGGTTACAGCCTCCCCAGTTAAGGACAGTCTTCCCAGGAAGGAAAGAAGAGGTGAAAGCAGAGGGGTGGTCCTGACTGTACCCTGAGTAGCCATCAGTGACCTGACCAAGGGGAGCAGATAGCTCTCCCCTGGACAGAGAAAAGTCCGTGCAATTTCGAGACCTGTTTTCACAGTTGACATTTGGTAATCCAAATGAGAGTGTGTTTCAGATCGAAGCCAAAAAATAACAGTGCCCCCAGATGAGGGCACATGACAGTCATTGTCAATGTGTGGTGGGCTAATGCTCTGTAACTAGAAGTTTGGAAAGCCGATAAGGTATAACAGAGGCCAGATTGTCATCCATCTGGCCAGTGACAGGTGATCAGCGCAGTGCTAGGGGCACTCGGGTGATGGCATGATTGCTGTGGTCAGCTCAGAGTCCTGAGGGGAAGCAAGCGGGCTCTCACCATCTCAGGGCAGTACCACTGCTGTGCGGCTGTCAGTCAGTGCTGCAGGCGCCGAGAGGAGGGGCTTGTGACCGCCCCAGGGAAGCTGGGCATCACCAAAGGGAGCTTGTTTGCCAGGGACACTGCAAGTAGGAAGTGTCTACAGGTCGATGACAGGCCTAATCTCTATGACAGGGTCTAGACTTTCCTCAGGGTCCAGGGGCGCACCTCAGGGTGAACTGGAAAACTCGACCGCACTTTAGTGCCAGGTGGGCAGGGATCCCCATGTCAGGGTGGGAGTGGGGCGGCTGATTGGGGCTGGAAATGTAGGTGGGGAGGCGGCAGCCAGGGAGCAGGGCATCCTGCGAGAAGAGCATCCCGCTAAGGAGTCTGAACGCCATCCTGTAGGCGGGGGAGTCATCAAGGCAGGGCAGAGGCAGGACCAGATGGCCGTTTGAGGTGCTGAGCAAAGCTCCCGGTTTGCGCGGAGAGGTGAGATCGAGGCCCCTTGGGAGGCCGAGGCTTAACCAGGGCTCAAGCAGAGGGGAGGGAAGGCTGGATTTCAGAGGTAGGGAGGATAAGGACCGTGGGTGCACGACGGGGAGGGAGAGCCAAGTCAAGGTTAATGCCGGTGCTCGGGCGGATGGTGAAAGCAGCAGATGGCCTTGACCGGGGTAGAGAACTCGAGCACAGGAGCAGGTTCTGTGTGTGTGTGTGTGTGTGTGTGTGTGTAGGAGCTTTTGGGGTCACGGGAAGTACTGAGAGGTGAGGAGTGGGATTTGGGACGTGCGTAGTTGAACTCATAGGACGTCCAGGTGGAGAAGGAATCACTTCCTGTCTCTGGATCCGTCTCGATCTCTGCCTGGCGAGGGCGCGCCCCGGCTGGGCGTGGACACTGTTCTCCGGCCGCGTCGGGCCGGGCGGGTGGGGCGTTCCTGCGGGTTGGGCGGCTGGGCCCTCCGGGGTGTGGCCACCCCGCGCTCCGCCCTGCGCCCCTCCTCCGCCGCCGGCTCCCGGGTGTGGTGGTCGCACCAGCTCTCTGCTCTCCCAGCGCAGCGCCGCCGCCCGGCCCCTCCAGCTTCCCGGTAAGGCGGTGGGGGCGCATCCCCTGGCGACTCCTCCCGTTCCCTCTTCCGCTTGCGCTGCCGCAGGTGGGCCCGGTCTGTGGGCGCCCCCCGATTTCCCGCAGGTCCCGCGCGGCGTCGGAGCGGGAGATTCCCTTGCAGCTTGCGCCCCGCGGGCCTTCGGGCTCCGCAGAGGGACGCCGGCCCTGCGCGGGGCGGAAGCGGCCGGGAAGCCACGTGTCCCCGCGGCCGCGCGTGGTGGGGGAGGAGGGACCGGCGGCGCCCACGTGGCCTCCGCGGGCCCCGCCAGAGCCTGCGCCCGGGCCCTGACCGCACCTCTCGCCCCGCAGGACCATGGCCAACCTGGAGCGCACCTTCATCGCCATCAAGCCGGACGGCGTGCAGCGCGGCCTGGTGGGCGAGATCATCAAGCGCTTCGAGCAGAAGGGATTCCGCCTCGTGGCCATGAAGTTCCTCCGGGTAACTCGCCCCCGTCTCCCCTTCCCCGCTGCAGCCGGCTCGCGGGTGTTTTTCCCTCCCGGCGGCGGTTTGTCCGCGTCTGCTTTCCGAGTTCATTTCGCTGCCGCGAAATCCCTTTGCCCTCTGCCCCCGCCCACGGCGGCTTGGGCCCGCCGACCCTTTCCCGGGGTGGTGGGGACAGACGCCCTTGGGAAGGTGAAGCGCTGGTAGCGTGACTCGCCCTCCGGGTTTGGGTTCCTTCCCGCGGGCCGCTACCTGCCCACCCGCCGCAGGGGGGCAGCAGGGAGCGGAAAAACCCCGGGCCCCAGACCCCCTGCGCCTGCCCACTCGGGTCCACCTAGGCACAGAATGGAGGCTTGGAATCTCCTTTGCTTTAGTCTGAAACTCCGAGTTCCAGTGCGGTGCTCCTCCTTTAGCATAGGGTAGTGAGTGTATTTTCCACATTAAATTTGGGGCACAGATCTGAATCCCTACACTTACGGGTAAGAATCTAAGTACTGAAATTCAACCAGGCTCATCGGTGAAGAGAATGTTCTCAGTTATTATCTGAAATATTTAAAAGGGCATTGTGAGTAGCCCAGGGGAGTTTAACATGACCTCTGCCAGGCAGATGACCTGACATATGTACTTCAGTTGCAGCCAAAATTTAATTCCCTAAATCTAGATCCTCAAACCACCTACTTTTTAGGCTTACAAAACCCCTAATGTCATTGACGGTATGAGGGTGTCTTTACGATTAGAACAGTCTTGGCCAGGCGCGGGGCTCACGCCTATAATCCCAGCAATTTGGGAGGCCGAGGTGGGTGGAGCCCAGGAGTTGGAGATCAGCCTGAGCCACATAGCAAGCCCCTGTCTCTACAAATAAATAAATAAATAAATAAAAATTAATTGGGCATGGTTGAGTGCATCTGTAGTTCCAGCTACTTGGGAGGCTGAGGTAGGAAAATCACTTGAGCCCTGGAAGTTGAGGCTGCAGTGAGCCATCATTGTGCCACTGCATTCCAGCCTGGGTGATGATAGTGAGACCCTGTCTCCTAAAACAAACCAAAACAACACACCAAAAAAAGAACAGTCTTTCTGTTAAAATGGCATTAGTTTCATGGTTTGGATGGGATTTAAAAAATATTTATGTGTGTGTATATGTGTGTATATATATATATATTTCCACACACCACTTAGGAACGTGGGCTAGAATATAAAACCGGACTTGCTAATGGGAGGTTCAGAGGATGGGTTGGAGTCTTTCCAGCTTAGCTCCTAACTGGTGCCTCCTCTCCAATGCCAGGCCTCTGAAGAACACCTGAAGCAGCACTACATTGACCTGAAAGACCGACCATTCTTCCCTGGGCTGGTGAAGTACATGAACTCAGGGCCGGTTGTGGCCATGGTGAGTGCTCGTGGGGAATGAGAGAAAATGAGGAAAAAGTGCTCAGTGTTCTTTGTTAGACATCTCCCTCAGCTAATCTAAATTTTATTTTATGAATGGAACCTGCTGAAGTTACTTAACTGAGCAACTAGGAGCTTGGGAGGAGAAAGCAAATCAGACCTTAGAAATGGGAAGGATGTTAGCTGGGTGTGGTGGTGCACGGCTGTAATCTCAGCTACTTGGGAGGCTGAGGTAGGAGAATTGCTTGAACCTGGGAGGCGGAGGTTGCAGTGAGCCGAGATCGTGCCACTGCACTCCAGCCTGGGCAACAGAGCGAGACTCTGTCTCGACAAAGAAAAAAGATATGGGAAGGACTTTTTCAGGTACATGTCTCTATGGTTAAATAGAATCTCACTGCCTGCAAGAGTGGTAAATTTTCGGGCCAGGCTTGGTGGCTCATGCCTGTAATCCCAGCGCTTTGGAAGGCTGAGGCGGGTGGATCACCTGAGGCCAGGAGTTAATCCCAGTTACTCAGGGGGCTGAAGCACGAGAATCGCTTGAACTTGGGAGGCGGAGGTTGCAGTGAGCCGAGATCATGCCACTGCACTCCAGCCTGGGCGACAGCAAGACTCCATCTCAAAAAAAAATAATACTCAATTTCTTCTGTTTGACAAGTGTTTTAGACCTTAATGTTTCCTAGATTAAAAAACTTTATCCTATTTTCTCATGAAAAATTCAAAGGTAAGGATGTAAGAAGTTCTCAATCCTATACTAGAAGCAGTTTCTTCTGGATGGTGCTAATGTCCATTTGGGAGTGGAGAGAATATGAGGAGAGAGTGGCTGGGCGAGGTGGCTCACACCTGTAATCCCAGCACTTTGGGAGGCCGAGGTGGGTGCATTACAAGGTCAGGAGTTCAAGACCAGCCTGGCCAACATGGTGAAACCCCATCTCTACTAAAAAAATACAAAAATTAGCTGGGCATGGTGGCGTGTGCCTGTAATCCCAGCTACTCGGGACGCTGAGGTGGGAGAATTGCTTGAAACTGGGAGGAGGAGGAGGTTGCAGTGAGCTGAGCCACTGCACTCCAGCCTGGGCAACAGAACAAGACTCTGTCTCAAAAAAAAAAAAAAAAAAAATTGGAGAGAGTAAAATAGGGAGGCAGTGAAATTGTTGAGAAAGTAGATCTATTTCCTGTTCACCTTTTTCTTCCTTCTGCTGTTCCCTGGAATCCTTACCCTAGCATGTTAGTCTTTCTTTTCCCTCTTCTAGCAGTCTTCTGGGATGCCCTTCCCACTGATCCTATTCCAGACTGGCCACTTTCTCCTTTCTTCACCAGTTCTTCTGTGTTGATGGCTGCATAAGGATTCTGCAACATTGTTTATCTCTGTCTCAGCTAAACTGGGAAGTCCCCAAGTTGGACAGACTTTTCTTTGAATCCTAGCAATACGTTTGGAATGCAGTTTTTATATAGGCCCCTACTCTCTGCTGGGGTTAGCTGATAATCATGTCACTGATCGGTCTCATTGATGTGTCGTGTCAGGTAGGAGTAAATGTTAGACCCTACCTGTCCTGAGTGGCAGGTCTGATTATAAATCCATTTTCACACTTTCGAGGTCTGGGAGGGGCTGAACGTGGTGAAGACAGGCCGAGTGATGCTTGGGGAGACCAATCCAGCAGATTCAAAGCCAGGCACCATTCGTGGGGACTTCTGCATTCAGGTTGGCAGGTAAGTCCGGGGACAGGAGGGTGGATGACTTTTATGCAACACCATTTAAAGCAGACGTCATGGCGTATCCTACTTTCAGAAGAATCTGTGCCCTTTTTTTTTTTTTTTTTTCTTGAGACGGAGTCTCCTTCTGCCTAGCTGGAGTGCAGTGGTGCCATCTCTGCTCACTGTAACCTTCACCTCCCGGGTTCAAGCGATCCTCCTGCCGCAGCCTCCCAAATAGCTGGGATTACAGGTGCACACTGCCACGCCCGGCTAATTTTTGTATTTTTAGTAGAGATGGTTTCACCACGTTGGCCAGGCTAGTTTCAAACTCCTGACCTCAGGTGATCCGCCTGCCTCGGCCCCCCAAGGTGCTGGGATTACAGACATGAGCCACCGCACTTGGCCTGAACTTTTAGTTGGTGATTATCATTGTATAAAAACTTTCAGGCTGGGTATATCATTGTATAAAAGCTTTCAGGCCAGGGGTTTACGCCTGTAATCCCAGCACTTTGGGAGGCCGAGATGGGTGGATCACCTGAAGTCAGGAGTTTGAGACCAGCCTGGAGCCTGGCCAACATGAACCCCGTCTCTACTAAAAGTAAAAAATTAGGGCATGGTGGTGCATGCCTGTAATCCTAGCTACTCAGGAGGCTGAGACAGAAGAATCGCTTGAACCTGGGAGGTGGAGGCTGCATTGAGCTAAGATCACGCCACTGCACTCCAGCCTGGGCAACAAGAACAAAACTCCGTCTCAAAAAAAAAAAAAAAAAAGCTTTCACACATAGCTTCTTCCCTAGGTTACTTAATTTTAAGCAAGACAACAAGGGAGCCATAAGTGGTAATTCCTGTGTAGTACAGCAAAAAATGCTAGGTGTGGAGAAGGGAAGCATTCTAGCCACATCCATGAGTACTTTGTCCATGGGTGTGTCACTTAACCTTTTGATTCCCTCACCTGTACACAGTCTGTTCAAAACCTTTACAAAGTTGTGAGGTTGAAGTGGGATAAAGGGATTTTTATTAATAAGCAGTGTTATGTCATGGTTGGGCTTTGCAAATCAGTGTTATAAGAAAATGCAGCAGAGCTGGCCTATGATAATGAACACATCATATCTAGTTGGGATGTTGATCTGCAGTGGGTTTGAGTATCACTGTATTTTCCAAAATTTGCGGAGGAGTGTTTTATGTCTTCGGCAATCTTGGGGTACAAGCACTCTTTTGATGGGGAGGCCAGACTTGGAAGCATAATACAGTTGAAACAAGGAATGTTTTAAATCAAGCACTTTTACAGTTGTATAGCTGCTTTTAAAAGGAAATGCTTTGGGGGTATAAATTGGTCTGTTGCTTCAAGTGGCAATTTGGCTGAAAGAGTCTGGAGTGCTGTCCATTGCGGTACCCATTAAACAGACTTTTGCACTTTAAAACATGGCAACTTGTAATTGTTTTCTTTCTTAGGAACATCATTCATGGCAGTGATTCAGTAAAAAGTGCTGAAAAAGAAATCAGCCTATGGTTTAAGCCTGAAGAACTGGTTGACTACAAGTCTTGTGCTCATGACTGGGTCTATGAATAAGAGGTGGACACAACAGCAGTCTCCTTCAGCACGGCGTGGTGTGTCCCTGGACACAGCTCTTCATTCCATTGACTTAGAGGCAACAGGATTGATCATTCTTTTATAGAGCATATTTGCCAATAAAGCTTTTGGAAGCCGGACACTGTCTCCTTGTGCTTATTTGATACTGAGCTGAAAGAAGTGACTTGGTTCTCTGGCTATAGTAGCATTATGTACATCTCAATCCTGCTTGTCAAAGAATGATCTGATCCTGACGGAGTTTCGCTCTTGTTGCCCAGGCTGGAGTGCAATGGCGCGATCTCAGCTCACCACAACCTCTGCCTCCCGGGTTCAAGCGATTCTCCTGTCTCAGCCTCCTGAGTAGCTGGGATTACAGGCATGTGCCACCACGCCCTGCTAATTTTGTATTTTTAATAGAGACGGGGTTTCTCCATGTTGGTCAGGCTGGTCTTGTACTCCCAATCTCAGGTGATCTGCCCGTCTTGGCCTCCCAAAGTGCTGGGATTACAGGTGTGAACCACCGCGCCCGGCCTATTTATTTATTTATTTGAGACAGAGTCTCGCTTTGTCGCCCAGGCTGGAGTGCAGTGGCGTGATCTCAGCTCACTGAAACCTCCACCTTCTGGGCTCAAGCCTAGTTGGTCAAGTGGTTCTTGTGCCTCAGCCTCCCGAGTAGTTGGGATTACAGGTGTTTGAGCCGCTGCACCTGGCCACTTGTAAGAAAGATTTGTTGAAACTTGGAGTGAAACATACAGACTAGGGAAATACTCTAGATTTATGTATCTGCTGATTACAAATTGGGCAAGTTACTTATTAGGAAATGGAAGCCTAAAGACATCTGTGAAATGGACATATCTACCACTGTAATTCAAGGTTAATGAAATTATGTATATGCAGCTAACCTAGTGCTTGGCCTATAGTTGGTACATATTTCTGCAACCCTACCCCTTAATTTTTTTCCCTGGGGTGAGATACTTATTCATGCTGGTTTCCTGGGCTAGATGCAGTGAGTGGTTGCTAGAGGCATATTTCCTGCTTTTGAGGTTAATTTTGCTGGATTGGAACAGTTGTAAAATGTTAATAGCACCTGTCAATACAAATCATTTGTAGCACTATCACCTGCAATCAATTATAAATTTATATTTCCTATAAAAAACTGGTAAAAGCTAAATGTCACTCCTATATATAACAATCCTATGCTTTTTTTTTTTTTTTAGACGGAGTCTTGCTCTGTCGCCCAGGCTGGAGTGCAGTGGCCTGATCTTGGCTCGCTGCAATCTCTGCCTCCCGGGTTCAAGCAATTCTCTGCCTCAGCATCCCGAGTAGCTGGGTTTACAGGCGCCTGCCACCACACCCAGCTAATTTTTGTATTTTTAGTAGAGGTGGGGTTTCACTATCTTGGCCAGGCTGGTCTTCAACTCCTGACCTTGTGATCCACCTGCCTCGGCTTCCCAAAGTGCTGGGATTATAGGCGTGAGCCACTGCGCCCGGCCAATTCTATGCTTTTTATGTATACTGCTATGGTAAATATTAGACAATGACATTGTGACATAAGTACGTATTTGGTCTCTGCCATTGGTTCCTGGCACACAGCTCCTAAAATCCTTGTAATCTCAAATGTTAGGTTTCTTATATGCTAATGATATGACTGGTGGCTGTGGGGGCTCCTGGATAGCCTCCCTACAACCTCCAAGAAGAGGAGAGGGGCTAAGGTTGAATTGCTCACCAATGGCCAATTATGCCATCAATCATGCCTATGTAATGAAGCCTCCATAAAACCCCAGAATAGGGTTTGGGGAGCTTCCAGATTGCTGAGGTGCTTGGAGGGTGGTACACTCTGAGAGGGTAGCTCCATGCCATTTTCCACATACCCTGCCCCATGCATCTGGTCCATCTATATACTTTATTTTTTTAGAGATGGGGGTTTCGCTATGTTGTTCAGGCCAAGCTTTGAACTGGCTCAAGCAGTCCTCCCCACTCAGCCTCTTGAGTTGCTGGGATCACAGATGCGCACCACTGTGCCCAGCCACATCCTTTATTAAACCAATACATGTAAGTAGTAGTTCTCTGAGTTCTATGATACTCTCTAGCAACTTAACTGAATCTAAGAAGGGGGTCATGGGAACCCTTAATTTATGGCCAATTGGTCAGAAGAACAAAGACATAACCTGGGGCTTGCAGTTGGCATTTGAAATGCGGGCAGTCTTGGGGGCCGGAGTCCTTAACCCATGGGATCTGACTCCAGGTAGACAGTATCAGAATTGAAGACACCCAGCTGGTGTCTGCTGGACACTATGTCTAGTGTCAGAAGTGTTGAGGTCAGTGACAGAGTAGAGAGAAAACAGCTCAATTTTCCTTTGGAATGAAGTAAGAAATACTTTTAATGTTTTAGTACAAAAAAAATGTGTAAAGATTCTAGTTACTAGTCAACAATTGATAAGTTTATTTTAAAAATCATTCCTCAATTTCAAATGTAATTCATATATGTTTATATATGCTACATTCTCATCACAGTTAAGCAGAGTTTAATACTAACATCTTAAGAGTCTGGGGCAGGGCCTGAGCACCTGCATTTCACTGTGCTACCAGTGACACTTATGCATGCTGGTGGAGGTACCTCGGTTAGGAGCAGCAGCAGAGCATGGGCTTACTCTGCCAGGGCTGTTCAAAGAACTTTATATACATGCATTCATTGCATCTTCATGACTCTTGGGTGGCTGGCACCAGTATCCCCATTTTACAACGGAGGAAACTGAGCCAAGTTACATAACTAGCCGTGGAGGAGGAGCCAGTTTCCAACCCGATAGCTGTCTTCAGACTCCATGCCCACGGCCACTATGCTTTACCTTTTTTTTTTCTTTTTGAGATGGAGTCTCGCACTGTCGCCCGGGCTGGAGTGCAGTGGTGCGATCTCGGCTTACTGCAACCTCTGCCTCTCAGGTTCAAGTGATTCTCCTGCCTCGCCTCCTGAGTAGCTGGGATTACAGGTGCCCGCTACCACACCCGGCTAATTTTTTTGCATTTTTAGTAGAGACGGGGTTTCACTATGTTGGCCAGGCTGGTCTTGAACTCCTGACTTTGTGATCCACCCGACTTGGCCTCCCAAAGTGCTTGGGATTACAGGTGTAAGCCACCTTGCCCGGCCTTTTTTTTTTTTTTTTTTTAAACTGTCTTTACTTTCCCAAGTGATGTGAGGAAGTGAGTTTGGAGGGTAAGTGACGTCAACCTGTAGTGGTGAAAGCTGAGTAAGGCTTTGGATGTTAGGACTCAATTTGTTAGAACTGAATGAGAAATACAGAGTAGACTATGGTGAGATTTAAAGTACTGCCTCTGGGCCGGCGCTGTGGCTCACAACTGTAATCCCAGCACTTTGGGAGGCCGAGCCAGGCAGATCACCTGAAGTCAGGCGTTGAGACCAGCCTGACCAATATGGTGAAACCCTGTCTCCACTAAAAATACAAAATTAGCAGGGCATGATGGTGCATGCCTGTAATCCCAGCTACTTGGGAGGCTGAGGCAGGGGAATCACTTGAACCCAGGAGGTGTACATTGCAGTGAGCCGAGATTGCGCCATTGCACTCCAGCCTGGGCAACAAGAGCAAAACTCCGTCTCAAAAAAAAAAAAAAGTACTGCCTCTGGAGAGTTTAGGTCCTAATCCTGCACCAGCTAGGTGTGTGAAAGTAACAACTCATTTATTTATTTGAGAGACAGTCTCGGCTCTGTCGCCCAGGCTGGAGAGCAGTGGTTCACTCAGTTTACTGCAGCCTCTGCCTCCTGGGTTCAAGTGATTCTCGTGCTTCAGCCACCCAAGAAGCTGGGACTACAGGTGTGTGCAAATACGCCCAGGTGATTTTTGTAGTTTTCGTAGAGATGGTGTTTCACCATGTTGGCCAGGCTGGTCTCAAGCAATCTGCCCACCTTGGCCCTCCAAAGTGTTAGGATTACAGGCATGAGTCACTGCGCCTGGCTGAAAATGACATATCATTCAGAACATCTCATGCTTTCAATAAACCTTTTTTTTTTTAAAAAAAATAGTAAAAGTGCATTATTATTTAAAATGCATTACCTTAGCTGGATGCAATGGCTCATGCCTGTAATCCCAGCACTTTGGGAGGACAAGGCAGGAGCATCCCTTGAGCTTGAGACACTTGTTTCTGGGCATAACTAGTTTCGCGAGAAGCATGTAATGGTTCAAAGAAATACATGTGGCTGGGCGCGGTGGCTCATGCCTGTAATCCCAGCACTTTGGGAGGCTGAGGCGGACAGATCACGAGGTCAGGAGTTCAAGACCAGCCTGGCCCATATGGTGAAACCCCCATCTCTACTGAAAAATACAAAAATTAGCCGGGCGTGGTGGCGTGTGCCTGTAGTCCCAGCTACTTGGGAGGATGGGGCAGGAGAATTGCTAGAACCCAGAAGATGGAGGTTGCAGTCAGCTGAGATCACGCCACTGTACTCCAGCCTAGGTGACAAAGTGAGACTCCATTTCAAAAAAAAAAAAAAAAAAAAATGCTGGGTGCAGTGGCTCATGCCTGTAATCCCAGCACTTTGGGAGGCCGCCGAGGCAGGCAGATCACGAGGTGAAGAGATCAAGACCATCCTGGCCAACATGGTGAAACCCCGTCTCTACTAAAAATACAAAAATTAGCTGGGTGTGGTGGTGTGCACCTGTACTCCCAGCTACTTGGGAGGCTGAGGCAGGAGAATCACTTGAACCCAGGAGGCAGAAGCTGCAGTGAGCCAAGATCATGCCACTGCTCTCCAGCCTGGTGACAGGGTGAGACTCCATCTCAAAAAAAAAAAAAAAAAAAAAAAAAATATATATATATATATATATATCACCATGATAGTAAATGAGCACCCACCTAGGAATTCCAGCTTACTACAGCAGCTGTTCAAACCACTTACGGTAGAAAGCAGGGCAGAAATCAGGCTCTTTTCTTGGAATGCGTTATGTGAAATTAATCCCTGAAGAGGCCCAGTCCATCTCATTACTGTCTTACATATTGTTTCCCAATTCATAAAAATCTCTACCAACTGCATCTGCAGTAAAAGTTGAATAATTTTCCAAAGAGCCAGCTGTTGGTAAAGGAGGGCTTCTTTGCATTCCCTTTTAATGTTAAGGGCAAGAGCTAGCTGGGATACTTTATTTACATCCAATTAACTTTGCTGCTGAGGTTAATGGAGTTAAAAAAAAGTCTCCTACTAGCCAGGCATGGTGGCTCACGCGGTCAGGAGATCAAGACCATCCTGGCTAACACGGTGAAACCCCGTCTCGACTAAAAATACAAAAAATTAGCCGGTCGTGGTGGCAGGCGCCTGTAGTCCCAGCTACTCAGGAGGCTGAGGCAGGAGAATGGTGTGAACATGGGAGGTGGAGGTTGCAGTGAGCCGATATAGCGCCACTGCACTCCAGCCTGGGTGACAGAGCAAGACTCCATCTCAAAAAAAAAAAAAAAAAAAAAAGTCTCCTACTAAGCATGCCAACCCCAAAACACGATGTTCTAGCTAAGATGATTTAATTTCCCCATAAAGGTCCCTATTCACCTTGGCTCCTGCTGTGGTTTTTGCCCTTTCCCTCCCTGCCCATGAAATCCCACCTCCAATGCAACCTCATCCATATGTCTAACCATACTACTCTTGGCTCCCTTGGCAGCTAGTGGAAAATTCTTCCTTACAGCACTCATGTGCCTGCTACCCCTTGTAAGAGGAAGGGGCTGATCCAACTTTCATAGGGGTCTCTGACTGCTTATAGAGGGCACGCAATAGAAAAGCAACCCCCCAAACCAAAGCATATTAAAGAACTGCTCAAATCCAGCTTAACTTTAACATTTTATTTTGTGTAAAAAAGGGCAAATTTAGTGAATTATTTTCATCTTGTACACAAAGTTATAATTTTAATGCTTTTCACATCCATGCTGAAAATTTGCAATTTGGTAAAAATGAAAGGAACATAAATTTTTCCAAAGGAATTTTTCACGCCATTATATATACACTTCATGAGAAAGTTTCAAACACTTTCTCAATGATCACGAGTTACCAAGAAAATAAAAGATTAAATTTGTACAGATATTGATCTATATATCAAATACATACAGAAATGATGTAAAAACCTTATGCAGTTTACTTTGACCTCTGTCCTCAAAAGATTTGCCCAGGGACAGATGCTTTTCTTTTGTATAAATGACTGTGGCTTTATTTAAAATATGAAAATCAAAGGAAGAAACCCAGTTTAATCACAGTATTTTTAAAATCCCTTCCCAATATTAAAGGATCATTACCAATATATAGCACCATAATACAAATATTGATGGGAGAGGGTATTCACATCACGCAAAATTAATAATAATAATAAAAACAAACAAACACTGAAAACCCGTGTTAGTATCGTAGAATAAGAAGTTGATAACAGCTTTAGCTTTCCTCATACACGGCAAGGAAAAGGTTAAAGAGTTTAAACTACCAAAAGTCCCCAAATAAATCCTAACAGGAAAAACAAAACAAAACAAAAACAAACCCAAGGTCAGCAGTACATTTTGAACCGTAAAAGAGAATGGGGCGATTGAGTTGTACAACTGGAGTTATGGCTAAGACATAAATCTCCTCTGCATTAATTATTTTTCGGTTCGTCGGCAGTAGGAGTTAGTGTGTGAACAATGAAAGAGGGCTTTAGGTTGTGTTCAGACTGTAGAAAAGTCCTTACCAACCTTCAACTGTTGGTCACGGGATCAAGACAAGAAACACTTCATGAATTAGGAAATTCTAAAACACTCAGAGCCTGGGTTTGCTATAGAATTGGAAGCTTATGAAACCTGGGTATAAATGAGCATTTCATAGATTACCAGGACTGACTAGCTCCAAATCCTCTCTCTCCTGGTTTAGTCAGTTCCCCATGGAGCTCCTAAATCCAAGGTACTGGCAGAGTACACTACACAACAGGCTTCTTGTGCCTGTGCTGTGGAATTAGTCCTGGGTTTAATTCAGTGAGCCTGAGAATAAAGACTGCTCTAACCCTTGCTTTGGAATACTTCTAGGCTTTAAGTTTACAAGAAGATTTTTCAAAGTTAAAGATATGGGAAGTGTGAGGATGTCACATTTACAGTAGGTCCCTCTCAGCAATGTTAAGATAAATATCCAGTAATTTAACAGCTGAATTCACATATATTTGACACATGAGAATCAACTTGCGTTGATGTGATCTGCATTTATGCCCCTAAAGAGTCAGTATTAAGAAATGGTGACATGCGATTCCATACATTCTTACACTATAAAGTAACAAATTTTACTTCCAGTAGCTATTATAAAACCTTATGTTATTAACCCCTCTTGCATAGAATGAGGTAAACCTGTGCGTATTACCAATGCTATTATTCCCAAAAGTAGAGCAATATTTTAGAAAATAAATTGCTGGTTTTTTTTAACGTTCTATGCATTTTAAAATTCAAACAAAAGTCTTACCTAAAATGGTCTCCTGGGGCTTTCCATTAACATTTTTTAAAGCATTCCATAGGCTGAAGGACTGTAGAGGTTAATCATTTTGATTAATTTCTAATTAGCCCTACCTATATTCCAGAGGAGATGGTCAATATTACCACTCTGAAGAGGCCAGGCTAAGACCCAGAAGCACTTCTAGAACAGATGCAATTAATTCCTGAGAGTTTAGTTTATGAACCTCACTGGTAAACGCTAGAGCGCTCTCATTCAGTCACAACTCAGTAGAAAGTTAGAAAATGCAGAGAGCAAACCTTTCACCAGTTTACCCTTGTATCCTTTTTTTTTTTTTAAAAGGAAGTCATATGAATTTTAAAACAGGGAATGTTCAAAATGGTCCAAATCGGTTATTATTAAAATAAATCCTGAATACAATTAAAGACAATTTTATATATATATATATATATATATATATATATATATATATATATATATATATATGGAATTTTAAGAAAATTAAATTCTCTTTCAAATTAGTTTTCTACCAAATCCAGGATAGATAAAAGCAGAGCTGGAATGATTTTGAAATCTAAACTTATTTTGGCTTTGAATAACTTTCAATTCGATTCTCCTAATACAGAACATCTGTTTTTGGTTGTGGTTATACGAAGCTGTTATTTCACAGATAGAGGGAAATGGCAGAGAACTGATCAGAATCCCTTTCGTGGGGTATTTTTTTTAGAAAGGAAAATAAACTAAGGACAACATTACATTTTCCCCAACCCCTCAATGTGTAGACTGAGATCCTGAATATCTTGTCAACCATTCCAGTTTAACACTTTAGTGTTAGGATAATTCTAATCATTTTTTTAATTAAAAGAGAACATATAAAAGTATCCAGAGTTCTTCCAGTTTCATACAGAACTCCAAATAAATTTTCACAGAATGAAAAATATTTCTGTACAAACATTTAAAATGGGCTGCAATAAAATGCCAACAAGAGAAATAATGACCCTTCCATGACCTTTGTGGTGATGACCCCTCCATGAGGAGTTCAGTTGCATATTTCTGCAGCAAAAGAAGCTGGAGATGTGACTGGCCTAACTTCTAAAAATCCCAAAATCTCCCAACAGGTACCAAAAAGGTTCATTTGTAATGACAGTTCATTTGCATTTAACAGCTATATCCTTCTTAAATCATTTCCTTCAATCCTGCTACCTAAACTTTAATGTTACCAAAAAAGTTAGAATTTCAGTTCTTGTTAACAATGCACATAAATCCAAACTTGGAAAATATTACAAAATTCTTTCAAAAGCTTCAAATACAACACAAAAATTGTCCATCTTTATAAATTGAAAATTTCCCACCCCCCTGCCCCCCCGACTAAAATAGCTCCCCCACCCACCTGAAAAATCTGGAACTGAAATCTTCTATGTTTAGCAAAATGTCCCAGTAGAGTAGCCCCCTGTACAGCTGGATTGATTATAAATCAGTCCTGTGTAAAATCCTTCCCCACCCGCCCTCAGTTTCTAAGCCACCTCATGGCTCTTGTTTGATGTAGAAGTTGGCAGAGCCATTGCTTTCCTGATCAGACGCTCCTTGAAGGAAATTATAATCCTCTCCATCCAGCAACTCCTCCTTCAGCTGCAGTGTTGTCACTGAATGAAAGAGAGAGAAACATATGGGCATTAAGGCTCTCTAGAGTACTCGGATTGCCTGTGATCTTCGTGTTCCGTCAGCTTTACAGTTATTAAGACTTCTTCATTTCTTCAGTTAATTTTAATTTTCCAGTATATTAGCAGTTAAGAAACATTCTGGAAAGGAACAGTACTGTGTAATGGACATCTTCAATGAAATGTTCGCAGTAATGGTGCTCACTAATCTGACTGGGATAATGAGAATTTTGTTTGTGATTAAGTATTCACTTTTATGTCAATGTTTGTACAAACAATGATGTAGTTCTTTCATGGTTCTGAAGTACAATCTTTTTTTTTTTTTTTTTTTGAGATGGAGTCTCACTCTGTCATCAGGCTGGAGTGCAGTGGAGTGAACTCGGCTTACTGCAACCTCCGCTTCCCGGTTCAAGCGGTTCTCCTGCCTCAGCACCGCCCCCCCAAGTAGGTGGGACTACAGGCACCCACCACCACGCCCAGCTAATTTTTGTATTTTTAGTAGAGACAGGGTTTCATCATGTTGGCCAGGATGGTCTTGATCTCTTGACCTTGTGATCCGCCCACCTCAGCCTCCCAAAGTGCTGGGATGACAGGCGTGAGCCACCGTGCCCGGCCTCAAGGAGTACTTTTATTAAAAAGATTCTCTGAAGAAAAAGATATAAATCTGATGTTAAATAAAAACATTAAAAAATTATAAATTACATAAGGATGTAACATATATTTTTAAAAAGTAAATCTGGGCTGGATGTGGTAGCAGCCTGGGCAATGTAGCAAATCCCCATCTCTACAAAAAACAAAAAAAAGCTGGGTATGGCTGTGCAAGCCTGTAGTCCCAGCTACTCATGACTGAGGCAGAAGGATTGCTGGAGCCCAGGAGTTCGAGATTACAGTGACCTATGATTGTGTCATTGCACTCTAGCCTGAGTGGCAGAGTGAGACCCTGTGTACCTCTCCTCCTACCAAGAAAAACTAATATTAAACTCCTGAGCCGAGTGTGGTGGCTAATGCTTACAGTCCCAGCTATGTAGGAGGACAAGGCGGGAGGCCAGTTCAAAGCTGAGTGCCTGCCTGAGTTCTTATCTGATGACTTACTTTTTAACAAAAACAAATTAACAGTATAGCCATGTTTCCGTAGGTCTTTAGTATGGAAAACGGTTTTTCAGTTTCATATCCCCAAAGTGCTGGGATTACAGGTGTGAGCCACAGCGCCTGGCTGTGTTCAGGTTACCGTCTAACCAAAGTTGAGCTCAAATAATTTAAAGAACAGATGAGGTGGTCTTTTGTGCTAACACATCCACTTGAATCTAGTCCCGTGTTGAGCAATGCTACCTTCTTTCCCAACTTCTTTAGCATACACGGATCTGCTAAATCAGAAGTCAGAAACTGCTTTTTCCACTCCTGCCTGGGCCCTGTGCATTTTTTTTTTTTTTTTTGAGACATAGTCTCACTCCATCACCCAGGCTGGAGTGCAGTGGCATGATCTCAACTTACTGCAACTTCTGCCTCCCGGGTTCAAGTGATTCTCATGCCTCAGCCTCCCGAGTGGCTGGGATTACAGGTGTGTGCCACCATGCCTGGCGAATTCTTTTGTATTTTTAGTAGAGATGGGGTTTTGCCATGTTGGCTGGGCTGGTCTTGAACTCCTAGCCTCATGTGATCCACCCACCTTGGCCTCCCAAAGTGTTTGGATTACGGTGTCAGCCACCGCGCCTGGCCTCTTTATACATTTGAATGGTTCTTTACACATTTGACTGAATATTTCGATACAAGAGATTTCACATGAAAATCTGAAAAGTAGATAGACTTGGAAACATAAGCGCAGCATCCTTAAAGAGCTGTGATCAATGGGAACTGACTGGCTACTTACTACCCCCTGAATCTGGGCAGCCTGAGATCTCTGTCCACCACAGAGCTCACTGCCCAGGTTGCCCACAATACTCACACAGGTAACCACCAGCCCCTGCAGGCATCTGGCTCCAGATCAAGGGTAAAAGTTCTTCATTTTTCTCTATTATGTATCTTTTCATTAATAAATGGAGAGGATACACATATATGGGGTGTAAATTGGAAACTGCTCATACAGAGAAAAAAATCAACTGATGAGAATGAGAACTCAGCAGAGTATCTGGATAGGTAGTATGCCACTTAAGTTTTTCATGAAGCAATGGCAGTGTCATCATGTGGAACAATATTAAAATTGCTACAACTTTTAAAGTCAAATAGTACAGTCAGAAAAATAATTCATGTCTTTATTTTTTTAGTAGAGATGGGGTTTCACCATGTTGGTCAGGCTGGTCTTGAACTCCTGACCTCGTGACCCTCCCACCTTAGCCTCCCAAAGTGCTGGGATTACAGGCGTGAGCCACCGTGCCTGGCCCATGTCTTGATTTTAGTTACAAGCAATTAGTTTAAAAATAATGGCTGCTGACATCTTACTTGCTAATTTAAAGAATAATCTTTTTTTTTTTTTTTTTTTTTTTTAAGATAGTCTCGCTCTGTCACCTAGACTGGAGTGCAGTGGCACAATTTCGGCTCACTGCAACCTCCACCTCCCAGGTTCAAGTGATTCTCCTGCCTCAGCCTCCCAAGTAGCTGGGATTTACAGGCGTGCACCACCACACCTGGCTAATTTTTGTATTTTCAGTAGAGATGTGGTTTCCTCATTTTGGCCAGCTGGTTTCAAACTCCTGATCTCAGGTGATTCACCTGCCTCAGGTGATTCCCCACATGGGATAACCTCCCAAAGTGCTGGGATTACAGGCGTAAGCCACTGCGCCTGGCCAAGAATAATCTTTTGAGAGATGGCAATTTATTTTATTTGGTACTGGTTTTGGTACTGGTGATCAAAAATTTAACAGACCAAAGACAGAAAAGTGAATACGTTATGCATATAATCATAGCAAACACCCATCAGACTGTTCAAAGGTACAGCAAACAAGACTGTGCAGTTAGTTCTTCCTTTCATTAAAAAATTACTTAATATAAATAAAAATGCTTTTATGAGGAATGATATCAAATGCATGACAGTTATCCTTCAAATCTAGCCAGCATGCAGTCATTCAGCGTGAGGGCCATTTTAACAATACCTAGAAAATACACACATGGAAAAGAAAACAAAACCCAAGTTTCATTAAAGGTGCAGTACCCACAATAAAAGGTTGATTAAAACAGTATCTTGTTCTATGATGACTGGATGGCTAAATGAATGAGAAAAGAATTAATGTGCTTCAAGATCAAACATGTTTCATTCAAACGGATGTTTTTTAAAAAAATGTAAGAAAGGTAAGTTGAGATTCTAAAGCATATCTTGAAGCAATATGCATTACTGCTAACAACAAATTTCTGGATTATGCTTCTAGTCATGTTAAAATATGAAAATGATGTGCTAAAAAAAGTCACTCAAGATAAAGGTGAAACACTCACTCAGATGTGCAATGTTTTAATGTAAAGTTTCACTGTTTTCATGGAATCTAAAATAAAGCCTGTCTGGTTATCTTCACATGAATCATTTCTCCTTTCCAGGCCTTCTCAATAAATGATGGATGAAATAAAACAGATCCTGTGGTTGAATGTCACTTTCTACACAAATGCCTTTTCTTTTCTCAGCTCTGTTTTTAGAAGGAAGTCACTTTGTTGACACTAATCACTACCATTTCAGGAGATAAGCTAACTGAAATCATATTTTTCCAGCTACGAAGCCCATAAATAATAAACTCTTTCAACAGCTAATGAAACCATAGCTTTCAGATAGTTAAGGTAGCAATGTAGTCCCTACTTAGTTTCATCAGAGAAAAATCACACCAAGTCCCACAAGTTGTGCCCCAGCTCAGAATATACTATAGACATCGGTGGAAGAAGGAAGTCACATAGGATGCCAGGTAGTTTCCATCTAGTTCGTCTACTCTAAATTCTTGGGTTTTGCCAGTGCCAGAAGTTCCATTTTAAATGAATCAGTAACCTATCACAAAATGTGACATACATCTTCAAAACCAGCCTCATGCTTAAAGAAAATACATCCAAGATCCAATAAAAGCTCAAATATATTTGGAACTCACAATATCCATACTTAATTAAGTAATGCAAGACTATTTCATAAATAAGTGCAAAAAGAAAAAAACTTAGACAAGAAAGGAAACAGGAACGCTCTTTAGACTTTGAACATTTTTCTGTTAAAGAGCAGGTAACACTGGATTTACAATCCTAATTTGTTTTTCGTACAAAAGAAGTAGTGTAATTTCCTCTGGATGTAAGAACATCACAGTGATCTTCAGAGAAAAAGACTGGGAAGGGGGCAAGATGGCCTAATACATTATGAGGGAGGCAAAAGCTAAAGAACATATCCTAAAATGGCAAAAACCACCAAAAAACCAACAACGGAAACAAACAAGAAAACCCCCATAGGTGCAAAAATATTAGCAAACAGAAGAATGAGAAGAAAACAGAGCTAGGTAACAAGTCTCATCTAGGTTTTCAACATACAAGACATTTTAAAGAATGCTCATTACAGAAAACAAGTCTAAAAGCAATAGTTAGCATATGGCAGAACATATGCTAAGGCAGGTATAACTTTGGCTTTGAAGCTGTATGATCTGATCTGTACTCATGCCTGAAGTTCATCATACCTAAGTGAAGTTCTCATGCCCTATGATAATACCATGCTTGTTCTTAGGAATTACAAAGGGCAAAACCTTCTGCAGTCTTCCTTACAATCGACTACCTTGGCCTAACCAATTACACTCGAATCAAATGCCACTGACTAATCACTATACATACATAATCATGAACTTATGGAAATAATAAAATGCAGGTATTGAATTTCCAAATTTGTTATTCAACTAAGATTGTGATCAATGTTACTGCCACAACTAAAATTAAACTAGAACTCAAAACACATCCTTTCCATGAATGAGATACTATGAAATGTTATGAACAAAGCCTCGTTTTTCTGTTTTTTTAATCAGACTTATCCCTAATGACACACTTGTTCCCACGTCAAGTCACATACAATTCTGCAATGAGGAATGTTCAAAACCATGAAATATTCCAAGTTGTCTCACAATTCCAGAACTTGACATTATAACTACCCTTATTTGAAGCTCGGAAGTATTTTATAACAAAGTAAAAAATCCTTCCCTGATGTTTTGTCTTAGTGAAGTGACTACTAAGCACTAGTGAAATGAATTCTTTAGTTGAAAGAAAAAGAAAAAAAATTCAATGAGTCAGCATCTGTCATGCCAGACCATGCTTTGTCTCCCACCACCCTACCCAGTACTTTTACCCTCTGAAGTACCTGAGATGCTGATGTGACTAATTACCTGTTTTGAGGCTGGGACTGAACTCTCGGCTAGTGCTGGGAGGTGGGAAGGCCTCCGGGGCTGTCTGTGCTGGAAGGGTTCGATATGGAGGAGGAGTCAACTCTTCGTCACCAGAGAAGCTCCTCCGCACCCCACCTGTCATGGGCAGGCTCGACAAACTGACAGGCTTCTTCCCAATTGGCATCTTCCTCTCTAAATATCAAGTCAGACTAAAGTAAGCTTTCACTTACATGCGTGGTAAGAAAAGTGCATTATATAACTAGGAAAGCTGTGCTGCACAGGACACTCTCAAAAGAGAACCAATTATGCAAAGTTTGTATTTCTGAAAAGAAGGAAAGAGAGACTGACTGAATGTGTGTGTTGGGGGAGATTGTTTCTACTCTCCGAGAGTCTGGTAATAACTAGTTCTGACTCTCAAATTTAAAACAAGACAAAGTAAAATGAATTACAGAGAGCTTTAAGAACAGCTGGGCCGGCCGCAGTGGCTCACGCCTGTAATCCCAGCACTTTGGGAGGCCGAGGTGGGTGGATCACGAGGTCAGGAGATTGAGACCATCCTGGCTAACACAGTGAAGCCCCATCTCTACTAAAAATACAAAAATAGCTGGGCATGGTGGCAGGCGCCTGTGGTCCCAGCTACTCGGGAGGCTGAGGCAGGAGAATGGCGTGAACCTGGGAGGCGGAGCTTGCAGTGAGCCGAGATCGTGCCACTGCACTCCAACCTGGGCGACAAAGCAAGACTCTCGTCTCAAAAAAAAAAACCAAAACAAAACAAAACAAAAAGAACAGCTGAACAGCTGGCCAATTTCTTTCAAGAAAGTCTCTGCTTGAGATGGGATAAAAACCCAAAGGAAGGAAGAAAGGGTCTTAAAACACTACTTTTAGGTAGCATTTCATAGCTCATATAAGCCCAAACACTGGTGGAGAAATCAAAACAATTTAAATGTATTATCTGGGTGTAGGAGGTTACTGATATGAAATGTGCTCTCCTAACTTTTAGTTTACAATTCACTCTTTTAGAAAACACAATTCTTATTCTAAAATGTACTTCCAAATTCAAAGCTTATTGCCTGTAAATTCTTAAGCAATCTGATTTATTCTGAAACAAATTTATCAGGCTGGGCATGGTGGCTTATGCCTGTAATCCCAGCACCTTGGGATGCCAAGGCAGAAGAATGAGGATGGCTTCAGGCCAGGAGTTTCAGACCAGCCTGGGCAACACAGTGAGACCCATCTCTACAAAAAATAAAAAAAAATTGCTGGGCAATGCTGGAGTCTGATGTGGGAGATTTGCTTGAGCCCAAGGGTTCAAGGCTGCAGTGAGCTATGATTGCACCACAGTGCTCCAGGCTGGGCAATAAAGTGAGACCTTGTCTCAAAAAAAAAAAAAAAAAAGTATCACCCTTCAGCTATAGTTTTCTATACAAATATAAGCCTTCCAAGACATGTACAATGCTTTTGCCAACCAAAAAAAATACTCTGAACTCTGCAAATATTGAAGAACCAGGCATAGTGCATTAATCATATTGAAAGCTGAAGGATCAGCAGGGTACAGTGGCTCACACCTATGATCCCAGCACTTTGGGAGGCCGAGGCAGGTGGATCACTTGAGGTCAGGAGTTCAAGACCAGCCTGGCCAACATAGTGAAACCCCGTCTCTACTAAAAATACAAAAATTAGCCGTAAGTAGTGGTGCACACCTGTAATCCCACTACTTGGGAGGCTGAAGCAGGAGAATCGCTTGAATCCGGGAGGCAGAGGTTGTGGCGAGCCGACAGTGCACCACTGCACTCCAGCCTGGGAGACAGAGCAAGACTCTGTCTCAAAAAGAAAGAAAGAAAGAAAAAAAAAAAAAAAGCAAAGGGATCTTTATCTTTGTGACTGAGTTATGTCTGTTTTCTTCCAGATGACAGAATAAACCGAGTAAGAGCAATAAAAAATTATGCTTCACAAAATCAAAACTAAAAGGTAAATGTAAGCCACACAGTATTCCTATGTAAAATGATGTGGGATTTAAGCTGTTATTGAGTAGATTCAACTCTCAAGAGCCAAACCAAAATCACATGCAGCAACAACTTAAGACTTTTTCCTAATATACCACATACTCACAGATAAAAACGCAAGGAGCAATGTCCACTCTTACTACTTACAGTAGTCCCTGAAAATGGTGAGATTTAAAGCAGAAATCAGTACTGCTTTTCCTGCTCTAGAATTACATCTTAAGGAAAAGAGGCTTTTGAGACTAGAGAGTGTCTATGATCCTTCTGGCAGAACCTTATACTTATTCTCAAAAGTGTCAGTAATTATCCCTCCTTCGTGGCATGAACACAACTTACTACAAAGCAAGCTAGACCAATGAAGCTCATCAGCTGTTTCTGTACAATAAGCACTGCCAAAGAATATACCACTAACAGATGATCTTAAGTTCAAAAAGACCAACGAGCTGTAAGATGAAGCAACAGAGCCAGAATATGATAACCTACCAAGGCAAACGTAAAAACAAAAGGTTTTATAGCCCATCTGGTATTTATATCAGTCTGCCTGCAATGGATGACAGGTTTCTAAACCCCAAATACTTATTTGTGTAACTAAAGCTTAGTGAGAAAACTTTCTAACAAACTGCTGAGTAATAGAAAAAAATAAGAGGCGGCGGCACCATTAGAGTGAAAACTGCTGCTTCTTAATACGGCACTATACTTCCTTATCCTCAATTCCAACATTCAAATAGGTTTTTTTTTTTTTTTTTTTTTTTGAGAGGGAGTTTTGCTCTTGTTGCCCAGGCTGGAGTGCAATGGCGCGATCTCGGCTCACTGCAACCTCCGCCTCCCAGGTTCAAGCGATTCTCCTGCCTCAGCCTCCCGAGTGCTGGGATTACAGGCATGCGCCACCACGCCTGGCTAATTTTGCATTTTTAGTAGAGACGGGGTTTCTCCATGTTGGTCAGGCTGGTCTCGAACTCCTGACCTCAGGTGATCCGCCTGCCTCGGCCTCCCAAAGTGCTGGGATTATAGGCGTGAGCCACCGTGCCTGGCCTCAGGAAGTTTTTTTAAAAAGAACTTTGGCAACAAAGCCGTACCTCACTTGGTGACACTACTTATAATTTTTATTTGGGCCATTTAATGTAAATATTTATATATATATTTGCTTTAAAAATGTTTCAGAGTCTGGAGTGTTACATAATGTATGTTACACAGACTATATTTCTCTTCTAAAATCCAAAAAATTCTGAATTCCAATGCACATCTGGTCCCAAGGGCATCTAATGAGGTACTGTGGGTCCATAGTTCTTTTCTTTTCTATGTCCAAAGGACAATTTAAAGGTAGTAGAGATGATGTCATACTATTAGGAAATAGTGAAACATTATAGTTAAGGAATATGTTGCATATAGACCAAAATTCATTTTTTCAGTGAATCCAGAACTCTAGTAATGGTAAATATCACTAAAAACTGGGGTGCTAATATTTCTTCATTAATTACATATTTCTTTCCATGTTCCCAGCCCATTAATTCAAAACAGTTTTAACTCCACAAATCAGAAACAAATCCTACAAGAGTCACGCTGAGGGAGGCAAATGAATTGTCTACATAAAACTCACAGATAAGTTCTAAAAAGCAATGTCATATAGCCACTGAGTAATAAAAACCATTTTTAATTTGACATCTTGGAAAGAAAATTCTGAAATTCCAAAGTCTTATCCAACAGAAAGTGAAAGCAGACTTGTTATTTACTTCACAGAAAGCTTAGTGATCATATCTGCTATTGTCAGTCCACTGACATAAATGAAGTTCCCATGTGAATTCTTGCTACTCATTTAGATACATGAGAACTCCCTTTCATCAGGCTGGTTTGGCAATGCTCCCTAAAGTTCTTTTAGGTGAGTATCAGACCTGGCAAGCAGCTGGTGGGCAAAATAATTCTGGGCCTGTGGGAGGCTTGTGCCTATAAACGAGAGGTCAAGAGACAGGCCTGTAGGTTGCTACTTGTGTGTGGCTGACATGGGTTTTGTGCTGGGAGAAAACTTATTTTTCAAAGTACTACTATAGTGGACAGTAGAAATTTTTAAGTTTCCCACTTAACAAGCAAACATCAGAAAGGTTAGAACAGAGTATATTCGATTCTTCTTGCCACTTCAGTCTCTAGGTTGTTAATGAGGCAAATCAGCACGTACCTGAGCATATTTGGCAAGTCAGCTGGAAAAATCTGTTTCAGTTTTAATCCTCAAGTATACTTTTACATTTTTTAAATAGCTTGCTTTTTTCTTCCTTTTTTTGTTTTTAGAGATGGGGTCTTGCCATGTTACCCAGGCTGGTCTAAAGCCATCCGCCTTGGCCTCCCAAAGTTGCTGGGATTAATTACAGGCATGAGCCACCGCGTCCAGTCCAATTTAAAAAATATCTTTAAATAAAAATTGGCCAGACTCAGAGGATCACACCTGTAATCCCAGCACTTTGGGAGACCAAGGCAGGCAGATGGATCGCTTGAGCCCAGGAGTTTGAGACCAGCCTGGGTAATATGGTGAGACACCATTTCTATAAAAATATAAAAACGAGTTGGGCATGGTGGTATACTCCTGTAGTCCCAGCTACTCCAGGGGCTGAGGTGGGAGAATTGCTTGTACCCGAGAAGTCGAGGCTGCAGTGAGCCAAGATCATACCACTGCATTCCAGTCTGGGCGACAGACTGAGACTCTGTCTCAAAAAAAAAAAAAAAAAAAAAAAAAAAAAATATATATATATATATATATAACCTTATCTAAGAATGAAATGAAATATGGCCATGTGTGGTGGCTCATGCCTGTAATCCCAGCACTTTGGGAGGCTGAGGTGGGCAGAGTGCTTGAGCCCAAAAGTTTGAGACCAGCCTGGGCAACGTGGCAAGACTCTGTCTCTACAAAAAAATACAAAACTTAGCTGGGTGTGTGGCAACACATGCCTGTGGTCCAAGCTACTCAGGAGGCTGGGGTGGGAGGACTGCTTGAGCCAGGGAAGGTTAAGGCTGTAGTGAGCGGAGATTGTGCCACTGCACTCCATTCCAGCCTGAGCAACAAAGTAAGGCCTTGTCTCAAAAAAGAATGAAACATTCTATGACAAGTTTTATGAAGAGAGAAAGCTATGGCTTTCTATGGTGGGGAAATAAGATAAAAAAAATCAAACATAGTTATCAATATATTTTATATTACTTTGGCTTATGCCAACAATTCACTGTAAGGTAAAATATAGTATAGAAAGAATTTCTTTTTTTTTTTTTTTTTCGAGATGGAGTTTTGCTCTTGTTGCCCAGGCTAGAGTGCAATGGCACGATCTCGGCTCACCTCAACCTCCGCCTCCTGGGTTCAAGCAATTCTCCTGCCTCAGCCTCCCAAGTAGCTGGGATTACAGGCGTGCACCACCACACCCGGCTAATTTTTTAGTATAGAAAGCATTTCTAGAAAAATTTGGTAAAGCTTGTTTGCCATCAACTTGGATTTCTTACCAGTATCACTCTAGAAAGTTTTGCTTTCTAGGAAAAATGGGTTTATTAGGCTTCACATCTACTGTAAGCATCAAGCATCTGCTAATTTTTTTTTTTTTTTTTGAGACAGAGTCTTGCTGTGTTGCCCAGCTGGAATGTAGTGGCGTGATCTTGGCTCACTGCAACCTCTGCCTCCTGGGTTCAAGTGATTCTCTTGCCTCAGCCTCCTGAGTAGCTGGGACTTCAGGCGTGTGCCACCACGCCCGGCAGATTTTTTGTATTTTTGGTGGAGACAGGGTTTCACCGTGTTAGCCAGGATGGTCTCGATCTCCTGACCTTGTGATCTGCCAGCCTCGGCCTCCTAAAGTGCTGGGATTACAGGCGTGAGCCACTGCACCTGGCTGCTAATTTTTCTTTTTAAATAAAGTTTTTAAAAAGGATTAACTTTCAGTAGGTTTTACATATTATTTCAAGAATCATTCACAGACTCTATTCTTTACCACGTATACTTTAAATACTGTGGTAATAATTTCTCCTGTTAGTAAAATATCAGTGTTTCTCATTATTGCAAGGGTTTGCCTTTTATGGCATACTGCACCTTTAAGCATAATACATAATGCACAATCATCAGTTCTCACAAGATATATCATTTTCTGTCCAAGAATACTGTGACTCCAATTAGTTAACAATTAGAAAATGTATGTGAACACCACGTGGTGACCCACTTTTCTTATGTCCTTTGTATTGCTGGGACTTAGCCTTTTTCTTCTGTTTTGATGAAGCTGATTGGTTTTCTCTTGATGCTGAAAAATAAAAAGGGAAAATTGGTACTAGATAATTGTTTACAATTTAGACGATACAGTTGTCTAGATACAACTTATATGAACTATCTTTACCAAGACCATTATACTTAAGTACATGATGCTCTGAAAATAAGGGTACTTGTTCCTACAAAACCATAGCCTCAACATGAGACATTTTCCACTATTTACTCAAAAGCATTTATTACCTACCAATAAACTTTTAGTATGTAATTTTTAACTCACTAAAATAGTAAGTCTAGTTTAATTTGGTGACTGTTGTGTTTCTATAGTCATTATGTAATTGACTATTGGATTCACATTGCCATGGGACACATGGTCTGATTCTGTGATATTGTTGTTGAGTCTTAATGTCTTACCTGGCAACCAATCAGACATAGGTATATTCTTGTCCTGTGAGCTCATAAGATGACTTATGTGAGATAGTCCTCTGGAGAATTGCTGATTTTTACAAAAGGACACCTTTTCTGTATACCAACTTACACTGTGATGCTGGAGGCTGTAGTTGATATCCAGTTAACTGACACCACCCTACAGGATAGAGGTCAGGTGACTCACAGTCTACCCACTGATCATACTCTTCTTCCCATCCATCAAAATGTATCCTCAAGAGACGATGAATAATTCGAGTTACTGTGGCTACACATATTAAACGTGGCTCCATGAGATCTACTGCTTCTAATTTCATTCCTACACGAAATCCGTGATTTGGAACATCCTGACACAGAGAAGAAAACATTAATATTGGTATGAAGAAGAAAGAATGCACAACCCTACTATCACTAAGAAAGCAAAAAACAGAAGCGACTAGCTAAATAACATAATTATAAACCATAAATTCCAAATAATTCTTTAACTATTTAAACATAGTACGAAGGTGAAGTATTTAAAAACTAGTTAGGAAAAATCTTCATTTCTATTTCCTTCAGATTAAAAACGAAACATAGTTTGGAAACAAGTTTTGATTCCTAGGTAAAGAAAATATTTATATTGTTTCATTGCTATATTTGTTTATATTATATCTCCACTAAGAAATTCTAATACAAGGCAAAGACATTTTTATGAACATAAATTGTATTTGTGGGGCATTAATAAGTCCTCACATAATTATGCTGCCATTTAAATTTACCTTATTAAATAGTTTTACTGGTGCTGCAATGGAGCCAGTTTCCCTGAGGTAGTCAAACCATTTAAAAGGAAGTTTTGTGTAACCTAAAAAACACAACTGGTTTAACTAGCAGTTCATTTAAAATTAGCATAATATTAAAATGCAGACAAAAAGTAACAGTACAAAAAATCTTAAGAGCATAGGTTATATGATCAACTTTATTTTTTTTGAGACAGGGTCTTGCTCTGTCGCCCAGGCTGGAGTGCAGTAGTGCCCTCAAAGGCTTACTGCAGCCTCAACCTCCAGGGCTCAAGTGATCCTCCTGCCTTAGCCTCTCTAGTAGCTGGGACTACAGGCACATGCCACTGTGACAGGCTAATTTTTTGTTGTTTTTAGTAGAGACAGGGTCTCCCTATGTTGCCCGGGTTGTTCTCAAACTCCTGGTCTCAAGCAATCCTCCTACCTGAGTCTCCCAAAGTGCTGGGATTATTGGCGTGAGCCACTGCACCTGGCCTATATGATTTATACTGCTGAGTGCAATAATTCCTCCATGTTACACAGATTTCCCTCCCCTCTCTAGAAACACTGGTGTGCCTACTTAGTCTAACGCAAAAGTGGCTCTCTTTTTCTGTTTACTACAATGGTACATTTTTGCTCTTTCAATCCTAGGCTTTAGAAGAGTCTAGCACCTAATACTATGGACTGATATTTTTCTTTCTTGCAAGGAAAGAAAACTGGCTGAGCAAATACTATTTTTTATAGACCTCTGTTATAGCTTTCCTCCTTTCTTAGAGGAACAACTTAATGCTCAAGTATTAAAATTGGAAAAATCACTGGTTAAACCACGAGTAAAACAGCCATCCTTTTAAAAGTCCACATAGGGCTGGGTGCAGTGGCTCACGCCTATAATCCCAGCATGCTGGGAGGCCAAGGTGGGTGGATCACTTGAGGCCAGGAGTTCGTGATGAGCCTGGCCTACATGGCGAAACCCTGTCTCTACTAAAAATAGAAAAATCAGCTGGGCGTGGTGGTGCACACCTGTAATTCCAGCTACTTGGGAGAGGAGGCACAAGAATCACTTGAACCTGGGAGGCGGAGGCTGTAAAGAGGTGAGATAGCACCCCTGCATTCCAGCCTGGGTGACAGAGCGAGACTGTCTCAAAAAAAAAAAAAAAAAAAAAAAAAAGTCCACATGGCTAAGTGTGGTGGTTCACTCCTAATCCCAGCACTTTGGGGAGGCTGAGGTGGGAGGATCAGTTGAGGCCAGGACTTCAAGACCAGCCTGGGTAACATAGTGAGATTCCTGTCTGTACATACAAAGAAAAAAAAAAAAAAGTCAGACATGGTTGTGCCTTTCAGCTGTAGTTTCAGCTACTAGGGAGGCTGAGGTGGGAGGATTCCTTGGGCCCAGGAGTTGAAGTTACCGTGAGCTATGATTGTGCCACTGCACTCCAGCCTGGGCAACAGAGCAAGACCCTGTCTTTATTGGGAAAAAAAGAAAAAAATCATGTATGCCATAGCCTGTTGAGCCTACATTACTGACTCAACAGAGTTTGAGAATACCAATTCATATTATAAAATACACAGATGCTCAGGAAAAATTCTATACTACTGTAATTTATTAAAGTACGCTAGAATACAGTACTTTATATTTTTAGAGCAACCTACAGCTCCTGTATGTATATGTTTATCCACACACATTATATACGTACTCAGGAAATCTAGGGCTGTGTTAAATGTTGTAAACAAAAACCATGTAAGAAGAAAGCAACAATTAAAACCCAGTGTTTATATTAGGATGAAGTACCTCTGGGTGGAGTAAGTTCAATCATGTTAATTTCACAGAAACCGACAGGGAAAATAGAAGGAGAGGTTGCATGGTAACAGAACCAGTCAGATCCGTCTGCTGCTTCTGAGCCATCGATCCCAATCATCAGGAATCCGTCAGCTAGCACCTTTTCAATGAAGAGAATTCTAAGTACTTGAAATTAGATACCACTATTATAAAAATAATACTTTGACATTCTAAAAGAAAGGAAAATCTATTATATAAAGGTCTCTTCAAAGTGAAACATGCTTCTCTATTGAGTTATGTTAAATAACAGAAGTTCTAATGAAAAAAATCTATGTAAATTCTAGTGTGTTCCAGAAACAAAAGCAGGATTACCTATAACTGACCTCAGAGGTCTGGGAAAAGCAGTGCGTTTGACCATAGCTATAGCTGCCTGCTGTCACGGCATCATGAAACTGGGCTGAGTGCTTACTATTTACCTATCTAGTTTCAGCTAGGCTCCAAATCCTACTTGGTAACACTTTGACTTCTTTCTTTCTGATTTATCACATACAGAGTTTTTACAAACGGTCTCTACCTTCTTCAAGCTCCAACTTGATCTCTTTTATGCTACAGATAACCATACTCCTCTATGGCAGATGCTAAGGCTGGTCCACATTAAGGGTCCTCTTGTTCATTTCTTCACGCCTCAGAGACTGTTGTAACAAGTACCCAACTCTCCCTTTTTGAGACAAGGTCTCGCTCTGTCACTCAGGCTGGAGTGCAATGGTGCGAACATGGCCCACTGCAGCCTTGACCTCCCCGGCTCAAGCAATCCTTCTGTCTCTGCCTCCTGAGTAGCTAGGACTACAGGTGCATGCCATCACACTCGGCTAATTGTTTAATTTTTATTTTGTAGAGATGGGGTCTCACCATGTTGCTCAGGCTGGTCTCAAACTCCTGGGCTCAAGTGATCCTTCTGCCGTGGCCTCCCAAAGTGTTGGGATTACTGGCAAGAGCCACCACGTCTGGCTGTGCCCACCCTGCCTTTTTTTTTTTTTTTTTGAGACAGAGTTTCCCTCGTCACCTAGGCTGGAGTGCAATGGGTCAATCTCGGCTCACTGCAACCTCTGCCTCCTGGATTCAAGTGATTCTTCTGCCTCAGCCTCCCAAGTAGCTGGGATTACAGGTATGGGCCACCACGCCCAGCTAATTTTTGTATTTTTAGTAGAGATGGGATTTCATCATGTTGGCCAGGCTGGTCTCGAACTCCTGACCTCAGGTGACCCACCCACCTTGGCCAGGCTGCCCCCCCTTTTTAAAACTAAGACAAACTTCCCCATCTTGCCCTATTACCACTGGAATTTTGCTTTCAAAAGACCATCTCTTATACTCTAATGTTTCCCAATTTCCACTATATTAAAAATATTTTGGCTGGGCGTGGTAGCTCATGCCTGTAATCTCAGCACTTTGGGAGGCTGAGATGGGCAGACACCTGAGGTCAGGAGTTTGAGACCAGACTGGCCAACATGGCGAAACCCAGTCTCTACTAAAAATACAAAAATTAGCCAGGCATGGCGGTGGGGGCCTGTAATCCCAGCTACTTAGGAGGCTGAGGCAGGGAGAATTGCTCGAACCTGGAAGGCAGAGGCTGCAGTGAGCCGAGACCATGCCATTGCACTCCAGCCTGGGTGACAGAGCAAGACTGTTTCAAAGGGGAAAAAAAATTTTTTTTCCTTTGAAATAGGTTCAAGGTTATAGAGTAGTAGAATAAACTCTATTCACCCAGACACTCAATTCAAGTTACATACCACGCAACTCCTTGCAGTTGATTTTTGTCTTTATCTATTATTATATATACAAGATATATATATATATATATATATATATATATATATATATATATATATATATATATATATATATATATATATATATATGGAGGACGGAGTCTTGCTTTGTTGCCCAGGCTGGAGTGCAGTGGTGCAATCTCAGCTCATTGCAACCTCCCCCTTCTGGGTTCAAGTAATTCTCCTGCCTCAGTCTCCCAAGTAGCTGGGATTACAGGTGCTCACCACCACACCCGACTTATTTTTGTATTTTTAGTAGAGATGGGGTTTCGCCATGTTGGCTGGGCTGGTCTTAAATTCCTGGCCTCAAGTGATTCTCCTGCCTCTGCCTCCCAAATATTCCTTCATAGTTTTACTTGTTGAATTTTTGTTTTTGGCTTTTTCCTGCAGTATGTTGCCTTTATCTAAACTGCTAAATTCATGAATAAACTCCTAATTTGCCCAACCTCACTGAGTCTCTGCTACTTGCTCACTACTCTTAATTTTTCTTTTCTTTTTTTTTTTTTTTGAGACAAGGTCACCCAGGCTGGGGTGCAGTGGTACAATCATGGCTCACTGCAGCCAACTTCCCTGAGCTCAGGTGATGCTCCCACCCTAGCCTCCTGGATAGCTGGGTCTATAGGTGTGCCACCACACTCAGCTAATTTTTGTAGAGACAGTGTTTTGCCCTATTGCTCAGGCTGGTTTCAAACTCTGGGGGCCAAGGTGGGCTCAAGCAATCTGCCTGCCTCGGCCTCTCAAAGTGCTAGGATTACTGGCGTGAGCTACCACACCCAGCCTACTCTTAATTTTCTGAAACATTTTCTCCTAGTCTCTTATCACCTTCTGGTCTACCAATCAATCTTCTCATCTCTCTGATCATTCTTTCTGCATTCCTTCTGGAATGCTCTTTCACCTCCAACCATCAAGTTTCTGATTTTAGCTCTTTTCTGTTTTGATGACCTCATCCACCCCAGTGCTACAATGATGAGCTTCTACACCAGTGATTCCTAAAGTTTTATCATGAGTTTGCCTCTCTTCCAGTGTCTCGGTCCAGCATTTTATCCGCATGCTGAACACAGTCTCTGAGTTAGTACAGGGTGTCAAATCAACAACTCCTCTTACTCCTTTAGAGGTTATCAATCACCATATTCCACAACTCCACCTCAACTTGCCATTAATCTCTGTCTTGACTTTGCTATCTTATTTGATATAATTGCTTTCAGCCATCCTCTATGGATGCTGCCCCTCTTAGACAGTAAAACTTTCCTTCAGTCCAACCTCTGTTCAGGCCAGTACCTGTACCAAGTTATCCTGTCTACTAAAGAACTCTCGGATGACTTGACCAAGTGTTTAAAGCCTGTAATAATGGTTCCACATTATCTTTTGGTCTCTTCCCCCAAGTTCCTTTCTCTCGTTATTTCTATATGGTAAACATGTACACTAAATTTACTACTCTCAAGCTTGAGAGCTTTGCCTAAGACCTCTGGACAGAACTACCCCACTTACATGGGATTCCTTTCTTCATTCTTCTAAATACAGGTGACTAGACTAGGGACTTGTATGTATCACATATGGAACCAAACCAAAGGCTTAGCTCAGCTATTCAGACTCTTTCTCAGTAATCAGAATTAACAGACACAGAGACTGTTGTCACATGGGTGGGATCTGGAACTGAAAGGATCCTCCCAGCTCAGCGTCCCAAAGTGCTGGAACTGCAGGCATGAGCCACCAAGCCTGGCCTTGACTGTGATTCCGGTCATGTAGACATGGAGTCGATCATGGGAATCCACGTGATTTTTGTTGTTGTTGTTTGAGATGGAGTCTCGCTCTATGCCTAGGCCGAAGTGCAGTGGCTCGATCTCAGCTCACTGCAACCTCCACCTCCCAGGTTCAAGTGATTCTCTTGCCTTAGCCTTTCGAGTAGCTGGGATTATAGGTACACACCACCACACCTGGCTAATTTTTGTATGGAGATGGGGTTTTATCATGTTGGCCAGGCTGGTCTTGAACTCCTGACCTCAAGTGATCCACCTGCCTTGGAGTCCCAAAGTGCTGGGATTACAGGCATGAGGCACTGCACGCAGTCTTTATTTTTTTCTTTTTTTTGAGACAGAGTTTTGCTCTTGTTGCCCAGGCTGGAGTGCAATAGCACAATCTCAGCTCACTGCAACCTCTGTGTCTTGGGTTCAAGCATTCTCCTGCCTCAGCCTCCCAAGAACTGGGATTACAGGTGCCTGGCCCCAGGCCCAGCTAATTTTTTTGTATTTTTAGTTTCATCATGTTGACCAGGCTGGTCTTGAACTCCTGACCTCATGATCTGCCCTTCTAAAGTGCTGGAATTACAGGTGTGAGCCACCTGTAATTGTAATAAAAAAAGGGCCCAGCCTTTTTTTTTCTTTTTAACATGATCAAGGTGTTTCAGGAATCACTGTTTTAAAAAAATTTTTTTTTTGAGACAGTCTTGCTTTGTTGCCCAGGATGGAGTGCAGTGGTGCGATCTCAGCTCACTGCAACCTCCCCTTCCTGGGTTCAAGTGATTCTTCTGCCTCAGCCTCCCGAGTAGCTGGGACTACAGGCACCCGCCACCACGCCTGGCTAATTTTTGTATTTTTAGTAAAGATGGGGTCTCACCATATTGACCAGGCTGGTCTCGAACTCCTGACCTTGTGATTCGCCCCCCTCGGCCTGTTTTAAATCTTATTGGGTCATTCTGATCACTAGTGAGGAAAAGAGGAAGAACAGGGTTTGGAGCCAGTCTTGTCCAGCTGTCTGACCATGTGACATGGCAGCCATCATAATTGTTTTCCTTTTTCTTTTTTTCTGTTTTTTTTTTGAGACAGAGTCTCGCTCTGTCACCCAGGCTGGAGTGCAGTGGCACCATCTTGGCTCACTGCAACCTCCACCTCCCGGGTTCAAGTGATTCTCCTGCCGCAGTCTCCTGAGTAGCTGGGACTACAGGTGTGTGCCACCACGCCTAGTTAAATTTTTTGTAGTTTTAGTAGAGACAGGGTTTCACCGTGTTAGCCAGGATGGTCTTGATATCCTGACCTCGTGATCCGCTTGCCTTGGCCTCCCAAAGTGCTGGGATTACAAGTGTGAGCTACCATGCCTGGGCCATCATAATTGTTTTTCTTTTAGCTGAAGGTTTTAAACTGTTGAAATGCAAATCACGATTTAAGTTACACCTTTATGTAAGTAGACTTTCCTTAGGTGGTTCTTGACCATGGCTGTACATGATATTCACCTGAGACCTTAAAAAAATGCCAATGTTAGCCAGGCAGGTGGCTCCTGCCTGTAATCCCAGCTACTCAGGAGGCTGAGGCAGCAGAATTGCTTGAGCTCAGGAGTTCGAGACTATCCTGGGCAACAGTGAGACCCCATTGCTAAGAAAACAACAACAACAAAAAAACTGGTTGGGTGTGGTGGCTTCTGCCTGCAGTACCAGCTGCTCAGGAAGCTGAAGTGGGAGAATTGCTTGAGCTCAAGGCTGTGGTGAGCTATGATCACGCCATTGCACTACAGCCTGGGTGACAGGGCGAGATACCATCTCAAAAAAAAAAAAAAAAAAAAAATGCCACGTACGGTGGCTCATGCCTGTAATCCCAGCACTGTGGGAGGCTGAGGCAGGTGGGTTACTTGAGTCCAGGAATTCGAGACCAGCCCAGGCAACATGGTGAAATCCCATCTCTACAAAATATACAAAAATTAGCCGGGCGTGGTGGCATGCACCTGTAATCCCAGCTACTCAGGGGGCCGAGGCAGGAGGATCACCTGAGCCTGGGAGGCAGAGGTTGCAGTGAGCTGAGATCATGCCACTGCACTCCAGCCTGGATGACAGAGTGAGACCATGTCTTTAAAAAAAAAAAAAATGCTGGGTGCCGTGGCTCATGCCTATAATCCTAGCACTTTAGGAGGATTGCCTGAGCCCAGGAATCTGAGACCAGCCTGGGCAACCTAGGGAGACCCTGTACCTACAAAAATAAAAATAAGAAAATTAGCCAGGCATGATAGGACACACCTGTGATCCCAGCCACTCTGAAGGCTGAAGTGGGAGGGTCACTTGAGCCTGTGATCACACTACTGCACTCCAACCTAGGCGACAGAGAGAGACTGTCTCAAAAAAAAATGAACAAACAAACAAAAAACCCAAGAATTTCTCTTCTAGGTCTTTTTGTAAGAGCAGTTTCAGATGAGGGGGAAAAGAGAAAAGCAGCAAAAACTACTACCAAAAGGAAGAAAAAGGCCTAAAGAGGAAACACAGGAAACTGAAGATAAACTTGGCCTTGTTACAATTCTGAATTGGACTAGCCTTGTCTAGAAGTAACTTAAATAAATATTTTTCCTCTAAATTAGGATATACTTCCATAAATAAGTGTAGCAGACTCAAAATGACAATCTTGACAATAAACTATGTAAGATCAGAGGATTCAAATTTATTTTGAAATTCCTAGCAACCTTCTCCCCAGTGAAGATATACACATACACATTTTATGTCAAAACGAATATGCTTGGGGACTCCTTCTATTAGCTTATACCCAAATCCTATAATTGCATTTCTATATTTTAAAACCTATTATCTTACCTTTCTAATGGTTGCGACACATATTGTAGAAAGATTTAATGGGTCTATAGCTTCCAATTTCATTCCTTCCTTGAACCATTCCCCACTCTGGTCTACTTCTTTTAC
The DNA here is from genome assembly GCF_000001405.40 of Homo sapiens. Classification (NCBI taxonomy): domain Eukaryota; kingdom Metazoa; phylum Chordata; class Mammalia; order Primates; family Hominidae; genus Homo; species Homo sapiens. The sequence continues at coordinate 51,201,697 of NC_000017.11, forward strand.
CTAAAGAATTATATGAAAGCACATCTACTGTTACAAATGTTGTTATTTTGATAATTAAAATATTACCAATGTGAAAAGATTTACCAGGTGCCTTCTCCTACCTACCTAATATTATAACTCAAACTTCCATTAAGGTTTAGAGAGAATTCAGACAAATAGAATTTAAGAATAATTATAATAAAGAGTTGTGACACCTATGAATTTACAAGGTCTTAATTCTTTTAAGTGAACATATGTAATTGTGATTTCCGTAATTTTAGGAAAAAACCCACAACCCTCTTTCAAACCTAATTTACAAATGAGGGTTCTTATAAAAACTTCTTACCTTAGCAAATAAATGTGGTGGTGTATCAAAATGTCCATCCTGTTTCTTTGTAATATCTACAAGGAAAAGTTACACACTAATCTGTCAGCATTTGTGAGAAGACCAAAAACCACGTTCTTTGAAGGCTTCAAACTCACAAAGTATGTCATACTATAAAACATGGCAAGAAGACATGCCTTCTACATTTGGGGTGAATATTCTTTAATAGTCTTTTCTCTCTTCAGAGTACATGTGCATATATGCTTTTAAATACATTCAGCCAATTTTAATGCTCATAATTTTAATGTAATTCCCTAGTTAGAAAATTACAACTTTAGAAGCATGTTTTCATGTGCTTAGTATTAAGTCTAACCACATTTAATCTTGCTATTTTGATTAAAATTGAATGGAAAGGGAAAGGTATCTTTAGATCTTTCAAATGGGCTGAATAATAAAAGAAAGAAACAATTATAGTTGTGACCAGAAGAAGTTCCTTCTTTTGGAGAACAAGTGGAAGGAATATAAAAAAATTTATTAGGACACTAATATGGTGTGAACCTTCACTAATTAAGGTAGAAGAAGCAGCCCAAACAACTAGAATGCTATTTTTCATCTATGCAATTCTGCAGAGAAAAATAACCAACTAGTATAATCAGCCTCAATGATGCTTTTGACAGGAGTTCTTGTGATAGGTGCTTACCAGATCTTTTGAATCGATGACCTATGCTTCGAGACCAACCAATATGATGTATTAATGGGCTGTGCATATGGCACCAGAAGTCATCTGTTCTATCTTCGCTTTCTTCATACACTAGTCTTAATCTTCCTCCAATTACACTTTCCACCACTGCTACTCGTGTTCGACACAAATGCCTCTTGTCAACCACTTCTACTCTCATGCAAGGTTTGAAAGGATACTGCATACTCTCTGAAACCTTAAAAGCATACAAAAAAAACTGCTCGAAATTCATGACAAAGGTCTACAAGAAATTTTTGTATTATACTGTAAAAAATACTGAATGCACTTGAAATGTAACACAGATCATCTGGTTCACAAAATTAAACCAATTCCTTAAAAATGTTCTCTGTTACCCTTGTTTTTTAGAGCTCTTCAGTCTTTATAAGATCCTGTTTTTTACCTTTTGGGAGAAATCAGGAGGCAGTGTTTTGGCACCAGTAAGTCGTTTCACTAGAAAAGCTTTCCAGTTTGTATATTTATGCTGAATAGCTAAAATAGAAGAAATAATCAGTTATACTTTAGCAAAAAAGAACTGCTTCATAAATTATTTGTTAAAAAAGTAACAAATTTCCTTGCAAAGTCAGGCTATTAACATTCTGAAAAGTAACAAATATAGAGAAAGCAAGTATATGCCTTGCCAGCAAAAAGCTGCTTAACACCAAAAAAACTATTTTAATTTCTTTCTTTTTTTTTGAGATGGAGTCTCGCTCTGTTGCCCAGGCTGGAGTGCAGTGGCGTGATCTTGGCTCACTGCAACCTCCATCTCCCCGGTTCAAGCGATTCTTCTGCCTCAGCCTCCTGAGTACAGGCATGCACCACCATGCCCAGCTAGGGAGAAGTTGAGATGGGGTTTTGCCATGTTGGTCAGGCTGGTCTCAAACTCCTGACCTCAAGTGATCCGACTGCCTTGGCCTCCCAAAGTGCTGGGATTACAGGTGTGAGCGGCCATGCCCGGCCTTTAATTTCCATATTACTCTAACATTACTATGTGTAAAATAGCATTAAAGTACACATATAAAAAAATTACGGTAAGGGTAAATAAACTACTTACTTCTAGGAGGAACAAGAGGTTTTCCGCTGGCTGCACACCAACCAACTGGATGGATATCAGAACCACATATATTGCACCAGAAGTCCAGACCAGAGTCATTTTCAAATCCTTCATATCTTAAAAGGGCATTGTAACCTGAAACCCAGAAATAAATCACTACATAATAAGAAAATAAAATTAAATAAAACAATACAGCATCTGATAGCAGTTGTCAAACTAGTGTCTATCTGCAATACAATCACCTGCAGGGTTTGTTAACAGACAGATGGCTGGGTCTCACTCCAGAGATTCTGATTTTGTAGATCTTGGGTGGGAACTGAGAATATGCCTTTTTAACAAGTCCTCAGGTGATGCTGTTGCTGCTGGTCTATGAACCAAACTTTGAGAACCATCTGTTCAGTGCAAACAGTTCAACTGTTTTCAGAGCATGGCATCCTTACATGTATTTCAATTGTACCCATAATTTCTTTTTCTTTTCTTTTTTGAGATGGAGTCTTGCTCTGTTGCCTAGGCTGGAGTGCAGTGGTGCAATCTTGCCTTACTACAACCTTGGCCTCCTGGGTTCAAGCGATTCTCCTACCTCAGCCTCCTAAGTAGCTGGGATTATAGGCATATATATGTAATTATACATATAACATACATATTTATGTATAAGCATATAAACATATAAAAATACATATTATATATTTATTTATATTATATATAATTATATATATATATATATTTTATGAAGACAGGGTCTTGCTCTATCGCCCAGGCTGGAGTGCAGTGGTGTGATCTTGGCTCACTGCAACCTCTGCCTCCTGGGTTCAAGTGATTCACCTGCCTCAGCCTCTTGAGTAGCTGGGATTACAGGCGTGCGCCACCATGCCCAGCTAATTTTTGTATTTTGTAGAGATGGGGTTTCACCATGTTGGCCAGGCTAGTCTCGAACTCTCAACCTCAGGTGATCTGCCCGCCTTGGCCTCCCAAAGGGCTGGGATTACAGGCATGAGCCACTGTGCTTGGCCTTGAAATGTATTTCAAAGAAATTGCTTTATCCAGCTGCTTAGGTGGCCAATTACTCCTGGGTAATTTGAATGTGGCTACTTTAAGAATCTAAATTTTTCTGTCGTATGTATTTGGAAATAAGATTTGAATATGCCAGGTAAAAAGTTCAATAAACACAAAGAAAATTATGTAAAATGAGTTAAAAACTATGTCTTAGGCAAATAGGAAGGCTTACTCTTGGAAAGTACAAAAAATATGTAATATATCCTATTTATAATTCTATAAACTTTATGTTGATAAAAGATTACGATTTAATTTAAGGCCTTTAATGAAACAGAAAAAGGCCAATATATGTGTATTTCAGGTTAGGAGACAAGTTTAGTCAGCATTTTCATGTTTGTGAAAATTTATAGCCTTAAATGTTCAGTTTTAAAATTCAATAATTTCTCAGAACAATTTATGAGTTTGCTAATTACTGCTGAACTCTAGCTTCTGGTTAACATTAGGCTCACTTCTACAATGGCATTAAAGTGGCTTAAAAGAAGATACATGATGCAGTTAGATAAAACAGAAATGTAAAATCGGAGATGGAAGGCAGAAGTAATTTTTGGATAGTAAATGCACTGATCTTAAGAGCTATTTAAATGTAACTAACTTAAACACCCAGGGCAAAAATAATATGCTGTTGTTTTAAATTACAGTGTAGAGAATAATACAAGCATTTAGTGAATGCTTATACAGCTGGGAAAATGTTTCAAGAAAAAGATGGGGAATTGACTTGGGTAGTAGTACAGTTCAGTACAGAGATGGGACACTCTTGCAAGAGTAACCCAAGGCACAGAGGTGACAAAAACGTGCTGTATGAAAGGGAGAGGGAGACTGGCCTCATCACAACAGATCATTTATGCTGGAGAACTACAATACATCTGGCATGTGGTATATGGTGCAACTCATCAATAGTCATAAATGCTGGCTATCTTGATCCTTTAAGTACAAAGAGGCCATAAAAGATGCTTGAACAGAAAAATAAAATTAAAATAATTTTTAGGTAAATTAAGTCAATTAGCAGTACACAACAGAGCAGTCTACAGTGTGTTTTGAGGAGAATGCCGGAAATAAAACTAGAGAGAGTGGGAGGAGTTAAAAATCTGTCACAGTAGTAATTGAAGATAACTTTTCTTATGAGTGGCTGCCTGCCTCTCCTCCACAATGCCCTACTACACTACTCACTGAGTATCTTGTCATATTAATACCTGGTAGTAGTCAACATTTGGCCGATGTGAACATGCTGGAAAAAATACAAGTCTTATACTTCTGGATATCATCTTTTGTCCACATTGTCTACCATAGTAGATTCCTAACATGTTTACTTCATGAGCAGTAAAGGGCTTGGTATGGTGGAGGCAGTGGGAATAAACAGAACGGAAGAACCCAAGATATATAAAATTATCAACACTTGTATCAATTTGGTATTAAGGTTCTTACCACTTTATTTTTATTTTTTTAAAATGGAGAATGGGTCTCGCTATTTTGCCCAGGTGGGTCTTGAACTCCTAGGCTCAAGCTAACCTCCCGCCTCTGCCTCCCTAAAAGCTGGGATTACAGGCATGAGTCACTGTGGCCAGCTCTTACCACTTTTTTTAGTACCTCAACTTTTGTTACTTTTCAAAGTAACATATACATTATGGCCTATATATCTGGTCTATTGCTGGATTATTTTTATGGCTGTGATCTAAGAATTACTTTTACATTTTTAATGGTTGAAAAGAAAAAAAGGATATTTCATGATACATAACTATTATATGAAATTCAAATTTCCTGTAAATAAAGTTCTACTGGAACACAATCATGTCCATTTGTTTATGTATTGCTAAGGGTGCTTTCATGCTATAATGATAGAGACGGATAGCTGTGACAGAGATCATATGGCCTGCAAAGTTGAAAATATTTGTTTGGCTTTTCACAGAAAACAATTTGCCAACCCCTGCCCTATATCATAACATATTTTTTATTTGGCAATACTTGCAAAATTTATAAACATGCTTTTTTTACGAAAGGTTACAAGGATCTCTGCATTTTCTACTAAACTATTATTCATGCTTTTCACCTGCTAATTTTACAATTCCAGCAATCCAGAAGACTTTGGTAGGTAGGCTGCAGTCTGTATTGGGAACTTCTACTCTCACATTTTCTGAGATATCACCCCAGCAGGTCCCCATAGGTGCCTGTCACATAAAAATCATTAAATTATTGTCTTATTAACATAAAGCCTAAAACATATCAATGAAAATTAAGCAGTACCATCAATAATAGGAATATTAAACTAAAAATGTCATTTTAATTCCGTTTGTTTCCTAGAATTCTATCTGGAAAAAGCCAGTTTCAGGGACAAACAAGATAAAGAGAAAATTCACATATATTAGACTAGATTCATGCTGACTTCAAAATCTGATACTGTCCTAATATGAGATTTAAGCAGCGATTTTTCTATGAGTGGAATTACAAACTCAATAGCAGATTTAATAGGATTAAACTGATTTAAGAAATTTTTAATATGTACTGAGTGAATACACTTCACCCTAATTTCTACTTTTAAAAGATCTGGCCTAAGAGCAGAAAGAAAAACAATTCCAATCAGCAGTGTGGTTTCCAACAACATGAATAAGAGAAATGAAAATTTTCAATTTAAATTAAATTCATAGATTAGAAATCTAGTCCACATAGATGGACGTGAGGGAAAAGCACTGGATAAAGTTATTAAGAAGGTGGAGTTGAAGAGTTTTGGAGATGAGTACCATGGTAAACTATTTAAATTATTATTTCAAAATTTCTCATGTAGAAATTACTATAAAGAGAAAACTTCCAATGTTAGAACCGGTAATCACTAGCCTCCCACAGCAAATGGTTAAGATGGGGACTCGGAAAATCAATTAAATGAGCATCATGAAGGGATTTTCTGAAATCTAACAGATGTTCCCAAAGTATTGTTTCCATTATATTTTAATCTTTAAAACTCAAGGCAATTCACAATTACTTGGAACTTATGCAATGGTAAATTAAATCAAATAAGCAAATTTAAGAATATAAATGCTGATAACACTAAACAGTTTGTGTTGCTCTGGACAGTCAGTTCCTCATTCAATTTAGAATGTTGATCATAAAGAAAAGGATTATGTGAGGTTATAAAAGACTTGATAGTATGAACAAATCAGGAAAAACCAAAATAGCCTCAAAGCTCAAAGATGAGCAAAGATATCTAGGAGTTACATGAACTAGCCAATTTGAACATTAGGCAAATGTCCTCCATGCAAGGCCCCTCCTACTTTGGTGGATGCTCACCCAACAGGAGGATTAGCCTAAAACAACATTCAACCCCTACCCTCTTAGTAGTTTCTGGAATTTCTGAAGGAGAGGAAGAGAATGTCAAATACTGAAGTTGGATAAGTCTAGAAACCAAAGACAGAATCAATTAATGGCTACTGGTTTAAGTAGTAAGCAATGAGTTTACCTCAGTAACTTGGAGAAATGGACAAGCTCAACTATTTGCGGTTCTGGAAGGGTACATATAACTATCTCCCCGACTTGTGCAAAAAATAATATATTCATTGTGACTACCTCTTCTTTAAACTGAAAGACTGGACTCTTCAGGTTCTGCTATCTTTCCCCTATATCATTCTAGACTGTAGGGCCATCCCTATTGCCAGCAGATATGATTAAAAAGGAGACACTAGAAAGAAGACAGGTAACATAGAATAAACTAACATATATTAACACAAAGATCATGTATTAATTTCTGTGAGGATGTACCTATTCGAGTAGATAGATGCAGTTAAATGAATGCAGTGCAGCATCCATCCCTCTGTCTGGTTACCAAATCTGTGAATTGGGTTTATTTTTCACTGAGAAGAAAGAGGCGTGCTTATGCTAATGAGCTGGGGGTCAGGTTGGCACACTGGTAAGTAAGTTTGGCATACAGTACTCCTTTTTGAGCTAAATGTGTCATAGACTTTTATTTTTTTAAAGCCTTAACATTTGTTGGAGAAAACTTTTAATATTATTTTATTAAAGAAAACAAAATGTCAATATGCTTGCTTAAAAAATAATGTTCACTTTGGTGGAGGATACTGTGTTTTGGTCCCTACAGTCTGGATTGGTATAGGAGAAAGTAGCAGAAAGTGACATTTGTTCTTGCCTGTAAGGTTGTGGTTCTGCTAGGCCCTCTTAAACCAATCCATATGGTTCATTCTAAGAAAAAAAGTGAAGAAACAAAAACATCAACAAGAAAGAGCACCACGGTCATAGCATAGTATGTGCTCAATGTGTTGAAATAACACGGTAATTTCATAGATATGTCTGCCCTTTTGTTTAAAATGAATATTCTTAAGTGTGGAAGACTAAATGACCCAGGGCTTGACAGCCATCTTCATCCAAGTCATCTGTCTTCTCTTGCTGGCAGGAGGGATACCTCTGAAAGTCTGGATTGGCATAGCATGAACTAGCAGAACCATAATTTACAGGTAACAACAAATTTACCTTCCAGACTCAGGACGCGAGGTCCACCTCAGGCTCCTCCCAAACAAGGAAGATCTGCTCCACCACTTCCTGCTCCAGGGCCACTCGTGAGGGCTATCTGGGAGCGACTCTCCTTCCCTGCAAGGTAAGCTGTCATCAGGTCCTGCAGGACATGGCCAAATCCAAATGCTGAGGGGTCCCCAACACAAATGTATGACAACCTCCACATGACTGTAAGAAAATAAGTGGGTGGGAAGTCTTATTTGCTGTACTTCAAGATCATTCCCAGATGGTCCAACAGCTCAGCTGGCTAGTATTCAGACTCTCAGGAGGTTGATGCACTGCACACACGATGCTTTATGGCAGAGATACAGATTTCCCTCTGCAGAGCTGCCAACCAAAGACAACCATACAATCTTTAATATTAATCTGTAAGTGGGCAGAGACAAGACCTGAGGTTGCATATAGGTAACCAAGAAGGAATAATTTATCCCAATGAGATGGCAAATGTACAAAAAGCCATCATCAAAATGTCTTCAGACTAACAGGCAAAGTACATCTAGCAGAGGATGATGAAATATTATTTGGAAGGGGAGAAAACATTACAGAAAATTAAGTAGAAAGAAATGAGAGTTCCTAACTACTTACAGAATTTTCTGGTAGAAAGTAGAAAAAGAAAAGAAAAACTGTTCCTGCCTTCTCCATAAAGTCCACTCACCTTTTTTTTGAGACAGAGTCTTACTCTGTCGCCCAGGCTGGAGTGAAGTGGCGCGATCTCGGCTCACTGCAACCTCCGCCTCCTGGGTCCAAGCCATTCTCTTGCCTCAGCCTCCCGAGTAGCTGGGATTACAGGCGCATGCCACCAAGCCTGGCTAATTTTTGTATTTTTAGTTTTGCCATGTTGGCCAGGCTGTTCTCTAACTTGTGACCTCAGACGATCTGCCTGCCTCAGCCTCCCAAAGTACTGGGATTACAGGCATGAGCCACTGTGCCTGTCCTCTACTCATCTTTTGATTTGATACCAGAATCTATCTTTTGGGGTGGTGGTAGCAGGCAGATGGGGAGTCCAAGGAGAGGACAAAAAGGAAAATGGGAGGCCTAGGGTGGAAGTAAGATTAAGGCTGAGATAATGCTATGTATATGTAAAAAGATAGGAAGCACTGGTTACTAATTTGAAAGGCGGCCAGGTGTGGTGGCTCACGCCTGTAATCCCAGCACTTTGGGAGGCTGAGGCAGGTGGATCACCTGAGGTCAGGAGTTCAAGAGCAGCCTGGCCAATATGGAGAAATCCTGTCTCTATTAAAAATACAAAAATTAGCTGGGTATGGTGGCACATGCCTGTAGTTCTAGCTACTTGGGAGGCTGAGGCAGGAGAATCACTTGAACCCAGGAGGCAGAGGCTGCAGTGAGCCAAGATTGTGCTACTGCACTCCAGCCTGGGCAACAGAGCAAGACTCTGTCTCAAAACAACAACAACAACAACAACAACAACAACAACAACAACAACATGCATAAAACAGTCCATAATTTTTTTTAAAAAACCATATTAAACCAATATCACTAAAGAATTGGCATGGTGTGGTGGCTCACGCCAAGGACTTTGGGAGGCCAAGGTGGGCAGATCACTTGAGGCCAGGAGTTCAAGACCAGCCTGACCAACAAGGTGAAACCCTGTCTCTACCCAAAACACAAAAATTAGCCGGGTGTGGTGGCACGCACCTGTAGTCCCAGCTAGTCAGGAGGCTGAGACACAAGAATTGCTTGAACCCAGGAGGCGAAGTTTGCAGTGAGCCAAGATGGTGCCATTACACTCCAGCCTGGGTGACAGAGCAAGACTACATCTCATAAAAAAAAAAGAAAAAAAAAAAAAGGAAAAAAAAATTTAAGTTAGGCTTTCTTTAAAACAACGGAAAGACAGGGCCAGGCATGATGGCTCATGCCTGTAATCCCAGTACTTTGGGAGGCCAAGGTTGGGGGATTGCTTGTACCCAGCAGTTTGCAACAGCCTGGACAACATGGCGAAACCCCGTCTTTACTAAAAATAGAAAAAAATTAATACAAAAAATTATCTGGGCATGGTGGTGTGTGCCTGTAGTCCCAGCTACTTGTGAGGCTGAGGTGGGAGAGTCACCTGAGCCCAAGAAGTTGAGGCTGCAGTGAGCTGTAATCGTGCTACTGGACTCTAGCCTGGGCAACAGGAGTGAGACTGTTTAAAAAAAAAAAAAAAAAGACAAGACAGGTGATGTTTATTATGTTAGAGTCCACTGCTTTCCCGCAGAGAGTTTATTTCATGGCAACACTCAGACTAGCTAACTGAGATGGAGCACTAAGAAGTACCAGAAACTAATTTAAGTTTTATTTCCATTAGAAGGAAAATCCTGCAATCTAGAATGCTACATTGAAGATTTTAACTTTCGTTAAAATGGAGATGAAGTATTATGATTTATTTCTAACCTTTAATAGAGTCCTGTGTGTGGGGTCACGACTAGGGAAAAAAAAAACCAAAAATGACTCTACTTGAAAAAGATTTTACTAATAAGCACATAACTGAGAAATAGATAATGAGTTTTACTGTAAACTATTGCTACTGTACATACACAAAAGGGCTTTTATTTTTCTTTCCTTAAAACCTAAAAGTATATGGGATACACACTGCAAAAAAACATGGTAACTTTATCCCTTCAAAAAAGCTGACATACATATAGGTCAGGCAAAAGAAAGAGGATTAGAGTATGTCACGTAAGTAACAAGAGGGTATCTGTGGAGGCAGAATGAAAAAGTATGCGGCCAGGCGCGGTGGCTCACACCTGTAATCCCAGCACTTTGGGAGGCCGAGGTGGACAGATCACGAGGTCAGGAGTTCGAGAACAGCCTGACCAACATGGTGAAACCTTGTCTCTACTAAAAATACAAAAATTAGCCGAGTGTGGTTGTGTAGGCCTGTAATCCCAGCTACTCAGGAGGCTGAGGCAAGAGAATTGATTGAACCCGGGAAGCAGAGGTTGCAGTGAGTCGAGATCACACCACTGCACTCCAGCCTGACTGAAAGAGTGAGACTCCGCCTCAAAAAAAAAAAGAAAAGAAAAGAAAAGAAAAAGTATGATAAACTCAGCTGAAAAGTTTCTGCATCTATGTGTACAAATGACTTTTTTTTTTTTTTTTGGTACAAACTACAACTGTATTTGAGGGAGAAAATGGGATGATTTCAACATTTCTGATCTTAGTAAAGACAGCATCAATAAGACATGGGATTATTAGTTTAGGTACCAAACAGAAGAAATCTGAAGTCTGTAAATATAAAACTGAAAGAAAATGACTTTATGTACATTTATACATTTTAGCCCGTGCTACAATACCCAGGAAAAAAAAAGTTTTACTTGATTTCACATGGCAAATAATGGGAAATAGAAGTGCTTCAATTTAGTCTTTAAGTAATTAAAAAATAATGAAGAGTGCTTAATTTATTTATCTATTTATTTTTGAGATGGAATTTTGCTCTTATTGCTTAGGCTAGAGTGCAGTGGCGCAATCTCAGCTCACTGCAACCTCCACCTTCCGGTTTCAAGCAATTCTCCTGCCTCAGCCTCCCAAGTCTAGCTAATTTTTTTTCTATTTTTAGTAGAGACGGGGTTTCACCATGTTGATCAGGCTGGTCTTGAACTGCTGACCTTGTGATCCGCCTGCCTCGGCCTCCCAAAGTGCTGGGATTACAGGCGTGAGTCACCGTGCCTGGCCTGAAGAGCATATATTTTTATTTATTTTTTGAGACAGTGTCTCATTCTGTCACCTAGGCTGGAGTGCAGTGGTACGATCAGGGCTAACTGCAGCCCTGACCTCCTGGGCTCAAGCAATTCTTCCCCTTCAGCCTCCTGAGTAGCTGGGACTACAGGCATGTGCCACCATGCCCAGCTAATTTTTTTGTAGAAATGAGGTCTCACTATGTTGCTCATGCTAGTCTCAAACTCCTGGGCTCAACTGATCCTCCTACCTTGGCCTCCCAAAATGCTGGGATTACAGGCATGAGCCACTGCTCTTGGCTAGAGTGCTTTAAAGCCAAATGTTCTGAATATACAGACATCAACTGAAGGCTCTGCTGGGTTAAAGTTAAATTACTAATAGAAAATAATCTGTGAATTTCTTTGATCTATACATTGCACCTAACTGGCATATAATACTGTATTACTATTTTGGAGATTTTTCCACCATTAGGATAGATATGGATACTGCTCTTAGGGGCTTAATTAAAAAGCACATTAAAAAAAAAAAAAGACTTGCATTATGAAAAATGGGTTAAAGCCCAAAGCTGAAAATTATAGTCCAGCTACTCAACAAAGTAGCAAGTATTCTTCATTTATAAGAGATGGACTAGCTGAACCAGATGATTTTAAAGATGCCTTCTAGCTTTGTGATTTAGGATTAATTAAAAGTGATATTACCCAATTTTAGTGGTTTCCAGCCTCAGGAACTGCCAACGATGGGGTGTTCAAATGTCAGGAGCCAAGGCTCTGGCAGCAACACCCCATCTCTGCCAGAACAATCAACGCAGTTTCCTCTTATCCTGTGTTCTGAGGTCTAAGATTTTTGTTAGAGAAAAGGGGAATTCTTGCCAATGTATGGCAAGTAAAGAAAAGAAAAAAAAAAAGGGCAATTATGATGCTTAAATAAAAGGTCTGAAAAACTAACCCCTAGATACAATAAAAGACATATCGGCCAATCATAATACACAGATTTTTTAGTAGTATATATGTGTGTGTGTATGTGTGTATATATATGTATAAACACACACATATATATATACATACACACATATGTATATATGCACATCATATATATATACACATACACATACACTTTTGTAGAGACAAGGTCTTGCTATGTTGACCAGGCTGGCCTCAAACTCCTGGCCTCAAGCCATCTTCCTACCTTGGCCTCCCAAAGTGTTGGGATTACAGGTATAAACCATTGTGCCCAGCCTAAGTAGAAATATTAAATGTCAATTGGGGCTTGATTTCCACTGCCGATTATAAAAAAAAAATTGTCCAATACTGTTGTAATTGAGTGACTGAGTATAAGCCACTATAAATAGTTACAGGAATTATCAAAAAAGATATAGTCCTATGATCTACTCTGTAGAAAGTTCTTTCTCAGAAGCTTACAGACAGACCATGGAAAGAAGAATTATATTCTTGAAATTCTATGATTTTAGAACTAATCACAGTAATATCTAAGTGCTGGAAAACAGAAAGTATTTATCTGGGATCCTTATTCTAGAAGAAGAGGTTGGGTTAAGTTAAAGAAGCCAGGGCTCTGACAGCGTCCCCATCCCAATTCCTGACTCAATCACAACAGCTCCGCTTCCGTGTTACATGTTACATGCTGGGTGTTCTTTCATAAATTATGTTTGAAAAAGAATCCCCTAGGAGCAGGAAAGGCTCCCGACTTGTACTCAAGTAGAAGAGAAGGCAGGTGTAGAGTCTGGAACAAAGAGGCCTTCCTGACTAATGAACCAGTTTCAGAGCAAGTATCAAGTCTTAGAAGACTTTGATGATACAAGGCAGGATCTTGTACTCCTAGTAGCTCCTGACTATAGGTTTTCTAAAGACAAAGCTAGTAACTCTCCTTAGAGACCCAGAAAACTGTTTCGGAGGGGACAACCAGGAAGAGTCAACTCTAAAGGACAAAATCAAGTGCAGCAATGAAGTGTGGCCCCCTTAACAAAATGGCTTCAAATGAATATGCCAGTTAAGAGAGCAAGCTCTTTGTACAAAAACATACCAAGGAATTACTAAGACAGATTTTTCCTGTTTGATAAGAAGGCAGTAAAGAGAGGTAAATGGAACAGGAAGGCACTGGGTCCACATAATTGAGAAACAGATGCCTCACTTCTGAGTGAGAAAGCAGAGGCTCCACATTCTTATCATTAATCATGTGGTAAGGTTAGCTGCTTGATTCCCTGATAGAACATTTCAATCTCAAAAAAGGCAGAATTGAACAAAGTCAATCAAGTTCATTATTACCATAGAGATTTTCTCATAAATAACTTTAATATAGTATAACAATTCAAAGATTTGGACAGAAAACAAAATGTTATGCTTCTGGGGTTGAAATGCCATTTTTTTTAATACCCTGACTACTTACAGAAAACAGTCTGATATGGTTTATAATATAAAAGGAGATACAAAGAGAGAGAAAGGCCATTCCGAAGGAGACAAAAGACAAATGTTCCAGGAATCTGAGATGAAAGAGTTACTGTAACTGAGAACTTAATCTAATTCTGAGCGTCAAGAAAGCAATATCCCAAGAGAAGAGAGTTAAAGATTTTCTTTTTAAAGATCTCTCTTTAAAGCTGCTATTGCTGTGTATGGAATATTTCTCACAAATGTGACACTATTATCAACATTACAGCAAAATAAATCACCTACTTTACACAGAAATAAGATTCCATTTAAGGCAAGATGTCACTGACTAAGGGCTTCATATTGTATTTTCAAGAATGAGAATTAGCAAATTAACCTGCTTGACTTTGATCAAACTCCTTTAATGGCCATGAATCAGTGAAAATTCACTTAGATTTCTACAACAGGAACCTAAGCTCAGCTTTGTTCATATGCTGTTATCTAAAAATAAAGCCCTAATTTTTTTTTTTTTTTTTTTTTTGAGACTGAGTGTCGCTCTATTGCCCAGGCTGGAGTGCAGTGGCGTAATCTCAGCTCACTGCAACCTCTGCCTCCTGGGTTCAAGTGATTCTCATGCCTCAGCCTCTCGAGTAGCTGGGACTACAGGTGCCCACCATCACCCCTGGCTAATTTTTGTATTTTTAGTAGAAACGGGGTTTCACCATGTTGGCCAGGCTGGTCTTGAACTCCCGACCTCAGGTGATATGCCTGCTTCGGCCTCCCAAAGTGCTGGGATTACAGGCGTGAGCCACCGTGCCCGGCCTAGAGCCCTAAGTTAACAAAATGTTAAATGCAAACAAAAGTTCATGTATTTTCTAAATTCTCTTTTCTTCTTAAACATGTATAGCAGCAGAAAAGATCTTTAAGTATTAATTAAAGTTGTAGTCAGGTTAAACAAGTATTGGACAGAATTAATCAAATCTAAAGGAATAAAATAATCAAAAGGAAAGAACTTGTCATCAGATAAATTTTAAACATAATTCTAAATTATTTTAAATGCTCTGTAACAATCCACTTGCTGAAAAGAAAACCTTTTAAAGGGTTTCTCATGATATATATATATAGCACATATTTTAGCTCACAATACTATGTTACTAATAGTTCCTTGTTTTTGTGACTTAACATTTGGAGACAAAAAAATTAGAAAAAAGATCCTTCCTCTTCTGAATTATCAGTTCAAATTGCAGATTTAAGTAACATACACAATGAATGGTTTGTTAGGTCAAATCGTATGACATTGTCAATATGCATATTTTTGATATACAATACTAGCAATTTCATTTACTTTCATTTTTTGTAGAAAAGAAGTCTCACTCTGTAGCCCAGGATGGTCTTGAACTCCTGACCTCAAGTGATCCTCCTGCCTCATTCTCCCAAGTTGCTAGGAATACAGTTGAGCCACTGTGCCCGGACAAAGCTAGCAGTTCAACTTAATATGAACATCTGATGAGGCTGGGTATGGTGGCTCATACCTGTAATCCCAGCATTTTGGGAGGCAAAGGTGGGAGGACTGCTTGATGCCAGGAGTTTGACACCAGCCTGGGCAACACAGCGAGACCATGTCTTTACAAAAAAATTTAAAAAATAAATAAATATAAAAGAAAATTAGTATTTATAAGAGAAGACTAGTACTTCTCCCTGTTTAAAATAACTTCAAACTGCAATTTCTCTATAGGAAACTTGTACTTACAAAACTTACAGAAGTTCTTGTTAACTATTATTAAGTATAATAATAAAAGAAGCATTTCAGTTACAAGACATAAAAACAAACACCTTCTAAGGATAAGATGCTTAGGTGTTATTGTACCTTCAGATTTAAACAATGACTAAGTACTTCAAAATAAGGTGAGAAATTCTGTACTTACATGTTTAAAACAGGTAACCGGAGCTGCTATAAAGCTATTGCTATTGATGTAGTTACCCCAGCTGAAACCTTCCATGGAGACTGCTAAAATGAAACAAATTTAGATGTATTATAATTCTCAAATCTTTTATTTATAAGAAGGTTATCATTGTTAAAATGTGTGAAAGGACATAAAATTAATTTATCCCATTTAAAGAACGTTTTCTTTATGTAAAGATCAAATAACTTCTCTAAATAGCATGAGCTTTGGCTTATATCATATTTGCAAACAAACAGGAGTTTCTTTATGTTTTTGAGACTGAGTCTCCCTCTGACACCTAGGCTGGAGTGCAGTGGCATGATCTTGGCTCACTGGAACTTCTGCTTCCCAGGTTCAAGTGATTCTCCTGCCTCAGCCTCCCGAGCATCTGGGACTACAGGTGCATGCCACCACACCCAGCTAATTTTTGTATTTTTAGTAGAGACGGGGTTTCACCATATTGGCCAGGCTGGTCTTCAACTCCTGACCTCGTGATCCACCTGTCTTGGCCCTGGGATTACAGGTGTGAGCCACCACGCCTGGCCAGGAGTTTCTTAACTGTTCTATACATGACACATGCTCCTGAGGAAGTGAGGTACAAGCTCTTTGGTTAAGGGGAACAAAGAGAAGTTGAGAGAAGTGTACAGAATGACAAACACTGTTGTGGCTGCTTTTGTGCTTTTATTTCCATTCAGTTCTTGCCATGTACCTCAGTGAGATACCTACCCCATATCACTTTTAATTACCTCACTTTCTATTTACTTCTATTTACTCACTTATTGCCTCTTCTATTTACTCACTTATTGCCCTTCTCACTATTTACTCTCTTATTGCTCTCCTCATTATTTACTCACTTATTGCTTCACTTTCTATTTACTTCTATTAAAAATCTTCTGGCTGGGCGCTGTGGCTCACACCTGTATTCCCAGCACTTTGGGAGGCTGAGGTGGGTGGATCATTTGAGGTCTGGAGTTCTAGACCAGCCTGGCCAACATGGTGAAACCCTATCTCTACTAAAAATACAAAAATAAGCCAAGTGTGGTGGCGTGCGCCTGTAGTCTCAGCTACTTGGGAGGCTGAGACATGAGAATTGTTCGAACCCATGAGGCAGAGGTTACAGTGAGCCGAGATCACGCCACTGAACTCTAGCCTGAGTGACAGAGCAAGACTCTGTCTCCAAAAAAAAAAAAAAAAAAAAAAAAAAATCTATTGGAAATGGTCCTTTCCTTAATCTCCTCTTACTACTCTTCTTCCCTCAATCCCTTTGAAGCCTGCTGAACATCCCATTTCTTTGCCTAATATCTTCACAATTCAAAGAATCTGTACATGAAAAGTAAATAATAAACCAAATAAAAACATTAAGGAGACTGCCAAAAGCACTTGAACTTATGCATGCAACTATACTCTTCTAGAGTAATTTATTGAAATCAAAACAACTATTAGGAAGCTTAGAGCTGTAATGTGCTGACAGGACATAGAAACAGCTAGTTAAACAGAATTCAAAATTACAATGTCATTAATTAAAACTAAATGAATCAATGTCATATATTTCACCTCTGTCAGATTCACCAATATTACCTGCTTTTGTCTTTGCTTGATTTTGCAAGGTAGCTTGATACTGAGCATATGCGGCTAGCTTAGCAACTAAAGGTTGTTTCTGAAGAACTTTTGCTTTCTTTGTTGGAGGCTTACCCTAAAACAAGAAAAGTTAAGTAAATAGGATTCTTTTTCATCCCCTCACCACCACAATTTAACTGGACTGCATACTACACATTCTGCTTAAGTAAACATTGAGGGTTTAGAAAATTATTAAAGCAGAGGAAACATACAAGAATTTTAACATGAGAATTTTTTTCTGGAGTTCTGCTACAATGTAGTTATCTAATATGGGTAGCAGAGCTGGCATAGACTACAACAGCAATATGCAAATTAATATGTTAATAAAAAATTATATCCCACAAGATGTTAAAATATAGGCTGTGGTGGATACTTGATTCCTTCTTACAGTAGATAGAACCAGTGGTTATTTACTCATGCAGGTTGCCAAGCATTGCTATTTATATGGTAAGAGAAGATAATTTAATGTTCAAAGAGCAAGTGACTGAGGTTTATACCTTTAGTGCTAACGCAAAAGATCAATGACAAAATGATCATGGGCCAAATTCACAGTGTGACAAACTGCCATCCATTTGGGTACAGACCACTGCTCAGGATCTTTAGGTACTGTCTATCTGAAATATAGAAATACATCTAAGTGATGTATTTCCTTAATTTGGAGGATTTAAATAACCCTTTCAGTGCTATGTAATGATCACAATAATAAATTAAATGAGAAGACTGTGATCATCCAATAAAAATACTGCAAAAATCAGTTAAGTTAATGCCTTTAAAAAGTAGTTTACAATACAATAGTAAGAACTTAGTCAAATGGTCAAGTCTCCAGTCATTTTGTAGGCACTGATGTACATTTAAAGCAAGACGATTTTCTTTCCATACCATGAGCGTTGTCAAAAAGGTTAGTTGGATTAACCAAATACATTTGGTCAATGTATCAAATGGATTGTACTAAAAAGTACAAAGCGAGGACGATGAGAAAATAAAACCAGAGATTAAATTATTTCCCCCCAAATGTTGAAAGATTCTACCTTGATGTTAACACAAAAGGAAACAAGGGGAAACAGGAAAATGTCTTCAATTTCTGTATATAAAAAAGTGTTTATACTTATTTGGAAAAAGGATATTTTAATTAACTTCTGCAAATAATAGTTTATTTGGATAGTATGCCTTATCCATTTAAAATAGTTTTTCAATTTTATAGGCTGAACAAACTTTGGGGCTCACATGTTTCCTCAAGATGTGGTATAAAACCATAACTGAGTGGGCAGAGGTGGAGTACAGTGAATCACAGTCAAATGACAGATAAATGGCAAAAGCCATAGAAATAATGGATATAAGTAAGAAAGTTTCTGTACCGTTACCTGAAGTCTGGCCAAAATGCTTGCCTTCTTGGAGTTTGACGAGTAACTTCTTGAACATGAAACGCTACAGAAACGCTTTGTTTTAGAGTAAAAAGCATCTCGGACGCCAACCATCCCACACATCTCACAGGTAGCTAATTAACAAAATAAAAACACTGGTGTTATGATGATATAATAAAATCAATCTTCATCTAACAGTTTAAATAATTTCTCCTGCCATCTGAAAGTTTTAATTAAAAAATTTGCCTTGAACATTTCTTCTATCTCCTATACAAATGATAAAGAAGCCTGCACAGAGAAGTCAGAGAGAACACTGGTATTGTGCCATGGTGATGGGCTCTATAAGGTCTGATAGTGGCTTGAGGTCTGAAAGGTTTACAAAGGGTCAACAGAAACAGGGCAGATACGCTGGATTCAACCAACATTTCCTTAGTGCTTACCATGTGCCAGGCATTTTCATATACAACAAATTCCAGCTTTTGAAATGATTACACTTGAAAGATGAAAAGTGCCACACAACTGAGGATTAATAACAAAGTATAACACAGGCCTTTAAAATACTGCAAAGGTTGAAACTTAAAAAGAGGTAATACTTGGAAAAATGCTAAGAGCTGTATGAGGATTCCTTCAAGTTATGTTTAGGGGACAAAAAAAAGGAATGGGTTCAAAGTTTGAGGTAGAGGCCAGGTGTAGTGACTCATGCCAGTAATCCCAGAACTTTGGGAGGCCGAGGCAGGAGAACTGGCTCAAGGCCAGGAGTATGGGACCAGCCTGGGCAAGATAGCAAGATCCAGTATCTTCAAAAAATAAAAATAAAAAAGAGCCAGGCATGGTAGCACACACCTGTAGTCCCAGCTATTCAGGAGGCTGAGGCGGGAGGACTGCTTAAGTCCAGGAGTTCAGGGTTACAGTGAGCTATGATCGCACCACTGCACTCTCGCCTGGACAACAGAAGGAGATCCTGAATCAAAAACAAAAAACAAAACAAAACAAACAAACAAAAAACAAAACAAGTTTGACGTAGGTGCTCTATTATTAATCAGTGATAGTGGGAAACAGCAGAACTCTTGGCTACTATTGCATAATAGACAATAATTTGAAAGGTAGAATTAGAACAAGGTTCACAAGAATTGAAGTTTAAAAAAGATAAACAAAAAGTAACATAGCAAATAACTGCCTTAGTGAGTTAAAGCCTCCACCCAAACAGGTAAACTGGAGAAGCCTGTAGTGTAACTGGTACGGTTGGCTCTGTGCTTCCATGGGTTCTGTATCTGTGGATTCAACCAAAAGCAGACTGAAAATATTTTGGGAAAAAAAAATTGCGTCTGTACTGACCATACACAGACCGTTTTTTTCTTATTATTCTCTAAACAGTATAGTATTAACAATTATTTGCATGGCATTTACATTGTATTAGCTATAAGTAATCTAGACATGATTTAAAGTATATGGAAGGATGTGCGTAAGTTATATGTAAATACCACATCATTTTATATAAGGAATTTGAGCATTTGTGAATTTGGTATCTGAGGGAAATCTTGGAACCAATCCCCCATGGATACCAGGGGACAACTGTACTTACTTACAAATCTATGAGAAATCATGGAAAAAAGATAAAAATGCCAGAAGATTGCAGGTGAACAAAGGGTATCTACTGGGAGAGAAAACTAAACGGTTTTCTGTTGCAAAAATTCTAGAATAGATTGTTAAAGAACGTTCTGAACACCTAGATAGAAAAGTTGTGATCCCAAGGAAACAGTGAATCTTTGCCAGAAATTATACATGTCAAACTAGAATTCCCACAAGTAGGATGCAAGTTCCATCAGGACAGGAAACTTATTCTGTGTTGTTCATCTGCTATCTCCAGTATTTAAAATAGATGCTAGCACACACAAAGCTTCAATAAACGTTATTTCCTTTTATGATAGGATTACTAGGCTGGTATGTTATAATCAAACCATGGCAAGAATATACACTAACAGGAGCTAACACATTTGATAAAATCTCATGTAGCTTTGATAACAGGACTGAGAAATTTCAGCTGGAGTAGAAGACACGGGTAGTTTTTTTGTTTTGTTTTGTTTGTTTTTTTTGAGACACAGTCTCGCTCTGTCACCCAGGCTGGAGTGCAGTGGCACCATCTCGGCTCACTACAACCTCCGCCTTCCGGATTCAAGCAATTCTCCTGCCTCAGCCTCCTGAGTAGCTGGGACTACAGGCACACGCCACCATGCCTGGCTAATTTTTTGTTAGAGATGGGGTTTCACCATGTTGCCCAGGCTGGTCTCGAACTCCTGAGCTTAGGCAATCTGCCCGCCTCAGCCTCCCAAAGTACTAGGATTACAGGTGTGAGCCACCAACGCCCAGCGACACCCAGGTAGGTTTTAACTGGAGGATGACCAAACCCAGTGAATCCTGATAAATGAAGTTTTTTGATATGGTCTGCATGACTCTCTATCAGCCCCTGAGCTGTTCATAATTTTTTTTAGTTTTTTGAAGTCTCGCTCTGTAGCCAGGCTGGAGTGCAGTGGCGTGATCTCAGCTCACTGCAACCTCTGCCTCCTGGGTACAAGCAATTCTCCTGCCTCAGCCTCCTGAATAGCTGGGACTACAGGCACATGACACCATGCCCAGCTAATTTTTTTCAATTTTTTTTCGCAGAGACGGGGTTTCACCATGTTGTCCAGGATGGTCTCGATTTCTTGACCTCATGATCTGCCTGCCTCGGCCTCCCAAAGTGCTGGGATTACAGGCATGAGCCACCGCACCTGGCCACGCTATTCATCTTTTTAACCAAAAGACTAGAATAGGACCAACAGGGCAGAATTATCAAAACTGAAAATGATATAAAACTGGAAGATTAGATGACACAGCATTCAATATTAGATGACAGAATTAGCAATAAAAAATTTCTAAGACTGGGCAGGGTGCAGTGGCTCACACCTGTAATCCCAGCACTTTGGGAGGCTGAGGCAGGTGGATCGCTTGAGTTCAGGAGTTTGAGACCAGCCTGGGCAATATGGTGAAAATTGCCCGTCTCTGAAAAAAATACAAAAATTAGCCAGGTATGGTAGCATGTGCCTACAGTACCAGCTACTTGGGAGGATGAGGTGAGAGGATCACCTGAGCTCGGGAGGCAGAGATTGCAGTGAGTCGAGATCTTGCCGCTGCCATTCCAGCCTGGGTAATACAGCAAGACTGTCTCAACAACAACAACAACAAAAGCCTGGGCGTGGTGGCTCACCCCAGTAATCCCAGCACTTTGAGAGGCCGAGGCAGGCAGATTGCTTAAGGTCAGGAGTTTGAGACCGGCCTGGCCAATATGGTGAAACCCTATCTTTACTAAAAATATGAAAATACGCCAGGCATGGTGGTGCAGGCCTGTAGTCCCAGCTACTTGCGAGGCTGAGGCAGGAGAATTGCTTGAACCCGGGAGGTGGAGGCTACAGTGAGCCGAGATTGCACCACTGCACTCCAGCTTGGGCATCAGAGTGAGACTGTCTCAACAACAACAACAACAATTTCTAAGACTGAAAGTTAGTAAGAAAAAGGTTATATAGAGAGATCCAAAGTCCTACATCTTGGGTTTAAAAAGTTAACTGCAGTAAGACTGGTTTAAACTGGGTTAGTTCATGTGGTAAAGGTCAAAGGATATCAGTTATTTACAAGTTCATTATCATTTTCAAGAAAGCTAAAGCAATTTTGGTGGCATGAATGGAAACAGTGCCTTGAAAAGGGGAGATAAAGGTTGAATGATCTTCTGGCCTCACACAGGGTGACCATTTGTTTGGTTCCCACATTTCCAGGATGTGGGACTTTCAATGGTAAAACCAGGACAGTTCCAGGCAAATCAGGATGACTTGTTACCCTACTACCACATAATCTGAAGTATCCCCAGAATACAGTGACCAGGATATCAAAGAATTAAATCACTGGGATACACCATGAGAGAAATGGTTGAAGCAACTATGGCTCCTTGGTATGCCTTAGAGATAAACTAGAACGAAGGGTTCTATTGTGGAGAAAAAAGATGTCATTAGAACAAGGATTAGAATTATTCTGTGTAGCTTTAAAAAGCAAAACTTTCCAGACTCCCAGAAGCAAAGTTAAAAAGGCAAAACTAAGACCAAAAGATAAAAGTTGGAGGAAGGAAATTTTGGTTCAATAAAGACACTATTCTAGTAATTTGAGATACTAAGAAATGAAACTGCTTCCTTTTTCATTTCCTTTTTCTTTTTCAAGCCAGATTTTAGGCAGAGAGAAATTCCTTACTGAGTCAGAGAATATCCAAGCACCAGTTATGTTAAAACGGAAATTATAAGAAATTAATATAGAGGAGGGAGCCCAACCTCGAATGTCTCTTTCAATTTTATAAGCCCATGATCCTATGCACTTATACTTTCAGTTACAGAGGCATTTCTTATCTAATTACTAAATTTATATCCACATGAAGTTTCTCACTGGCCTTTTTTTGTTGTTGTTGTATTTGCTTTCCACCAGGAGGTAGGCAAAATAAAGAGTTAAACACCAACTCAGTGATCTTATCTCGAATTATAAACGTCAGCTCTTCAAACTGCCCCTTAATAATTCTAAGGAAGGGGAAATGACAGAAGAAACCAAATGAAAACACACCCTTAAACATAAAGCTGTAGAACAGGTGAAGGTTATAAATACTCACCCATGCCAGATTTACCATCTGGGTATGTGTAGACTTGCCCATTGTTTTTGATAATCGGGAGATTAGAAGGTAAAGGAGCGACTTCTTCCTCACTCTCTTCGGAGCTGGAGCTGCTGCTTGTGTCCTCACTGCAGCTATCATAACCGTCAAACATCCCGAAAGAATCTCTTCTTTTCCTTTCAGATCGTGAAGAATGTTCAGTCTTTGAAGTAAGAGAAACCAGTGACACATGACACAACACTCATACACACCCCCTAAAAGACCCTAGCACAAATTCTGGTAAATGAGATTTGATAAATGAAAACGCAGCCCTGAGAAATAACCATTTTCTTTCTTTTTTTTTTCTTTTTTTAAAAAATGCTTTGAGACAGAGTCTCGCTCTGTCACCCAGGCTGGAGTGCAGTGACAATCTTCGGTCACTGCAACCTCCACCTCCCGCACTCAGATGATCCTCCCACCTTGGCCTCCTGAGTAGCTGGGACTACAGGCAAGTGCCACCATCCCATAAACATTTTTGTGTTTTTTTTTTTGTAGAGATGGGGTTCTGCCATGTTGCCCAGGCTGGTCTTTAATTCCTCGTCTCAAGCAATCTGCCCACTCAAGCCTCCCAGAGTGCTCGGATTATGGATGTGAGCCACCTCCCTGCCTCAAGGGATGTCCTGCCTCTGCATCCCAAAGCACTGGGATGACAGGCGTGAGCCAGTGTGCCTCGCCCAGATTTCTTTTTTCTTTTTAATTATGGGATGGGCGTGGTGGCTCATGCCTATATTCCTAGCACTTTTTTTTTTTGAGACTCGGTCTCACTCTGTTGCCCAGGCTGGAGTGCAGTGGCACAATCTCGGCTCACTGCAACCTCTGCCTCCTGGGTTCAAGTGATTCTCCTGCCTCAGTCTCCTGAGTAGCTGTGATTACAGGTGCATGCCACCACACCCAGCTAATTTTCGTATTTTTAGTAGAGACAGGGTTTTGCCATGTTGGCCAGGCTGTTCTCAAACTCCTGAACTCAGGTGATCCGCCCACCTCGGCCTCCCAAAGTGCTGAGATTACAGGTGTGAGGCACCACACCCAGCCTAATCCTAGCACTTTGGGAGGCCGAGGTGGGATGATAGCTTGAGCCCAGGAGTTTGAGACCAGCCTGGGCAACATGGTGAGACTCCCACTCTACCAAAAAAAAACACAAAAAAACAAAACAAAACAAAAAAACCATATAAAAATAATTGTGGGCCAGGCATGGTGGCTCACTCCTATAATCCCAGCACTTTGGGAGGCCGAGGTGGTCAGAGGAGTTTGAGGAGTTGAGGAGTTTGAGACCAGCCTGGGCAACATGACGAAACCCTGACTCTACAAAAAATGCAAAAATTAGCTGAGTGTGGTGGCACGCATCTGTAGTCCCAGCTATGTGGGAGGATCACTAGAGCCTGGGAGGTGGAGGTTGCAGTGAGTTGAGATCATGCCACTGCACTCCAGCCTGTGTGACAGAGAGAGACCATGTCTCAAAAATAAAATAAAATAAAATAAAAATCGTGGTGAAATATACATAACAAACATGATTTTTAAATTTGCCTTTCATCTCTAAAACTAAACTTCTAGACCAATTTGGAGTATCCAGAAAATATGGATGCTTTTTTTCTTTCTTTTTTTGATGACAGAGTCTCGCTCTGTCACCCAGGCTGGAGTGCAGTGGTATGATCTCAGCTCACTGCAATCTCCATCTCCCAGGCTCATGTGATTCTTGTGCCTCAGTCTCTCGAGTAGCTGGGACTACAGGTGAGTGCCAACATGCCCAGCTAACTTTTGTACTTTTAGTAGAGATGGGGTTTTGCTATGTTGGTGAGGATGGTATTGAACTCCTGGCCTCAAGTGATCGCCTGCCTTGGCTTCCCAAAGTGCTGGGATTACAGGTGTGAGGCACCGCACCCAGCCAACACACAGACGTTTTTAAAAATTGCTTTGGGCTGGGCGCGGTGACTCACGCCTGTAATCCCAGTACTTCGGGAGGCCGAGGCAGGCGGATCACAAGGTCAGGAGATCGAGACCATCCTGGCTAACACGGTGAAACCCCGCCTCTACTAAAAATATAAAAAATTAGTTGGGTGTGGTGCCAGGTGCCTGTAGTCCCAGCTACTGGGGAGGATGAGGCAGGAGAATGGCATGAACCTGGGAGGCGGAGCTTGCAGTGAGCTGAGATTGAGCCACTGCATTCCAGCCTGGGTGACAGAGCGAGACTCTGTCTCCAAAAAAAAAAAAAAAAAAAAAAAAAATTGCTTTGCTGGCTGGGCATGGTGGCTCGCATCTGTAATCCTAGTACTTTGAGAAGTCAAGGCTGGTGGATTGCTTGAGCCCAGGAGTTCAAGACTAGCCTGGGCAATATGGCAAAACTCCATCTCTACAAAAAATACAAAAATTAGCCAAGTGTGGTGGCTTGCACCTGTGGTCCCAGCTACTTGGGAGGCTGAAGTAGGAGGATAGCTTGACCTCAGGAGGTCGAGGCTGCAGTGAGCCACGATCGTGCCCCTGCACTTCAGCTTGGGTGACTGAGTGAGACCCTGTCTCAAACTCAAAACCAAGAACCACTTTGCTTGATACTTTATCATGTTGGAAAAGAAAAAAAAAATCACTGCTAAAAGCTCTGAAGGGTCTAACAGAAAATTTTGCCTTTCAGCTGGGTGCAGTGGCTCACGCCTGTAATCCCAGTACTTTGGGAGGCTGAGGCGGGGAGATCACCTGAGGTCAGGAGTTTGAGACCAGCCTAGTCCACGTGGGGAAATCCCGTCTCTACTAAAAATATATACAAATTAGCCGAGCGTGGTGGTGCATGCCTGTAGTCCCAGCTACTTGGGAGGCTGAGGCACGAGAATCGCTTGAACCCAGGAGGCAGAGGTTGCAGTCAGCCAAGATTGCACCACTGCACTCCAGCCTGGGCGACAGAGCAAGATTCCGTCTCAAGAAAAAAAAAAAAAAAGAAAATTTTACCTTTTACAATTTTAAGATGGCAAATATTTCAGAAATTGTAGGAGATAATATTTCTACATATATATTTATTCAGTTTTTAAAAAAACATAAACAATGGTTTAAAACCCAACCCAATTTTCTCAAGCTAAACAGTATTTCCTCAGAAAACCAAATACCACATGTTCTCACTTATAAGTGGGAGCTAAATGATGAGAACACATGGACACATAGAGGAAACAGCAGACACTGGGGCCTATTGGAGGGTAGAGGGTGGGAGGAGGGAGAGGACCAGGAAAAATAACGAATGAGTACTAGGCTACTAGGCTTAGTATCTGGGTGATGAAATAATCTGTTCGACAAACCCCCATGACACACATTTACCCACGTAGCAAACCTGCACAAGTACCCATGAACTTAAAATAGAAGTATTAAAAAAATTTCCTTTTCAAAGAAAGATACAAAGAAGTTATATCATCTTTAGTGAATGCTGGTCTTATGTCTCCTCCAAGATGTTGCCTCATTCAAACCACGAAAAAAAAAAAAAAACAAGACAAAACTAATATTGCTACTCTAACCATTTCCAAAATAAATTGCATAACTACAGGCTTTGTGAGAAGTGAAAAGAAAATAGGAGACAATAAAAAGGACAAAAAAAAAAAAAAATTGGGAGGCTGGGCGCGGTGGGTCACGCCTGTAATTCCAGCACTTTGGGAGGCTGAGGTCAGGAGTTTGAGACCAGCCTGGCCAATATGGCGAAACCCCACCTCTACTAAAAATACAAAAAAAAATTAGCCGGGAGCAGTGGTAGGCGCCCGTAATCCCAGCTACTCGGGAGGCTGAGGCAGGGAGAAATGCTTGAACCCGGGAGGCAGAGATTGCAGTGAGCTGAGATGGCGCCACTGTACTCCAGCCTGGGTGACAGAGTAAGAGTCCTTCTCGGGGGTGGGTGGGTGGGAAAAGGGAAAGGTATCTCAAATGCAAAATAAAAACAGGAGACGGGCCACTGGCTGAGGCCCAGCTCATGTCCCTAAACCTAACAAACAAACAAACAACAGAAAAAAAAAAACAAGAAAAAGAAAAAACAAATGGGCCAGGTGCAGTGTCTCACGCCTGTAATCCCAGCACTCTGGGAGGCCGAGGCTGGAGGACTGCCTGAGCCCAGGAGTTCAAGACCAATCTGGGCAACATAGGGAGACCCTATCTCTACTAAACAAACAAGAAAACAAAACCAAACCATTACAAAACATTAAGTGAGTTATAACCAGAGAGATGAAAACTATCAACTCAAGAATCTTTGAGATTTGGCACCTATCCTTTTTCTTTTGCTACACAGATACAGTTTTTTTTTTAATCCTCTCACACTACACTTTAAGCTAAAATTTTTTTTTCCTGGCTAGTCTACCTTCTTTTTGGTATTAAATGACCACAAAACAAAGCTAGTATTACATGACCAGTAACAAGGCTGAAATCTGTTGTCCTAAGTTTGACAAGATAAAACCATCCACATGTCATTGTCAGGTATTAAACATTTGCATTGAGACAGGAAACTAATTTTCAGTTGTATCAGGTGCAGCTATGAAAGCTACAAAAACTGATTTCTTAGTCCACACAATGGAAATATTACATTACCAAAGAAGTTCCCTTGGGAGGTTATATACACGTTCTAATAATGTTGCCACAGCCCAGGCATTTTTAGTATACTTTTTTTTTTTTTTTTTTGAGACAGAGTCTTGCTCTGTCACCCAGGCTGGAGTGCAGTGGCGCAATCTTGGCTCACTGCAAGCTCCGTCTCCTGGGTTCACGCCATTCTCCTGCCTCAGCATCCCAAGTAGATGGGATTACAGGCGCCCACCACCACGCCCGGCTAATTTTTTGTATTTTTAGTAGAGATGGGATTTCACCTCGTTAACCAGGATGGTCTCGATCTCCTGACCTCATGATCCCCGTCTCGGCCTCCCAAAATGCTGGGATTACAGGCGTGAGCCACTGCACCCAGCCAGTATACTTTTTTAGTACTGCCTTTTAGATACAATTTTAAAAAGAAAAACCTATCATTTGTGGACACTTCAGAATTATTCCTCCTGTTCCCTGCATCAGTCTTCCCTAGCTTGGTCATCTAACCTGATTCAGCAGATTTGGTTCTGAATAACTTTTAGGTATTTCTATAAATCAAAGGTATTTTCAAAGAATCAAGATTTGCTACAATCAGAAGATCTAAAAGATGAAGTGAGACCTTGAAGGCAATACAAAAGAAAAGTTCTAATAGCACTTTGAACTGACAATGTGGAAGGGAATGGGACAACCACATTTAGATACAGTGTGGTGTTATGAACACAGAATTCTGACAAACATGGGTTAAGACTCAACTTTGATACTTGTTAGCTGTGAACTTGTGCAAGTTATGGGTTTCTTCTCTTACTCATTCGACATTTATCAAGTATTTGTGGGTCTCATAGTAACCAAGGCTAAAGACAGAAAAGCATGCAAAGCAGACAAGATCCATGGTTTTCAGGAAGACTGTAAGCTACTGGTAGGAGGAAACCAAGCAAGGCTGTGTGAGGGCAGAGTCACTCAAGCAGGGGCGATTAGCTGAGATTCAGCAGTGAGGAACAATCTCAGTGAGGTAAGACCATGAGGACAAAAAGGCAGCCACTTAAATATCTGATGCTGGCATATTCTAGGCAAAGGGAAGTGCAAGACGAGGGCTTTTGGGCTAGAATAAACTTAGCACACTCGGAGGCCAGTGTGGCTGGCACCCAGTGTGAAAGGTATGGGAGAGGTCAGAGGATGTAGGGGCCAGATTATGAGGGCCCTTGTAGGCCAGGGTAAGAAACTGATTTTTTTCCTGGAGGCAATGGGAAGACATTATAAACTATTTATCACAGAGCCTGCTCTACACATTTAATAAACACTGGCTAGATTTTACGTTCTAATAGAGTCATACAGCTCACCTCCATTTGGAGGCGACCTTCTATACTCATAGTTTTTTTTGTTTTTTGAGACAGTCTTGCTCTGTTGCCCAGGTTGGAGTGCAGTGGCACGATCTCAGCTCACTGCAACCTCCGCCTCCTGAGTTCAAGCGATTCTTCTGCCTCAGCCTCTTGAGTAGCTGGGACTACAGGCGCCTGCCACCACGCCAGGCTAACTTTTGTATTTTTAGTAGAGATGGGGTTTCGCCATGTTGGTCAGGCTGGTCTCAAACTCCTGACCTTGTGATCTGCCCGCCTTGGCCTCCCAAAGTGCTAGGATTACAGGTGTGAGCCACCAGCCCGGCCAGACCTTTTATATCTATAGTTTTCATATAGGCTTGTCTACTATTAATATATAGCCAACTTGGTTAGCAGCTAATGTAAGATTATTGACCCTTAAATGTCAACCCAGAATATCTTATTCTGACTCTATTTTCAGGGAATATAGCCTTAAAATTTCAGGAGGTCAATGACTACAGATATTTTGTTTTCAATAATTACAAGCTGTTAGTATTTTTTTTTTAAAAGTACCATGGTCAAAGATGTTTGGGAAATTTTCCTCACGTCAAGGTCTTCTGGAGACTTTAATATGCTTATGAACATTATAGTGATTAAAGAGGAATATACAGTATGCAGTCTTTTCTAGAGTACCTTTTAGGACTGTTTTAGAGAAATGTTCTCTGATCTTTTCCATGGTCCTAGCACACACAGAAAATGATCATCTGCACAACACAAGGGGAATAAACCCCTGGATGCACCCAGCCTAAGGCCTCTGACTGTCCTAAGTATTGGAGGAATGAATACCTGGACATACTCCTAATCTAAGGAACACTAGTTCATAAGCTTTATTCTATTTAGGCAATGTGGTTTTCTGAAGTGATTTTTTTTTTTGTACTTTTTCCCCCTTGCAAACACTACAGTGACTTATCTAAGTTTTTTTTTTATATATACATTAGGATAGAATACCAGCGAACTAAATATTAATATATAAACTATAATTGATTTATCCTATGTAAAACTTACCTTTTATTTACTATGAGGGCGCTTAACTGGAAACTCCTACATTAGACCAAAACCCCTGAAAGGGTCTGCAACTTCATTAAAAGGATGAGTGAGAAAGAAGTTGATTATACTCAAAAGACCTATGAGGGAGCATTTCAGGTCCACGCTCTCGGTGAAGAGGCTTCTCTGGGATTTTGTAATCACAGGCCTGACCTCATGAGTTAAGTCTGAGGTTGAAATTTTCTCTTCCCTCTATGGTCAGGGAACTCCCAGGCCAAGAAATTAAAGTGGTTCCAGGCTACCAGTGCCCTTTGATACCTAGCAGAAGCAAACCTAAATTAGATCAGGAAATAAGTCACCTACCATTCAGGCCTTTCAGCATTCCCACCAATTTTATCAAGTATGAGCGCACGATCAAATAGCAAACACATAATAAGTAATCCACCATGAGCAAGCATCAGCAGAAACTGATTAAGAATCCCCAATACTTTGGGCATTGGAATTGACAGAGACAGAACATAAAACAAGCATTATGAGTTGTTTAATAAGAAAAATATTATTGAAAAATAAGCAATATAAAACAAACACCAACTTATTAGACATGGCTAAAGAGAATTAAAAAATGGAAGATACATGATAAACACTCAAAATGCAGCAAAGAAAAATAGAAAACTGGAAAACAAGATGTCAAAATAAGAGAACAGAATGTAAAGATCCAATAAAAGTCTAATAAGAATTCTTAAAGGAGTGAGTATGGAGAATGGAGAAAGGCAATGTTGAATTAGATACTGGCTAAGAATTCTGCAGAAATGAGAACATGAATTAGGCCAGGCACAGTGGCTCATGTCTATAATCCCAGAACTGTGGGAGACCAAGGCAGGAGGACCGCTTGAGGCCAGGAGTTCGAGACCAGCCTGAGCAACAAAGTGTGACACTGCCTCTACAAAAAAATAAAAATAAAAATAAAAAAAATTAGGCAGCTGTGGTGGTATGTGCTTGTGGTCCCAGCTACTCAGGAGGCTGAGATGAGAGGATCACTTGAGCACAGGAGATTCAGTCTGCAGTGAGGTGCAATCACAATTGCTCCACTGCACTCCAGCCTAGGTGACAGAGCGAGACCTTCCCTCACCAAAAAAAAAAAAAAAAAAAAAAAAAGTGAGGGAGAGAGAGAGAACATGAATTCACAGATAAAACTATAATGTAAATTAGGCACAACAAAAAGGTATCCACATCTAAACAGACCATAGTAAAACTGCAGAACATCAAAGGAAAGATATTAAAAAGCAACCAATCACCACAGTGAAGCTCAGCAGTCAACAAGCTCTACTCAGGTAGACAGTCTAATCAGGTGCTTAGTACCTAAACATTAAGGCCTCTAAGTATATGAAAGGACAAAACAAATCTCCAGGAAAGATGCATCTATAGGAAACAGAAGAAAAGCAAACAGCATAAGAAAACGCTAAAAAAAATTACGAATTCTTCAGAGATGTAAGAATAGGATACTATCAGAGAACAAGATAGACCTTGGAATTTAAAAACAAAAATGGGAAAACAAATTCAATAAATGGATGATAAAGTCAAGGAAATCTTTCAAAAAGCGAGTGTGTGTGTATACATGAGACAAAAAGCTAGGCAACAAGAAAGAAAAAAATAAGAGTTCAACCTAGAAGATCCAAAATCCAATTAAGAGATATTCAAGAAAGAGAAAACAGATGGGAACAAAGTTACATAAAAGAAAAAAACAAAACAAAACAAATTTCCAAGACCAAAATGGGGCATCCATATTTAAAGAGACCATATAAGCCCAGCTTAATGATTTAAAAAAAAATTTATACCAACATGCATCATTATAACAATTCACAACTCTGCCAATACTGGTATTAAAAGCTTCGGCACTATGCTACACAAAAAGAGAAGGGAATCAAAATATCAGTGGACTTCTCAACAGCAAGACTGATCAATGTATTGCCTTCAGATTTCTAAAAATTCTTACCAGAAAATCTATACTCAAAGCTCCAAGTGAAAATAAATGAAACTAAAAATAGAAAAAAGGAAAAAAAAAGAAAACAAAGTTGGTTTTTTGAGATCAATAAAACTGATAAACCTCAAATCAGAGATAGGAAAAACAAAAAAAAGAAGACAAAATATCCCAATATCATAAATGAAAGAAGTAACAAGGCCAGGCGTGATGGCTCATGCCTGTAATTCCAGCACTCTGGGAGGCCGAGGTGGGTGGATCACCTGAGGTCGTCAGGAGTTCGAGACCAACCTGGCCAATGTAGCAAAACCCCATCTCTACTAAAAATACAAATACTAGCTGGGTGTAGTGGCATGCACCTGTAATCCCAGCGACTCAGGAGGCTGAGAAAGGAAAATCGCTTGAACCCGGGAGACAGAGGTTGCAGTGAGCTGAGATTGCACCACTGCACTCCAGCTTGGGCCACAGAGGAGAGACTTTGTCCCCGTCTCCAAAAAAAAAAAAAAAAAAAAAGTAACATTGCTGCAGATTCTACAGATATTAAAATATTAAAAAGACTATATTATCAACAACCTTATGACATTAAATTTGACAACTTGGATGAAATGGACAAATTCCTTCAGAGACATAGAACCAAATGTCACTCATAAAGAAACATACCTGAATAATCCTGTATCTACTGAAAAAACTAAATTTGTTAAAGATCTTCCCACAAATGAAACTCTAGGCTCAAATGGCTTTACTGGGGAATTCTACTTAGGAAATACTACAGACTTTATACCAACTTTTCTTTTTGTTTTTTGAGACGAAGTTTCGCTCTTGTCGCCCAGGCTGGAGCGCAATGGTGCAATCTCGGCTCACCGCAACCTCCGCCTCCCAGGTTCAAGCAATTCTCCTGCCTCAGCCTCCCAAGTAGCTGGGATTACAGGCATATACCACCACGCCTGGCTAATTTTTTTTGTATTTTCAGTAGAGATGGAGTTTCTCCATGTTGGTCAGGTTGGTCTCAAACTCCTGACTCAGGTGATCTGCCCACCTTGGCCTCCCAAAGTGCTGGGATTACAGGCATGAGCCACCACGCCCGGCCTATATATCAACTTTTCTAGAATATTGAATAGGATGAAACAGTTTACAAACTCATTCTACTAGGCCAGTATCACTTTGATCCCCAAACCAGATAAAGCAATTAGAAGAAAACTACAGAATAAATATCATGAATATAGGATGCAATTTTTTTTTTCTTTTGAGACAGAGTCTCACTGTGTTGTCCAGGCTGGAGTGCAGCGGTGACATCTTGGCTTACTGCGACTTCCGCCTCCTGGGTTCAAGCTATTCTCGTGCCTTAGCCTCCTGAGTAGCTGGGATTACAGGCATGTGCCATCATACCCAGCTAATTTTTGTATTTTTAGTAGAGATGGGGGGTTACACCATGTTGGCCAGGCTGGACTCGAACTCCTGACCTCAGGTAATCCACCCACCTCAGCCTCCCAAAGTGCTGGAATTACAGGTGTGACCCATTATGCCCAGCTAGATGAAAATATTGTTAACAAAATTTTAGCAAATTGAACCTAACAATATATAAAAAGAACTTAGCATGACCAAGTATGTTCCTTCCAGGAATGTAAAACTAATTCAACATTTGAAAATCAATAAATTCACCGCATTAACAGACCAAAGAGGAGCCATATAATCACCTTGAAATATGCAGAAAATGCACTTGACAAAAATCTAACATTGATTCCTGAAAAATATTCTTAGCAAACTAGGAAGACGTACTATGTTCATGGATCAGAAAAATTAACATTATTAAAATGTCAGTCCTTCCCAAATTGATTTATGATTTAACACAATCCAATGAGAATCACAGCAGATTTTTGGGTAAAAATCAAAAGCTTGTTCTAAAATTCATATGGAACTGCAAAGGCTCTAGAATAGCCAAAGCAAATTTCAGAAGAACAAAGTTAAGACTAAAGCTTCCTGACTCCAAGATATATTATAAAGCTACAGTATGAAGACAGTAGGGTTTTAGCATGAATATAGACAAAAAGATCAATGAAACAGAATAAGAGTCCATAAATAGACCTCTATCTATCTATCGGTCTCTCTCTATATGTATGTCTATTTATGGGTATATATGGGTCTATATATAGATATCTATAGATACATATAGAGTGTATATATATATCTATAGATTTACATACCTATAGATATGTCAATATCTATATAGATATCTACAGAATCTATATATATCTATAGATTCACATCTCTACCTATAGATATCTATATCCCCAGTGTTTTGTTCACACTGCTTTGTTCACACTATGTAATGACACTATGTTTTTGTTTTTATTTTTTGAGATGAGGTCTCACCCTGTTGCCCAGGCTGGAGTGCAGTGGCATGATCTCAGCTCACTGCAACCTTCACCTCCTGGGTTCAAGCGATTCTCCTGCCTCAGCCTCCTGAGTGGCTAGGATTACAGGTGTGTGCCACTATGCCTAGCTAATTTTTTATTTTTAGTAGAGACAGGGTTTCACCATGTTGGCCAGGCTGGTCTCAAACACCTGGCCTCAAGTCATCTGCCCGCCTCAGCTTTCCAAAGTGCTGGGATTACAGGCATGAGCTGCTGCGTCTGG
Organism: Homo sapiens; assembly: GCF_000001405.40. Classification (NCBI taxonomy): domain Eukaryota; kingdom Metazoa; phylum Chordata; class Mammalia; order Primates; family Hominidae; genus Homo; species Homo sapiens. Next base: position 51,236,543 of record NC_000017.11, read on the forward strand.
CCTATGTTTTTTATGCCACTTTGTGCATTGCTCATCAAGGTTAGTCTTGTTCATCTTCTGGCCCTCCAAGCATGTGGCACAGTTCAATGGTGTGGCACAAGGCCCGAGGCAGGGAGGCCTCTGCTGCCCTCACAGGCCTACCTCCATCACCTCTCTCTGTTTGCTTATATATCTATAGATATATACGGTCAATTGATTTTTGACAAAGCTGAAAAGGCAATTTAGTGGAGAAAAAAAAAATAGTCTTTGAACGAATGGTGCTGGAAGAATTAAGACATTCATATGCCAAAATACCACTTTGATCCATACCTCACATCATATATAAAAATCAACTGAAAGTAGTTCATAGGCCTAAATGTAAGTTAACGTAAGAGTTCTATAAAACTTCTGGGAAAAATATTAACAATCTTGTGTTAAGCAAGAAGTTTTTAGCTATGACAAAAAAAATATAACCCATAAAGGAAAAAAAATTCGGCCAGGCACGGTGGCTCACGTCTGTAATCCCAGCACCTGGGAGGCCGAGGCGGGCGGATCACCTGAGGTCAGTAGTTCAAGACCAGTCTGGCCAACATAATAAAACCCTGTCTCTACAAAAATACAAAAATTAGCTGGGCATGATGGCAGGTGCCTGTAATCTCAGCTACTCGGGAGGCTGAGGTGGAAGAATCGCTTAACCCCAGGAGGCAGAGGTTGCAGTGAGCCAAGATCGTGCCATTGCACTCCAGCCTGGGTGATGGTGTGAGACTCCATCTCAAAAAAAAAAAAAAAAAAAAGAAAAAGAAAAAATTTCATAAACTACATTTTGTCAAAATGAAGCATTTCTGCTCTTTGAAAGACAATGTTTAAGAGAATAAGACAAGCACAGACTGGGAAAAATATTTGCAAATCACAGATTTGATAAGGGGTTTGTATCTAGAAACATAAAGAAGTATCAAAATTCAATGACTGAAATAACCCAATTCATAAAAAGAGGCAAAAGATCTAAACAGAAATTCAAAGATATACAGATGGCAAGTAACAACATGAAAAGATGCTCAACATCAGCGGTCACTGAGAAAACACAAATTAAAACCACAAGATACTGTAACACACCTATTAGAATGACTAAAATTTATAAAAGTCCTCTACAGTCAGTGTGGCAAATGGAACTCTCATACATTGTGGATGAGAATGTAAAATGGTACAAGCATGTTGGAAAGCAGGCAGTTTCTTAAAAAGTTAAACAACCACCTACCATCCATTCCACTCATATATATCTGCGAGAAATGAAGGCATATACCCATACAAAGACATAAACACCAATGGTCATCATAGCCCCAAACTGGAAACAATTTAAATGCCCATCAATAAGGGATTACACAAATTGTGGTACGTCCATACAATGATTTCATTTTGCTTCTTGGTAACAAAAAGGAATGAATTATTGATATACACAGCGTGGATAACCTAAGCCAGACCCAAAAACGTCTTACTGTATGACTCTTTTTACAAATGCAAACTAGCTGTATAGTGACAGAAGGCAGATCAGTAATTACCTGGGGATGGGGTGGGGGCCAGGAGTGGAAAAGGGGAGTTATAAAGGAGCATGAGGAAACTTTTAGAGATGAGGATTATACTACCTAGATTGTGGTGAAGGTTTCATGAGCGTACACCTATGTTTCTGTGCAGTTTAATTTTGTCAATTTTTACTTCAATAAGGCTGTTAAAAAAATCTATAGCCAGCCAAATTATCAACCAAGTCTAATGGTAGAAAATGTATTTTCAGATATGCCCCTGAAGCCCCTTCGAAAAACTTAGCTCTCATGTTCACTTTTTTCTCAGGAGATGATTAGAAGATATGTTTCATTATAACATCAAAGTAACCAAGAAAGAGGAAGACGGTTGATTTAGGAACTACATGATTCAGTACAGCACAGAGGTAACGAGAGTTTCTAAAGCAATGATAAAGGGATGTCTCAGCGTTACAGCTGTATAGCGGGTTTAGAGAACAACCAGATTGTATTAGAAAAAGAAGATGGATGATGGCTCTGGAAGGATTCTAGGAAAAATATGAATCTTTGTGTTTGGAGCTTGTTGCAGCAGCATGGGGAAAAAGGCAACAGGCACTTTCAACACTGACTAAATGAAAAAAGTGAACCAATCAGTAACTGCAGGAAACAAAGTTGTATCAGAAAGGAAACAGTACAGTGACTGGCTGGGAAGCTGTAAATACTATTTATGTACTATATAAACACTAGCAATTTAAACAAAACTTGTGATAAAAGTCAATGAAGTGGGCCGGGTGTGGTGGCTCATGCCTGTAATCCCAGAACTTTGGGAGGCTGAGGTGGATGGATCACTTAAAGTCAGGAGTTCGAGACCAGCCTGGCTAACATGGTAAAACCCTGTCTCTACTAAAAATACAAAAATTAACTGGGTGTGGTAATGTGCGTCTGTAGTCCCAGCTACTCGGGAGGCAGAGGCAGGAGAACTGCTTGAACTTTGGAGGAGGAGGTTGCAGTGAGCCAAGATCATGCCACTGCACTCCAGCTTGGGCGACCAAGCGAGTCTCCATCTCAAAAAAAAAAAAAAGTCAATGAACTGGATAAGCGTGAAAACAACATGGCCCCTCATTTCCCAATGAGATTAAAAAAACAATTTTTTTGGATCAACTTGAATAAAAACAGTTTAGGGGATAGACAGTAAAAGAGCAAATGTCTATTTGTATCAACTAATACACTTTTTATTTTTCATAAAACTTAATTCATTAAATTTAAATTACTGCCCTTTATTATATGATCATGTCCTTTATTATAAGATCACTTTCTTTAAGGATGGTTATAGGTTTTTACCATAAAATACTTAACTTTTTATTTATAAATTTATAAGTTACAACAATACAAAGAACATCTAGACAACCTTTATCTTGACTGACCAATGATTAACATTTTCTCCCAATTATTCCTCTCTACACGTATATTTTTCCCTCTCAACCATTAATGAATGGTTTATATGCTTTAAGCCCTTTTACCTCTAAATCAGAAGTAGAAGCATAGCTCAGGGTTTTTTCACCTTGGCAATATTACTTTGGGCCAGAAAATGCTTTTTTTGTAGGAGGCTAGCCTGTGCATTATAAGATGTCTAGCATCATTTGTGGCAGTAACACTCGCCTTTATCCCCCAGCGGTGACAACCAAAAACACCTTTAGGCATTGCCAAATGTCCCCTGGAAGCAAAAAACAAAAAAAACAAAAAAAAAATCCCAGTTGAGAACTATTGCCTTATCCTTCAATGTGCCTTTCCTAGTAATAAGGATATTCTCTTACATAATCATAGGTCAGCTATCATCTTCAAGAAATTTAACATTAACCCAATACTTTCATCTGATCTACCATCCGTCCTCCAGTTTCGTCAACTGACTCAACAACACCCTTTACAAGATCTTCTTTTCTTCTTCAGCCCAGGGTCATATATTTCATTTGTCATGTGCCTTAGTCTTTAATCTAGAGGGAGACCTTATCTTTTTTTATATTTGATGTCTTTTAAGAATGCGGTCCCTTTAAGACTTTTTACCCTTTTTCTATAAATCTATAACTGTTCTCAAAAGTCTTTTTTTCTTAAAGACTTTATTTTTTGAGAAGTAATAAATTTATGGTAAAAGTGAAAATTCAGTAGAGTTCCCATATGGCCCAGTTTCCCCTATTAACATCTTACATTAGTATTGAACATGCTACAATAAATGAAATACTGATAGGTACACTGTCATTAACTAAAGTCTACATTTTCAGTTTTCCTTCATTTTTACTGTTCTTTTCTCTGTTCCAAGATCCCACAGTACATTTAGTCACCCTAAGTTTTCATTATTTAAGTTGTCATACAGCTTCTCTTGGTTGTGAGAATTTCTCAGGTTTTCTTGGTTTTTCATGACCTTGACAGTTTTGAGGAATCTTGGTCAGATATTTTGCTGACTGTTCTATTGGAATTTGTCTGATAGTTTCTTCATTATCAGGCTGGGGTTATGTTTTTGGCAGGTACATGGCAGAGGTAAAGTGTCCTTTGTATCAGAGCATTTCAACGATACACACTAACATGACTTATCAATGCTGACGTTGAACTTGATCATCTATCTGATTGAGGTAGTGTTTATCAGGTTTCTCTGCTGTGAAGTTACTCTGAATCCTTTCCTAAACTATACTCTTTGGAACAAAGTGACTATGTATACCCCACATTTAAGGAACAGGGAGTTATATACTCCCCTTCTTGAGAGTGGAATGTTCATATTAAGTATTTGGAATTCTTCTGTATAGATTTCCTCTTTTAAAAAATAAAAAATTTCCTTGTTTTGGGTTTTAGGTGCCCTCAGGATTATACTTAGGTTGCACTGCCTAATTGATGCTATAATTTTCAAGGCATCAAATCCAGAGGCACGAGGTCCATCCACCCCTTATTGGTGATGTTAATTTTTTTTTTTCTTTGAGACAGGGTCTCCCAGGCTGCACCCAGGCTGGAGTGCAGTGGCGTGATTTCGGCTCACTGCAACCTCCACCTCTAGGGTTCAAGCAATCCTTTTGCTTCGGCCTCCTGAATAGCTAGGATTACACGTGTCACCTCACCCAGCTAATTTTTGTACTTTTTGTAGAGACGGAGTTTTGCCATGTTGCCAGGCTAGTCTCAAACTCCTGGCCTCATGTGATCCTCCTGCCTTGGCCTCCCAAAGTGCTGGGATTACAGGTGTGAGCTGCTGCACCTGGCTGGTGTTAATTTTAATGACCTGGTCTAGATATGGTCTGGTTTCTCCACTGTACTTTTACTATTTTCTTTAATAAGCAATCTATGGGGAGACACTTTAAAGATAATGCAAATATTCAGCTCATTAAATTTTCACTCAAGATTTAGGATCCAATGATTCTTGCCCAGTCTCTCACTGTGATGATTTCCCAACCCCAACATTCCCTGCACGTTCACCAGTCAGCATTCTCTAAGAAACAGCTCTCTTTTTTCTCTTTTTATTTATTATTGGTATCAACTCATGGATTTCTATTTTTCAATGTTGTATTTTTTTTGAGATAGCGTCTCGCTGTTGCCCGGGCTGGAGTGCAGTGGTGCTATCCTGGCTCACTGCAACCTCCACCTCCCGGGTTTAAGCAATTCTTCTGCCTCAGCCTCCCAAGTAGCTGGGATTACAGGTGCCTGCCACCATGCCAGGCTATTTATTTTTTTATTTTTAGTAGAGACGGGTTTCACCATGTTTGCCAGGCTGGTTTCGAACTCCTGACTTCAACTGATCTGCCCGCCTTGGCTTCGCAAAGTGCTAGGATTACAGGCATGAGCCACCATGCCCAGCCTACTTTTCAAGGTTTTATAACTCGTTATTGTCCTTAATTATCTGGGTGATCATACTGTCCCAGAGTAGGCCAGTGGGAGCCCCTTAAAGCCTACTCCTGTGTCATTCTGACATGCCTCTATCATTTTCTGAGCATTTCCTTACTTTCTTGCATAATAAGATACTCCAGGCTTATCTTATAACCATTTCTCTGTCCCAGCCCTGGAACCAAACATTTCTCCTAACAGCCTTGGTATCTTTTAGTGGGGAATGATATAAGAAATAAAGATCTAGGTATTCAATGTACTTATTGCTATTTGGGTATCTCTTTGCTTCTGGGCCTTTCCACTGGACAAAGTATACACACATGTATGTGACATATATATACACACATGTATTTTAGAAAATTATGAGTTCACACTTAAATCCCCAACTCCAAGCCATCCCCACAGGGTTTTTTTCTCACTTTCCCACACTTCACATTTGTGTCTTTTTCAACAGAATGCTGGCTCTTAACAAAACCTATCTACTCATTTGCTCAACCCTTTTAGACATTTAAATAGTTACAGAAGCATTACAGCATATCACTACAAAAAAACTGTTGGAGTTTAGTATTTCTTTGCAGTCACTTTTCTCTAGACTGACTACTGAGTATAAAAGTTCCTTGGATTATTTATTTCAATGTGGTTGTTACTGATTTGAAATAAGTTAGAATTGGTTTCTTTTGGTTTTTAGTCTCCTCCATCATCCTTATTGGATTTATTTCATTTTTTGGGGGGACTACTGGGAAGATCACCCTTCTTGCAAAAATAAAGAAATATACAAATAGGTGTAACTCAAATGTCATTTCTTTCCCTGCCTCACCACCCACCCTGTTAAGCGGGTAACCAACTTTATCACTTTCCGGTTCATTCTTCCTGTGTACATTTTGAAAAAGTAAACAGTATATGTACAGCTATATATATGTTTTCTTATTTCCATTTCCTTCACAAAAGTCACATACTATATTCCTCTCTCCTGTGTTTTTGTTTAGAAATATACCCTGGAAATCATTCCATTTCAGTGCACTGACATCTTCCTTATTCTTCTTGCAGCTGCATAGTACTCCATTGTGTATGTTTATTCAACAAATCTCTCGTTTCAACATTTAGTTTTCAATGTTTTGCAATTACAAATACGCTGCAGCGAACTTATGTATCTGTGTGTTTATACTGTGCATGGTATACCTCCAGGGTATATTTTTAGAAATGGGATTGCTGTGTAGGATATATGTATTTGTAATTTTGTTAGATATTGCCAAATTCCACTCCAAAGAAATGTAATCATTTGCACCAGCAATATTGAGAGTGCTTGTTTCCCCAGAGGTGCTGGGAATGTATTGCCAAGTGTCTGAATTTTTCCCAAAATGATGGATGAAAAATGGTATGCCAGTATAGTTGTCACTGTCTTTTTTTTTTTTTTAAGCTCTCTATTTGGAAGTAACTTTGAACTTTCAGGAAAGTTAGAAGAATAATACAATGAAGTCCTGTGTACTCTACTCAAACACAACAATTACTAATATTTTGCCCCATATTTTTCTTCTCTAAACACATAGATTTTCTGAATAATTTGAAAGTTACGTATCACAAAATAATTCAATGTGCATTTCCTTGGAATAAAAACATTTTCTTATAACTGGAGCACAGTTATCAGTTTTAGGAAATCTGACAATATATGATACTTTTCCCTAATTCACCATCCACATTCCAACTGACTCAATATCTTTATAGCATTTCCTCCTTCAAGACCAGGATCACATAAAAATTAAAAAGTCGTATCTATCTCTTTAGTGTCCTTTAATCTGGAAGATTAGTTTTAATTTTTTTTAGATACAGGGTCTCCCTATGTTGCCCAGACTGGACTCAAACTCCTGGTGTCAAGCGATCCTCCCACCACAGCCTCCTGAGTAGCTGGGATTACAGGTGTACACTGACGTGTTTCGTTTGAAATTATTTTTGAAGAATGCAAGCAAGCCCCTTCCCCCTTAACAGAATGCTTCTCATTTGAGGTTCATCTGATGTGTCTGTGTCCTTAGGAGACTCTGGTTATGTACCCCATAATATTACATTTGTCCTCAGGAAATTGTAACCAGAGTCACAAGATTCCTATCTGTCTCTCACTGGTGATGTTAATGTTGATTACTTTGTTAAGGTGTAGTCCAGTTTTCCACTGTATACTACGTATTTCTCCTTGCAACCAATCGGCAACCTCAGGGACACACTTTGAAATATGACCACATTGTTTCTCACTGAAATCTCACCGCCATTCTTAAATTTGGCATCTAATGATAACTTGTGCCAAACCAAACATTAATATGATGGCTGCAAAACGATTTCCCAACTCCAGCACTTTTTTATCAGTCAGCAAGAAATCCTGTCATAACCCCCTTTTATTGACATACCTACCTATTCATTATCAGTATGAATTCACTAACTTCTATTTTTTTCCCAGTGGTTTATCATTCATCACTATTCTTATTCTGGGGCTCAAAATATGCCAGATGTGGCCACAATGATGTCCCTGAACTGGTTCTTGTGTCCTCTTTTTTTTCCTGAGACAGTCTCCCCTTGTTGCCAGTGCAGTGGCATGATCTCAGCTCACTGCAACCTCTGCCTCCCGGGTTCAAGTGATGCTTGTGCCTCAGCCTTCTGAGTAGCTGGGATTACAGGTGTGCACCAACAAGCCAGGCTAATTTTTGTATTTTTAGTAGAGGCAGGGTTTCACCATATTGACCAGGCTGGTCTCGAACTCCTGGCCTCAAGTGATCTGCCCCACTGAGCCTCCCAAAGTGCTGGGATTACAGGCATGACCCAACATGTCAGACCTCCTGTGTCCTTTTGACATACTTCCATCTTTTTTTTGAGGAATTCCTTACTTTCTTCCTTATCAAGATATTCCAGGCTCATTTTATACCTATGCTGCTCCAGCCCTGAAATCAATAATTTTTCCAAGGAACTCTAGTCCTTATTAGCAAAGAACTGGTATTGAAAGCCAAGATCTGGGCACTTAATGCAGTTCTACAGAGCATTTTTTTTTTAATGGAGTTCTCAGTCTGTCGCCCAGGCTGAAGTGCAGTGGCATGATCTCGGCTCACTGCAACCTCCGCCTCCCAGGTTCAAGTGATTTTCCTGCTTCAGCTTCTCGAGTAGCTGGCACTACAGGCGTGTGCCACCACGCCCGGCTAATTTTTTGTATTTTTAGTAGAGGCGGGGTTTCACCATGTTAGCCAGGATGGTCTTGATCTCCTGACCTCGTGATCTGCTCGCCTCAGCCTCCCAAAGTGCTGGGATTACAGGCATGAGCCACTGTGCCCGGCCCTAGAGGATTTTTTTGTTATCTTATTTTGTGTGGTTTTATGTGCCTACTTTTTTTCTTCTTTAGGGTTTTTAGTCTTAATTTTCTTCAAAGTTCTTGGCATTGAGAAATTTACATTTACCCTTTATCTGTATGTATGGAAAATTGTGATTTTGCACATGAAGCTTTTCCCCATACATTTAAAATATCTGAGATAGCAAAATGTATCAGTATTTTATTTCATTGTACCTTGATTATGAGTCAGAAAATTTTTTCCTGAAGCATGGTACAGAAAAATTTTCCCGTATTTTTTCCTGGTATTTGTATAGTTTTTATATTTAGATCTAATGTGTCTGGACTTTATTATTATGTATAGCATGAAGAACAGTTCTAATATTTTTTCCAAATGGCTATCTAGTTGCGCCAACATCCTTTATCAAAATGTCCATCTTTATCTCAGTGATTTAAAATACCACTTTAAGTGCTAGGTTTCCATATGTAGTTGTGTCCATTTCTGGATTTCACACTATTTCCCTGGTCTGTTCTTGTGCCAATGTCTTGCTTTCTGAATCATCAAGGGTTTGGAATGTATTCTGATATCTTGCAGAGCTAGATACCCCCTCAAAAATCTTTTAATGTTTTTACATTCTTGCATGTTTATTTTTCCAAGTGCACTTCAAGTATTAGATAGTTCAACTCTATACCAAAAAGTTATCAGTCTTTTTATATTATGATCTCATTAAATTTCTAATTAACTTTGGAAAAAGTGACATTTTGATATGTCTCAAGGACAGTGGATGTCTTTCCATTTGTTCAAGTCTGCTTTGTGTCTTTTGGGAATGTTTTATATAGCCTGCTTCACATAGGTTTTTAACAACGTTTTTAAGGAAGTAAATCCTTAGGAATTTAATTATAGTTTGAGTATTCCTCATGCAAAATGCTTGGGACCAGAAACATTTCAGATTTTGGAATATGTGCATACGCATAATTAGATATCTTGGGGATGAGACCCAAGTCTAAACACGAAATTCACTTGTTTCATATCCAACTTATACACATAGCCTGAAGATAATTTTATACAGTATAAAAAAAATTTTGTGCATCAAGTAAGGTTTGTGTACTCTGAACCAGCAGAAAGCAAAGGTGTCACTATCTCAGTTGCCTATGTGGTTATCTGTGGTGTCATGTCCATGCTCAAAGAGTTTCAAATTTTGGAGCATTTTGGACTTCAGGTTTTTGGATTAGGGATGCTCAATCTATGTTTTGTTGTTGCTATTGTAATCTTCTCTTTTGTTGTATTTTCTTAACTGGTTATTTTCTCACTACACAAAGGTTTATTATTTTATATCCTACCTCGCTGAATTGTTTGAAGGTAGTTTTGTCACTGATTTTTCTAAGGCTTTCCAGATAAACAATCACGTCACTAACAAACAATCTTTTCTTCTTTTTCCACTGTTATGTCTCTAATTTGTTTTTTGAGACAGGGTCTCACTCTGTCGTCCAGGCTGGAGTGCTGTGGTGCAATCTCGGCTCACTGCAACCTCCGCCTCCAGGGTTCAAGCAATTCTCCCACCTTAGCCTCCTGAGTAGCTGGGACTACAGGCACGTATCACCACACCCAGATAATTTTTTTTTTTATTCTTAGTAGAGACGGGGTTTCACCATGTTGGCCAGGCTGGTCTTGAACTCCTGACCTCAGGTGATCCGCCCGCCTCAGCCTCCCAAAGTGCTGGGATTACAGGTGTGAGTCACTGCACCTGGCCATTTGTTTTCTTTTCTATCTGTATTGACTCATATTTCCAGTATAATATTAAGTCATGGAGAAAATGGGCATCCTTACTCTATTCTTGATTGTGGTGTTTCTTAATAAGATTCTGGCTTTAGGGTTAAGGCTATGTACATGTGCATATGTGTGTATTCATAAAAATAAAAATATTGTATGTTAAGGAAGTATTCATCCATTCCTATTTTCTGAAAAGTTTTTGTTAGGAACAGGTGTTGAATTTTGTCATAGGCTTTTTCGGCTTCTATAAAGAGAACACAACTTTTCTCTTCTGACCGATTAGTATGGTGAACTACATAAATAGATTTCCAAATACTGAATCATCCTTGTATTCCTGGTATAAAACTCACTCATCAAAATGTATTTTTGTAATATAGTGTGAGAGACTGCACAGTAATAGTTTTTCATTAGTATCTGTATGTGATAACTCTGTAATTTTCATTTTTTGAGCTATCTTGATCAGGCTAAGAAATCAGTATTACTTTTTTTTTTTTTTTTTTTTTTGGAGACACGGTCTTGCTCTATCGTTCAGCCTGGAGTGCAGCAGCACGATCTTGGCTCCCTGCAGCCTCAACACCCCTTGGGCTCAAGTGATCCTCCCACCCCAGCCTCCCAAGTAGCTGGGACTATAGGCACAGGCCACTGTGCTCAGCTAATTTTTTAGTTGTTTGTAGAGATCAAGTCTCACTACAATTGCCCAGGCCAATCTCAAACTCCTGGGGTCAAGTGATCCTCCTACCTTGGCCTCCCAAAATGCTGGGATTACAGGCGTGAGCCACTGCACACAGTCCAGTATTACTCTTACGTCACAAAAATAATTAGCTTTCCATTTTCTATACTCATGTAGCATCGGGAGTATCTGGTCAGGCAGAATTCCCCTGTGAAACCATCTAGGCCTGGTGTTTGGTGGGATGGTTCCTTGACAAATTTTTAGTTCTTCTAGGAAAATTGGTCTTATTTTCTTTTAATCTCTAATGAGGTCAATTTTATTAAACTGTATTCTCCTAAGAAATTATCCATTTCATCTAGGTTTTGAAATGTATTTGTACAGAGGTGTGCAAAATAGTTCTGTATTAAAATAGTTCTCAATTTCCTCTGTATCCAATGTTATTTTCCCGTTGTTATTTCTTAAAATTTCATGTGTGCTTTCTCCCTTTCCCCACTTGGTTAAATTAGCTAGTGATTCATCTATTATGTGACTCTTCCCTCAAGGGTCCAAGATTGGTTCATCAACTAGACGTATAGTTCTTCTGTTAACTCATTAACTTCTACTTTTATCTTTATTTCCTTCCTTGTGCTTTTGGCTTACTTTGTTCATTTCTGAATTGGGAATTTATTTTCATTTATGTAAGTGTTTAGGGCTATGAATTTTCCTCTGCTCACTGCTTTAAATGTATTCCACAGATTCTGGTATGTAGTATTATGTAGTACTTTTCTTATCATCATTTTCCAGAAACTTTGCAATTTGTGTTTCCCTTTTACCCATTAAACTTTTAAAAATTAAGGCATACTGTTGAACACTTATCAAAATATAGGACTTTTCTGTCACTCTAGAAAGCTCCTTCCTGTCCTTTCCCACTCAATCTCTCCCCAGTCCTGAGTTCTATTAGCTTTGGCTAAATTTTGTATATATTTAAGATTTTATATAAATGGCATAAAATCGTATGCATATTTTTGTGTCTAATTTCTTCCAGTCAGCATAGTGTTTCTGAGATTCATTCATGTTACATGTATAAATGGTTTCTTTTTATTGCTGAGTAATACTCGTCAATGTATCAGCTTACCCTTTCTTCATCCAGATTTTACTATGAATAAAGCTGCCACGAAAATTCTTGTACAAGGTTTTCTGTGAATACATAATACAAGGTTTCTTAACTTCAAGACGGAAGTGCAATGTCCTTTTGCTTTTTGAATTTGTTTTTGTTTTCTTGTATGGGACCTACTAATGTTTTTCTAATAGATTGACAATTTTTTGTGAATATTCTGTGTTTAAAAAGAACATACTCTCTGGCCCCGCATGGTGGCTCACACCTATAATCCCAGCACTATGGGAGGCCAAGGCAGGAAGACTGCTTGAGCCCAAGAGTTTGAGACTAGCCTGGGCAACATGGCGAGACTTCGTCTCTACAATAAGCAAAAAAAAAAAAAAAATTAGCTGGGCATGGTGGTGTGCACCTGTGGTCTCAGCTACTTGGGAGGCTGAGGTGGGAGGATCACCTGAGGCAGGGAGGTCAAGGCTGCAGTGAGCCGTGATCATGCCACTGTACTGCAGCCTGGGAGACAGAGTTGGGGGTGGGGGGAAGCAGTATATTCTTGATTATTAGGGATATACTTGAAGATTCACATTATATTATTTAGATCTTTTATATCCTTTTTTACCCACTACATCTTGTGCTAAGTGTCAAAGTCCCCTAATTTTAGTTTTTTATTTCTTCTTATACTTCATATAGATTTTGCTTTATACAGATTGTTGCTGTGTTATGTGGTACATATTTAACTGTGAATTCTTTGTTGTGAATCATGGTTTTTAGCATTATAAACTGTTCTCTTTTGTCTGATTTAATGCTTTTTTTGGTTTGAATTCTACTTTGCTATCAGCATTTTCAGTCTTGTATTCTTGGGGTTTCTATTTGCCTGGTACATATTTGTCCTGGCCTTTATGTTTGCTCTCAATTCTCCACATATTTTATCATTAGGGTATGCATTATGTACTGTATACTTTTTTTTCTGTTCCATCATGGTTTTCTTTGTCCCTTTAAAAATTTCTCTCAGTATTTTGGAAAGTCTTCGTCACGCTTACCTTTATATTAATAGCTTTTACAGTACACTGTATTTTTTTTCTTACCTAATCTTTTCTATTTGGTCTTTCAGTTTTAGATGGTAGCCTCTGACTCCCTCATATTACTTCAATTACAGTAATTATTCTTATTCTAGTTCTGAAAAAGAACAGTTCTAGACAGGGTCTCATTCTGTTGCCCAGGCTGGAGTGCAGTTAGGCAAACACAGCTCTCTGCAGCCTTGACCTCCTGGGCTCAAATGATCCTCCTACTTCAGCCTCCTGAGTAGTTGGGACTACAGGCATGAGCCACCATGCCTGGCTAATTAAACACTTTTTTTTTTTTTTTTGTAGAGACTGGGTCTCACTATGTTGCCCAGGCTGGTCTAGAAGTCCTGGGCTCAAGTAATCCACCCACCTAAGCCTCCCAAAGTGCTGGGATTACAGGTGTGAGCCACCACACATGGCCTTAGTTTTTCCTTTTATTTTCCATCCCATTATATTTTAGTTGCATTCTTTCTGCTTTGTCAGAATGTATAATGTTTATGTACTATTCTCTAGGTCCCTACTATTGGTTTTAATCTTAGTTCAAAAAGATATCTGAAATACTTATTGTCACAGTCTTTTTGTAGGAAATGTCCCAAATATCTTTTAGATGAAAGTCATCCTTTTCGAGTGTCCTCAGGAGGGGTAAACGAGTACAGTATTCCCTGAGTTCCTGCATGTTCAAACTGTTGTTCTGCAGCCCTAATACCTGGACAACAGTTAGCTGGATATAAAATCCTTGGCTAGCAGTCACTTTCCTCATGCTGCTCCACTGTCTTGCTTTGTTATGTTGCTTTTGAGAAATCTGACACTGGTCTAATTCTCTTGCCTCTATGTCACGTCTTTGCCTGGAGACCCTGAGAATTCTTTGCATCTTTACAGTCATACAGCTTTACTAGGAAATATCTTTGAGTGTGCCTTCTGGTATGAACTTCTGTGGTATAGATTCAGATCTCTTTTCACTTCCAGAAAGTTTTCTTGGATTATAGTTTTAAATATTTTCTCTTCTTGAAGGACACCAATTATATACAGTAGACTTTGGATCCATCTCCCATTTCAACTTGGTCAATTTTCAAAACAAAAATCTCATCTCAATTATCCTGTTTTCCTGCTTTTCTTCAAGACTTTTTATTAAATTTGAATTTGAAATGTGGGAATGTTAAAACTTCATTATTGGTTATGATTTTATCTTCTATTTTTCTGTTTAATCTACTTTGTGTTCATTTCTTAATGCTTTTTGTTCTTTGTATTTGTTTCAGAATATTTCTTAATTTTATTTTTCAAATCTCCAAACATTGGTTTGAGGATGTTTAATTTCACTTGGAGCATTGTGTCAATTTTTTCCTGCTTTTTTTGATGGGGGTAGATTTTCATCAGTTGAAATGCTGATTCACATTTCCTGTTTGTTTTTTCTTACAGTTCTGTATGGATGTGGCCTGCTCTTTTCTATTTCTGTTCATTTCATAGGCAGAGCTCCTACTTCAAGAACACCCTCTTCTCTAAGTTCAGTTTTTTTCTTTTCCTGAAGAATTTTTTCTTCTTTCTTCTTCTTCACTGCCATGTTTCCAAGTCTTCACTGACATGTCTCCAAGTCTTCATGTTTCCCTTATGAGGCAATGCTTATAATTTAAAGCTACCAATTCTGGTACTGCTTACCTTTAAGCTCTTCTCCATACATAGAGCTGTGAACTATCAAACTCCAAACCTATGATCAATGTTTTGGAGCTTTTTTCAGATTTTCTCTTTCTGAGAGTGGATCTTTGTACCTTGTCTAAAGCTTTCACACTCCCATACCTCTTTCAGTAAATTTGTCAAGCCTTCCCTCTCTCACTCTTAACACCTAGAGGAATGATCATAAGGAGCAGTTGGAATTTGGTTTATTTCTCTACCTATAAGAATCTACAAATCTCTATTTATAGGCAGAGAAATAAACTAAATTTGTGAGTTGAACTCTTAAACACATTTCGTCCTATAGGAGTTTATTTGTAAATTCTACAATAACCTAATATTGGACTTGCTCTGTCATTCAAGCTGCAGTGCAGTGGCATGATCTTGGCTTATTGTAACCTCTGCCTCCCAGGTTCAAGCGATTCTCATGCCTCAGTCTCCCGAGAAGCTGGGATTACAGTGTGTGCCACAACACCTGGGTAATTTTTGTATTTTTGGTAGAGACAGGGTTTCGCCATGTTGGCCAGGCTGATCTCGAACTCCTGGCCTCAAGTGATTGGCCCACTTCGGCCTCCCAAAGTGTTGGGATTACAGGCATGAGCCACTGCACCCAACCATGTTGGACTATTTTTGTTACTGATCTGATTTGGTTATTATTATAATATTTGTAATATGCTTAGTATGTGTCAGGCATATTCAGCACTTAAATCTGTAGCAGCGCATTTAAACCTTATGAGTGTCACTCTCATTTTACAGGAGGAAGCAGTGGCCCAAATAGGCTAAGCAACTTGCCCAAGATCATATAACCACCATGAACACTAATAATATGAATCATGGGACTATCTTAAAACGTTTTAAATTTTAACCTTCTTTCTCCCCCCTCCCCAATACTGGTTCTGTCAGCTAGCCTCTGTAAGCATACAAAACAAGCATCAAATAAATATGTTTCAGGTAACGTGCCTTCATGAACATTTTGCTCTTCAAAATAAAACCGAGGCCAGGTGCAGTGGCTCACACCTGTAATCCTAGCACTTTGGGAGACCAAGGGTGGGTGGATTACTTGAGGAGTAATCCACCAGGAGTTCCAGACCAGCCTGGCCAATATGGTAAAACCCCATCTCTACTAAAAATACAAAAATCAGCCATGTGTGGTGGTGGCACCTGTAGTCCAGCTACCAGGGAGGCTGAGGCAGAAGAATCACTTGAACCCGGGAGGCGAAGGTTGCAGAGAGCCAAGATTGAGCTACTGCACTCCAGTCTGGGCGACAGAGTGAGACTCTGTCTCAAAAAAAAACAAAACAACAAAACAAAACCCCAAAAAACTGCAAATCATATTAGATGACTAAGGTCTTGAATGTAGGGAGATGGAATGATTGTAGGTAGGTAAACCTTGCTTTATATTTGGGTGTATGTTCTAACTCCCTGTCCACTATAAAGTCACTAATGTCTAAAATTCATATACTAAATAAATAATATAAGCCTAAGCTTTAGAATTAGAGAGATAGATACTAGATGAGAAAGCTAAAAGAATGAAAGCAGTTGTCTCATCAGAGCTGAATTGGGACAAGGACCATTTTTTTTGGAATACTTTTAGCATTGTTTAATTATTGTACTATCAAGTGCATGTATTACTTTGATAAAAATAAAAGCTAATTTATATGAAGTATACAGTACATTAAAAAATTAAGTTGGTATATATTGAGAGATTGATGATATCTGGTATCAGTAAATACATGTGGGAAAAACAGTGCTCATATACACTTGGTAGGAAGGTAACCTTACACTATCTTTCCGGAAGGCAATTTGACATTACATATGAAAACTTAAAATGGCTATGCCTTTTGACTAGGTAATTCCATTTTTAGGAATCTGTCCTTCAGAAATACTCATACATAATACATACAAGGACACAAGAACCTATGTAGAAGGATGTTTGCTAATGTAATAATAATGAAAAACTGGAGACAAACTTACAATCAGCAGGGGAATCATGAGCAACAGGTAAAATACTGAGTGGAAAAAATAAATCACAATATATAGTATAATAAAATATATCACAATATGACTCACTTTTTATTCAAAGAGACAATATACACTGGCATATACACAGATCAATATATGTATGTTTGTTTTTATGTGCACTAAGAAAGACCTTAGGAGTAGCTAAACTTTTAGCAGGGTAGAAGTGGCATGGGAAGATGAATCTAACTTTTCAATATTTTTCTTTTTTAAAACATTATAGGTGTACTTCTATAATAAAAAATAAAAGGTTTTTATAGTGACAAAATTAAAGAAGAGATCACAAATCACAACAGAACTTCATTGTCCTACTGTAACTGTCACTTAGGTAAACCATCCTCCCTATGAAATCTACAAGGGAATTAAAAAGCATAGTCATTAACTTATTGGTATAACCAAACAAAAGTTCCAACAAAACTAAACATCTCTGGGAGAAATGACAGAAAACACTTGAAATCTTAAATGCAGGTGTCAATAAACATGGAGCCAAGTAATATTAATAATAGTGTAATTTCAATATGAGTAAACTCACCAGATATGAATAAACTCATCAGAAGTCAACCAATTCTTCATTATCCAAACCCACTGGGAGCAGTGGCTCACATAATTTTCAAATTTTTATATTTAGCTA
Source organism: Homo sapiens (assembly GCF_000001405.40). NCBI lineage: Eukaryota > Metazoa > Chordata > Mammalia > Primates > Hominidae > Homo > Homo sapiens. The sequence continues at coordinate 51,254,099 of NC_000017.11, forward strand.
TGGAGCAAATATTTTCTAGAATCTTAAATTTGAATGTTGTATGCATGAGATCACAAAGTAGTAAACAGAGATTAATACATACTCTACAATGACTGAACTTGGTAGGAGCTCAAGAGCTATTTAGCTCCTGCAGGCCTCTTTTTCATTCTATTATACTATGAGGATGAAAGCACATTCTGGTATAGTGATAAAACTCATCAGTGTAAAGAGAAATGCCTTCTTTCTTTCTAAGCTTACTGTTACGAGGAACATAAATGGTAAGGATTTGGGATTACTGAGTTTTTATTTCCCACAAATTCAATGTGCAAGCAAGAATAAATTCATGTCAATGATACAATCAAGAGGAAACCAAAAGCAATAATATTCTGAATAACCCATCTAAAGAAATGGAAAAGTACCCAGGAGAATGATAGGAGAGGACAATATTCTACATAGCAATATTTTAAGATTTAAAGCAACAGTGAACAAAAGGAAGTGATTCTTTGATCTACAAGAAATACAAATTTCTACCTCTTTGGGTTCAACTTCTAGACCTATCACTGTTATGACTTCGGATGTAACAATTACTTGGGTCTCAGTTTCCCTCTCTTCTAAATAAGAAAAACATCACTTACCACACAGGAAGGATGTATGATAAAATAAAAAAATTCACATGAATAGGCTTTCAGTTCTTCCGAAGAAAGCTATGAATCCTTAAGTACAAACCTGGAAAGCTAATTAAAAATAAGATGACCATATCAAAATTAAGTCTGAAACATGCAGTGGCCTAGAGATTCCCTGAGATCATTATCAGCTATCAATTCTACCCCAATAATAGAATTCATACTCAAGCTGGGTCTGTAGGGCGAATGTGGTCTGAATGATCAAACAAGATCATTTATTAGTATGTTAACATAGAGACGGGCCAGGCGCAGTGGCTCACGCCTGTAATCCCAGCACTTTGGGAGGCTGAGGCGGGCAGATCACAAGGTCAGGAGTTTGACACCAGCCTGGCCAATATGATGAAACCCCACCTCTACTAAAAATACAAAAATGAACTGGGTGTGGTGGCATTTGCCTGTAGTCCCAGCCACTCGGGAGGCTGAGGCAGAAGAATCACTTGAACCCGGGAGGCGGAGACTGCAGTGAGCCGAGCTCATGCCACTGCACTCCAGCCTGGGCAACAGAGCAAGACTCCATCTCAAAAAAAAAAAGAAAAGAGAAAGTAAATTCAACAGCTTATTCAGTATCATATTGATCTGATATAACCTAAAAACACTTGATCTGAAATGATAACATTCTCTTGGTGTTTACCTTTAAAAAATATATTTGGAACTGGTTGCTCAGAAGATATAAAATCACTGAACAATAGTAACTACAGGGTGTTAATAATTAAACAAAGATGGGTTAAACACATACAGATACACAAGGGGGCTACTTCTCTGGTGTATAAAATAATCTCTAGCAAATTTTAAAGCTTAGAAGTCTTAAAGTAATAGATGATGATAACCTTTTTTTTTTCCTTTTTTTTTTTTTGAGACGGAGTCTCACTCTGTCGCCCAGGCTGGAGTCCAGTGGCACAATCATGGCTCACTTCAACCTGGGTCTCCCACCAGACTCAAGCAATCCTCCCACCTCTGCCCCCGAGTAGCTGGGACTACAGGGGTGTGCCACCACACCTAATTTTTGTAATTTTTTTTTGTAGAGACAGGGTTTCGCCATGTTGCCCAGGCTGATCTTGAACTCCTGGGTTCAAGCAATCTGCCTGTCCTGGGCTCTCAAAGTATTGGGATTACAGGCGTTAGCCAACACACCTGGTTAATATTAACCAATATTTATTGAACGATATATACAAATCACTATGCTTAGCACCAGAAATACAAAGAAGTATTAGACTTAACATTCCTGTCCTACAATTAAGACTGCAAACGGTGGCCAAATAATTGGGCCACAACGTTGAACAAACTAATGAGTATTATATACAACCAGTTTTAAAAGACTAGTAGTAGGAATTAAACATAGTGAAAAAGGAAAAAGAAGGAAAGCCTGGGAACACATCTTAACATTTTATCTTATGACTTGTCTCATCTTTTATAGCAGCTTACTTTTTTTAAACAGCGGGCATAACATCTGAGTGGAGGTTTACAGAAACTACAGGAGGCAGGGCTGATGTTCACCCTGTATTTCAGATGAGGAAAGTGAAGCTTTCAAAGAGGTTACACAACTCACCTAAGATCGCAGTTCAGAGAGGTAGCTTGCTGACTTTGTCCAGAGCTCACTTCTACTAGACTAAATTCTAAATTATCAGTGCTAAAGTGAGAACTCGAAGGGACCTCAGAAATCTCCTAATGGAGTGTTTCCCTAACCAACCTGATAAACTTTCTGGGGTATACATTAAAAACACATTCCCAGGACCCACTGCAGACCTACTAAATAAGTTATAGGAGAGAAGTTTAGTATTTTAACAAGAGCCTCCAAGAAGTGATTATAATGATTAGTTATGCTTAGAAAACAGTGTTCTATGTGTGTATGTCCAGTATGCCAGACATTTGGCTACTTAAATTTACATTGCCTAAAACAGCAAAATTAAAAATTGAGTTCTTCAATTTTTAGTTCCACTAGTTACATTTCAAGTGCTCAACAACCACATGTGGCTAGTGGCTACCGTAACTGGACAGCAAAGATATAGGAAATTTCCATCATTGCAGAAACTTCTATTGGATTATGCTGATACTAGACTAACCCTTCAACTGCCATGAGAAAATGGAGGCACAGGATCTTGTCCAACAAGGGCCATGGAGCTACTCAATGGCAGAATTGTGACATCAACCTCACTGCCAGCACCCCTCTTATTGTATCACTTCATCCTATCTCATATTCAGGGTTTGTTCAAATGGGAATTATTTCCTTTTCACCTTTTATTGTGGGTTCCAGCAAAGCAAGAAGAGAAATCCTAAATTTGCAGGTAAAAAAATCCTTAAGCCAAGGTTTATTAAAAAATAATGATTAAATCTATGTGCAATTTTTGCCTGAAATCAAAAGTCATCTTGCACAGTTAAGAATACTGTGGTGTTAGGAGAAATATCTTAGCTTGTTTTAACTATTGTAAGTCCTTTCTCTTTTATTGTCCTGATGTTTTTATTCTTTCTTGAATTTTGAAACCCTCAGACTAATGATACATAAGTGTGAAAGGTTATATCTTATTTAGCAAACATTTTAAAGATGAAAAGCTGAGAAACAAAGAGCAACCCAAAGAATGTCACTTGTCTAATTTTAGAATGTGGTTACTCAGACTACTGAGCACTCTTGGCTTTTAGTAATTCAGTGGTTTAGTATTTATCCTAATATGTTGTTTTCACTTTTAAACTATAGCTTATATTTTCCTTTGATCACTATGTTACATTTGAAAACAATTTAAAATGTTGTTTTAATTTTCAACATTATTGAGGGACCAAAAGCAGCACTAGAACATCTAGAAAGGTTTAGATAATAAGGTCAACATATAACCAGCTTTAAAGAATATGGCAGCGTCTTAAAAATAAAACCAGTTGTTCCTGTCTAGTATGTTTAGAATGCAGATGTCTCCAAAGTCAGTCAACTTAAGTCATGACAGTTCATGTTTAAAGTAAGCAGGAAAAAAACTTGGAACTCCTTATTAATTAAAATGTTAAAAACACTATTATTACACCTCTACTGATTCTTTTTCACAAGCTGAATTCTAATGAGTAGATTTAGAGGAAATATTTTATGTCAAACATTACATAAAGTTAGAAACTGGATGGTTAAAAAGCATGACGCAACAACGTAAGGCACTATGAATAAATACTTATTCAAGACAGATGTTGCCATAATTTGCAAGGTACTCACAAGCAATCAGTATGGGGTTTTAGATAGATAGAAGCTACTTGTTATTCAGAGAAGGAGGTGGTGCAAAAAAAAAAAAAAAGTACAGCTATTTTCTTTCTAAACACTCTGGTGTTGAGGTAAACAAATGAAAAATAAAATAACAGTCTAAGTCCACAAGAGCAAAGCAACAGTCTCTAAGTTATAAGAGGAGGAGAGAAAAATTGAGTCTAACCTTTTAAATAGGAGACTGGGGCTTAAGGTGAAATTTATTTGCTGGCTTTTAAATCACATGCATTATTTCTACATTATACCTGTTATGTCTTGACACCCACTTCACCACATTAGAGAGTAATAGGTATATCCAAGATTCTTAGGCCAATAAAACTACTTTTAGAGGCAGCATAGCTCACCAAATGAAGGAGAATGTTAGAAAAACACCCAGTGACAATAGTTTCAACTATCTCAACCACCCAGTGATAAGTACTGGTGCATGCTAATATAAGGAGAATTAAAAATATTGTAAACTCTAAACAAGTATTAAAATGGTTCGTAAATTTCAAATCTCATAAAAGATAGTTACTTAAAAAAAAAAAAGAAGGAGTAAAAGCATTTGGAAGAGAGGCCCTTGGAGGAAAGACTAGCTTCCGAGGAACACAGGTCAAATACGGGTGTGGGCGGTAATCATCTAATCATCCCTCTACCAGGTGATGCTTCTAACCACTTCAGTTTTAGACATCCTTAGAAGTGATTTAGGTAATAAACAAATGTGTTTTGTGATACAAGAACCACGGAGATGACGCTGAAATTTCTAACTTCAAAAAGATGCACTCCTAAGAGAAAACAGGCACGAAATTCCCATATTGTAATTCTTTAGCTTCCTGTAGAAAAACATCTTCAGGCATGTAAGCCAGCACACTTGACACTGACCCAGCAAAGTTTTCGGCTAGCCCTCACTATCTCTCAACCCCCCTTCCTCCACTTCCCTGCTGTTCTTTCTTGGCACACAAAATATAGGCCAATGAGCAGTGGGTGGGTGAGGAGGATGTGAGAGAAAATTTGAGAAGTAAAAAAAGGAGCAACTTAACCAGGACATGAATGAGACTGAAGGGTCTAATAAGGGTAGGCAGACAACAATTAGAACTACTGAAATATGGGCTTTCCTGGGCAGTAGTGAGCTCTCAGTGCTTTTAGGGGTGTAAGCAGGGTTCAGACTACCTACCACTTGTCAGAGAGGCTGCAGAGGGGACGGCTGCTTTGGATGACCTCTAATGTCTCTTCCGACTCTGAAATGTTAGGATTCTTATTTCACAAAGGAGAACGCAATGGTCACAGAAGTCCACCGACTTGAAACCCTTTTAAATATGCAGCCTTGGAGGCTGCTTCCCAAACACCACTCCCACCTCTCCCGCACGTGCCCACCCCGCCCCCTTTCAATATTTCCACCTCCACGTGCAAACCGCCTCGCGGCACTGCCCCCAAGGCAGATAGACACCTTCCCCTGCAAAGCAACGAAACTGTGCTCCCCCTCCCCGCCAAGAAGAGAGGACTACTCCACTCTCCCACCCTGGGTGGCTAAAAAAGGAAAAGTCTCGGATCCAGCCTTTCCCCCCTAGCCAGAGCAGGGGGCGGGGGCAGGACGCAGAGAAAAACTTTCTTCTCGAATTTTTCTTCCAAAGGGTGGAGGAGATGGAGAGAACCCCAACGAGTCCAAGGCTGACGGGGTGGGGGGAGGGGAACCCCTGAATCGTTTAACGGCTGGAAGGGGGAGGGGGGCTCCGGAGGTTGAGAGGGCGTGGGATGGAGAAGCAGGCCAGGGAGCGGGGTCAGGGAGCTGCGGGGTTCCTGGGGTCGGAGAGCTGCAGGCGTCCCCCCCACCTGGCACACAAAGCGGCTGCCGCGCTCGGCTCTCACCAGATCCTTTGTGTTTTCCATCAGGGCCTCATGGGTAGGGGTTGTCCGTGCTCCCCGAGCCCGCGGCGCCCCCTCCCCGGGCTGGGGGCAGGTGCCTCTCCCCGGGACTGCGGCGACTACAGGGGGCCCCCGGCTGGGCCCAGACCGGTGGCGGGTGCAGCAGCCCCCGGATTTCCCCCCTTTAACTCGGGTGGCCCCAGGATATCAACAACATTAGCATAGCCCTCCCTCCCCAGCGCGCCTGCGCCGTGACCCGCGCCCCGATTGGCCCACTTCCCTACATACCCTCCTCTCTCGCTTCCACCGTGGGACCCTCTGCAGGCTCCGTACTCCAAGGACCGTACCAAGACGAAGGGTGGAAAGCGTATTGGGGCTTGTGTCAAGTCAAGTGGTTACAGCCAAGAGGAAAAGCAGAAGTTCCATTCAGCCGTCCCAGTGTATAGTCGGGGTTTCTTGCGCTCCTTTCAATATGTTGCAGCTGCGAAATTGTGTTGGAAAAATTTTCCACTCCAGTCACGCCGCTTCCCCCTACACCCGGAAGATTGGCCCTCCCGGAGGAACTCCCACACGGGGCGGGGCTGGGTAGGGGAGCGGGAGTTACGTAGAGGGAGGGAGTGCTGGTCACGTGGCAAGAGGCTGCGCAGGCTCCTTCCGGCCCCCGGGGCTTCGGCGGCGGCGGCCCGCGAGGGGCCTGGGCGCATGCGCAGCGAGGTTCCACGTGAGCGCCTGCGTTTCTCCTCAAACCTAACGATGCCGCCGGAGCGGAGGAGACGAATGAAACTGGACCGGAGAACCGGAGCGAAGCCGAAGCGGAAGCCCGGAATGAGGCCGGACTGGAAAGCCGGAGCGGGGCCAGGCGGGCCTCCCCAAAAGCCTGCCCCTTCATCCCAGCGGAAACCGCCGGCCCGGCCGAGCGCGGCGGCCGCTGCGATTGCAGTCGCGGCGGCGGAGGAAGAGAGACGGCTCCGGCAGCGGAACCGCCTGAGGCTGGAGGAGGACAAACCGGCCGTGGAGCGGTGCTTGGAGGAGCTGGTCTTCGGCGACGTCGAGAACGACGAGGACGCGTTGCTGCGGCGTCTGCGAGGCCCGAGGGTGAGGGAGGCCGCGGCGCGCGGGCTGGGCGCACTCGGGCGGGGCGCGCGGTGGGCGGTGAAGCTCCGGGGGGCGGAGCCTGGGCGACCTGCGGCGGCGGGGAGCGCTCAGGTGGGAGGGAGCCCGAGAACGCGGGCGCGGAGGGTCGCAGCTGCGGGTCCCTCGCCTCCCTGCTCCAGACTGAAAGTGCCTGGAGGGCGGGGACCGCGTCTTTCTCCGCCCCTGGAGGCGCCGCTGCTCGGGTATCTGCTTTGCGAACTGTGGTCGTGAGCATCTTTCGCTGCTGCTCGACTCCGCTAGCCTCTTCCCAAACTGAGGGTGGTCTTTTGATCACCTGCCTCAGTTCCTTGTGATTCAGGAATTCGATTTCGTTGATGGAATCAATTCGTGGGCACGGGCCTGGGCATCTCCGTTGTAACTATGTCCCCATGTGACTATGAGACCCACCATGTTTTGAGAATGATCGTGTATTCCGTTCATTTAGCAAATATTGGTGAACCTGTTAGTTGCCAGATACCCTTTCTGGCAATGGCAAACCCTGCGTGATTGATCATACTTTTTGCACACATTTTGCTATCCCTTTAAATTCTATACCAGGCTTTTCTTGAGAGAGTCCCGGACATTGTTCTAGGCACTGGAGGAGACACAGCAATGGACAAAACTGACAAAAATCCCTGCCTTTTGGCGCTTGTGTGCTAGTGGCAGAGACAAGATAGAGGAGATAAACGAGTAAACTTCAGGTTTGTTGGTGACAAGTGCTGAAGAGAAAAAAGGACATTCGGGAAAGGGAGATGGGCGTGTGTAGAGGCCTGTGAAATTTTAGATAAAGGGGGCAGAGGAAAGCTCACCGAGAATTACCCAGGCCATGTTTATTACACAAATGCTGACCTAGTTAATGTCAGCTGCTTACCAGAGCCGCCTTCGGGTGCTTGTAGGAGAAGTGGCAGCAATCTTTTTGGGAAGTACAGAACTATTACTGGAAACATGCTGAACTGTGCGACGGTTTTGTCGTCTGGAAAAGGAACAGTGTACGGAGGTGGGAGCTGTTGGGTTTGAAGGCTATTAGACTAGTAGTAGAGCAAGTAGAAACCACTTGGACATTTCTATCATTGGTTTTGGGAAGCTCAAACTCACTTCAAGGGATATTCTGTGGTCTAGGTTTAGATTTTTTTTTTTTTTTAGACTCGCCCTGTCGCCCAGGCTGGAGTGCAGTGGCGCCATCTCGGCTCACTGCAACCTCCACTTCCTGGGTTCAAGCGATTCTCCTGCCTCAGCCTCTGGAGTAGCTGGCATTACAGGCGTGCGCCACCACGCCTGGCTAATTTTTTTTTGTATCTTTAGTAGAAACGGGGTTTCACCATCTTCGCCAGGCTGGTCTCAAACTCCTGACCTCGTGATCCGCCCGCCTCGGCCTCCCAAAGTGCTGAGACTACAAGTGTGAGCCACCGCACCCGGCCTAGGTTTAGATTTGATAGTATAAACTTTATGGTATAAATTTATAACTTTAGAATTTAGATTTAATGGTATATTTATTTTTTACTTATTTAGAGATACGGTCTAACTTTGTCACCCAGACTGGAGTGTAGCGGCACCTATTAGTCTTCCATCTCCCTTTTGCTAATAGTAACTGGTTGCTCTTCTTGTTGGTCACAGATAAATTACACCTGCACAATTCTCCGAACACTTTAAACTCAGAAGTCAGCTTCATCCTCCTAGGCTCAAGTGATCCTCCTGCCTCTGCCTCCCAAGTAGTTAGCTGGGGCCACAGGTGCACACCACACACCCAGCTAAATTTAAAAATTTTCTGTAGAGACGAGATCTCCCTATGTTGCCCAGGCTGGACTCGAACTCCTGGGCCCAAGCAGTCCTCCCACCTTGACCTCCCAAAGTGTTGGGATTACAGGCATGAGGCATTGCGCTCTCTGCTGGTATAAAGTTTCTTAAGGAGGTAGGGGGTCAAAAACAGATTGGGAAAATGGAGATATCTTTGACTCTAGTTTGCCTCCGGTCCTGTAATTTCTGTAGTTCTGACATTTCTCCTCCTTTTTTCATCTGCAGACTCATCTTTTGTTCTTGTCTTACTTGGTGTTTTCCTTCCTGCGTGTTGAGTGTTGACTTTTTCTCCTTGACTGTTCCATCTTGCCTCACCTGTCCAGTCGGTGCCATTCTCTGATTTCTCCATTTTCTGCCTCTGCTTCCAGCATTTGCAATGGTAGCATTCCATCCCATTATTTCATCAGAGAGTGGTAGAAAAAACATTCTATGAGCCATTTGGCTGTAAGGCCTATGTGTCTGCAGTCATGGGATAGGAAAATCTCAGTGCTTGAGGGTGTTTTGTCTGCTGTAGGTTCAAGAACATGAAGACTCGGGTGACTCAGAAGTGGAGAATGAAGCAAAAGGTAATTTTCCACCTCAAAAGAAGCCAGTTTGGGTGGATGAAGAAGATGAAGATGAGGAAATGTAAGTTGCCTAACTTTTCTTCTGAATCCCTCTGTACACTTAAAAAAGTTATTTTGCAGATTTTAAAATCATTCTTTTTACCAATTTGTGATTATGTGAAGATTTGAAAAATATTTGAAAGTATAGAAAAGATCTTTCATGGTTCCTGATCCCACCACCGAGGGAGAACTGCTGTTAGCATGTTGTCACACTTCTGTCTCAGTCTCCTCTTTGCTGTATACAGTAGCTAAGAGAATACAGTGTTTGAAGTCAGATCTCGATTTGCCTCCTCTTTTGGCCAGTTTCTAATTGACCATGGGCAGTTTGGAACCTACATTTTTTCCTTTGTGAAATGGGCACAATGATAGTAACTACATCAGAATTTTGTTGGGATTAAACAAAATAGTACTTGTAGAACTTTTAGCACAGTGCCTGAAACTGAGTAAAGGCTAAAAAGAAGGTAGCTCACACCATAGGAACTGTCATGGATGAGAATGTACTGTATGCTTGATTTAACATTTTGACTTTTTCTACATAAAGTTACTTTGTAAACATTTCTCCCTACTTAAAAAAAATAGACATTTTAAAATGGCTATGTTGGAGTCAATTATGTGAATTAACCATAATTTACGTGGCTATTGTTGGGTAGATTTTCTTTTTCCCTTTTTTTTTTTTTAATTATTTTTTTTGAAACAGAGTCTTGCTGTTTCACCTAGGCTGGAGTGCAGTGGTGCGATCTTGGTTCACTGCAACCTCTGCCTCCTGGGTTCAAGCGATTCTCCTGCCTCAGCCTCCCGAGTAGCTGTGACTACAGGCGTGTGCCACCACACCTGGCTAATTTTTGTATTTTTAGTAGAGACAGAGTTAGACGGAGTTTTGCTACGTTGGCCAGGCTGGTCTTGAACTCCTGACCTCAAGTATACACCCGTCTCTGCCTCCCAAAGTGCTGAGATTACAGGCGTGAACTGCTGTGCCCAGCCTTATTTTTCCCTTTAATGCAGATTATTTCAGCATTAATGTTTATCACCTCTTTATGTATAAACCTTTCTTTATTTTCTAATTTATTGCCTTAAGAAAGATTCTTTGAGGTAGAATTACTTAATCAAAGAGCACAGTTATTTTTAAGGTTCTTGATAAGTACTGCCAGACTGCATGCTATGGGGCTCTACCAGTTTGCCTTCCCATTGAAAGGTGTCAGTTTCAGTCCATTCTTAGACACAATGGTTTATTTGTTTTTTTTTTCCAGACTCTGTCAGTTTGGTAGTGGGTAATATCTCTACCTAGTTTGTTTTGAGGAAGTGTTTTTGTGTTTAGTCATTGTCTTCTTTTTTTTTTTTTTGAGACTCTCATCCTTTCATCCAGGCTGGAGTTCAGTGGCGCGATCTTGGCTCACTGCAACCTCCGCCTCCCAGGTTCAAGCGATTCTCCTGCTTCAGCCTCCCAAGTAGCTGGGACTACAGGCACATGTCACCATGCCCAGCTAATTTTTGTATTTTTAGTAGAGACGGGGTTTTACCATGTTGGCCAGGCTGGTCTCGAACTGTTGACCTCAAGTGACCTGTTTGCCTCGGCCTCCTAAAGTGCTGGGGTTACAGACATGAGCAACCACACCTGGCCTCGTTTCTTATAAATATTCTTTATTATGTCCTTGTCTATTGGAGACTTTTTAAATAATCTTGGTATATTAGTTCCTGACATATTGAGAATTTCAAACCTTTATATGTTAGATTTATTGTAGGTTTTCCCCAGCTTTCTGTGCATAGAAGTTTTGAATTTTTATATAGTCAAATCTGTGAATCTTTTCCTTCATTATTTTTACTGCTTTTTTAATAGTAAGTAGTTAACAGAGAGAGACAAATGTTTATCTATATTTTTACTTCATAGTATTTTAAGGTTTGCTCTTTTTTTTTTTTTTGAGATGGAGTTTTGCTCTTCTTGCCTGGGCTAGAGTGTAGTGGTGCGATCTTGGCTCACTGCAGCTTCTGCTTCCCAGGTTCAAGTGATTCACCTGCCTCAGCCTCCTGAGTAGATGGGATTACAGGCTCCTGCCACCACGCTGGACTAATTTTGTGTTTTTAGTAGAGGCAGGGTTCCACCACGTTGGCCAGGCTGGTCTCGAGCTCCCGACCTTCAGTGATCCGCCTGTGTCTGCCTCCCAAAGTGCTGGGATTGCAGGCATGAGCCACCGTGCCCGGCCTTTTTTTTTTTTTTTTTTTTTGAGACAGTCTCACTCTTTTGCCCAGGCTGGAGTACAGTGCCACAATCTGGGCTCATTTCAACCTCTGCCTCCTGGGTTCAAGTGGTTCTTCTGCCTCAGCCTCCTGAGTAGCTGGGATTACAGGTGTGTGCCACCCCGCCCAGCTAATTTCTGTATTTTTAGTAGAGATGGTGTTTCACCACGTTGGCCAAGATGGTCTGGATCTCTTGACCTCGTGATCCACCTGCCTCAGCCTCTCAAAGTGCTGGGATTACAGGCGTGAGCCACCACGCTGGGCCTAAGGTTTGCTCTTTATGTATTTAACTCTTTGATTTACTTGGGGTTTATTTTGGAGAATTTCATAAACTGTGTGCAGATAAGTCATGATGAATTTTCTCAAATAGTAGCTCTCCAAAGTGTAAACCAGATGATCTGAAATGTTGGCAACTACTTTTTTGTTCTTTTAGGAAGAACAGAGAAGATGCATTTGAAATGTTCACATCTTAAAAATCTTGACCTATATTGTTTCATTAAACATTTTTCTCCAAGTGCTAAAAGCAGCAGCTATTTATATTAACTCTTTAAAAGTTATTTAAAATATGCTGTTCTGTTTTTGTAGGGTTGACATGATGAACAATCGGTTTCGGAAGGATATGATGAAAAATGCTAGTGAAAGTAAACTTTCGAAAGACAACCTTAAAAAGAGACTTAAAGAAGAGTAAGTGTCTTTTTTCATATGATTTACCAAGAGGTGTATGTAACCAATGCCCAGTCATTAACCGTAACCGCTTCTTGTGTAGTTTTCCATTTTGAAACAGTAAGAGGATTGCTATTGTGGGCAGTGACTAAATTTCTGTAGTTTTTTTTAGGGGAGAGGGGACAAAACACAGACACAAAGAAAATTTGGAAAAAAATTCTTACCACTCAAATATAATCAGTGATAATATTGCTTACTTGTTCATTTGCATATGGTACACCATAATTTTATAATATGAACATTTTCAAAAATTTAAATGGCCACCACCTGGGTTCAATGGTTTTTAACATTTTGTCATATTTGCTTTGTGTATTTGGGGGATGTGTGTGCTTTCCCAATGTATTTGAGAGTAAGGTACAGATAATGCGACACTTAACTCATTAATTTGTCAATGTGCATCTCTTAAGATTAAGGATGTTTTCCTTCATATTCACAATACCATTGTCATACCTAAGAAAATTAACAGTTTACGGCTAGTCCATGTTAGTTTCTCCAATTGTTGTAAGGTGCATACATTTTATTTGGATTTTATGTCCTTTAAATTTATATATTTTTTTGAGGTAGGATCTCACTCTGTCACCCAGGCTGAAATGGAGTGGTGCTGTCATGGCTCATTGCAACCTCTATCTCCTGGGCTCCCCATAGCTGGGACTACAGGCATGTACCACCTTAATTTTTAAAATTTTTTTGTAGGAATGGGGTTTCACTATGTTGCTCAGGCTGGTCTTGAGCTCCTGGACTCAAGAAATCCTCCCACCTCAGCCTCCCGAGTAGCTGGGACTGCAGGTGTGTGCCACCATGCCCAGCTAATTTTTGTATTTTTTTGTAGAGATGAGGTTTTTCGCCATGTCGCCCAGGCTGGTCTTGAACTGGGCTCAAGCGATCTGCCCTTCTTGGCCTCGCAAAGTGCTGGGAATACAGAGGTGAGCCACTGTGCTCAGCCATTACCTATCTTTTAAGTGTTCAGACCTGTTGTCTTGTAGAATATCCCACATTCTGACATTTTAAGACTCCTGTTTTTTATTGAGGTGAAATTCACATAACAGTGTTAGGCATTTTAAAGTGTAAATTTGGTGGCATTTAGTATATTTAGAATGTTGTGCCACCACCTCTTCAATCTAGTTCTAAAACTTTTTTTTTGGTTTTTTTTTTTTTGGTTCTTAAACATTTTTATCACCTCAAAAGAAAACTCTCCATTAATTAGTCACTTTGCATTTCCTCTTCCCTCAATCTGATTATTTTTTCTTTGTGTTGTTTAACTTGTTCTGTCATCTGTATTTCCTGTTAAGTTGGGCTTAAAGTCTTGATTAGAATTCAATTACGTATTTTGGTGAGGAGTATCTTAAGATGATGTGTACCAGACACTGCCCCTCAAAGTCCAGTTGTATCAGTCTCTTTCAAGTCTGATCTTTTTCTCAGCTTTGTGTCAGGGTCTTATAAATGCCTTTAGGGGAAAATTTGTGGTGGTGATGGGGTTCATCTTGCTTATATCCCTTCTCTGAGGGATCACAGTCCTATGCTGTCATCCAGTTTCCGAAAAAATTTGTTTCATATATTTTGTCCAGGTTTCTAGTTGTTTATGGCTCGTGGGCTTAGTTTGGTGAGCTAGTCTGTACTTCTGCATCAAAAAATTAAAACAACTCTCTTTGCCCTCTTCCAGGTACCAGTTGTTGTTTTTTTGTTTTTTGTTTTTTGTTTTTTTTTTTTTGAGATGGAGCCTGGCTCTGTCGCCCAGGCTGGAGTGCAGCGGCGTGATCGCGGCTCACTGCAAGCTCTGCCTCCCGGGTTCACACCATTCTCCTGCCTTAGCCTCCTGAGTAGCTGGGACTACCAGTAGATGGGACTACAGGCACCTGCCAACACGCCCAGCTAATTTTTTTGTATTTTTAGTAGAGACGGGGTTTCACCATGTTAGCCAGGATGGTCTCAATCTCCTGACCTCGTGATCCGCCCGCCTTGGCCTCCCAAAGTGCTGGGATTACAGGCGTGAGCCATGGCGCCCGGCCCAGGTACCAGTTCTTACGAACACAGCTATCATGCTTCTGTTAAAGCTTACTTTTTCCAGAGTGAAGTGATTCTGTTTTATTCAGATGATATATAATGAAGTTTTGTATATTCTTAACAATCTGGTCAGTTTCTTTTAGACGTGTTCTAGTGTGTAGTCTATGTACTGTGGCATAAACCACAAAGAGACTTCTTTACATAGTCCTGATATCTGGGATGTGTTGATATGAACAAATAAGACAACCATGTAACTAGATGGAAATAATTAACAAAAAATATGTATCCAGGACTAGTTTAAGTGGGCAGAGGTTCATGGAGGTTTCCAGTATAGGCAGGTTGGGACTGTTCTGTGTGAGTAAAGATAATAACTTCTGTTCTTAAAGATAGTTACTTCTTTGGAAGAGAGTCCATACGTATTCTCAAGGGTGATTCAACGTATATGCTTTAAATGTATCAAGCTTTATGGACATGTAGTGGTTGCCATAAATATATTTTTCAAATATTTTTGCTTAGATTCCAACATGCCATGGGAGGAGTACCTGCCTGGGCAGAGACTACTAAGCGGAAAACATCTTCAGATGGTGAGCGTTGATATTTCTGTTTAAATTAGTACATAAGTCCCTGTTCCTGTTCGTTATTATTTGAGCTTTCTTATGAGGCTCATTAAAACCTGGCATTTCTTGCCTGGCTCGGTAGCTCACGCCTGTCATCCCAGTGCTTTGGGAGCCCGAGGCGGGTGGATCGCTTGAGTCCAGGAGTTTAAGACCAGACCGGGTGACATGGCGAAACCCCATCTCTACAAAAAATACAAAAATTAGCCAGGCCTGGTGGTATGTTCCTGTAGTCCCGACTACTTGGGGGGCTGAGGTGGGAGGATTGCTTGAGCTAGGGAAGACTAGGGTGCAATAACCTGTGATAAGTGATAAGTGCCACCGTACTCCAGCCTGGGTGACAGAGTGAGACTCTGTCTCAAAAAAAAAAAAAAAAAAAAAAAAAAAAAAAACCAAAAAAATCTGTTTTTTGACTGTAGGTTTTAAATTTAACTTGTACCATGGCTATTTTCTGCTTCTTCGATCTTTTGAGTTTAGCTATTATAAATATGGATGGCTTAGCTAAAATCTGGTTTGTGTGCTTGGAGTTACATGTTTTAGACTTGGAATTAACCTTTGAAATCCTGAGAGTCCGGAGTATATCCTCTCACATCATGTGGGAGCTCCTTCCTTAGCATCCTTCATGTCCGTAGAGCTTCAGTTTGATTATGACCACCTCCTTTGTCCCCTTTCTTCCTACCCTGTTAGTCCTCATGGTACGTAAATGCAGGGAGTCCATACAAAGAGCCAGTGTTTTATATAATTCTATTAGAAAAGACAATCTGTTACTAAGTAGAAATTGACCGTCTTTGTTTCTAGCCATTTGCTTTTAGAGGTTGAAGGAATCTTAGTGATGTGGCCTGACTTTATCCACTGCAGTAATCTTTTCTACATTATCCTCTGCTTAAATATATCAAATAATGTATTGTGTGTGTGTGTGTGTGTGTGTGTGTGTGTCAGTGTCAGAATCTCACTCTGTCACCCAGGGCTGGAGTGCAGTGGGGCAATCTCAGCTCACTACAACCTCTGCCTCCCGGGTTCCAGTGATTGTTTTGTCTCAGCCACCTGAGTAGCTGGGGTTACAGGTGTGCGCCATTACACCTGGCTAATTTTTGTATTTTTAGTAGAATCGGGGTTTCACCGTGTTGGCCAGGCTGGTCTTGAACTCTTGGCCTTCCAAAGTGTTGGGATTACAGGCATGAGCCACTGTGCCTGGCCTAAATAATGTACTTTTTACTAAACTGTTTTTTCCCCTTCTTCCCTTTTCTTTAAGAACTGTTAGACAGTTTTTCCTATTTTGAAATGTATGTCCCAACAAGTCTCTACTCCTACGGTTTGAAACATATAGATTATCTTCTTTTTCTCTCATTTGGGAAGCCTCTTTCCATGTTTGTTTTTTAATATGTTAAACATCCCTCGTTATTTTGACCATTTTTTTGGTGGCGTACTTCTAGACCCTAGATCACCAGTTTGCCCTCCTGGATGAAACATAATTTTATTATCCATTTCAGAATGCTGCATTTATAGAACCCCACAACATTTTAGATTCCTGTAATTTTGGGTATGGTTATGCTAGCTGTTGAAACAAAATCCCACAGATCCCAGTGGCATAATCCAATTGAAGTTGGTTTTTTCAGCACATAAAATTGGGGTGGTAGGAAGGTGATGGTTTACTTTAGGGACCCAAGTTTATAGAAGTTCTGTCATCTTCAGGTTGGTTCTTCCAGAGTTGCCTAAGATGTTGACATCCACTTGGCTTATAGGAGGAGAAAGAGGGGATTTTTATTGGCCTTTCCTGGAAATGGTACAGGATACTTTTGCCTACATTTTGTTGGCTGGAACTCAGTCATAAGGCCACACTAGCTGAGAGGATCCTAGGAAGTGTAGTTTGGCTTTGTGCACAGGAGAAAAAGGAAGTGGATTAAGTCAGCAATTAGTCTGCTACAGTATGGGATATGCTTGTCTAACACATTCATTTTGTACATGAGAGAGGTTCAAAGAGATAGTGACTTGTTGAAGGTATACTTATTGTTGACAGAATGGTGACTAGCACTCAGCTTCATGATTATCTCCAGTGTGTTATTTTTATCTGTAAATATTTACTGAGTTTCGTTATAAGAAAATTCTCCCTTTTGAACATAACCACAGCTCCAAAAATCAACAGCAATTCATTAATATTATGAATTGTTGTATTGTGTTGCTCTTTGTTTATCCCCTCTCCCTATCATTTTAGCTTGCTTTGTATTTTGCTTAGACTTCATAGTACTTTTGAACTGGCTTGATGTCTTCTGTAAGTTTTGGAAATTCTCACCTGTCTTCAAGTATTGTTTCTGTTCCAGTCTTCCTTTCTAGATTATTAGTAATACGTATATTAAATGTCTTCCACCTATTTTTTGGTTTGGTTTTTTTTTGAGACAGGGTCTCACTCTATCGCCCAGTCTGGAGTGCAGTGACGTGATCTTGGCTCACTGTAGTCTCGACCTCCTGGGTTCAAGCAATCCTCCCACCTCAGCCTCTGGAGTAGCTAGGACTACAGGCATGTGCCACCATGCCCAGCTAATGAAAAAAAAAATTTTTTTTTGTAGTGACAGGATCTTATTATGTTGCCCACATTGGTATTCAGTGTTTTTTATCCTTTTTCTTTCTGTACTTCAGTCTGGGTATATTTTTCTGATTCGTTTTCTAGACCACAAATTCTCTCTACAGCTAATTTTGATGTACTGTTAAAAACATCTATTGGAGGCTTAATTTAATTTTATTTGTTATTATTTTTTGAGTTAGTCTTGCTCTGTCGTGTAGGCTGGAGTGCAGTGGCACTACCTCCACTCACTGCGACCTCTGCCTCCTGAGTTCAAATGATTCTCCTGCCTCAGCCACCCAAGTAGCTGGGATTACAGGTGTGCACTACCATGCCTGGCTAATTTTTGTATTTTTAGTAGACACGGGGTTTCACCATTTTGGTCAGGCTGGTCTCGAACTCCTGACCTCAAGTGATCCACTTGCCTCGGCCTCCCAAAGTACTGGAATTACAGATATGAGCCACCATGCCTGGCCTATTGGGGGCTTACTTTTAATTACGTATTTTTCAGCTCTAGAATTTCTTTTTCAAATATTCTACATTTCTGGCTCAATTTTGAATCTTGTCTTTCATTCTTAAATATATTAAACATAGTTTTTTTTGTTGTTGTTGTTTGTGTTTTTTTGAGACAGAGTCTTATTCTGTTGCCCAGGCTGGAGTGCAGTGGCGCAATCTCAGCTCACTGCAACCTCTGCCTCCTGGGTTCAAGTGATTCTCTTGCTTCAGCCTCCCAAGTAGCTGGGATTACAGACATAAGCCATCATGCCCAGTTAATTTTTGTATTTTTAGTAGAGACGGGGTTTCTCCATGTTGGCCAGGTTGATCTCTGACTCCTGACCTCAGGTGATCCACTCACCTCGGCCTCGCAAAGTGCTGGGATTACAGATGTGAGCCACCGCGCCTGGCCTGAACATAGTATTTTTAAGGTTTGTGTCTGATAATTCCGTTGTTTAGATCCCTGTGGGGATTGTCTGTTTTTCCTTGTGGTTTTTAGTCAAGTTATCTTGTCAATATTTGCCTGGTTATATTTCATTGAGTGGTGGACATTGCATATGAAAAATAATGTAGATTAATTAGATCTAGGATGATGGTTTATATGTTTACTTCTAGGTAGGTAGCTTGGCAGAGGACACTAGTAATCCCAGAACGTTTTATTTTAATGAGGAATTGTGAAGCAGAATTTCAGTTTTGGGAAGATTTTCTTATAATTCTTTGATTTCGTCTTTAATCCTAGTGGTAGCCCTTTGTGGCCGCAATCCAAAATCTGGTGGCTTACCAGACCCTGTCAAGAAGCTTAGAGCTAGTTTTTCCCTTCTTAGCTCCGCAAGTGTTTTAAGTTTGCTCAGCTTCTTAGCTGTCTCCACTGGAATCATCAGTCATCTCCAGGGGGAAAAGCAGCCCTATTTGCTCTTTTTGAAGTTCTGATACATAGATTGCTGACATTGATCATTCAGCTAAAAGTTCTGGTTTTTATTCATGTGAGTTGTTAAACTAGATCAGTAGCCAACCTGTTGCCAATTTTGCCATAATTATGAGTTGCTCTTTTTAAATGAAATGCTGGCTTTAAACTTTTATTTCACTTCATCTTGTTTTAGTAACCATCTGTGTATGTGTTAGTCTTTCATTCTAGAGTTAAACTTTGATTTTAACTATGGATGTTAAGCTTTGTGTCATCTTTTTCTTCTCCTTTAAAATTTTTTTTTTTTTTTTCCTGTTTTGCTTTTGCCAGTTGCAGCTTTAAAAAAAGCAATTGAGGTAGGGAGGCTGGAAAGGGAGTTGATGTTGAAAATATATTCATAGAAGTTTGGGGTAGGTAAAAGGGGCAGCTCATTGATTCTAAAGATCAGCCTTCTGGGTTTGTTTGACTTAGATGAAAGTGAAGAGGATGAAGATGATTTGTTGCAAAGGACTGGGAATTTCATATCCACATCAACTTCTCTTCCAAGAGGAATCTTGAAGGTGAGAGTCAGTGAAGTTGGGGGATCCTATCTAACTACTTACCTCTGCAGTTTAATTTGCTTCCCAGTAGCAGATGTATGGATTCCTATTATCTGTGGGGTTAAATATGTTTGCTGTCATTTTGCCCTGGTAAATACTTATGT
Organism: Homo sapiens; assembly: GCF_000001405.40. Lineage (NCBI taxonomy): Eukaryota > Metazoa > Chordata > Mammalia > Primates > Hominidae > Homo > Homo sapiens. The sequence continues at coordinate 51,273,594 of NC_000017.11, forward strand.
TATTGTTTTTTTTTTTTCCTTTTGCAAAAAATGTTCTAGAGGTATTATGTTCCTATTGCTTGAGCTCAGGAGTTTGAAGCTACGGTGAGCTGTGATGGAACCACTGTACTTTAGCCCGGGTGAAAGCGAGACCCTGTCTCTAAAATAATAAATAAATAAATAAATAAATAAATAAATAAATTTTCCAGTAATTCTAGGAATCCCGTTTGGTTTATCTTCATTTTCATTGGCATCAGCCTAGTTCATACTGCTGTCATCTCTTATCTGGCATATTGCAGTAGCTTTGTGACTGGACTCTTTACTTCTACTTTACCTCTTTTTAAATCATTCTTTGTATGGCAGCCAGAGGGATCTTTTAAAAATAAAACATCAGGTCATGTCACTTTTCATTGCTTTTTGAAAACTTCTGAATTCCTTATCGTATTCTACACTGCCCTTTACAGTCTGGCTTTTGCCTGGATCCTTAGCCTCATATCAGACCTGTTTCCCATGATTTCCCACTTGAGTCACACAAGCCTTTTTCTGTTTCTTGGACATGCTGCTAGGTCCTTTCTTGCCTGTGAACCTTTGCTCTTTCTCTTTTGTTCTGCCTGCCTTGTCTTCAGGAAGTCCTAATGGCTAGCTCATTCTTACCTTTCTGCTCAAATGGCACCTTAGACAAGACTTTCTCTAAAGTGGTCTACACTATTCACTTTCTAACTCATCACTATGTCTAGCATGTTCATTATGGTAACCAGCTGCCTATGTAGCACAGTACTTTAGTTAAATATCTGTCATACTAACGGGCAGTACTTTAGTTAAATATCTGTCATATTAACAGATCTCTCTGTGACATAGATATCTTTTGTTTGTTTGTTTGTTTTTTTGAGACAGAGTTTTGCTCTTTTGCTCAGGCTGGAGTGCAAGGGCGTGATCTCGGCTCACTGCAACCTCCGCCTCCCGGGTTCAAGCAATTCTCCTGCCTCAGCCACGCAAGTAGCTGGGATTACAGGCATGCACCACCATGCCTGGCTAATTTTTTTTTGTTTTTGTTTTTTTGGTAGAGACAGGGTTTCTCCATGTTAGTCAGGCTGGTCTCGAACTCCTGACCTCAGGTGATCTGCCCGCCTCAGCTCCCAACGTGCTGGGATTACAGGCGTGAGCCACCGCGCCCAGCGACATAGGTCTCTTTTCTTATTACACCATGGCAGGAGTATTTAAATGGGGCAGGGGAAACTATTATGATAAATTAGATACAGTGATTTTGTCTTGCACCTTATGAGGACAATTCATTTAGCTCTTTACGGGTGAATTCACCTCCATTAAAAATGTAGTTACCACATGGCCGGGCGCAGTGGCTCACGCCTGTAATCCCAGCACTTTGGGAGGCCGAGGCGGGCAGATCACCTGAGGTTGGGAGTTTGAGACCAGCGTGACCAACATGGGGAAACCTCATCTCTACTGAAAATACAAAATTAGCTGGGTGTGGTGGCACATGTCTGTAATCCCAGCTACTTGGGAGGCTGAGGCAGGAGAATCACTTGAACCCAACAGGCAGAGGTTGTGGTGAGTCGAGATTACGCCATTGCCCTCCAGCCTGGGCAACAAGAGTGAAACCCAGTCTCAAAAAAAAAAAAAAAAAGTTGTAGTTACCATAAAAATTTAACTTGGTGGTTACAAACAAAACACATACTTTTGTTTTTAACTGAATTTTAAAAATTCAAGGGGAAACCTGTAAAAACAAAATAAATAACAAAATAGTCCAGGTGATGGATGTGAGATTACCATTACTTTAAACTTGGAACCATGTACCCTAAGAGAATAAAGCAACCTGTGCCAATTGAAGAACTGTGGGGACAACTGTGCAGTGCCTCTTGCATTTGTGCCATGAATGCAAAGATGCCAGGTGCCAAAGTAGAAGTTTTAAGTGAAATTTCCTCAGAAGTGAAAGTCTCTTAACACAAATGGATGTATTTTGGGGAAATGACTACATACTAGTGCTCCAAGAATGAGTAATACATTCAGACTTCTAGATATGGAAAGCACTTTAATGATTTAATCTTTTTATTTGAAAGATGGTAAAAATGGATTCTTTTGTGGTAAAGTGACTTGCTAGTTGGTGCCAGAGCTGCGGTTTTTTTGTTTTTTGTTTTTTTTTTTTGAGTTGTGTTTGGTTACCATTCCAGTGCATTTTTTTCCTTCATTATAAACTGTAATGTCTTTTCTTCTTACTCTAAAGAAAATAATGTTTATTCATTTCAATTGATAAAATCCCAGCTTTCATTTCCTATAGATGAAGAACTGCCAGCATGCGAATGCTGAACGTCCTACTGTTGCTCGGATCTCATCTGTGCAGTTCCATCCCGGTGCACAGATTGTGATGGTTGCTGGATTAGATAATGCTGTATCACTATTTCAGGTATGCATCTTTATTTACTTATTTATTTCTAATGCATTATTTTTATTTAAGGACCAGACATTTGCAACCCCAAATGCAAAAATACTGAAAAAGATATTCATAGCTAAAACATCATAGCCCGAAGCATAGCTAAGTCTCACAGAAGTGACAGAGTTCATTTACTTGGAAATACAAAACAGAACATCCAGTCAGCATACTGCCCTTGCTTCTTGCTCCAAAGTCTGTCGTCACTGTTTTCAATCACAGCTGCTCACCCCTTGCCTGTTCACAGTTTGGGTCGCTCACCATCCCTTGCCCACTCACATTTTTATTGAATGCACCTGTATGACTTCAGTGTACAAGGAACCATAATAATAGGGGATTTGGAGTAAAATTTTTCTTCCACTGAATATAAAAGTTCAGTAAAATAGTGGTTTAAAATAATAGATTGAGAAGTGAAGAATATATTAATCATGTTAGTGAATATATTCTCTCTACAAAAACGTGTTCTTTTAATTTTCTGGTGAGTTATTAGAGCAAAGCGATAATATAACCTCATGACTTTACTGGGTCTTCCATGTTTAATCTAACACTGATGTACATTGATGGTTTCTTGGGTTGCAACAATAAACAACAGACCTGGCCCTTCACTTCAGGATGTCACTCTCTGATGGGGGTATAGATGGTGAACACATGGTCACAAATGTAACCATTCAGTCCTGCAGGTGCTTCACAGTATCTGCTCTTGGATAGGGTATCCCAGTTTTCTTTTAGAGAATAACACTTGGTCCAGTTCATGTAGTTTGGATGGGACTGACTCTTATCTCCTTATCTGTGGGTGGACAAACTCAAGAAATTAGTAGGGCAAGGTATGGGGAAGGAGCGTGGAGCTTCCGTGCCTTCTCAGGGCACGCCACCTCCTCAGCACCTCCGTGTGTTCAGCAACCCAGAAGCTCTCTGAATACCTTCTGTTAAGCCTTTTTATGAAGGCCTCTTGACATAGGCATGGTTGATTAAATCACTGGCCGTGGCTGCTTAAGTCAGCCTTCAGCCCCTTGGATATGTATTTTTAAATGAACACTTGTAGTGAAAAGTATATACTACCAGGATACAGGGTCTGTGGAAATAATCAAAAGAACCATTTTGTACTTCTTTATAGGTTGATGGGAAAACAAATCCTAAAATTCAGAGCATCTATTTGGAAAGGTTTCCAATCTTTAAGGCTTGTTTTAGTGCTAATGGGGAAGAAGTTTTAGCCACGAGTACCCACAGCAAGGTTCTTTATGTCTATGACATGCTGGCTGGAAAGTTAATTCCTGTGCATCAAGTGAGAGGTAAGATTTCTGTTGAATGCACACAACCAGTCATTCCCCCCAAGGTGAGTTTATGTAACAGTGTTTACAACACTTTTTTCACTCCATAGGATTCTTAAAAATAAGAGTTTCTTTAGGTATAGTGTTTGGAAAATGTCTTTGTGCTTTTGAGATAACACGTTTGAATGAAACCAGTGAACTTTTTTACTGAACACTTACGGAATGATCATAATTTGGAAATATATATTCCCCCTACACCAGACAAGCAATTGCAAATACTTGGCTGTAAAGTTAGCAGTTGATGCAGCAGAAAAAGCATGAGCCATGGAGCTAGAAGACCTGGATTCCATTTCTTTGGACAAACTGTTTCACCTCTCTGATCTTCAGGAAACTTGGATACTCTGTAGTTTTAGTGTTAGTTATAATAAAATTTTGATTTATATTTAAAGGGAATAAAGCACTGCTTTTGGAGGTACTTCTGTATTTTAAAGAATGAACTACTTAAAAAATAACGCTTTTTTAGGAGGTGAAAATTTATCTGCCCTCTACCATACCCATTCTTTTCCTATATTTCCCTGCTCCTTTATATCCCAAAATACACCGACACCTTCATGCATCCTTTGGGAACCAAAGCCCTTCTAATGAGGTTGTCTGGCTAATCTCAGGAGGTAGTGTTGGCGTATGGCACGGCTCACTGGTGCTCTCCCTATTAAACTGTACATGCATGTGGCTGGAAAGGACAAGAGTAGCTCTGTACAACCATTTTTCTACTAGTGGTTGAAAGTGGATGGGGCCAACTTTAGAAACATTTATGATGTTTATCTTTAGCATTTCCAATCTTTTCTTTCCTGTGTTCCTGACACTTTGATCCTTTCCAAGTAGATCCTTGGTTTACCCTAAGGCAGAGCTTCTCAGAAGTAAATGTGCACGTGAATCACCTGGGGGTCTCATTAAGCTGCAGATTCTGATTCTGTAGGTCTTAGGTGGGTTGAGTCTGCATTTCTGATTCTCTCAGGTGATGGTGATACTGTGTGGTCCATGGACCTCACTTGGTTAAAAAGTCTTAAACCATCTTCTCATATTGAAATAGAAAACAATATTTAGTAGTTACTATTTTTACATGTCATTTCACTATTCAAAAGTAATGGATTCTGGCATCTCCTTGTCTTGCATCCTCTTGAGAGAAAGCGCACCATGCGTTGGCCAAGATACAGTTAGTGATCTTTACCATGGATCTGCTAGGTGGGCAGGAGTGTGTGTCCAGTCACCAACTGCTTTGGAGACATGGCATTGATCTTTCCTTCCCAGTATTTCTCCTTTTTCTGTTTTCACATTTCCACCGCCTGATACTGTGCTGTTAGGATTAGGTCTGTAGGTGTTTCCAGTTGTAGCTTCACATGGTGTTAGAACAAGCCTCCTGTCCTACCTCATCACGTAATGATATTTTCTTTATGTTTGGAACTACTTCAGTATACTTTAGTCAGTACATACGGTTTATTCAGAAATTTGGATTAAAATTACCCTTAATAGGCATAGTGGAGTGCCTTTCATAGTAAGGAGACTAGTCATCAGCAGAAGTAACCCCAGTGATTGGAAATGTAGTATGTGTCTGAAATAATATTGGGGAGCATGAGTCCAAGCAAGGGAACTAAGATGTAGTCTTTGGGAGACAGGACTAGAGTGGGATGTCCAGTTTGTAGTAGTGGAAAGTAGCCTTAATTTGTATTTTCCTGTAGTGGAACAAGGGTCCTTAACCAGATTTTTGTAACTCCTTTTTCTCTAATTAATATTGTAACTTAGTAACTTAAAATTTTAAAAATATAGACATATATTTTTGACTAGGCAATATATTCACACGGTGTTAAAAATCTACTATGTAGAAATGAATGGATAGTGAAAACTCTCTTCTGCTCTGTCTCCCTGTCTTCCTGCTTTCCTTCCTTGGAGGTAGCCAGTTGTATGCATTCTGATGCATCCTGTTAGGTAACTTTTTAATGAGTAACTTGGCTCTCTAAGCATTTTGATATCAGGAGGAGTCCCCTGTATAGTCAATATGAACCTTTCAGTCATGGAAAAAGAGACATGTCCTTTTGTAAGTAAGTTGACTGTATATACCTAGCTCTCATATATGATTTGGTTACATGTGTCACATCCAGAGAAGCTAGTCAGTCCTTAAGTAAACTGACATATTGTGAAAAGTTTTGGGGTTTTTTTTGTTTTTTGTTTTTGTTTTTGACTCACAAAGTTAAAGATGAGATTCCTGTCCATCATGAGCTGCTTAGTAAGTGGCCAGCAGCTAGTTTATATATGTTTTTATGTTTTTGGCTGTCTCTAGTGGCAGTGTATTTCCCTTCTGGTAATGAACTTTGTGACAAAGAAGTATAATTTATCCTTTTAGTAAATTAGAGGTATTACTGCATATATTTGGAAAATTAGTTGATATGTTTACTGTTTGGAGAGCTGAGTCTCTGGCCTGCAGTTAAAATGGTGAATGCTAACCAGGACAAAGAAGAGAAGTTTGTTAAGTGCTTTGTAGTGACCTTATGTTTGGGTCAAACTCAGTGATGCCTGCGTTTAGACTTATTCGGGGTCTGAGCCAGGGTTTTGTTTAATTTGAGCCACTTACGTATTTTAAAAAGTAAGAAACTCATTTGTCAATAGATGATAGTTTTATTGAAAACTATATAAAACTTTATTTAATTGCTTCATTTCCTATTTTAGGTTTGAAAGAGAAGATAGTGAGGAGCTTTGAAGTCTCCCCAGATGGGTCCTTCTTGCTCATAAATGGCATTGCTGGATATTTGCATTTGCTAGCAATGAAGGTAAAGCATTATTATTGCTTCTTGTTCTTCTCCCACAAGACACTAGTGTAGGGATAGTCTTGCACCTTAACTCAGTGTGTCCTTAAATCTGCATCTCCAAGTAGAGGAGCACAGGTGGGACTTGGAGAGAAGTTGTGGGCAGTTGGGGGAGAGCTTTTGATTACAGGGAAAAATAAAGTTGAGTAGGTGCTAGAAAATAGAGAACTAGGTTGTTTTTACTCTACATTGTGTGATTCTTCTGTATACTTTCTAACAGTTTGATAAATAATATTTATTGTTTTAGACCAAAGAACTGATTGGAAGCATGAAAATTAATGGAAGGGTTGCAGCATCCACATTCTCTTCAGATAGTAAGAAAGTATACGCCTCTTCGGGTAAGACAACGACATGAAAGAAGCTAAGGATATTTTTACATTTTAAATTTTAGGCCAGGCGCGGTGGCTCACGTGTGTAATCCCACCACTTTGGGAGGCCGAGATGGGCAGATCACTTGAGGTCAGCGGGTAAGATCAGCCTGGCCAACATGGTAAAACTCCGTCTCTACTAAAAAGAAAAAAAGTAGCTGGGCATGGTGGCATGGGCCTGTAGTCCCAGCTACTTGAGAGGCTGAGGTGAGAGAATCTCTTGAACCTGGGAGACAGAGGTTGCAGTGAGCTGTGATTGGGCCACTGCACTCTAGCCTGGGGGACAGAACGAGACTCCATCTCAATAAAAAAATTTTTTTTTTAGCCATCTATCCTGGGCGACAGAGCAAGACTCTGTCTCAAAAAACAAAAGCAAAAAAACCTAGGACCAGGCGCGGTAGCTTACGCCTGTAATCCCAGCACTTTGGGAGGCTGAGGCGAGTGGATCGTTTGAGGTCAGGAGTTTAAGACCAGCCTGGCCAACATGGTAAGACCCTGTCTCTGCTAAAAATACAAAAATTAGCCAGGCATGCTGGCGCTCGCCTGTAATCCCAGCTAGTTGGGAGGCTGAGGCAAAGAATCACTTGAACCTGGGAGACAGAGGCTGCACTGAGCTGAGATCACGTCTCAAAATATATATATATATATATATATATTTTTTTTAAACGAAAAGTTGTGTTTGGTTTTAAAGTTTCTTTTTAGCTAGAAAATCAGATCTATTTTTAGAATTCATTTTTGTTGCCATTGCCTTCTCATTAATAATAGTGGAGGACTAACAATTTAACATGCAGTTTTAACATGTTTGGGGAAAGAATGGGAAGATAATGCTTATTTAAAAGATTATTCAGGGGTAAATCATTCTCCTATGATTCCCCATGCTATGAAAATTAAAATAAAATTTTACATGCCTTTTTTTCTCTATTCTCTCTTTTGTCACTTGGTTTTCAGGAAACCTTCAGGGGGCAAAGGAAAAACTTCCACTACAGTTTCATTTATATTAACATTCTTGAAATGATGAAATCGTAGAAATAGAGAATAGATTAGTGGTTGTGAGGGTTTAAGGAGGATTTGAGGGCAGGAGAGAAGTGGAGGTATCTATAAAAGAGCAACAGGAGGGGTCCTTGTGGTGATGGGAAGTTTTGTGTCTTGACTGTATCAGTGTCACTATCCTGGTTGTAATGTTGTCCTGTAGTTATGCAAAATGTTAACATTGGGGGGGAACTGGTAAAGTAAAGAGTACACTGTGTTTTCTGTATTATTCCTTACAGTGTGTGTGAATCTAAAAGGCATAATTTTAAATAAGTAGTCCTACCTTTCTTAAAAAGATAAGGCAGACATTATTTAAAAAAAGATGATTCATTTGAAGGTTTTCTGACTTTCTTTTTGAAAGTTACTTAAAATCATCAGCCCTTGTAGCAATACTCTCTTGACTTTGATGGTGTGTTAAATTTTCTACATTATTGTCCTTCCTGACATTTCTGTAGCTCTTTTGATTAACCTGCACTGTCCTGCTCTTCTACCTTTCTGACTTCCCTAAGACTTGTTAACTCTTACTGTCTATCCCAAAGGACCATGGGGGCCATCCCTTGGGACAGCTACATAATCTTAGTATAGCTAATGCTGTGTTTGGTAGCGGGAGACTTTCAAGTGGTTCTGCTCTGTGGGTAGTAGTCAGCAACCTCTGTAAAGCTTTTTAGCATAATTTTTATTTGACCTCAGCTAGGAGCATTTGGTAATATAACATTAATAAAATTAATAGCATTAATTAAAATTATTTTTTAACTTTTAAAAAGGATTAATTTTAGCTTAACATTAATTTTTGTTTTGTTTTTGTCCTAGAATCAGACTTTCACAAGGTTATTTACATTGGTATGTTTTTAATCAATGCATATAAGGCCAGGAGCAGCTATATTTTCTATATTATACTAGTTTTTGTGAGAAGAAAGAAGAAAATGAAGAGAAAGAGGAAGGAAGGGAGGGAGGGAAGGAAGGAAAGATGGAAGGAAGGAAGGAAGGAAAGAAAGAAAGAAAGAATTAGTTCAGAGTAATATTCCTGATGAAATGGCCCTTGGCCCTGGTAGAGAGAGAGTCGGGGAGGGAGAAGAGGTTGGGGAGGGAAAAGAGGTGGGGAGGGTTGGTCAGCAGAAGTACTGAAATTTGATATATGAATTGGACGCAGATATAATGTATTTACAAATTTGGTCATGGCTGTGGAGATCTAATTTATCATAAGGTCCTAAGAAAGCAGGGAAGGAGAAATCAAAAGTTGAGCCTTGGTAAGTTAGGGGTAATTTTGAAATGTTGATGGTTCTCTTCCTCTCTCTCCGCTTCTTCCTCCTTTTCTTCTTCTTCTTCTTCTTTTTTTTTTTTTTTTTTTGAGACAGAGTCTCACTCTGTTGCTTAGGCTGGAGTGCAGTGGCACGATCTCGGCTCACTGTAACCTCTGCCTCCCAAGTTCTAGCAATTCTCCTGCCTCAGCCTCCTGAGTAGCTGGAATTACAGGCGCATACCGCCATACCCAGCTAATTTTTTGTATTTTAGTAGAGACGGGGTTTTCTTGTGTTGCCCAGGCTGGTCTCGAACTCCTGAGCTCAGGCAACCCACCTGCCTCGGCCTCCCAAAGTGCTAGGATTACAGGCGTGAGCCACCGCGCCCAGCCACTTCTTTTTTTTTTTTTCAGACTGAGTCTTGTTGTGTTGCCCAGGCTGGAGTGCAGTGGTGTGATCTCGCCTCACTGCAGCCTCTGCCTCCTGGGTTCCAGCAATTCTCCTGCCTCAGCCTCCTGGGTAGCTGGGATTACAGGCACACACCACCACATCGGCTAATTTTTGTATTTTTAATAGAGACAGGGTTTCATCATGTTGGCCAGGCTGGTCTTGAACTACTGACCTCAGGTGATCTGCCCGCCTTGGCCTCCCAAAGTGCTGGGATTATAGGTGTGAGCCACTGCGTGTGCACCCTTTTCTTATTCTGTATGGAGTCGTTTGTGTGATTAGTAACATATTGTTCACATTACATTGTTACATGTAAAGAATAATTTGAGATAAAAAGAGTTGAAGAATTTACCTTTTTCTAACTTTACTGGTTTTGTCTTTGTTTACTCATGGATTTTTTTTTTTTTTTGGAGACAGCATTGCTCTGTCTCCTAGGTTGGAGTGCAGTGGTGTGATCTTGGCTCACTACATCCTCTGCCTCCTGGGTTCAGGCGATTCTCATGCCTCAGCCTCCCCGAGTAGCTGGGATTACAGGCATGTGCCACCACGCCCAGCTAATTTTTGTATTTTTAGTAGAGATGGTGATTCACCATTTTGGCCAGGTTGGTCTCGAACTCCTGGCCTCAAGTGAGCCACCTGCCTTGGCCTCCCAAAGTGCTGGGATTACAGGCATGAGCCACCATGCCTGGCCATCTCATGTTGCCTTTTTTGCCATAAGTCATCAACTCATGACCATTTCATGCACTTGCTTTCTAGATGTTCTTGCTTTTGATCTCTTCCCATTTTAGTCTACTGAGAGACTAATCTTTAAAACACTTTCCTTTATTATAACATTAATGTACAGGCAGACATATAAGGCAAAGGTTTTAATATTTGATCCTATTCAGTTTTCCCAAATGTGTTTTACTACTGCTTAACCTGCACGCTTACTCTAGCCTGGAACATTTTATTTGTTAGGGAGTTGAAACTGAGATTCACTGAATTCTCATTGGGAGAATAAGAGTACATATGGAAGGGTGAACTTTAGAGCAATATCCTGCAAGGAAGGATATTGAGGTACTAGAAAAAGGAAGACGTAAAATAGTGAGGATCCACTTTTGAGATGGATGTAGGGTCATTAGAGTAAACTATTTGTGCTTATTCGTAAGCTTGTGTTTAGCCTTTTTTTTTTAATCATTTAAATAACTTGGTAATAGATAAATTGTGTGTGTCTTCTTAATTATAAATTCCCGTGTTCTGGATCCGTTCATTTTTCACTTCTTCCTCTTCCATCATCATTAACATTTTGGTATCTAAATCGCTAACCTTGCCTATTAGGTAGTCTAATACCTGTTGATAGATGTTGGAAGAGTTACACTAGTGAGTGGTGTTTTGTTTTGCTTCAGATTTTTGCTTCAATAATTTATCTGAGTGGAACTTAGAAGCTTTTTCTAAAAGTTCAACTCAAACCAACAGCTTGTGATTTTTTTCCTGTAAACCTAAAGGTACTGTCTATTAATGACTAACTGATGCAGTTTTCTTTTGTATATGTGAATGTATACAAGAAATATTCTTAGGCCGGGCATGGTGGCTCACACCTGTAATCCCAGCAGTTTGGGAGGCCAAGGCAGGTGGATCACCTGAGGTCAAGAGTTCGAGACCAGCCTGGCCAACATGGTGAAACCCTGTCTCTACTAAAAATACAAAAATTAACTACGCATGGTGGCACAAACCTGTAATCCCAGCTACTCGGGAGGCTGAGGCAGGAAAATCACTTGAACCCGGGAGAAGGAGGTTGCAGTGTGCTGAGATGGCGCAGTTACACTCCAGCCTGGGCGACAAGAGAAAAACTGCATCTCAAAAAAAAAAAAAGGAAAAAAGAAAAGAAATATTCTTAGTCCAGTTTTCCAGAACTAGGAGGGTTATAATAGGTCTGTATTTGTAGTCTCCTGTACTGTTAAGAGGGACTGAGAGTGGCCAGTTTACTTGCCTTTCAAGTTTAAAGCAAAATTAACAACTCTTTTTTTCGCTCTTTTATGCAGGGGATGGAGAAGTTTATGTTTGGGATGTGAACTCAAGGAAGTGCCTTAACAGATTTGTTGATGAAGGCAGTTTATATGGATTAAGCATTGCCACATCTAGGAATGGACAGTATGTTGCTTGTGGGTAAGTAAAGAGAGGTTCTTGTAACCTTAATCACATTGTGCTAATGAGAATATGTTGAGGAATTGAATATACTAGGTGGTGCATGAGTAGTTCTCTTTATAAACTATTCAGTAATATGAAATTGGTCAACCCAGCTGAGCTTTTTTCATTTTATCATCTTTGTGCAGTGTTGAATAATAATATTACAGTAGTTCCCCCCTTATCTGCAGTTTCACTGTTTGTGGTTTTAGTTACCTGTGGTTAATCACAATCTGAAATCTATGTAAGATATTTTGAGAGCAAGAGACCACATTCACGTAACTTTTATTAGGATATATTGTTACAATTGTTCTGTTTTATTATTAGTTGTGTTAGTCTGTTACTATGCCTAATTTATAAATTAAACTTTTTTATAGAGATGTGTGTATAGGAGAAAACACAGTACACACAGGGTTCAGTAATCCACAGTTTGAGGCATCCACTGGGGGTCTTGGAACATACGCCCTGCCAGATAAGAAGGGATTACTATAATTGCAGTTGAACACCTTTTTAGCAAAGAAAATGCTGGCGCTACCTTATATCATTGTATTTTTTCCTATTTAAAATACCTGTTTGATCACATCAAGTTTTCCTATAATTATTTTCAGCTTCTTGTCATTGATGAGGAGATAGAATAAGTAACTTTGGGTTTAAATCTTAAAGATACCTAAAGCATTTTTCCTTTATCCAGCTGGGGGTATAAATAAAAAACATGTTCCTAGGAAATACCATTTGATAGTATTGTAGAAACTTTAAAAATATTATCTAGAACACATTGTACTGTGCTATTACTGAAAACATTGGTTATTACACTGGGGAAAAGATGGCTGTGTTCTACTACTTGATTCTGAAGATGCAGGGTGAGAGGATGAGGCATTGGATACTTCGCAGTAATTCTAAGCTACCTTACTAAACCACTAATTAGAACCCATAATTCTGTAACTTCAAGAAGTAGGTTTTTGTGATTTTCTTAGACCAAACACAATTGAGCCATGAAATGATTTCAGTCAAATCCTCCCTGGGATGGGAAGTCAAGGGGTCTTGTTGTCCAGAAACTTAGCATACTCTCTACTCTTTGTTCACTCTCTCCTTCCAGGTTAAAACTGGGGAAACTGCTTGTATATATATCCCTACCACCGTTTGCAAATTGGAGTTTGGGAGGAAAGGCAAGTAGAACTAGGCTGTGGAGCTTGGAGACCAGGCCATCTGCCTTAGGCAGTAAGACAGTAACAGATCCCTTGGAGGGAGAGTGCCCTGATGAAGGCCCCTTCCTTTCCTACCCATACCCGTGCCAACCCTGTAGCGAGGGACATCTCAGCACAAGCCAAGCATTTACCAGGGTAGTGTGCGCTATGGCAGCAATTCATGAGTAGCAGATCTTCTGGGAATAAAGCTCCTTTAAAATGAAGACTGCTGTTTAAACTCATTATAAGTAGTTTTTAAATTTTTTTTATTATACTTTTAAGTTTTAGGGTACATGTGCATAACGTGCAGGTTTGTTACATATGTATACATGTGCCATGTTGGTGTGCTGCACCCATTAACTCATCATTTAGCATTAAGTATATCTCCTAATGCTATCCCTCCCCCTTCCCCCCCCGACCCACAGGCCCCGGTATGTGATGTTCCCCTTCCTGTGTCCATTATAAGTAGTTTTAAGAACTGCATTTGCCTCTATATGGGGCAAGAAAAACTGCGCAGAAATGATCTTCACTCAGATTTGTGAAGCCAGTCTTCATTGCCCTCTCTTTTTTGTATCACTTTTTATTAGCCCCCTTTGAAGGGCCTATATAGGAAAGAATCTAATACTAGTAGCTTAAACTCATTTAATTTTAATTGCCCTTCAGTGTAATTGATTTCTGATGTGCTTGGCCAACAACCATTTAAGCTTTTAGAATCTTCAAGTTATTCTTAAAGAATCTTAAGCAAATCTTTAAGCTTTTAGAAGAGGAAGAAAGGACAGGGAGATGAGCCTTGAGGTCACTGCAGCAATAGGCAGGCATCAGGTAATGAGTCACCAGGACAGTAGGAATGGCAGTGGGGGAATAAGCAAAGGATGTTTGTAATGTATTTGATAAGTGCTTAGAAGATGGGGAGTGGGAGAGAAGTATTCACATTCTCAGGCTCCAGGCCTGTGCAACCAGAGGAGTGGAATTGTCATTGAAGGGAGGCGGGAGGAGGGGTGATGGTGTTAGAAGAGATAATATGCATGTGGCCACCCCCACAAACCTTTAGGAATGCAGTGCATAATTAGGACTAAAGGCACTGATTTGGATGTGGTGGGTGATAGGTGGTCTGTGGGAGTAAATGAGATGAATGAGACACTAGAAGTAGGTTGGAAATAGAATCCTGGGGACAAGAATCAGTGGAGAAAGAGGTGACTGTGAAGGAATCAGGATGCAAGAAGAGTCAGTAAAGTTTAGCCTTCAAGAAGTCAACAGAAGGGGGAGAATTTGAATTCTGTTTTCAACCTGTTTGGTTGGAGGTTCTATAGGACATCTGTGGCTATAGTGGTGATAGCTGGTCTCTTTGTAACATGATTCCTGTAAATACCAGTTTGTGGGGTTAAATCTATATTCACTTAGGTTGTGAAAGCCCTTTTACTTGGTTTTTAATCTATTTTAATCCTTTTCTCTTTGTAGTTCTAATTGTGGAGTGGTAAATATATACAATCAAGATTCTTGTCTCCAAGAAACAAACCCAAAGCCAATAAAAGCTATAATGAACTTGGTTACAGGTGTTACTTCTCTGACCTTCAATCCTACTACAGAAATCTTGGCAATTGCTTCAGAAAAAATGAAAGAAGCAGTCAGATTGGTAAATATTTCATTACCCCTTTATTATTGTTATTTTTTAAATTTAAGTTGAAAACATGCAAGAGTAACAGGAAAGGAGAGCGTTGAATTATTTTTAAAACAGTGGCTTCTTTTGATATAGGAATTATTAGTATTGTAGCTTTTGGATGTGGTTGTTGGAAGGATGCACAGTAGCCACCACATTTGATTATGTCACTTCTTTCAGTAAAGCTTTGCTGTCCATTCTCACCATTCCTAAAGTGGTCCTCATTTTCAGAGGTTTCTTTTAGTATTAATGTTAAGGACTATATTTAAGGCAGACACTTCATTCCTTCACAATTTTCTTTCCTCATTTACCTTTTTAAGGCCTGTTGTCTTAACAGAACGGAGGCAATTCTCGGGTTTTGAAAGTAAGTTGAACTTGAAAATTAAATTGTATAAAAGTATTGTAATTTAAATAGCTAGGTAGTACCTTTGAATATACCCTTTGTGTTAGGAATCCGCAGGACCACCTCCAGGTTTGGTGGCTAACGAGAGATGACTTCCAGGACTCTGCATATGTTCATTGAACTCATGGCTAAAATGTATTGCAGTGGAAAGGATACAAAGCAAAATCAGCAAAGGGAAAGGGTACATGGAGTAAAGTCCGGAGGAAACCTTCTAAGAGTCCTCTTCTAGTAGAGTCACACAGGACAGTTTAATTCCTCCAGTAATGAGTTGTAACAACATGTGTTAAGTGTTTTCTACCTGGGAAGCTCATTAGAGACTCATTGCAGAAGGTTTTTATTGGGACTTCATATAGGGTACCCTCTGCCTAGCATGTACCAAAATTCTAGATTCCCAGAAGAAAAGCCAGGTGTTTAGCATAAACCACATTGTTTGTACAAACAGTTTAGGCACAGTGAGCTACCCATATCATTTAGGGAAAGTTTCATGCCAGTATAGGAACTGTGTGCTAGTCAAATTCTCCGACACTATGCAGTGGCCACCCTTGTAAGCAGACCTTTCTGTTTTTTTTGTTTTTTTTTTTTTTGAGACCAAGTCTCACTCTGTTGCCCAGGCTGGACTGCAGTGGTGTGATCTCGGCTCACTGCAGCCTCCGCCTCCTGGGTTCAAGCGATTCTTCTGCCTCAGTCTCCTGAGTAGCTGGGATTATAGGCATGCGCCACCACGCCCAGCTCATTTTTGTATTTTTTTTTTTTTTTTAAGTAGAGACGGGGTTTCACCATTTTGGTCAGGCTGGTCTCGAACTCCCGACCTCATGGTCCACCTGCCTCGGGCTCCCAAAGTGCTGGGATTACAGGAGTGAGCCGCCGTGCCCAGCCCAGAACTTTCTAAGGATAGCAGCCTTGGGCCTATGTAAACTCTTTTCTGCCCAACATCAGAGCTCACTTTCAGTGTCACCCCATCTCTGTGAAGTTTCCTAATCTTCAGGCAGAGCCAATTTTCTCATTCATTTAACAATTTTTTGCTCAAGGCACCAGGTATACAGAAGGCATAGAACTTTGAATAGCAGAATTATGTTTGCTGCTATGTGTGTACTACCAGATTGTACGCACTTTACAAAGTGTGTTATTTTTATTGTGCTCACTTGGCAAAAAGCCTTGCATCTGCCATCAGCTTTGTATTAGAATATATCGTTTACAAAGATTTACAAAGAGTTCTACAAAAAGTTTGAGCCAAGTAACAGTTCTTCAGAGGATTAACTTAACCAAAGTAAACAGTTAATAAAGGGCAGAATTGTGATTTAGATTCCACATTTTTTTCTAGCAGTTCATTGGTTTTCTGGCTGAATTCCACAGAGCCCTAGATTCTGCACAGGGCTTTATATGGCATGTAGGGCAAGGAGGAGGCTAAGCTCCTTAACTTGTATCATGTAGAGCAGTGTCATTGTTGTCTGTGGTATATATATTGGGATTCTGCATATGATTTCCTTAAGAAATGTTTTGTTGCGCTGGGCACGGTGGCTCAGACCTGTAATCCCGGCACTTTGGGAGGCTGAGGTGGGTGGATCACTTGAGGTCAGGAGTTCAAGACCAGCCTGGCCAACATGGTGAAACCCCATCTCTACTAAAATTACAAATATTAGCTGGGCATTGTGGTGGGCGTCTGTAATCCCAGCTACTCAGGAGGCTGAGGCAGGAGAATGGCTTGAGCCTGGAAGGTGGAGGTTGCAGTGAGCCAAGATCGTGCCTCTGTACTCCAGCCTGGGTGACAGAGTAAGAGTCTGTCTCAAAAACAACAACAACAACAACAAAATGGTTTGCTGGAAAAAGAGTGTGAAAATTACAGCATAGCATTTTATTGCTATGCTGTTGAATGAATCATTTGATAAATGAGAAGGTTCTAATTCAAGTCAGCTTTAAAATCCCTGCTCCCTAATGGGAGTGGTATACTAGTAATATTAACCTTTTATCACTTTAATGGTAGTAAATTGTTTTAGAAAACCATGGGATCTATCTCCTGTTGACATAATATATTCTGCAAGACACATAATAGTTCTGCATTGTTTGCTTCAGTGATCATGACAGCATTTATATTTTTTTTATTGTGGCAAAATCACATAAGGAATTCATTAGTAAAAGCCAAATCACAGTTTTTAAATGGTAGTCAACCATAATATCTAATGGAAAGAAGCCAGGCATAGCAGCTCCATATAATGCCTTGTAAAAAACATTGTTAGCATTGTTAAATGCAGTCAATTCCTTATAATGATCTAGACGGTTTTGTCATCCCATTACAAAGCACTGTGAATTTAAGCTGTTGGACTAGTAGGAGACTCAGAAGTCAAATTCCTGTTACATCGACAATTTTGGATATAGTAGAACGTCATGGAACTTTCTACCCATTAAATCAAGGATGAGCGAGCTTTTACTTGTTGAATTTTGATATCTGTACACTTAACTGTCGTGATAGAAATGGTATTAGAAAGCTGGCTGCGGTGGCTCACGCCTGTAATCCCAGCACTTTGTGAGGCCGAGGCAGATGGATCACCTGAGGCCAGGAGTTAAAGAAGTTGGATCTTTATAGGCATTTTTCCTAATTAATAGTTCAATTATACCTTTTAAAATGGGGGCTATAAATAGATGTCAGAGCACAGCATAGTTTTAATCAGGTGAGATCATTGGCTTGAGGGAAGATTCACCAATGCATTGAGAGATTACACTGGGGAATTTTGCAGGTAGATGCTGTTGATCTCTTAGGACATTGTAAACAATTCCCCTCCTTTTCCCGATATTCCAAGTCAGTAGCAGAGATAAAGTTTAAAAATAGGTCAGGTGCAGTGGCCCACACCTTAATCCCAGCACTTTGAGAGGTCAAGGTGAGAGGATCACTTGAGGCCAGGAGTTTGAGACCAGCCTGGCCAACATGGTGAAACCCCATTTCTACTAAAAATACAAAAATTAGCTGGGCGTGGTAGCCCACACCTGTAATCCCAGCTACTCAGGAGGCTGAGACAGAAGAATTGCTTGCCCCCAAGAGGCGGAGGTTACAGTGAGCTGAGATCGCACCACTGTACTCCAGCCTGGGCAACAGAGTGAGTGAGACTTGATCTCAAAAAAAAAAAAAAAGAAAAGAAAAGAAAAGTCATTCAGATAGAAAGGTTGGTTCTAGTGTATTTTGATGAGGAAGAGTCAGAAAACCAGCTCCCCAAACTTCAAAGTCATTCCAGGAAAGTTGGTGAGTGAATGCCTGAGGCCTAGTTTCATAGTATCAGGTGAATAGGGTGGGAACAAAAGGCAGAGGTAGAACAGCTTTGTCCTCACCCCTTGTAGCAAATGTTTTTTTCCTGATCATCTGCTTTCCTGATGCTTTGGATCATCTGTTCATAGTTGGGGCATGCTTGAAGGATACAAACTTACAATAACCCAAGTGAAACACAGTTAAGCCAAGGTACTTATCACAAATTTATATAATATCTGCCTTCCCAAATTAAATGTAAATAAATTTTGCAATATCCATGTTGTGGCTTCTCTCTGTAAAACAGGAGTCTGCTTTTTTACTAAGTGCTTGAAAAAATATATATACTTAAAAGTAATTTCTCGAGGAACCTGTATAGAGAGTGGTATTTAAGAACTTTAGAAGTGAAGTCCAAATTGGGGTACTGCCAACTTCTTAGCTTTAATGGGTCAAGACCACTTCTCATTAGCACCATTGCCTTCACATTGATGCCACGCTGTGCAGGCAGAACCTGCCTTCTGGCAAAGTTGAAAATAATTGAATGTGGCTTGGAGATTCACTGTAAACAGTATTTTCTTGACAAAATGGTCAGTAAGTATGTATCAGAATTTGGCCTAATATGTGACTGACTGAAACCAGTTTAATAGGTGTATGTATCAGTGGTTTTTACCCAGCACTTGCCTGTGAAAATCACTTTGATGGTATAAAGTCTGACCTAGAAGTGTGGAGGATGACTAACTGCCCAGCTGAATGATAACGGTTGTATATATTTGAACATGAAGGTGCTATATCTCTTGGGAGAGCTAGAGAACATCTGAAAGTGAGTGTTGTTACAATTGTGGCCTAAAGGTAACTGCTTCCATACCTGGGTTTTATTCATCCACAAATTGGGTGAGGACCTGTCTCAACTCTCCTGAACTTAGGAAGTAGACTCTGGAGAAAGAGACTGTGTGTGTTCCTCCTCATACTTACGTCTGGCTTTGAGGTGAGCTTTTGGCTCTCTCTAAATCAGAACAGTTTCACTTGGAGTTAGATTTTCATGATTCAGCCCTCTTCGAGGAGAAATTGTAAAAGGCAAAGTGTATATACAATAGTTGAAAATTAAAAGTACAAAATGGCAATTTTATGATAGTAGAATATATGTGGTATGACTTTGCCTAGGCTTCAGTTATGTAAAATCAGACTTTATAATGTTTAATTTTTTTCACCATTTAACTAACCAGATGAACCTTCATGTTTAAAATCTCTTTTCCCTGTGATCAGATTTTAGTATTCTTTACTGTGGTCATTAAGCTAGAGTGGGTACTTTTTGCTTTAGTTTATTCATTAATTTACTCATTCAGCAAACATTTGAATCTCTGAGGCATCATGCTGGATGCTGTACTGACGCTTTTTTCTCTTTCTTCCTTTTCTGCTCAGTTAATAACACATTAAAGATCAAATTTTATAGTGTGTACACATGGACACAGTAGAATAATAGGCATTGGAGACTTGGAAAGGTGGGAGCATGGGAGAGGGGTAGGGGATGAGAAATTATCTGATGGGTACAGTGTACATCAATCTTGTCCAACCCACGGCGCAGGACGGTTTGATTGTGGCCCAACACTAATTTGTAAACTTTCTTAAAACATGAGTTGTTGTTTTTTTTTTTTTTAAGCTCATCACCTGTCGTTAGTGTTAGTGTATTTTATGTGTGGCCCAAGACAATTCTTCTTCCGTTGTGGCCCAGGGAAGCCAAAAGATTGGACACCCCTGTCCACCATTGGAGTGATGGTGACACTTAAGAGCCCAGACTTCACCACTGTGCAAGAAATTCATGTAGCAAAACTGCAGCTGTATCTCTTAACTATAAAAATAAAGTAATAAAAAAAGATCAAACTTAATTTTGGAACACTTTGCTGCACTAATAGACTGTACTTTCTTGTGTGCTACAATCAAAATGAGCTTTATGTTTCAGCAGGAAGATAGAGTGAAGATTACAATTTAAGAAACATGAGCTCCCAGTTGTTACACTTTAAAGTTTTTTATTATCTCCTGCAGGTTCATCTTCCTTCCTGTACAGTATTTTCAAACTTCCCAGTCATTAAAAATAAGAATATTTCTCATGTTCATACCATGGATTTTTCTCCGAGAAGTGGATACTTTGCCTTGGGGAATGAAAAGGGCAAGGCCCTGATGTATAGGTAGGTATTATTTATGTTTAAAAGTCAGAGATACCTATAAACTACTTCTGACAGTATGAAGAGATACTATATATTCCTAATTCTACAGTTAATAAATTCTAGTCTGTTTATCTTGACTCTCATCTTCATTATCTTACTTTGGGTTATTTTATTTTATTTTATTATTATTATACTTTAAGTTTTAGGGTACATGTGTGCACTGTGCAGGTTTGTTACATATGTATACATGTGCCATGTTGGTATGCTGCACCCATTAACTCGTCATTTAGCATTAGGTATATCTCCTAATGCTATCCCTCCCCCCTCCCCTCACCCCACAACAGTACCTGGAGTGTCATGTTCTCCTTCCTGTGTCCATGTGTTCTCATTGTTCAATTCCCACCTCTGAGTGAGAACATGCGGTGTTTGGTTTTTTGCCCTTGTGATAGTTTGCTGAGAATGATGGTTTCCAGTTTCATCCATGTCCCTAAAAAGGACATGGACTCTTTATTTTTTATGGCTGCATAGTATTCCATGGTGTATATGTGCCACATTTTCTTAATCCAGTCTATCATTGTTGGACATTTGAGTTGGTTCCAAGTCTTTTCTATTGTGAATAGTGCCGCATCAATAAACATACATGTGCATGTGTCTTTATAGCAGCATGATTTATAATCCTTTGGGTATATACCCAGTAATGGGATGGCTGGGTCAAATGGTATTTCTAGTTCTAGATCCCTGAGGAATCGCCACACTGACTTCCACAATGGTTGAACTAGTTTACAGTCCCACCAACAGTGTAAAAGTGTTCCTATTTCTCCACATCCTCTCCAGCACCTGTTGTTTCCTGACTTTTTAATGATCGCCATTCTAACTGGTGTGTGATGGTATCTTATTGTGGTTTTTATTTGCATTTCTCTGATGGCCAGTGATGATGAGCATTTTTTCATGTGTTTTTTGGCTGCATAAATGTCTTCTTTTGAGAAGTGTCTGTTCATATCCTTCGCCCACTTTTTGATGGGGTTGTTTTTTTCTTGTAAATTTGTTTGAGTTCATTGTAGATTGTGGATATTAGCCCTTTGTCAGATGAGTAGGTTGCGACAATTTTCTCCCATTTTGTAGGTTGCCTGTTTACTCTGATGGTAGTTTCTTTTGCTGTGCAGAAACTCTTTAGTTTAATTAGATCCCATTTGTCAATTTTGGCTTTTGTTGCCATTGCTTTTGGTGTTTTAGACATGAAGTCCTTGCCCATGCCTATGTCCTGAATGGTATTGCCTAGGTTTTCTTCTAGGGTTTTTATGGTTTTAGGTCTAACATGTAAGTCTTTAATCCATCTTGAATTAATTTTTGTATAAGGTGTAAGGAAGGGACCCAGTTTCAGCTTTCTACATATGGCTAGCCAGTTTTCCCAGCACCATTTATTAAATAGGCAATCCTTTCCCCATTTTTTGTTTTTGTCAGGTTTGTCAAAGATCAGATGGTTGTAGATATGCAGCATTATTTCTGAGGCCTCTGTTCTGTTCCATTGGTCTATATCTCTGTTTTGGTACCAGTACCCTGCTGTTTTGGTTACTGTAGCCTTGTAGTATAGTTTGAAGTCAGGTAGCATGATGCCTCCAGCTTTGTTCTTTTGGCTTAGGATTGACTTGGCTATGCGGGCTCTTTTTTGGTTCCATATGAACTTTAAAGTAGTTTTTTCCAATTCTGTGAAGAAAGTCATTGGTAGCTTGATGGGGATGGCATTGAATCTATAAATAACCTTGGGCAGTACTTTGGGTAATTTTCTACCATAAAATGTCACTAGCAGGAAACTTCACCTGGGGAATATATATATTTTTTGGAAAGCACTATTTTGAGAATGTCAAATTGAGAAAAAGCCACTTTAATAATATTTCCACTTTCTTCGTGCCTTATGTTTAGATTAGCTTTTGCTGATTTAATAATTCAGTTTACTCCACTAGATTTAATTGATTTCTTTTTAAAAGGTGTTTCTTTCCCTGTAGCTGTAAGCTGTAAATAAGGGTGTTAACCACAAAGATAACCAAAACTTATATGCGCTGTCCAGGTTCTTTTCTGTACCCAACATACTTGGCTATAAAACAGGAACAAACAAAACCTAATTGCATCATTGCTAGAAGATATAGGTGACAAGGTGGATCTTTAGGGAGAACTAAAGAGCTTTCAGTAGAAAACTTGTGATGTAAATCACAGCCCTCTTGCCTTGCTCCTTGTGTTGGTAGTGAATGCTACATAGAACCCTGTGTTTATGTTTGTATGCTTTAGGGAATTCCTGCTTTCAAAACGGACTAAAATCTGGAGTGAAGAAAAGGAGGAATGTAAATTGGTTTTGAGGAAATAGTTGTGAAAGGAGAATATACCAGACAATAATGTGGTTTACAGTTCTACTTACTTTGAAAGGAAAACAGGTTATACCAGGATAATTTCATCAGTCTCATTTCAGATCAGATTTGGAGTGGTTCTGTTTCAGTTTGTATTTTATAAAAGGATGCAGATTCTTATTGCACTTAGAATTTTCTTCCAAATCCTTTGGTATTTTTATAAGTGAAATTTTTTTTTCTCTAAGACCCAAAGGCCATTAGATTTTCCACCAGAGCATTGCTCTTTAGAATGACACTGTTTCTAGCTATACCAGTGACTGGAATTGACTGATGACATTTTTATTGTTTATGTCTGATCAGGTATTTCATAGACCCCCCATGTGAAACTTTGGAGTAAGCCTACTCATGTTACCTAAAATCTGAGGCGTTCAGATCCTCCAGAATGTCAGATTGAGGAGTCTGAACCTAACTGCCTGGTGTGAATGATTGTGATTACATATTTTTCCCACTAAAATCTTCCTAAGTGCCCTTCTGTGATCTAATTGAAAACACTGTGGGTAATTACAAAGTTGTTCAGATGACTTATTTTTTACTTTTCCAGGTTGCACCATTACTCAGACTTCTAAAGAGACTATTTGAAGTAAGAAAACCCTTTTCTTACAAATTCTGCAGGTTTTAAGATACACCCATTGCTGTCAGTTGGTGGAAGCAGCACATTAGCTGAGCTTTGTTTCTCTACCCCTAAGTTACTGCATCTTTATTTAGAGGGGTGGGTTGGAAGTAGATCAGGAACTGTCTAGCTGAAGTTGGACCCTCCTTTCTTATCCCAAATCACAGCAATCTGGCTCGGTTCTTCTGAGGTCTGATCTCTAATGTTGCATTCAATAATTCTCATCAAAATTGTAATTACTGAACATGTTTAATCCACAAAAGACTTAATAACACAGAGAGATGGGTCTTCAGATATAGCTATAGCTTGTATGAGCTTGAATCCTCTTATTATATATATGTTTCTTGAGAGATTAGCAGCTTGCTCTGTTTCACAGAGCTAGATAATGGGGCTGGCCATTAGTTCTGCTGCCCAATATTTAAAACCATAGAACATCCTTCCCTTCTCATGGTGTCCTTTCAGGCCTGAGATGTGGTGGTTCTGAGATTGAGCTTTGCAATTGGCCTCTTCATCACAGTTGACTGTTTGGTCTCCTCAGAGATTAATGAATGTTGAGGGACTTTGAGAATGCAGATAGATTTAATTAGGACAAAGGATTTTTAAAGGTACAGGCATTTTGGGCAAAGCTTTAGCAAGGAGGGGAAAGCAGTTTAGCTCTCCTGTCTCAAAAGATTACATTGCCAGTACGTGTCTGTTGATGACCAGCAGCTATAAATCAGGTATGTAATTTCTTTTGTTCTTTCCTCAGGTCCAGTTGAGTCACAAGAGAAGCCTGTCTTGATATATCATCTCAGAAACTTTCCTGAATATGTGATAATATATGGAAAATGATTTATAGATCCAGCTGTGCTTAAGAGCCAGTAATGTCTTAATAAACATGTGGCAGCTTTTGTTTGAAAATAAGTGTATCTGGTTCTTCCCTCCACCCCCAACACACACACACACAAACTTGGATGCATTTAAGACTAAACATGAGAAATTGGAAACACCTGTCTGTAGCCAAAAATAATATAAGCAGATTTTCTCATACTTCTCATACAGCTAACCCTGATGCATAGATCTCTTCCTGAATAGATCCCCCTTCCTGAATCGATCCTCCATGCTTTAGGGGATCAGCTAACAGGTAGTCTCTTGAGCTATGGAGGTCAGTCGGCTTGATATGAGAGCAGTGAAATCTCACGTAGTGAAGTTTGAACTTCCAAGTCTTCCAGGAAAGATGATTTTGGAAATGAAAAGGCTTTTCTGGCCTTATTACTTCAAATCTTTGTCATTGTCATTTGAAGAGGAGCCATAGTAAACCTGGTAGCCTTGTCCTACAGATTATTAGCCACTGCCCTTCCTGGAAATGTTCATTATGCCAACTTAAATGTTTAATTTGTATTTCAAGGTTGGCAGCTGGCTCCATAGTTCTCTTATCATAATATAACCTTGCTTGAGACCAGTCCTTACATTTCTTAGGAAGAACTGACACCATATCGTGCATTTAGGAAGTATTAAAGGGGTTGGGCGGGTGTTACGAGAAGTATCAAGTTAGGTCTAATAGCTTTTAGCCCCACCCTCTACTAAAACATGGAAGAGAGAAGTCGGCGGAGGAGGGAGTTTTTTCAGCAACAGAAAGTAGCTTTGCCCGGTGAAGTAATAGGTTCCAGGTCAGTGGAGAGTCCCTTCGTGTCTTCAAGGCTCTCCTGGGTCAGCTGGAGAGGACGTAGGACATAGAGCAGTCCAATAGGTATGGGTTGTGTTAACTTATCCCAGTGTCTTTCTAAAAGAACATTTTCTGTTGAGATGGACTGTTGCAATCTAATTGTGGAGACCCTTCCCCTACTTCCTCCTTTTTCAGCAACTTTTTCCATAGTAAATACTATTAATGCTAAAACCTTGAATTCCTGAAACCAGTGGGATTGTTAGTGCTATTTCTCTCTCCCATTGCTAGAGGGCAGCATTGGATCACATGAATAGTTGAAGGCAAGGCTTTTGGAGCTTTTTGCTGTCACCTTGTCCTTAGCTTCAGCAAAATTGTTTCAGAAATGGACACCAAGCCTTATATGTGCTTATTTTGCGTATGGTTTTCAGTTCCCAGAAGTGTGACAGTTTATAGGAACTTATCCTACAGAAAATGATGGAAGCAGAGTCTAAATTTTAACTGTTCTTTGTTAAACTCTCTAGATCATTTTTATACACTACTAGGAGCAGAATAAAGAATCCAGTTCTAATCTCCAAGATAGACAGATGTGCTATTTGTTCTACAGAGGTGCTACTAATCCTGTGTCTTGTATTGTAATGTTTAATATTTTTTCCCCCTCAATGAGAGTTAGGGATTCGAGTCAGACTTTCATTGCGTCTCCTTGTAACCAGTGCCAAGCTAATTCTTCAAGGAAATGAGATCCATAGCCATGAAATTCTTTACAGATGCTCTTTTGGCAGTTGCTGTGACAGCATGAAAGTGGCTCATGTCTCTCTGTTTTGGGGGGAACCATCTTGAGCTGTGAGGTGATATTTTGCCATCCAGAGCCACACAGGATGTACTTGGGTATACTTTGATAAATCGACAAGTTGAAATCTTTGATGTATCCCATTCATCTCTCCCCCACATCCTCACTAATAGTTAGTGAACCGAAGAATGATTAGTCTTACGAAGACGTTTCCTCTGTTTAAACAAAGTCCAGGTGAAAAGTCATTTGCCTTACCGATGGACGTTAAGTGTGTGCGTATGTGTGTGTTTCTGGTACGGATATGTAACCTGTTATAAGCTGACCAGCTGAAGGGTTTGTAGGCATATCTGCACCTCCAGTTTGAGGATGGGATGGAGGCAAGCAAATGCCCATGAAGTCAGGTGCTGGCTCACAGCTTCGAAGAGTTCTTAAGCTACTTGGGATGATACTTAAATGCATCTGCAAAGTCATTACACAAGAAACAAAGCATTTTCCATTCTTTTAAACTGGAGGAAATGGAGGCTGGCGGAGAAGGTAGGCTGTGGGGATGTGGATAGCCTTTCCGACCCCCTGGTGCTGTAATTGTGCTGACATCAGTAATACATACATAGAATCTCATATAATTCTCGTTCCTCTGTGAGGAAAATAACATTGTCATTTTACAGGAAAGTAAATTGAAGTTTCAAGAGATTGAGCATCTTGGTCCCAAAGCCATCATTTTGACATAGATCAGTGGTCCACAAAGCAGGGTTTGCATACTCTTAAGGGTATGAGATACAGCCCTTTAGATTGTGGGAAGGAAATACTAGAACTTCTATGCTGTGTAAAAAGTATTTTTGTCCCAGTTACTCGGGAGGCTGAGGCAGGAGAATCACTTGAACCCGGGAGGCGGAGGTTACAGTGAGCCAAGTTCATGCCACTGCACTCCAGCCTGGCAACACAGTGACACTCCGTCTCAAAAAAAAAAGTATTCTTGTTACATAATGTATTCATACTGTAGATCATAGAGATAACTTAGAAACAGATAGGGTTTTTTGTTTTGTTTTTGTTTTTGAGACGGAGTTTTGCTCTTGTTACCCAGGCTGGAGTGCAATGTTGTGATCTCGGCTCACTGCAACCTCTGCCTCCTGATTCAAGAGATTCTCCTGCCCCAGCCTCCAGAGTAGCTGGGATTACAGGCATCCACCACCACGCCCGGCTAAATTTTTGTATTTTTAGT
The DNA here is from genome assembly GCF_000001405.40 of Homo sapiens. Classification (NCBI taxonomy): domain Eukaryota; kingdom Metazoa; phylum Chordata; class Mammalia; order Primates; family Hominidae; genus Homo; species Homo sapiens. The sequence continues at coordinate 51,300,685 of NC_000017.11, forward strand.
AGAGACGGGGTTTTGCCATGTTGGCCAGGCTGGTCTCGAACTCCTGACCTCAGGTGATCCACCTGCCTCAGCCTCCCAAAGTGCTGGGATTACAGGCGTGAGCCACTGCACCCGGCCATAAACAGATATGTTTACATTGGTACATTCAATGTACATTTCTTTTTTTTCTTTTGAGACAGGGTCTTGCTCTGTCACCCAGGCTGGAGTACAGTGGCATGATCATGGCTCACTGCAGCCTCAATCTCCCAGGTTCAAGTGATCCTCCCACCTCAGCCTCCCGAGTAGCTGGTACTACAGAGGCACCCCACCACGCCCATCTAATTTTTATATTTTTAGTAGAGATAGGGTTTCTCCATACTGCCCAGGCTGGTCTTGGAACTCCTGGGCTCAAGCAGTTGCCTGCCTCAACTTCCCAAAGTGATGGGATTATAGACGTGAGCCACCGTTCTCACCTCAATGTACATTTCTTATTAAAGGACCACTGGCCTGGGTGCCTGGCTGCCATGCCAAACTTGACACATTTCCACACCCTGTCCTCCACTGTTCCCAAACACTTTTTATGTTCCCTATAATGTTAAAGCTTCTCCATTAACTGTCACATAAGCTAGGTAGTTTAGACTGACTTTAAACTTGAGTTTTTTCTCTAGCCCAATCCCTGCTACAAAGACTGGTTCAAAGCATTATGTTTCCAATTTTTCTCTGTAATGAGTAAGACCTAGTATTTAATGGCACAACAAAGTGACAAAGTGACTATAGTCAGTAATAACTTAATTGTACATTCTAAAATAACAGTGTAATTGGATTGTTTGTAACAAAGGATAAAAACTTGAGGGGATTGATAGCCCACTTGCCATGTTTTATTTTTATTTTTTTTGACAGAGTCTTGCTCTGTCGCCCAGGCTGGAGTGCAGTGGCACAATCTTGGCTCACTGCAACCTCCGCCTCCCAGGTTCAAGTGATCCTCCTGCTTCAGCCTCCCGAGTAGCTGGGATTACAGGCGCCCCCCACCACATGTATTTTTAGTAGAGATGGGGTTTTACCATATGGGTCAGGCTGGTCTGGAACTCCTGACCTCAGGTGATCCACCCACCTCGGCCTCCCAAAGTGCTGGGATTACAGGCGTGAGCCACCGTGCCCAGCCCCATGATGCAATTCTTACACATTGCACGCCTGTATCAAAATTCTATAAACTTAAAAAATCTGACTTGATTACAGACAGAACAAAAAGTTGGCGACAGAGTCAAATTCCATAAAATATTTGAGGGAATTATTCTGAGCCAAATATGAGTGACCAAGGCCCGATGCAGACTCTCAAGAGATCCTGAGAACATGTGCCCAAGGTGGTTGGGTTATAGCTTGATTTTAGATATTTTAGGGGGACAGAGGCATGTAAGGAAAATACATTTTGGGGCCCCCAAATCACTAAGCTAAAGGGAAAAGTCAAGCCAGGAACTGGTTAGAACAAACCTGCCTCCCATTCTATTCAAAGTCATCCCTGTGCTCACTGAGATAAATGCACATCTGATTGCCTCCTTTGGAGAGGTTAATCAGAAACTCAAAAGAATGCTACTGTTTTTCTCTCACCTACCTGTGACCTGGAAGCCCCCTCCCTGCTTCAAGTTGTCCTGCCTTTCTGGACAGAACCAATGTACCTCTTAACATATATTGATTGATGTCTCATGTCTCCCTAAAATGTATAAAACCAAGCTGTGCCCTGACCATCTTGGGCACACATGTTGTCGGGACTCCCTGAGGCTGTGTCACAGGTGCAAGTCCTCAACTTTAGCAAAATAAACTTTCTAAATTAACTGAGACCTGTCTCAGATATTCAGGGTTCACATTTTGGTAACCACAAAGGAACTCTGAGTGGAGGTGCCTCCCGGCCTTTGACAAATCTCCTATTGGTGCTTGGTACCATCTTGAGCTGTCTTGATGGCTCAAACCAATAGGGCAATTTGCTGAGGCCTGGAAGCACGCCCTCCAGAGAATCCCTGATCTCTCAAAATTTGGTCAAGATCTGAAGTTTATTTTGCTTTACAACTCCTTTTTTTCTTGTGAGTTTTATTTGCTTCCTCCAGCACAAGGAAGGCTAGTTTTCCTGCTTCCATGACAAATAGGTTACTCCTTTAGGGCTTTGAGCTTGCTCCCAACAGGGAAGGCAAATTTGAGGGTTTTTTTTCCTGCTTCTAGGATAATAGAGAGCAGTCTCCAGCCTGAGACCTGTCCCTAGGTAAGTAACTGAATTGGGGTTTGTCTTGGCTAAAGTTAAGGTTAACAACCAACTGGTCTTCATTTCTCCTTACCATTAGAGTGCTCAGTAATCATTTAAGTTGTGCAATTGTTTGTTTTGCTTAACGGTTTTGTTGTTGTTTGTCTCTGTTTTTGTTCTTTCAACCTTTTTCCCATTGGGTTTGACCAACTGTATCTGACTTGATCAAGTCCAAAGAAAGTTTCAAATTATGGGGAACAAGCCCTCTGAATTGGCTAAATTCCCAACATACACAAAAAGGTGGACTTGTTATGTAAATAAAGCCCTTAAGTAGTCCAAATAAACAATCTTTCCTTTTTTTTCCCCTCTTGCTGGCTGTTTTTCAATTCCCCCATACTCCCCCAACACCCCCCTTCCCACACACACAAAGGTGGTATGGTGAGGGGAGAAAAATGGCCAGGAAAAAGAAAAAAAAAAAGGAAAGATATTTGATTTTGATTACTTAAGGGGCTTTATTTACATAAGAAGGCCACCTTTTGGCTAGCCAGGCCAAACTGTAAGAGCAATGGCTGTTACCCTACAGTGGAGTTCCATAGCCAATGTTCTGCCTTCTTTTTATCACCACGACAGCCTGGGTTTTGTCCCTAAATGAAGCCCTTTCTGGTTTAATACTTGGTACTTCTGAAATAGCAGCAATTTGTCCTATTTGAAATATGGTAATGAAATCTAAAAATATTTTTTTAAAAGGAGCTCAATGGTTAAAAGTCAGCTCAATTAAAAGCTAACATCGAAGATGCGTGTGTGTGTGTGTGTGTGTGTGTGTGTGTGTGTGAGTGTTTGTATTTTAAAGGCCTTCATTTTTTTTTCCTCTTAGGACCTTGTCTTTTTTTTGAACAAAACCTTTTTTCTTCTCTGTTGACTGAATTCTGTTTTCTTTATTTGCTTCTGCTGTCCTTCCTTTCTCTTGCACCCTCTGCTGCATGAAGACCTAAAATAGTTTATAATAGTCTGAAGTTCCTAAAAGGAAAAAGAGAAGGTATAATCCCAGCACTTTGGGAGGCCGAGGAGGGTGGATCACGAGGTCAGGAGATCGAGACCATCCTGGCCAACATGGTGAAACCCCATCTCTACTAAAAAAAAACACAAAAAATTAGCCGGGTGTGGTGGCAGGCGCCTGTAGTCCCAGCTACTCGGGAGGCTGAGGCAGGAGAATGGCGTGAACCTGGGAGGCAGAGCTTGCAGTGAGCCGAGATAGCGCCACTGCACTCCAGCCTGGGCGACAGAGTGAGACTCTGTCTCAAAAAAAAAAAAATAAATAAATAAATAAAAAAACAGAGAAGGTGCCAGACTCCCTTTTGGGAAATGTCTGTTTTTCCTTATGGAATCCAAAGAGTGTAAACAGACAAGTTCGTCTCAGCTTTCAAACTGCTTTCTTTTGTATTGTGTTACCTGATTTTTTTAACTAAAATAGTTATTGCAACAGAGGCAACTCTTGGGTTGTTAAGGAAGAATGTAGTTTAGACACTTAGAAATGTCTTTGTTAAAAAAATTTTTTTTGAGTGCACTGGAAAAGCATGAGGTCTAGCCTCATAGTAATTCTCCCTTTTTGGAGATCCAGGATTCAGTGTGGGCTCTGCCCAGAGATCAGAGATCCACTTAAAAGGCAGATAGTCCGTATCTAAATAAAATTGGTTTCCTTATACAATCCTATGATAGATTTCTATAATTTTATGTTTGATTTGGCATCCATCTTTAATCTCCCTCTAGCAACACCAGACTTTTTCTCTCTGTACCTTGAGATGTAAATTTTGTTACCTGATTTTTCACCTAAGAGTTGTTTCCTTCGATATGCAGATTTAAGGCAATTTAGCTGACAACTGCCAGGGTAATGAAACAGGTTATGAAGAGTTTGCAAGTCTAAGACAGGAAAAAAAAAAAGTAGGTCTTATGAATCTATAAGATGTACTTCTACTGGTATGCCTAATATGTCTATGTAATTATGTATTGTGTACACAATGTTTCACTACTAAAAATATATAAAAGCTCTAATTTTCATTCCAAGATGGCTGAATAGGAACAGCTCTGGTCTGCAGCTCCCAGAGTGATCGACACAGAAGATGGGTGATTTCTGCATTTCCAACTGAGATACCTAGTTCATCTCACTGGTACTGGTTGAACAGTGGGTGCAGCCCATGGAGGGTGAGCGGAAGCAGGGCAGGGCATTGCCTCACCCAGGAAGCGCAAGGGGTCTGGGGATTTCCCTTTCCTAGCCAAGGGAAGCTGTGACAGACTGTACCTGGAAAAAACGGGACACTTCCACCCAAATACTGCACTTTTCCCAAAGTTTTAGCAACTGGCAGACAAGGAGATTCTCTCCCATGCCTGGCTCAGTGGGACTCATACCCACGGAGCCTTGCTTAAGGCTAGCGCAGCAGTCTGAGATAGATCTGCGAGGCTGCAGGCTGGTGGGGAGAGGGGTATCCGCCATTGCTGAGGTTTGATTAGGTAAACAAAGCGGCCAGGAAACTCAAACTGGGTGGAGCCCACTGCAGCTCAGCAAGGCCTACTGCCTCTACAGACTCCACCTCTGTGGGCAGGGCATAGCTGAATAAAGGGCAGCAGAAACTTCTGCAATCTTAAACGTCCCTGTCTGACACCTCGGAAGAGAACAGTGGTTCTCCCAGCACGGTGTTTGAGCTCTGAGAATGGACAGACTGCCTCCTCAAGTGGATGTCTGATCCCTGTGTAGCCTAACTGGGAGACACCTCCCAGTAGGGGCTGACAGACACCTCATACAGGCGGGTGCTCCTCTGGGACAAATCTTTCAGATGAAGGATCAGGCAGCAATATTTGCTGTTCTGCAATATTTACTGTTGTACAGCCTGTGCTGGTGATACCCAGGCAAACAGGGTCTGAAGTGGACCTCCAGCAAACTCCAGCAGACCTGCAGCTGAGGGACCTGACTGTTAGAAGGAAAACTAACAAACAGAAAGGAATAGCGTAAATATCGACAAAAAGGACATCCACACCCAAACCCCATTTGTAGGTCACCAACATCAAAGACCAAAGGTAGATAAAACCACAAAGATGGGGAGAAACCAGAGCAGAAAAGCTGAAAACTCAAAAAACCAGAGTGCCTGTTCTCCTCCAAATGATCGCATCTCCTCACCAGCAACAGAACAAAGCTGGATGGAAAATGACTTCGATGAGTTGACAGAAGTAGGCTTCAGAAGGTCGGTAATAACAAACTTCTCCGAGCTAAAGGAGCATGTTCTAAACCATTGCAAGGAAGCTAAAAACCTTGAAAAAAGGTTAGAGGAATGGCTAACTAGAATAAACAGTGTGGAGAATACCTTAAATGACCTGATGGAGCTGAAAACCATGGCATGAGAGCTTCGTGATGCATGCACAAGCTTCAATAGCCGATTCGATCAAGTGGAAGAAAGGATGTCAGTGATTGAAGATCAAATTAATGAAATAAAGCAAGAAGACAAGATTAGAGAAAAAAGAGTAAAAAGAAATGAACAAAGCCTCCAAGAAATATGGGACTATGTGAAAAGACCAAATCTACGTTTGATTGGTGTACTTGAAAGTGACGGGGGGAATGGAGCCAAGTTGGAAAGCACTCTTTAGGATATTGTCCAGGAGAACTTCCCCAACCTAGCAAGGCAGGCCAACATTCAAATTCAGGAAATACAGAGAACACCAAAAAGATACTCCTCGAGAAGAGCAACCCGAAGACATATAATTGTCAGATTCACCAAGGTTGAAATGAAGAGAAAAATGTTAAAGGCAGCCAGAGAGAAAGGTCGGGTTACCCACAAAGGGAAGCCCATCAGACTAACAGCGGATCTCTTGGCAGAAACTCTACAAGCCAGAAGAGAGTGGGGGCCAATATTCAACATTCTTAAAGGAAAGAATTTTCAACACAGAATTTCATATCCAGCCAAACTAAGCTTCATAAATGAAAGATAAATAAAATCCTCTACAGACAAGCAAATGCTGAGAGATTTTTGTCACTACCAGGCCTGCCTTACAAGAGCTCCTGAAGGAAGCACTAAACATGGAAAGGAACAACCGGTACCAGCCACTGCAAAAACATGCCAAATTGTAAAGACCATCAATGGTATGAAGAAACTGCATCAATTAATGGGCAAAATAACTAGCTAACATCATAATGACAGGATCAAATTCACACATAACAATATTAACCTTAAATGTAAATGGGCTAAATGCCCCAATTAAAAGACACAGACTGGCAAATTGGATAAAGAGACAAGACCCATCAGTGTGCTGTATTTAGGAGATCCATCTCACGTGCAGAGACACATATAGGCTCAAAATAAAGGGATGGAGGAAGATCTACCGAGCAAATGGAAAGGAAAAAAAGGCAGGGGTTGCAATACTAGTCTCTGATAAAACAGGCTTTAAACCCACAAAGATCAAAAAAGACAAAGAAGGGCATTTCATAATGGTAAAGGGATCAATTCAACAAGAAGAGCTAACTTTCCTAAATATATATGCACCCAATACAGGAGCACCCAGATTCATAAAGCAAGTCCTTAGAGACCTACAAAGAGACTTAGACTCCCACACAATAATAATGGGAGACTTTAACACCCCACTGTCAATATTAAACAGATCAATGAGACAGAAGGTTAACAAGGATATCCAGGACTTGAACTCAGCTCTGCACCAAGCAGACCTAATAGACATCTACAGAACTCTCCCCTCTAAATCAACAGAATATACACTCTTCTCAGCACCACATCGCACTTATTCCAAAATGGACCACGTAGTTGGATGTAAAGCACTCCTCAGCAAATGTAAAAGAACAGAAATTATGACAAACTGTCTCTCAGACCACAGTGCAATCAAACTAGAATTCAGGATTAAGAAACTCACTCAAAACCGCACAACCACATGGAAACTGAACAACCTGCTCCTGAATGACTACTGGGTAATAATGAAATGAAGGTAGAAATAAAGATGTTGTTTGAAACCAATGAGAGCAAAGACACAACATACCAGAATCTCTGGGACACATTTAAATCAGTGTGTAGAGGGAAATTTATAGCACTAAATGCCCACAAGAGAAAGCAGGAAAGATCTAAAATCGACACCCTAACATCACGATTAAAAGAACTAGAGAATCTGCAAGAGCAAACAAATTCAAAAGCTAGCAGAAGGCAAGAAATAACTAAGATCAGAGAAGAATTGAAGGAGATAGACACACAAAAAACCCTTCAAAAAAATCAATGAATCCAGGAGCTGTTTTTTAGAAAAGATCAGCAAAATTGATAGACTGCTAGCAAGACTAATAAAGAAGAAAAGAGAGAAGAATCAAATAGACACAATAAAAAATGATAAAGGGGATATCACCAGGAATCAAATAATCAAATAGACACAATAAAAAATGATAAAGGGGATGTCATCACCAGTCCCACAGAAATACAAATTACCATCAGAGAATACTATAAACACCTCTACACAAATAAACTAGAAAATCTAGAAGAAATGGATGAATTCCTGGACACATACATCCTCCCAAGAGTAAACCAGGAAGAAGTTGAATCTCTGAATAGACCAATAACAGGCTCTGAAATTGAGGCAATAATTAATAGCTTACCAACCAAAAAAAGTCCAGGACCAGATGGATTCACAGCCAAATTCTACCAGAGGTACAAAGAGGAGCTGGTACCATTCCTTCTGAAACTATTCCAATCAATAGAAAAAGAGGGAGTCCCCCAAGAATTTTAAACCAATATCCCTGATGAACGTCAATGTGAAAATACTCAGTAAAATACTGGCAAACCAAATCCAGCAGCTCATCAAAAAGCTTATCCACAACGATGAAGTCAGCTTCATCCCTGGGATGCAATGCTGGTTCAACATATACAAATCAATAAATGTAATCTATCACATAAACAGAACCAATGACAAACACCACATGATTATCTCAATAGATGCAGAAAAGGCCTTCAACAAAATTCAACAGCCCTTCATGCTAAAAACTCTCAATCAACTAGGTATTGATTGAACATATCTCAAAATAATAAGAGCTGTTTATGACAAACCCACAGCCGATATCATACTGAATGGGCAAAAACTGGGAGCAATCCCTTTGAAAACTGGCACAAGACAGGGATGCCCTCTCTCACCACTCCTATTCAACATAGTGTTGGAAGTTCTGGCCAGGGCAATCAGGCAAGAGAAAGAAATAAATGGTATTCAATTAGGAAAAGAGGAAGTCAAATTGTCCCTGTTTGCAGATGACATGATTGTATATTTAGAAAACCCCGTCATCTCAGTCCAAAATCTCCTTAAGCTGATAAGCAACTTTAGCCAAGTCTCAGGATACAAAATCAGTGTGCAAAAATCACAAGCATTCCTATACACCAGTAACAGACAGAGAGCCAAATCATGAGTGAACTCCCATTCACAATTGCTACAGAGAATAAAATACCTAGGAATTCAACTTACAAGGGATGTGAAGGACCTCTTCAAGAAGAACTACAAACCACTGCTCAACAAAATAAAAGAGGACACAAACAAATGGAGGAACATTCCATGCTCATGGACAGGAAGAATCAATATTGTGAAAATGGCCATACTGCCCAAGATAATTTATAGATTCAATGCCATCCCCATCAAGCTACCAATGACTTTCTTCACAGAATTGGAAAAAACTACTTTAAAGTTCATATGGAACCAAAAAAGAGCCCACATAGCCAAGACATCCTAAGCAAAAAGAACAAAGCTGGAGGCATCATGCTACCTGACTTCAAACTATACTATAAGGCTACAGTAACCAAAACAGCATGGTACTGGTACCAAAACAGAGAGATAGACCAATGGAAGGGAACAGAGGCCTGAGAAATAACACCACACATCTACAACCATCTGATCTTTGACAAACCTGACAAAAACAAGAAATGGGGAGAGGATTTCCCATTTAATAAATGTTGCTGGGAAAACTGGCTAGCCTTATGTAGAAAGCTGAAACTGGATCCCTTCCTTACACCTGACATAAAAATTAATTCAAGATGGATTAAAGACTTAAATTTTAGAACGAAAACCATAAGAAACCCTAGAAGGAAACCTAGGCATTACCATTCAGGACATAGGCATGGGCAAAGACTTTATGACTAAAACACCAAAAGCCATGGCAACAAAAGCCAAAATAGACAAATGGGATCTGATTAAACTAAAGAGCTTCTGCACAGCAAGATAAACTACCATCAGAAGAGAACAGGCAACCTACAGAATGAAAGAAAATTTTTCCAGCTACCCATCTGACAAAGGGCTAATATCCAGAATCTACAAAGAACTTAAACAAATTTACAAGAAAATAACAACCCTATCAAAAAGTGGGCCAAGGATATGAACAGACACTTCTCAAAAGAAGACATTTATGCAGCCAACAGACATGTGAAAAAATGCTCATCATCACTGGTCATCAGAGAAATGCAAATCAAAACCACAATAAGATACCATCTGAATGGCGATCATTAAAAAGTCAGAAAACAATAGATGCTGGAGAGGATATGGAGAAATAGGAACACTTTTACACTGTTGGTGGGAGTGTAAATTAGTTCAACCATTGTACAAGTCAGTGTGGCAATTCCTCAAAGATCTAGAACTAGAAATACCATTTGACCCAGCGATCCCATTACTGGGTATATAACCAAAGGATTGTAAATCATGCTACTATAAAGACACATACACATGTGTGTTTATTGCAGCACTATTCACAATAGCAAAGACTTGGAACCAACCCAAATGTCCATCAATGATAGACTGGATTAAGAAAATGTGGCACATATACACCATGGAATACTATGCTGCCACAAAAAAGGATGAGTTAATGTCCTTTGCAGGGACATGGATGAAGGTGGAAACCATCATTCTCAGCAAACTATCACAAGGAGAGAAAACCAAACACCACATGTTCTCACTCATAGGTGGAAATTGAACAATGAGAACACTTGGACACAGGGCGGGGAACATCACACACTGGGGCCTGTTTGGGGGTGGGGGATGGATAGCATTAGGAGAAATACCTAATGTAAATGACGAGATGATGG